>NC_000014.9:25861713-27111713 GCF_000001405.40 Homo sapiens | reverse complement strand
TATAGAACACTTCATACTAAATAGCAGAGGGATAAATCCCCCACTGGGATAAGAGACACAATATTTAAACAGATAATTCAGAAATTAGTATATGTATAATTCAGCCAATAAATACATGTGAAGATGTTTAACATTGCTAGACATCAGATAAATCAAAATTAAAACCATGAGATAGTTGTACATACTCATTAGAATGTCTAGGAATTAAAATGATTGGCAATATCTAAGGGAGAAGTGGAACAATTAGAATTTTATACATTGCTGGGGAAAAAATTAAATGATAAACACTTTGAAAAACAGCTTAGCAGCTTATAACAAAGATTAACATCTACTTTATGCTCAGACCACATATAATTCAGAAATTTTACTCTCAGGTGTTGGCCCAAGATAAATGAAGATATATATCCATGCAAAGACTTGCATAGCAGTGTGTATAACAATTTTGATCATTATTGTCCGCAAATGGAAACAATGCAAGTGGCCATCAGCAGGTAAAATGTTAAACAAATTGCAGTACTCAAAAAATGATATTCACAATAAAATGAATGAATTACAGATGACCAAAACAACATTAAAACATTCTAAAATATTATATGGAGTGAAATAAATCAGACACAAAAGACTATTAGTTGTATAATTCCAATTAAGTGAATTTCTAGGACAGATTAAATTAGTTTATAGTAATAGAAATCATAACAGAAGCTGATCTGGGAAGGAGTTTTCTGTGTACAGAGTTAACTGTAATGGATCTAGAATGAACTTTGGGGGAAATTAAATATTCTAAAACTCGATTGGGATTGTACCTAAAAAGGGGGAGAATTCATTTAACTGCTCACCTAAAGTGAATGCATATTTTGTATGTAAATTCTATTTTAATAAAGTTTATTAGAATCTAACTCAGATTTCACAGTTGAAACTTAATGTAATTCACTAGATTAATAAAATAAGAAGGGAAAACCATATAATCCTTTCAATAGACATAGAAAAATCATTTGACTAATTCCAGCATCTTTCTTGATAAGTCTCAACTTAGGTATCCACAATGGAGAGAATTTTAAATTTTAAAACAGTAAGAAAAAAGAAACATTGACAAAATAATTGAAGTAAACTTCAACCTGATAAAGGGCATCTACTAAACAAAACAAAACAACTCCCCCACAAGGAAAATCCTGCAGCACGAAAAACATACTTAATGGGGAAATACCAAATGCTTTTCTTCTATGATTGGGAACAGTATAGCTGGGGTGGGGCTATAAAATGAGAAAAGAGAATTAAAAATACAAAATTTGTGAGAGTATTTACCTCTTGTTACACATAGGTAAGGCTACTAGTGGACTTCCAAGATAAATGTCTGTTCTGTTAAAAAAATTTGTGGCTACATGAGTGCTTTTTGAATTGTTACTCTTTACATGTTACACACATTTTGGATATCCTTATGTGGATACCCTCTGTCCTAGTAAAATATTTCAATGCCAGGACATTTTAATTGCAAAGTGATCATACTTATATTAATTATATAATATTATAGAAGTATTATATATAATTATACGATAATTACCTCAATAAGATAGCATATCATTTAGCACTAAAAAATCATAAAGTTTGAGTAACGTGAGATGAATAGGGTTTGTAGTAGAAAATTTTTTATGAAATCTTAAAAGAATAATATGAAAGGTATAGATAGATAGATAGATAGATAGATAGATGATAGAACGGTAATCCAGACACAATATAAATTATTATCAGCTAGGTATATATAAAATGTGTGTGCATGTGTATACACAAATACATAAAATTTGTTCTAAGTGTGTTAAAGACAGGAGACTTAAGAATAATTGAGAAAGTTGGGTCCAGAATGTGGTGGAAAAAACTCAACATTTGTTAAAAATTTGAAGCTTTCAGTAAGCATGGGGAAATTTTGAACAAAGGGGTATAATGGAAAAAGCTATTGTCTTTTAGCTACCACCCAATAGAACATAAGATTAATATGGAATGCCTTTAATGCAGCTTAAATGAACACTTAATCTGTTTGTAAAATTACCTGCAATCTTAGAGAATTAAAAATTAATATAAATACAATATGGTACCTGTATTAGTCTTTTCTCCTGCTGCTAATAAAGACATACCAGAGACTGGGCAATTTATAAAGGAAAGAGGTTTAATGGCCTCACAGTTTCACACGGCTGAAGAGGCCTCACAATCATGGCAGAAGGCAAAGGAGAAACAAAGGCACATCTTACATGAGGCAGGCAAGACAGCATGTGCAGGGGAACCGCCCTTTTATAAAACCATCAGATCTCATGAGACTCTTTCAATCTCACAAGACCAGTGTGGGAAAAAAACCCACCCCCATGATAGAACCACCTCCCTTCAGGTTCCTCTTATGACACGTGGGGATTATGGCAGCTACAGTTCAAGATGAGATTTTGGTGGGGGCACAGCCAAATCACATCAGTACCTAATAAGAGTTGAGGATACTTTCAATCTAAGGATTAATACAAATAATATTTGAGTTGATTTTAATAAATTACTATCCCAAGTACCATTATGATAGTTAATGTTAATAAAACAAATAAATGTATACATGGAAGCACATTCACACACATACACACATTAATGATGACTGAATTAAAAACCAAATACTTTATTTATTTGCCATGCTAAAGATTGTCACATAAATATGTTTTTCTGATTTTTAATGTTTGCCTTACTAAGTTCCAAATGGGTAAAAATAATAGCTCAGGATAAGCCAATTAGAAAAATGTCCCCAGTCTAGTCAGGCAAAGCAAGTGACTTTAAACTAGTTAGAAATAGTTGTCCCTTTTCCAATAGGGTACAGCATATAGATTAGTAAGTACAACAAAGTTGAATTTTAGCTTATAGTTGTCCCTTTTTCGATAGGGCACAGCATATAGATTGGTAAGTACAACAAAGTTGAATTTTAGCTTCCACATACAATCTTAGCTGGAAAATTTTGTGCATTGAAATTGCATGATCATATATTGTCCATAGGTGCCTATCTAATAACCGTCTTGGTGATTCACAATGCACAAGAGCATAGAAAAAGATCTAGAAGTCTTAAGCAAACATACTGATATCCTTGTCTATACCAATTATTCCCCAAACTTATGTTTGTAGAATAGAGTAGGTACTCAATATATTTATTAAATAACATATAAAATAAACATTTCTTTTGTCACCACAACAATTTACATACTATGAAGATGGTATTCTAGGAAGCTTTCCTTAGCTCTTACCCACATTAAATGTCCTACATACTTTCTACTACAAAAGGTTTTCAGATATTTCAAGGAGAAAATTATTTTCACAATGGTGAAAGTGATCAGCAATTTAACTTCCAGATAAGTAGAGAATGATTATACACTTTAAAACAGAAAAAAAAGATGATATTTTGTGATAATTGGCTTATGTGTCTTTTGTGCATTTTTGTAAGACTAGAATTGCAAATGATCAGGGCTCATTTAAAACAGCAGCAGCAGAATTAAAAATACAAATAATTCATATTTTTGTACAGGGCTATCAAAATTTTCATTTTTCTTCATCAGTTTCACAAAAATTAAATAATAGAATGCCAGAAGATCTTAAAAATAATTTGAATTTATACCACACAACAAGGAAGCGTATTTTTAGTAAAACTTGATTTTAGTTAGTATTTTCACAACAAAATAAAGTGTTTTTAATTGCTCCCCTCTACTTTTTTTTGCATACTCTTAAACTTGCAATGTCTTTGTCAAGTTGTTTGTTTGTTTCTTTGTTTTGTTTGTTTTTGAGACAGAGTTTCGCTCTCATTGCCCAGGCTGGAGGGCAGTGGTGCAATCTCAGCTCACTGCAATCGCCGCCTCCCGGGTTCAAGCAATAATCCTGCCTCAGCCTCCCGAGTAGCTGGGATTACAGGCGTCCGCCATCACACCCATTTTTTTATGTTTTTAGTAGAGACAGGGTTTCACCATGTTGGCTAAGCTGGTCTCAAACTCCTGATCTCAGGTGATCCACCCTCCTGGGCCTCCCAAAGTTCTGAGATTATAGGCGTGAGCCACCACACCTGGCCTTTGTCAAGTTTTAATATTGGGCTCTGGTGGTCTGTTTTCTGAAAAACATTATGTACAATTGGTAAAACTTCTTCCTTAAATGTTTATTAGACTTAATCAGTGAAAGCATCTGGGCCTGGAATTTTCTGTGTGGAAAGCATTTTGATAATTAATTCAAATTGCTATGCATATAGAACTATTCTGGTTTTCTATTTCATCTTGTGTCAGTTTTGGTAAATTGTATTTTTAAGATATATGTACATTGCATCCAGTTTTTAAATTTATTTTCAGTAAGGCTTACCTTATTACTATTTACTGTCTATGTGATGTGCAGTGATATAGCTTTATAATTTTAAAATTAAATTTCAGATCATTACATAGGATCAAGTAGAAAGAAATTTGATTAATTCAATTATTTCAGCTTCTAAGTATTTTCATTCCAAATGGACAATGAAAAAAAAATGGTGTAAAGTTGCTATATGTATAAAATTTTACATTTTATTTATTTTATGAGTGAGAAAATATTTTAGATATAAATTATTTCTAAATTATTATATTTAAGATCACAGTTCATTTAACCTAAAGGCAAACTATACTCTTTTTATTGATAACATGTTTCCTGGTGTCCCATATGTAACATTTTTTCACCTTTCATTGCTTAAAATTACATTTGATATAATGATTACAATTAAAAATAAAAATTTCCAGCAGCCAGTTGGAACTGATAACTGGTGATGATAATGTGTAGATATGTAAGCAATGCCAGTATGATAAGCCAATATCTACTCATTTTAAATTGACTTAGCAATCAGAAATCACAAGTCATTCTTTAACAACAAAGCAAAACAGAAAACAGGTAAAAACGTCATCTATGGTGTATCCTATTCATTTTATGATAACTCAGTTAATACCTTGTTAACTATATATTACCTTAACAGAAGAGATAGAGAGAGACAGAGTGCTTTAGCAGAATTCAAGAAAACATTATTAGATTATTTTTGAAAACAACAAAAAAAGATACATAAGATATTAGTATCCTTCATTTCTAACAAAAGATGATCCACAAAGCTTTACAAATAGTTAATTTTTTTAAGGCCTGTTAATAACTTGAACTGTTCAAGTTTAGAAATGAATTTTCTTATAGAAAAGATGATAATTTTTGTAGTTGTTGTTTCTCATAGAAGATACTCAATTTTTAAACAAGAATGCATTTAAAACTTAATGCCTAATTCACACTTAGAACAACAGCAAAAAAAAATCTGAAAAATCATTCTTCTGATGTTCATGTTATCTCCTAATCATACAAAATTACCTCTTTCCAAGTACTTCTGGGAAGATTAATATGACATCCAAAACAACACACATGAAATGCATCCAAGAAACAAGCTACATTCATTCAGTATAAGGGGCATTGCCAAATTTGACAGGGTGTTGGCACTTAATACATGCCATTACTAATTTTAGTATGAAACAGGTTTCATCTCTAGTGCTTTTATACTTCTGAATAAATGTAGAACTGAATCATTAAATGCCGAAACATTTTTTTCTAATACCATGGGCATCTTCTGTCATTGAACTCAGTCAATGACATTGAACATTGTTATGTTAGGATAGGCCCATTCTTCTAATTTTTTGTGTGTGAAAAGACTTTTTGGGGGGCATATGTTGAGTGCTGTCTTAAGTTTTTTTTCTGCTTTCCTTTGCATTTCATTTAAACAGTAGATTGAATGATGGTTTTTGAATTTAGAGTAAATCTTCATCTAATTTATCTGAGAAAAACACACGCTGATCATCCTGCAGTAAGCAAGAACAAGATTAACTTCCAATGTAGTCTTAAAAAGTTCTTATTTCTTTGTGTTTTCTCCAATATTTCTTAAGATTGGTCACCTACCAGAAAATTAATAGAAGGCCATCCAAGAGAATTATCCAAGAAGTGCATAAGTTCTATTTTTCACTGCAAAATAAAATTCAGTTAGAAATGTGAGCTTTTATTGCATTTTATATTTTTAGAAAATCTCTTAAAAATCTGAAAAACCAATCTTCACTATCATCAGGAATTAAATCTAATGTTATGCAAATCCTTAGATAAAATCTTATGTCATCTTCATTAATAATCACTCTAAAAATAGCATTACACATGAATTGTGAATAATGTAGAGATGATTTTTTTCAATCATCTCTATACTAGAAAAGTATTTAATCTTAGGGACACTAAATGGAATAAGCCATCCTTTTTTATTCCCTGTGGATTGAGTCTTTCTGGGGACAAAAAGAAAAATGTACCTCTTCCCATGTATCTATTAATAAAACAGGGTCATTGTTTAGGTTTGAATGTGAAAATATTTCATTTATTGGTTACTTTGCATACATCTGTTGAGCATTTTTGATGTTATATCCTAGGCTAGATACTGAAGATAAATGAAACACTGAAACAACTTTTCCACACTTGCTATACTATTGAAAATAATCTCAGTTGCAAGTCATAGAAATTATAAATCAAATGGCGTAAACAATAATGGATATATTATCTCAGGAAACAAGAAATCAAAATGTCAGGCAGATTAAAATGTTGGTTAATTTATGGCCATTGTCAGGATCAAAGGCTCATGTTTCTTTTATCTTTTTTGTTTGTTTTGTCAGCCTAAGCATGTAGACCTCAGCATGATCACACATATAGAGCCAACAATATCCGATGAATGAAGAGGGGATGTTTCTTCTTGACTACTTTTATACGAATGGAAACCTCCAACTTTAGTAGATCCCAACTACTTTATCACTGGTCAGTATTAATCACATGTCCTTTCCTAAACTAATTAGTGTCCAGGACATTCGGTTTGCCATGAATAATTTAAACTAATATTACAACCTCCCTTTTGATCTGAAGATACTGTGATGTCTTATTAACACATGGCTTTTTAATGGAGATTTCCACATCAAGCAAATTAGTATATGCTGTCCAGAAAGTTTCTCAGGCACACATGTTTCTTGACACACAGTTTTTCCTTTTCTTTTCTTCAACTTCTCGCACTCAAGCACTGTCTATATTTTGAACTTCTTTTCAGCCTTCAAGAGTCAACTTTAGGTTAAAAACTAGGAACAGACATAACTATCTTTTACCGTCTAAAGCAAAACACAAAAAAATAAATAATGATAGGACTGTGCATTATTTCACTCTGTAGTAAGAGTTGTTGGATACTTCAGAAAAATTTTTTTGCCAATGTAAATGTTGCTCATAATTTTTGTCACTAACACAATACACCTGCATTAGTTTAGATTTGTAGCAGACACATACAGAGTGCCTCTGCTGTTATGTCTTCTAGCACAGTCATGCTTTAGTATTCCACATTGAAATATCATTTTATTATAGATTATGGGTTTTTTTTAAATGGCCGATCTGTCATAAACTGCTTGCTTTCTGTCCTACCAGAACAAAAAATCGTGAGTGTATAGAAGCAATCAACTATTATTAGAACATAGTAGAGATGAGACAGAACTTGAGTAGTTCCAGAGGACAGGATAAAGTTGTACATAGCTCAGACTCCACTGTGTTGCCACCTTGCTTTCAACTCACACTGATGGATTTGTGAAGACTTCCCTATGACAGGTTGATGGACTAAGGAAAAACATCAGATGTGATTTATTGATGGTTATACAAAATATGCTGTGACAGTACAAGTTTCATATGATTAGGAAGGACAGTAGTGAAGGAGCATTATAAAGGTAGACAAATGTGAAGTAATATTTTTGACTGTCCACTGTTACTGTAGGGATGGTTAAATAAAAGTATTGTGGGAGACAATGTGGTGATTCCTCAAGGATCTAGAACTAGAAATACCATTTGACCCAGACATCACATTATTGGGTATATACCCAAAGCAGTATAAATCATACTGCTATAAAGACACATGCACACGTATGTTTATTGTGGCACTATTCACAATAGCAAAGACTTGGAACTAACCTAAATGTCCATCAATGATAGACTGGATTAAGAAAATGTGGCACAAATATACCATGGAATACTATGCAGCCATAAAAAAGGATGAGTTCATGTCCTTTGTGGGGACATGGATGAAGCTGGAAACCATCATTCTCAGCAAACTATCACAAGGACAGAAAACCAAACACTGCATATTCTCACTCATAGTTGGGAATTGAACAATGAGAACACTTGGACACAGGAAGGGGAACATCATGCACTGGGGCCTGTCATGGGGTGGGGGGAGGGGGGAGGGATAGCATTAGGAGATATACCTAATGTAAATGATGAGTTAATGGGTGCAGCACACCAACATGGCACATGTATACATATGTAACAAACCTGCACGTTGTGCACATGTACCCTAGAACTTAAAGTATAATAATAATAATAAAAGTATAATACATTGCTTTATGGTAGTGTTTAATGTTTTTTTTTTTTTCATTTAGTCAGAGAAAAATATGTTTGGAACATTAAGACTAGCAAGACTAAAGTAGGGCCATGTAGGCAGATCTCTCAAAATGGGCTTAGCTTGTGAATATATTTATTTCTCATGTAAATATTCACCAGAGAATATTCACTGCAGAGGAGGTTTTCCAAAATCAGGCGGTTTATACATGACTACTTTTTTACCAGTCACATAATATCCACTTAACAGGAGATCAATGGACTGAAGTGGAACATAGCATGGTGGTAGGAATTTTGGTTATGGAAGAGGTTAACGACATAGAATTCTCCTCATCAGTGACAATTCCCCTCACTGAGGAATTCAACGTAGAATGCCCCACAATATATTCTGTTATAAGCAGACACCAATGCTGAGCTCCCCATGGCACCAACAGTAAGGAATCTTCCAGTCAGCTGATGGCAGGTTGAAATCACTGGGTCCTTTTCATTATGAACAGGGAAGTAATTTGTTCTAATTGAAGAAGATAATTAATCTAGATATGCATTTGTAATAGTAATTAGTAATAGCCAATAGTAACACTTCTACCTTGATGATGGTTGTCTCAAACAATATTTGCACTAAATATCTTTCTTGGGAAGTCCCTTCCAAGAGGACTGAGGCCTGATACCTCTATGATTTTACTTTCAAGAGTAATAAAAATATATATGTTTTTCATTTCATTGGTAGAAGTATATCTTACTATATATTTAGTCCTTTCTTTTTACCACTCTAAGATACTTTAATTAGCTTAAGCTTAAAGTTATAAGAATGAAAAACACAACACAAGTGGGTTATTGGAAGTGATGATGAGAAGTATCACCCAAGACCCTATGTAACCTAATGCCACATTAGAGCAAAGAAGGTGTGAGATTTGGCATATGACCATAAGACCTTTTAATCCTATTATCTTTCTCACCACTGAGAAGCTGTTGGCCTGAAAGAGTGATGAAACTACCTTTCAAAGGTATAACTGAGACACCAGCTTAGGTACAATAACTTACAAAGATGGGAAGACATTTTTCAAGACTCCGCATTTATACTGAATTCATGACCATTTTATGCTTCTATCTTCAATAGGTAGACTAAAAAATGGGTTTGGTCATGAAGGACAAAAGTAATAAGGGCTCCACTCACTTCCAAATTCTGTGGCCTTTTTCTGGGGAATTTGTACTTTCCATCTGCATGATCTGGGCAATATGAGTTTAGAGTTCCTGGTTCCCAGAGACAAAGTTTCCCTGAGGGCAGTAGCAGAAGCCCCACTAAACTTCAAGCTATGCTATCATATGGCCACTTAGGGCTTCTTATGTGAAAAGACAGGCAAACAAGGAAAGGAATCATCAGTCTGGAAGGAATAATTGACCCTGGTCATCAGGAGAAAGTATTATTATTAGATATAGGGGCTAGAAAGATTGTGTTTGGTACCCACATCTTTATTTGCATATATTTTGGTATCAATTTGGCTGCTTTTGAAAGTAAATGGACAAGTGCAATAGCTATGGCTTGAGAAGGGTGGGTTAACCAGACTTACAAGGGATAAGGTCTTGGTATACACCCAAATAGATGGTAAAACAATAAGTATCAATTTCAGCCTTGAGACCAGCTGCAGTAGGGGCTGTAGTTCTTCTCACTAACCTTCCTCTTACTTTCCAGGAAAAGAGACCAATAAGAATCATGGCAGAACTGCTCACAGAACTCATGATATCAAATAAGTAGATTAGAGCATTATAAAATCTGAACAATAATAGGGGCTGTAGTTCTTCTCACTAATCTTCCTGTTACTTTCCAGGAAAAGAGACCAATAAGAATCATGGCAGAACTGCTCACAGAACTTATGATATCAAATAAGTGGATTACGGCATTATAAAATCTGAACAAATGTTTTATGTGGTGCTCAGACCACTCCTTTGGGACTGAAATATTCATTTCCTCATCTTCTGGGAGTGCTGATGGCTAAAAGTTCCCAGTTGAGTCTCTTTATGTATTGGATGTAGTGATTGATTCTGAATATCAAGAGAAAGTTGGGTTACAACTATATAAAACAGGCAGGAAGGAATGTGTCTGGAGCCCATGAGATTCTCCAAGGAGTGTTTTAGTTCTCTGATGTCATGTGGTAAATTTAATGTAAAACTGTAATAACTAACACAAGTAAGAATGCTAATGGCCCAGAAAGGACTCTTAATGACTTGGACTCTATAAAAATGAAAATCTGGATTTGGGTCACTTAGCTAACTGCTGAGAAAACGTCCTCCTGGAACTCAGAATCGCCCTCAGTAGGCGGAGTACAAGCTCAGAACAAAGAAAGAAGCAGACCACTTCAGATTGTTAAGTAGTCAAAGATTTATTTAGTTGGGAACTTACATATGAGGTGGGATTGGGTGATGTCTAGGTAAATCTGTGTGCTTGCAATGCATACTTGTCTAATCTTTTATACCATGAAAAGAAAAGAGAAAGGGACAAAATTTAAAAAAAAAGTCACTGATGATCATAAGTCATAGGGTTACTTTCTTAATCTATGTACTTTCTACTTAAAGGGATTGTTTGGGTTTCCCACAATCTGGTCAACATTCCTAAGTGGGGAATGGAGGGTAAGGGAAGGGATGTTCTAGGAAGTAGCAGTTATTTGGTCTTCTGATGACTGCATCCTACAACTCACTTTGTGGTCATGTACCCAGAATACATTTTCACAACACGCCGCCCCTCCCGACTGGCCTTATATTCTTACAAGCCCCTTCTTCCATGAGAGTACCTGGCTTCCCTGAGGGGTTTTATAGGGAGGGTGGATGCATTATTCACAAACTTGGTGCCACATTGCATGATGAGTCTACAGTAACAATAGAGACACACACAGGAGAAAACGCAAAGCAAAAGAAGTAAGCATATTAACAAATGTTCCCACCAATTTCCCCAATCTCTAAACTAATGTGACGATAACTGTTCCTATAATGGGTGGGATCATTTATCTTTGATGCCATGTGATACAACAAGAGGAAGCTAGAGATTGAAAGGTAAAACTCCAGCAGGCGCTTGTAAAGGTAGATCGTCTCCTCCAACAATGATTACGATGGAGGATTTGTCCCAAGTGGTCAAAACAGCAGCTGCCTGGGAAGGCTTCCCAGGAGAAGCAAATCATACTTGCCTGCTGGGAGAGGTAGGAGTGTCTCCTACATGATTACTCTTCCTGGACTGTTATATGCCAGATCAGGAGCCTGATTACTTCTCCCTTATGCAAAATGCAAGTGGCCTTGCATTAGTGTCTCCTTACCTCAGGCTCAGAATCTAGCAGTGTGACAGGAGTCCAGGTCAGTAAGGTGAAGTCCTCCTTCCACTGTGAGACAAAGTATCCCATCCAGCCTGACAGGGTATTCCTGTGCTAGTCAGTCTCCACTACAACAGGCTGTCTCCTGGCTGGATGTCCCAAGAGGTATGCATTGCCATAATGCAATTAGTAGAGGCTGACTGAGCCAAGAATATGTCTTTCTTTGTTTGCCATACTATGTTTGCCATTTAGCGATGGCTCATCTATCCTGTCATATGGAGCAATAGGGCCCACTGGGCTTTCATCTATAAGCCTAATAGCTTGTGGCAACATTTTGTCCACCCAGCCAGACATTGAGGTCAGAGTGGTCTGTACAAGAAAAAAAAAAATCTTCAGAGGTTAACATGATATCATCGATGTAACGTGACCATGCAATGCTGGAGGTGGGGAAGGGGAGAAAAACAGAGTCAAGTCATGGGCTACTATTCCATGGCAGATTGCAGAGCTGTGTCTTTCTGGTTTTATTTTGCTTTTTCCACCTCCCAGTGCTACTTGATTTGACTTGATCAGTGAAGCATAGTGTTGAGGACCCTGTTGCATGCCCTGGGAAACCTCCTGGGGCAACGGGTAGGCATTGCCACTGATCCTGCAGACTGGTCTTTGGTGAGTGTGAGGCTCGGAACCCATCCTTAACCTGATATTTGAATAGAAGAGGAAAGGATGCAACAACAGCAGCCAATATGAGCTCATTGGCCTCACAGGGGTTTTAAGCACAAGCCATAGTACCTCTGGTCACCCAGCCTCCCATAGCCCCTACCTAGAGCAAAAAGCCTGGCCTATCTAAGATTCCCTAACACTGATAATCCAGACCTGGCTCCTGTACTCCCACCTCTTTCTTCCAATGTCTTTCTTGGGTTGTTTCTACTTGCTTCACATCTTTCTCTTACTTACTGTATTATTTCTTTAAACGTACACTTTCATTCCCACGTGTTTTTTTTGTGTGTCTCTATCTCTTGGCCTCTGTGTCCCAAGACAAAGCACCCTTATTATTTCTAGTTTTAATTAACATACGTTAATTAGAATTTTATTCTAATCGTGAACTTGCATTCTGTAGATTAACATCATTTTATAACTTCCAGAAATGTATGCTTCCACAAAGTTCAATTTTTCATGTTAATTACCAGACCCAAAAATACAGTACTTAGCGTTTCTACACCATGTAAGATGCCAAAAGTATGTCAAATTAAACTTATGCTCAGCAATTAATGTTTTAGTATTTTATCTTCTTTGGAAACTATCTAGATATTTGATGAATATCCATTATTTAATTTAACTTAGCAAAACTCCAAGGCTGTAAGCTAACAAAGAGATGTGGGGAGCTATTTTTAAGTCGACATATTGTAACGCAAAACAACACTAGCCATCATCAAGTTATTTCCTGTTAACTATTTTTACAGCATGTTTCATGTTAAGCAGTCATTGAGAAAGCAAGAACCTAATGAAGTAAATACATGATTTTGGAGGTTTTGTTTTTGTTTTATTTCTGTTTGATATGTAAAAGTAATGGACACAGCACTTCCACATGCACATTTGTCCCTTGGTTGAACTCATAGTTTTATGATCTTAAACATCTAATAGAGATAAAAGTTGTTTGTTTCTTCTAATATTAATTCCATCTTGAATTAGTATTCAATATTAAATTATCACTTTCAAACAAGTCATTCTACTTTAGGGCAAAAATTACTCTTTTTCCTTTAACAAAACACAAGTTTATATCTCATAGCTTAATTCATCAAATACATGTCTTACTTTCCAATGAGTTCCATATCTTCACTTCTGGTGCTAACCACGTATCTGTTGTTTCTTGCACTGCCCACAACAGGGGCCACCGACTGTGACTGACTTCTTTACTGCCATGATCTGTTTTTATCCCTCAAATAGGGTGACTACCCTTTGGGGCCTTTTTAGAGCATTCTGCACTCATGCAAAGGTCCACAGGCATCAAACATATGGGTCACTGGTCCCAGCATGGAGGCAGCTAGCCAATCTGGATTTCCCCTCACAGAGTCTCTATTCCCCAGGCCTATTTCTTTGGTGGGCTCCTGGCTAGCTCACCAGTTGTTGGGAAAATTCCCTGCTAAACTGAGAACTGCCTTGTGTAAGTGGAGGGCAAGCTCAGAGCAAATAAAGAGGCAGGCCACTCCAGTGGGTAGGTAGTCAAACATTTATTCAGGGGAAACTTACATAAGAGGCAGGCTTGGGTAGCAGCAAGACAACATAGATCTCCACACTTGCAATGCTTGTCTGTCGGTTTCTTATACCATGTATGAAAAGAAAGGGGGGCTGGGCCCGGTGACTCACCTGCAATCCCAGCATTTTGGGAGGCCGAGGGGAGAGGATCAACGGAGGTCAGGAGTTTGAGACCAGCCTGGCCAACATGGTGAAACCCCACCTCTACTAAAAATACAAAAAATTAGTCGGGCATGGTGGCACATGCCTGTAATGCCAGCTCCTCGGGAGGCTGAGGCAGGAATATCATTTGAACACTGGAGGCGGAGGTTGCAGTGAGCAGAGATGGCGCCACTGCACTCCAGCCTGGGCAACAGAGCAATATTCCATCTCAAAAAAAAAAAAAAGAAAAAGAAAAAAAAAGTCACTGATGGCGTATTAATCTATCTGTTTTCTTCTTTATTTACTTTCTACTTAGAGGAATTGTTTGTTTCTCCTATAACCCAGTAAACATTCCCAAATTTGGTTGGAAGTGGGGAGGTTATTCCAGCAAATAGCAATTATCTTGGTCCTCTGGCCAGTGTATCCTACGATTCATTTTGTGGTCATGTACCAAGAGTACATTTTTATAATACTAGCTGAAGAATCATTACCTGCTGTAGTGTTTACTGAGGGCAAAAGCAAAATGCAGCAGAAGACATTATTTTTGGAAGGTCGCAGTTGTAAGATGCATGGTTCTGTCACATGTGGGGATTTTGCAGAGCCTTGTACAAACTCACTTTACCTTCATGATAGTATTTTCAGATCTCTCTGAGCTCTGCTTTGAAGAATTAATTTCACAGCTAAATGTGAAGACTTTTCAGATTTACTGCAAGCATCAATTTCTCCAATATTTCCAGATATTGCAACACAATTCTTCAGTGTATAGGTGTTGACTCTGATTTTAAAGACTCAATATTCAGTAACTTGCCTAAAGTTAATTAATTACAAAATATTAGAGAAGGATTCACGGAAAAATCTGTTTCATGTAAAAACTTTTGCCTTTAATTATATTCTCTATAAAGCGACATGTAAAGCAGATAAATGGGTCATTTCTAAAGTTGAAAGTGTGATGGGTGCACTGGAGTACACCACAGATCTGAATATATCTGAATATCCAACACTACTGTGGTCCCCCCAAAGAGACTGGATATTATTGCACTAGAGTCTTTCATAGGCTAAACATTATGCTTAATGATAAAAACAAAAGATAGCAAAACATGCTCCTTTACTTCAAGGGAGCTTATACTCTAATGGGAAGATAATTAATAAATTAACATATAAGATAGTCATTGCTATAAAGTGCAACTTAACGGTAGCAGATTCATTTGGTGCATGGCAGAAGGGAAACAGAAGTGTACCTTGAGGAGTGAGAGATGACTTTACTGATGAGTCGTGACTGAGACTTAACAAATGTTTATCAAATTATTAGTCAGACAAGAGTTGGGGAGTTCTTCAGTCATGGAGAAAGGTATGTGCAGAAGCCAAATGGCATGAGAAAGCTGGAACGTTTAGAGCAGAGTGGTATTTTGGTAAGGTGAGAGTATCGAGTTCCTAGTAAAGGTAGTCTTCCAGAGTGTCATGAATTTATAATTTATCACATTAGGATAAGGGGCTACTTAAGCAATCAAAGCACAGAAATGGCATAATTTCATGTGGGAATCAGAAACCTAGCTCCGTAGAGATATTAAATTGGTTAGTGGGCAAGAAACAGGACAACCAGTTGAGAAACAATTGTAATAATCCCGGTGAGAAATGGATAACAGATAAACTAAGGATCTAGACTGGGACAGAGGCCATGACAAAAGAAGACATTTTGAAAGAAAAATGATGCTGAGTTTTAGACGTACTGACATGAAGTTGTTTGTGGAACAATCATGTGGAGATATCTAGTAGAAAGTTTGATTAAAAAAAAAAAGAGTATACAGTTCTCAAGAAAATCTGGCTCTAGAGATGAGCTTTAAGTCAACAATATTTAGGCAGAGCTTATTTATTCTTAGGCATAGATAAAATCCCCCAAGAAAGAAGTGAAGGATGAAAGAGGAAAAAACAACTGTGACTACGAAGCAGTTTTAGAAAACACAGATATTTTAATGGTTGTTCAAGGGAGATAACTTTAACCCCTTCTCTAACTAAAGATTTCACTCCTGTAGTATTATCAAGATTATCAATGGCTTTTGAGGATTTCATCTTTTATATATGTTAGTACCAACCATTTTATTAGGGTCAAGTTCACGAAAATAATGGTGCAACAATTTAAATATTTGCTCTGCCCTGTCTTCATAGTATGGATTTATCTTCCCAATCATATCACGGGGTACCCCATCTAAGTAAGGCAACGGGTTACTGAATAACAAGAATTTCCAATCTGTGCATTCCTAAGGCCACTTGTTGAACGTTTAATCCTGCTTATATGTCTGAGCAGGTAATCATAATTAACTGGTAATTAATGTCATCATTTTTAAAATTAGTAAATTTTTAATATTGCTGCCAAAGCCACTCAATTACATAACTCTTCAGTTATAACAAAATAGTTTCACATACACTAGATCAAGAGTTAAACCCTATTTTATTTTATTTCACTTTTCAAACGGTGCTCAGTTTTATTTTTTACCTAAGTTTAACAGAAAAGATATGATGTAAATATGGGGAAGTGAAAGATGAGATGGAGAGTCTTCTTTGAGACTGCATGAACACAAAAAATGGAATGCATTTTATTATAGGGAATAATTAACTGAAGAGGGAAAGTTGAGTAAAGCAGAGGCCTCTTTAATGAAAAGGTAGCAGATATGGGGTAGGATTAGGAAGAAAGCATTTCAAAGAGGGAGAAGTCTCAATTTCACTTTATAATATTGGAATTTTATTCAGTGAGTGTTTATCTGGTACTGTATATATGAATATTGTGATAGACCTTGTAAAATGATGTGAATCTGAATAGAGTTGGTGGCTATTGGAATAATAACTAACAACAACAACAACAAACAAAGGAATAAGTTTACAGGGACAAAGACATTGTTTAAAATGTCCAACATTTAATATATGGAATTAAAATCTGAATTCTGATTAAGTATGGAAATAATTTTGATGTGAAAAATAATTGAATAAGAACAAAGTTTCTTCTAAGATGGTGACATATATGTTTTGAGTGCAGAGCAGAAACTTCAAAGCTCAAGACATGCTAGATAAAAATAATAATAATAATAATAATTAAATGCGTTTGAAAAAAATTTTGGCATGTCATGGAATACTCTCTCATTTTCAAGATGTAAAAGTGATTATATGTCAAAACCTGAGACAAAGACTTTAAATAATTGATAGTGGTCATTCAATATTGATTTTAAAATGTCAAATGATCAATCAAGTTTATTATGTTTAAAATCTGAGAAACTTGAAAGATTATATTTGATTCAAATTAACGAAGCGTATGTGAATGCTCAATGACAACGTGCTTTATCAATAAATCATTTGCTCACATGGCGCTTTTTGTGAAGCAGTGTTGGATCAACACTGTATAGTGCATATATCCCTACACACTACTTGGTTCCACAGGTTTTGTGTTTGCAAAATGAATAATAAGTTGCAACTAGCTAAAATATTTAGAGTATTGTAGAGGGCGTTAAAATATTTCCAAAGGAGAATATTTACATAGGGTTTAAATAGTGATAGTATCATTAAAATCAGAATAGAAACTTTCAGAGTTACAATATTGAAGGCAGTAATACTTACTTGGATATGTTACATCATTTTTTTAAAGCATAATTGATCTAGAAGTAAAATCAATAGCATAACACCAAACCAGCAGCCAACAGTATTGCTGAGTAGCCCTCTTTTGTCAAGCCTGCTTGTTATGCAGACAAGAAACAGCGGAACTTAGCACATAATATATTTGCATATAAATCATATTTTTAAAATTCTTAAAAATAGTTTATCTTAGGTAGATTAAGAATTACTTGCTTTAAAATTCACAACAATTTGCATATCTAGACCTTTAAAAACTGATGATAAAATGTTTAATATGGTCCATCTTGTACACAAGTAATTAAATCCACACCCTCGTTTATTGAGGTCTAACTTAGATGATTTTTATTATATTAAACCAAAGACATATTTTTTAGTGAGGAAAAATATTCCTAATGGCAATTTGCTTCATATGGTTGTATATTACAGAAAAAGATAATTTCAGTTCTACATAAATGATTCTTTTGAACCATTTTCCTTTGAAACAAATGATGCAGTGACATGGCAAAGCAGAACTACAAGGAAAAAATAATGTGAAAAATAAGCACATTATGTTCCCTTTGTTCTTCAATTAAAGGCTATGTTATGATTTTATTCAATACCACACTTTATAGTTAAAATGTAAGGGCAGGTCTGTTAAATTCAGAAACAAGGAAAAAATATCTAGTGTTACCTCCATTTGTAAGTATCATGGTTTGCATCATTTATATTAAAAATATACATTGTAAAAATGAAATGCAATTGACAACTAACCAAATAAAGATATATAATAAATGTTATCTGAGTTGAAATTTAAAGAGTAATAAAATACAATTTAGTCAAATATCAAATATTTTAATAAAAATAATGCTTAAGGTTGGCTAGTAAGCAGATCCTCCTGCACACACTTGGAATATATATTAGTATACCTATTCTAAAACCGTTTGGCAGTTAATGCAAAAGCCTTTCAAAGAACTTCCTCTTTGTGAGCAGGAAATTATATCTCTAAAAACCTACAATAATAAAATAATAAAACCTGAGCTCAGGAATTGTGAATAAGAGATATTAAGATGTTTGCAGAAAAGATGTTAATTAGATGCAAAATTGGAAATCGCAAATGTCTGACTATAAATAAATGAATAAATAGTACATCTAAATAAAGAATTCCATGTGGCTATCTAAAGTTTTATTTTAGAAGCATATTTAACGATATGGAAAATGCTAAAAATACATGTAAAGTGCAAAAAGGAGAAAATAAAATTTCATAAATGGTATAATGCAATTTGGCAAAAATTAAAAGAACAAAGAAATACATATATCACATGTACACATGCAAACAAGCTAAAAGAGTCTGAATGGACAGATGACAGAGATAGACAGATGATGATGATGGGTAAATAGATTGGAAGTAGTTACACAGAAAAGTAACTATTTTCTGGTAGAATTATGGGTAAAGTTTATTTTCTTCTTTTTACTCTGTATAATAAACATGTATTAGTTTTATTACTTAAACAAGAACACGTTGTAAACCTGTAGGACATGCATTTTACTACATAATCTGTCATCTTATCATTGTTTAAAAGAGTAAGAGCACAAATTTAAACCTTACTACGTATTTTATTTGAAGAGAATTCGGCCCATTCTCCATTTTGTCCTCCCGTTCCTGAATGTGCCTTTAAAACATGATCCACACATAAATCAACAGAGTATTGTCTAACCATTAAATAATGACATTGCAATTGCATGCCCTGATTCAAAAATAAAGCGTAAGTTAATAAATTCTTCATAAAAACGACACTATGTTCACAGAAGGGCACTATTGGAGATTGCTGGTTGATTAAACCTCCAGAGAGACACATTTGTTTTCTAGTTCTATACTTATTGATTTCGTAGTAATAACTGCAATGCAGAATTACTGCTTGCACTTACCTCAGCACAAGAAGCCCTGTTGTTTTTTTATCAGGACATTATGTTTCCTACTTTACTTTTCAATTTCCTGGATGTATCAAGAAAAACAAAATGAGTTAAAAAACAACAACAAAAAAATCAGCACCTGAGACTGCAATTTAGATCACCCAAAAGTAAAATAAATGTAAAGAGTTTCCATGAAACTAAAAACAGTGCTAACATATCAGAAATTCAAATTACAGTTTGTGCTGTTGACACGAAACTATTAATTTTAAATGTTTTTATTTCTATATTAGAATAACATCCAATATTTAGATACACTCACTTAATTTCCAAATTACTGATTTTCTATAATGAGGTTTATAAAGGAAAAATGTTTCTATTGAAGTAAATGTGAATAGTAAACTCTTCTTTCTTTTTTTGGTTTGCAAAAATATTTTGCTAATAAACATTCAGAATCACTGTAACAAAATTCTGCTTTCAGAGATATAAAGAATCAATGGTAAAAATTTTATTTTCAAATGACATGATGACAGACATTTTTCTAACACTTTAGTATTATAGAATATAATAGCAAGGTGACAAGTAGTAATAGTGTTGTCCGCCCAGTCTAGATATAGTCACAAAATGATTTGAGGAGACTTTTCACCATTTATTTTGCTTTTTAACATTAGGACAAAGATAAATTCAACATAATTTTAAGTGCCATCAGTACAGTGTTAGGAAATATAGACCACCTATCATTTCTAATGGTGTTTTAGCCTAATTTTATCTTTCACTTACTACATAAATTTGGAAATATTTTGTAGGTAAGTTGAGGTTTTTAAATAACCCCTAAACCAATTTGATTTATACAAATTTAGATTAATAAATTTCTTAGATCCTTACAATTCCAATTGGATTTTATCCTTTGTGCTCATTAGCGTAGGATAGGCTAGGAAAACAACTGGACAAATATATAATAGATCAACACAATGAAATTGTGTAGTACAGGGAATTTCCAAATATACAGGGATCGATCTACTTCACAAATATACAGGGATCGTCTACTTCACAAAATCATGTGAGTATCAAGGCTGAGGGCAACTTCTCTAATGTCAGTGTGCAGTTTGCATGATTTCCCTGGGGATCATACTCTAAGTCAGTCAGAAGGGGAAATGAGCACAAAGGACTGCATTTAGGAGATCAAGGCAAGGGGAGGCCCATTATTTGCTAAAAGGGAGTACAGTCATATGCACATATTTATCTGAAAGGAAAACTGGAAAATGTAGTCCAGGAAAAAGAAGAATCTGTTCCTGAGAGAACTGCAAATAGCCATCAAATAAGTTGGCCCCTTCACCCGAGTGTGCAACTTTTTCCATTGAGAAAACACTTAGTCCTAGCCAAGTGAGACAACCTAGCTACCCTCCAGTTACAGAAGTCAGCTCAAAGTCCATTAGGTTTAAATTTTGTTCTGCTTGTTCTAATGACCTATGAATCGAAAGAGAAGATATGGAATCTCTCCCACCATGCTCAGCATCACAGCAAGAGCAAGATGAAAACTCATATTCATGAAAGGGGAAAAGGAGATATAGAACAGTTCAGTTCCTAGATCTTGGCAGGACAAATCCTGCAAAACAAGCACCATGGAAAGCCACTTCCCAGGGACATGGAGAATGCCCTACTTAGAAACTTCATGATTTGGACAGCCATGTTCCTGCTGGTGAAATTCCTGTGACCTCAGGCTTTTTTTTATGCCACATTCTCTCTCATACACACACATGCTCTCCTATATGTCACATACATACACACACACTTTTGCTGTTGTTCTATTATTCTTGCTCTTTTTAAAATTTTTATTTTTTTCATTTGTATAAATCTAAGAGGTGCAAGTGCAGTTTTGTTAGGTGGATATATTTCCTAGTGGTGAAGTTTGGGCTTTTAGTATAACCATCATGGAAATAATTGACATTGTACACATTAAATAACTTTCTACTCTTTCAAGTTTCCAGTATCTATTATTACACACCCTATGTCCATATTCTTGCTCTTTACTGGGGATGGGAGGCTTTTTTAACTTTTAATTTAACAACAGACTTACAGAAATTTGTAAAATAATACTAAATTTTTCATATCCACATCACTCAAATTTCTGAATTGTTAATAACTTTATGGGCTGAAGCATACAACTCCATTAAAAATGTACATATTTCAGATAAATTCCATATTCAAGTTACTTCTATGCTCTAATAAATGCTGCCAAATATTTTTCCTAGATATCATTTTTGACTCTATCAAGTTGGCTTTCTTCGCTCTTCCTCTCCCTCCACATATGTTTGTCCTCTCTTTCTCTTTTCCCTTTAAGAACGTATAAAACAATAGGACTGGATGAGAAGACAAGACATCTTAAGCTGATTTTTGCACAAACCGAAGCCCTTTGATTATACTATCTTAATATGCCTTTGGTTCTCAGAGCATTTTCCAGTCTTATCTCCCCTTATTCAGGGCTCAGAGTAGTTCGGTTTTCCAGCCCTATGATGCTTTAATCTCTGGATTTCTCTTTTCCCTTCAATCTTTGTTTAAAACCTGTTAAATCTTGCCTAAGCTCAGCTCTTTCTTATAATTCATGGCTCAGTGCAGCAAATAATAGTCACATATTTCTTAATATTTTTACTTTTTTCAACTTTTCCCTTAGCTAAATGTTCAGGGGCCACTTGGTCTGCTTTCCAAGTAACTACGGATGACTTTCCAAAATGCTTTGCCTCCAAACATTCCAAACATAGCCCAAATGTACATCTTTGCAACTTGCTGTGTATATTACATAGTCTCCAATTTGTTGTTGTTGCTGTTAGAGCAAAAATTGCTTATGTTATAGCACATGTTTTTTTTTAAGTCAGCACTCCATTTCAATATTATGTTTCTTCTACTAGTTTTGGTGAGCTGGGCTACGGACGATAGAACTAAACATATAATACTTCAAGACAATAGCATTCTCATGTAACTGTCTGTGAAATTTCAGGTCAATGATCAAGCTTGAGGCACTCTGGGGGTTTCTATTTAAGACGGAAGGAAGGAAAAGCAGTGTGAAGGAGTGCTAATGAGTGATTTTTATATTATAGACCCAGAAATGTGCATACTACCCTCTCTGTCATTCCACTGGTGAATGCTTGGTCACATGGTTACAGCAATCTTCAGAGGAATTTGAGAATATAGGCTTAGCTATGTGCCCAGGTAAAAGGGGCAGGTGGGCAAGTGTCTACTTTGCTTTTGAATTTCTCAAAAGTGGTTGCATAATTCATAAAAAACTAAGTATGTTATGAAAATACAAAAGTAGGTGAAGAAAAAGAATAGTAAAAGTAAAATAAATTCTAAGTACAGAGCAACAGTAGCCTCTAATTTTACAGTCATTTCGTAATTTGCATTTTATACATTGAGAGAAAAGACTTCTTTGTTCAGTTATTTGAATGAATACATATTACCCAAATCACTTCACATATATGTGTTGTGATGATCATGAAGATAATGATGATGATAATGATGATGATGATTATACTGAAAAAGACTTTTAAATTAGGATCAAAGTTTTTATATTTTGCTTGAAAGAGTAATGTTTATTTTGGCAAAAAAAAAAAAAAAGAAAAAAAGAAAAAAAAACCTAGTAGAAAATGGAGTAAACTTTTGAGTTTCAATAAAACTTGAAATTATGATACTCTGTGCCTTAGCTATAATTATGTCAGTCAAAAGTAAATATTACTTTCCTTTTTAAGAAAACTAATATATTTTAACAGTAGGAGGGATTTTCTGTTTCTATATAATCCATTTCTATTAAGGTTGTTATGTTTGCTTTTCTGATATAATTCAGGGTTTTGCTGTGGCAAGAGAAGAGAACATTAGACTGCAAAGTATATGCCCAATAATGTATTTTTAAAACCAAATCTTAGAGTATATGACATTACCTGTTTCTAGCTGAAGCATTTGTAAGAAAATGATTTTATTATATACTGAATTTAAGAAAGAAAAATAAACTATTTTGATGTGGCAACGATGTTCAATGTGTAAACAAAAATTGGAGATAATAATTACATTTATTAAGTACTGATTATGTATCAGAACTTAATCCTTGTAAAACAAAATATGGTAGATTCTATCATTATGCCTATTTTACAGATACGAAAATTGAGATGGCTGAGCGCAGTGGCTCACGCCTGTAATCCCAGCACTTTGCGGGGCCAAGGCGGGCTGATCACAAGGTCAGGAGATCAACTCCATTCTGGTCAACATGGTGAAACCCCGTCTCTACTAAAATACAAAAAATTAGCTGGGCGTTGTTGTGCGTGCCTGTAGTCCCAGCTACTCGGGAGGCTGAGGCTGGGTAATCGCTTGAACCTGGGAGGTGGAGATTGCAGTGATCCGAGATCACACCACTGCACTCCAGCCTAGCGACAAAGCAAGACTCTGTCTCAAAAAATCAATTAAAAAAAAAAAAAAGAAAGAAAATTGAGGCTTAAATATCATCTCATTACTCAAGATCCAAAAATGGAAAAATAAAATAATAACGATGTCCATAGAGATAGATTCTGAACACCTATCTATGTGATCCTAAAATTTAGTAAGATTTGTCAGTAAAATATATTTCCCAAATGTTTTTTATAGCATTTAATCTGTACTAATATGCTTCTAGAAGCTTTACATTTATTAACTCATTTAGTACACAACTGAATGAGGCAGGTACTCCTTTCGTTATGATAGAGAAAAGTGAAGCATATCACAGTTAAGTAAATTGTTCATGTTCACAAAACTAGTAAAGGGGAGAGAGTTAAGATTCATGCTCAGGCTCTTTGACTCCAGCATTGGTGTATTTACATACTTATAAAGGCTGCGTCTCCTCATGCTCAATTCCTACCAATAATAAAGTTTATTAGAGGAATGATGGCATGAGAATGGGCAAAATGTTGACTTTCAAGCCATGTTTGTTAAACTGATTGTATTCTATTTCCTTTTATATATTTTTTAAAAACCCTTGGTTATGAATTAAACACATATCATTGTCCATCTAAAAAATAACTGTATTTATTGATCTGCAAACTTCATATATATTCACACCCTAAAGTCTATTTTACCAGAAATAATTGAAATTAATCAGTTGGATGTAAAATCCCCTCTCTAAAAACATCATTTTATTTTGCAGTTTAAACCAAGCAAAACAGTGTAATTTTTTTCCCCTAAAAGAAAGTAGAGTATCCCATTTACTTTTTCATTGATTTATATCCGAAATATTCAGAAGAGTAGTCATGAATAAACATTATATTCTCATTCCAGTTAGGGAAACTGAGTCATTGATGGATTAATTAAACAGATGACACCATTAGTTTAAAATAATTATTTTAGGGCCAGGGATATACCATAAAAATATAAAACTATTTTGTTCTTTAGGTAAAGAAAAAAAATAAATTAATTCATTATTATTGCTCCCCTAAGATGTCAGTTACAAAAATGGGAACGGGATGGGTGATTGTAAGTGTCTTACTCCGGTATTCTACTACACACAACTTTTTAAAACGGCTTTAGAGTCTCTCACTAACGAGTACCACCTTAATCCTAAAGTAAGATGTCCCCTAATGGGTGTATTAAGCAACAGGAGCTGACTCCTGTTGCTCGGCTGGTTCATACTCAAAGCCTCATCTTCAGTGTCGGGGAGAAAAGGCTACTAAGACATACAAAAATTTTGTTTACTAAGCCTAACCCACAAGCTTTCCTAGGTTATGTTCTACTATTTTTACATTTCTGTCATCTTTACTTGGTTCCATATCCAAGTAATATTTGCTTTTGTTTTTTTTTTAAAAGGAAAACTTTACCTGAAGAAAAAAAAAACACATTTTAATATGCACTCTTTTGTTCACAGAATATTTCCCTTAGGAAAAATTCTTCCTCTTAAAATACAACGTGAAGAGCAGGATGACAAATGGTTAATGATAATTTATTTCTGAACTACTTATCTAATCTAATGACAATGCCAAAGACTTACTTCAGAAATTTCAACACATTCTTTTGATTCATTTTTTACTCTATCATTAATAATTACCAGTGGTTTCTGAATGAAGAATGGTGTATATCTTTCTGTTGACATATTTTCTCAACTTGTACTCCCAGATATAACATCTTTCAGTTCATTCCAGGCTTTCCACAGTCACTTCTCTCAAGGTCAAGAAAAAGATACAATAATGAGAAAATAGAACAAACAGCAGCTAATGGCAGGAGCAGTTCATAAAAAGCTGTAATGGCAATTCCACCCAGACAGCAAAGGAATGCAACATTTTCACTGAGCACTACCTGACAGATTCAATAATCAAGGGAAAGCCTTAATTGATGACACTTCATTAGCATAATGAGTCGAAGCTGGGAAAAGAGAGTCCCTTATTAATTAATCAAGCAAAGCACGAACTGTTTCAGTCTCCTACACTCTGCCATTTTCCATTAATCAAGAAAATGTGTATTAAACTCATGTGAAATCTCAGCATGTGGATTATCGTTCCAAGGAAGAGCAATGGCAAAGAGGTTTGCCCAGCTGCACACATCTGCTCTGGACTCACACATGCCTCTGATTCAGGTTTGCAAGGCTAAAACCATGCACAGAGGGCACAGAGATAGCAGTTCTCCAAAACATGTAAATCACCATCTCATTAGGAAAGCAAATAAAACCCCATCAACTTCAGTACAAAAAAAAGAAAGAGACAAAAGAAAATAGCTTCATTTGCTTTTCCTTTGCCTGTTGTCCAAACCTCTATTGCATGAAATATCATAAAATGTAGACTGCACAAAATATTTATAATATCCTGTCCAACATTCACACTTGATTCCAGATTCACTGGTTCCACGTATTCCATTGGGTCATGAGAGAAATGGTTTTTGGTGGTGGTCCCTGGTACAAAGAAGTCATGCACCTTAGGTCCCCAACTAACCACAGGCACAGGTGTTGAGAATCAATGCTAATGAGGTTAACAAGCCAGGATCAAAACTGTGCAATCCCTACAGCAGAATGGACTTGAAGAGAGACTAAAACCAGAACTCCATAATTGTAAGGTCACTTCCCTATGATGTTTCTTATAATCATCAGGTGAAAGGTGGCTGCCAACACATTAATAAGGTAAAGAGAACTTGAATAGAATTTTGGAAAGGGATCACTGCAAAGGAAATTTTTATACTTTTATTTTAGATATAGTTTGACACCCACTACTATGCTATGTAGCTTACTATCTCCCCTTGATGAATTGGAAATTTAGTTTTCTCCTATACTGTAAGGAGTTTGGACTAGAGGAACTCTTAAGTGAATTCTAGCTCTTAAATGTCATTAGGGGAAAAGTCATAAATTCAAAGCAGGTAAGAGTATGATTTATTCAGTTAACTGACTACAAAAACTTTATGCGATTTAAGAATGTTGGTTTAATCAAACTCCTCACTTGCTTTGAATCCACCTGTACCAGTGACCCCATGGGCTGTGGTGCCAATTGTGCACTCAGTGATAGTTTAACCAAACTCCATCTTTCCATCTCATGTGAGTGCCATTGCTTTCTAAAATACTGTGTCCACTACGCATGATCTAGGCACAGAGGGGCATCCTTTGCAAAGACTAACTGTGACCAGTGTTCTGCATGTCCAGGCATGACAGGTATGGGAACCCAGCCATGTAAAACCAAGGTCAGTTGCTCTATCTAGCCTATATAATTCATATTTATCTATACCTGTTTCATTTCAAGATGGATTTGAAATATTATTCAATCTTAGTGGTTCCAGCATAAGTGGAAGAAAGAAAACCTCTGATCAAACGGACACATTTTTATCCATTGCCTATTTATCAGCATTATTTTAAAGTGCTTGATGATCAAAAGACAAATTTATTTGACAGAAAAGTGACTCATCTAAAAATTCAAGTTGGTGCATTAAGCCCAGTAACAAAATAAATTCACATCTGAAGCACTTCTGGCATTCTATAACTTCAGTGTAGTGATATACAGATCACCAGTAAAGAGCCATTACTGCGCCAGGTGTTCTTTCATGTCAGCCAAATTGGTCCCAAGTGCTGAATGTTAACTGTTTGAGCTCTGAGTGGGGACGGGCATTACCTCCTTGCAGGGCAATAACCTGTATCAACTTGAAAGAGCTCAGCTTTGTAGTAAGGGTGATTTTATAGTAATAAATTATATTTTGCAACTTGAAGTTAGCTGAAGCCATCACCCATAACATGAGATGATAACCAGGGATTGTATGTACTCAGTAGCTATATTTTCTTATAAATATTTTATTGATTTTTCAAGTCCACAAAGATTCCCTGTTGTCATAAAGTTCTCTTAATGTATACACTAGACTTTGTTCTATGCATACAAAATGAAATCCTCTCTCAGACAGTTTGGAAAAGGGAAAATATGCCTCTACAGGATCTAACTATTTTTGAGTTTCCTGTATTGACATTCCAGGAAGATTTCCTGATTTTTTCACTAGGTGCTGAATTTTCTTATAACGTGCTATTATTTCTGCGTATGGGTATCAATGGTCAGTAAATAAACTCCAAAACTGATTTTAAAATGAGAAAATACACTGTATTTCAAAGTCAAAAGTTAGCAAAAACACAAGAAAAGGAAAAAGAGTCAGAAGAGTGATTCTTTTTCTTAGATACCAAAACACACCATATCAGAAATACATGCTTATTCCAATAAACATCAGACAGTTGCATTTTTGTCAAGAATGGCTCTCCCCTGCTGTTGTGAAAATAATAAATTCCTATAAAAATTTAAGAATTGATCAAATGGGACCTAATTAAGCTAAAGAGTTTTCACACAGCAAAAGAAACTATAAACAGAGTAAGCAGACTGGGAGACATATTTGCAAACTACGCATCTGACAGAGGTCTAATATTCCAGCATCTGTAAAGAATTTAAACAAATTTACAAGAAAAACAAACAAACAATCCCATTAAAAAGTGGGCAAAGGACATGAACAGACACTTTTCAAAAGAAGACATACACGTGGCCAAGAAGCATATGAAAAATTGCTCAACATCACTAATCATTACAGAAATTCAAATCAGAACCACAACAAAAGATACTATGTCATGCCAGTCAGAATGGCTATCATTAAAAAGTAAAAAAATAACAGATGCTGGGGAGGCTGCAAAAAAGAAGAAAAAAAAGAAACTTTTATACACTGCTGGTGGGAATATAAATTAGTTCAGCCGCTGTGGAAAGCAGTATGGTGATTATTCAAAGAACTTAAAATACAACTACCATTCAACCCAGCAATCTCATTATTGTGATATATACCCAAAGGAATATAGATTGTTCTATCATAAAGACACATGCACACCTATGTTCCTCACAGCACTATTCACAATAGCAAAAACATGGAATCAACTGGATGCCCATCAACAGAAGACTGGATAAAGAAAATGTGGTTCATATACAGTATGGAATGTTATGCAGCCATGAAAAAGCAAACAAACAAAAACGAAATCATGTATTTTGCAACAACATGGGTGGAGCTGGAGGCCAATATCCTAAGCTAATTAACGCAGGAACAGAAAACTAAATACCAAATGTTCTCCCTTGCAAGTGGGAACTAAACACTGAGTACACATGGATACAAAGAAGAGAACAATAGACACTGGGGCCTACTTGAGGGTGGAGGGTGGGAGGAGGTCGAGGACTGAAAAACTCCCTCTCAGGTACTGTGCTTATTACCTGGGTGATGAAACAATCTGTATACCAAATCCCTGCAACACCCAATTTACCTATATAACAACACTCTACATGGACCCCTGAACCTAAAAGTTAAAAAAAATCAATGAATACAAAGCTGATATTTTTTTAAAAAGTAACAATTGAGATCAATTGAAAAGATGAAACCGCTCTCTTGATAAACTGATAGTGTAAAGTAAGACTGAAGAATTGCTTGATATAAAACAGGGCAAAATAACAGAGCTATTTCTTTTTTAAAAATTCTGTAGATCATTAATTTAATAGATTAAAATATTTTCAAACTCTAAGGTGAATACACTTTTTTTTAAAACATGGGCCAAATTTCTGAGACGTGCTAAGTTTAAGGGCTTTCCCAGCAACTTACCCTTAAAATTATTTTATTTCTGAAAAAGCCAGTTATATTCATCAAGTATGGGCTCAGTTCTTGTTTTGAGAACAAGCATTACTTTTGCAGTCCATTTAGGATGCAATTTTGTCTGCCATGGAGCAATGTGATAAACAAATAAATAAACAAATAAAATCTACTCATGAGACATGCAATAATTAAGGTACATCTGGAGATAAGTGAAATTTAAAATGTACAAGTTTCCAGGGTCTTATTATTAGAGAAAGGCAACTTTGGAATAACCTTACAATACAGGAGAAGTAACAATATATTTAACTTCATATTTGCTATTGCCAATAAACATTGAAAAACATTAGGAAATGTTGCAAAGGTGAATAATAAACTGCTTTAAGTAGTAAATGCAACAGAGAAATATATAGATGTGTACAGCAGTATGTTATCCTCTGGGTTCAACCCATCATTAAACAAAGAATAATGTACTGAATAGTGATAGGAGAAAACAAAAAACAGCCTTATTCACAATTTCAAAACCTTTCATTTACTCAATCATACAGCACTTTCTGTAGTCAATAGGTAAAACGCAAGGTTTACCATTACCAGCTATCATATTTTAATATTTTCTGAAGATCCTGTGAACACATTCTAGTAAACAAGACAATTGTGGAAGTAAAAATTCCACGTTGGTAGAGACAGAGTAATGCCCAAGTGACAAAATGAACAAGTGATGTTGGCAAAAATTAAATCTCTATCTTCTAATTGCTAGATCACTGCTTCATGCTAACTCCTCATGTTGTTTTGCTTAGATCAACAAGTGTGCCCGACGATCCTTGAGCAGAAAACTGTAAGAACTGTTTATGCTATTTTAACATGATACTGAGAAGATGAAAGTGAATAGTAGTTATATTTTTGACACTTTTTTATGTTGATTTAGGCATGTAAGACATTCTTTGAGTAACAATCAGTACTAAGTACCACTGCCTCTTAGTAATTACGAAAGAAATAGAAAAATCAAATTTTACCTATTTTAATAACTACCTTTATAAATAATAAAGGTATGAAGGTATTTATTAGAATACCTTTATAATAAAGGTATAATTAATATAATAAAGGTATTAATAATAAAATAATAAAGGTATTTATTAAAATACCTTTATTCTTTGAACATATTATTATAGCAGAATCCTATAAGGTTGTAACCAAATATGTGTATTGTATCACTGGAAAATTCAAACCATCTCTTCTTTGGATTGTAGCATAATTTGAGGCTATTGTTTATAATTCATTGTACTTAAGAAAACTCCCAACAGATTCATGTTTTAGAGAGCATTTATTACAGAAAGTTTTTATGTCAAACTGACAGCCAAACACTTAACAATAAATCTAGTTTTACGAAGATGTAGATGTTTGCATTGCTATTGTAAATTCTTCAAAGAAGAGCAATTAAAATTAATTTTAAAATCCTGGGATAATTTAGAAGATTAATACTTCTAAAACTTATAGATGTATAAATGTTCCTAAACATACAGTCAGAGGAGTAATGAAAAGCTTAGAGGAAACAGTGAAGAGGTGATACAAGACCTAGAAAACTTCATTATCCATGATGAAACCATCTCTACTCCAAGCAAGCCTAGAGGCTAATGCTATTTCTTCAGTAATGTTATAATTTCAAGTCATATCACTGTTCTTTATGATTTTTATAAAGACAGTTATTCAGAGTTTTATATTTTGGTTGCAGATTGAGAACAGCGTATGTGAGTATTATAATGCAAAGAAATTAAGAAAATGTATTCATCACATTTTAGAATCTTTATTAAAGTGTGTAATTAGCTCTAATTATTTTAGAAAATCTATCTAAAACATTTTATTTTAGCAACTTTTAAAACGTGAGTTTAGAGTTCAGAAGAAAATTCAGTAGATTTCAACGATAACACTGAATTTCTTAAATAAAAATTGTACACTGGTAAGTAAATTCTGTAAAAACAAAAACCCTAGGAAAATGGAAAACAGATCTAATATTGTGGTAAAATAACTCAGTGGGGTGGAGAGAATATCATCTAACCATATATTTGGTAGAATTCATAATAACTGGAATATGTGATGTTTAATCACAACCATATGTGTTCATTTTTTATTTTTTTAAATTTCTCTCTCCAAGGAATTTACAGTCATTATGTTTACAAAGTACCAGAAGATAGAATCACTACCATCATAAGAGGAAAAAACACTGAGATTTCATTATCAAGGGGTATATATAAACCATCCTTATACACAGAGCACAATTTTAACTAGGATATGAAGAAGACTCTACTGAAGTTAAGAATGATAAAATGAGTCTTCCAGAAATAACATAATGGGAAAATCCATGAATACATAAGAAAGCTCCTAAATGCATTGTAAACTATGGTTGTTTCTCCACACCCCACTTAGAAAAGGGAGGAAGGAATTTGTGTGTGTGTGTGTGTGTGAATCCATCAACGATCATAAGATTAATGTTTCCTCAGGTCCAGTCAATGACATCTCTCTACTTGCTCCAAAAATGTGCTATAATCTTCACTGTATCCTCCTTTATTGTCCAAATAAGATCAATTAATAACTCCTATTGATATTGCCCCATCCCATCATTCATCTATATACACCTTGTGATCCTACGGATATCTTAGTTCAGGCTGTCCTTACCTCCCTAGAGAAATAAGAAAGAGATGGGTAATCTCATAGGTCATGTTTGAGAGGTTGAATTCAGGGCATACCTTACTGGTTTAATTGGAATAGGGACACTTCCTTCAAAGTAAAAGAGGGAAAATTAATGTAGGTAGTTACAGATGCAGGTGAGTTGACAGTTTTGGTAATGGGAAGGTAAAAGAATATATCTGATTAAATCTGATTTCTCAATTAAACACAAAGCTTGGTCATCAGTAAAAGGCAAAGTAAAGAGAGAGACAGGAATAGAAGAGGGAGAAAGAAATAATATCAGTGGTTGACTTGAGACCTGCTGAATGCTTTATGCAAAGCAAAAAGCTATAAATCCTAAAAGATAGGTGAAACAGGACTTTTTCTTAAACCATTAGGTAGCACATGTTTTAGATGTCCACTTTGACCCCTAGGTGTCCTTTTAGAAGATGTAGAGTCAATGGACAGAAAGAATAACTGCAGATGAAAATACTGTTAAGGGCTCATGGTGATAACATATATATTGTTCTTCTATAGTCTTTCTAATAAAGACGATGAGAGTTATCACATGGAAACTGTACAGCAAACTACTTCTCATACATTTGTATTCATAAATTGTATGAATAAATTCTATTCAAAAATCACCTCAGGAACTTTAATTTTAGTTTTAAAATGGAGCATGTGCAACCTAATGCCATCTTTGTCTTGAATGACCTCGCCTTGACTAGGCCAGATGTGGATAGTCTTATCCTTCACTGTGTTCTTGACAATGCCGCTCTGCAGTTTTCTCATTGGAGAAAGCATAAAACTCCACTCTTGGTCGTAGATGTGGATTGTTTTTCTTACTTTGAATCCTAGGTACACAAGCCGGCTTAGCTGAATTTATCATGAATATAGAAATGACAACTGTTAGAATGGAATGCAAGGGGAAAAGTGCAACTACTATATTAATAGAAGGAGAGAAGAATGACATCAGCAAGAGGCGTGGAGTAATCTCTTAATAGAGTGAAGGAATAGTTTTTGTATTAACAATATAGAGGCAGAAGCAAATGAGATGCTGCAGAAGTTTACTTTTTTAGAAAAATGCAGCACACACTGGAGTCTAGTTCTCATGAACTTGGATTGAAGGTCAAGACCAGTCTATGAGGAAGTATAATTTGATGCCACAACAACTAATGTTGACATACAATACGTTAATCCTGTCCATTGCTGCAGTGTTTTAGTATCTGAGACAGAGACTAAATCAGTGGTCTCAACTGCAGGTGACCTTGCCCCTAGAAACAACTACCAACGTCTACAGACATTTTTGTTGTCATAACTAGGCAGGAGTGCTACTGGCATTCCCAGTGTACAGGACCGCCCCTCACAAAAAATAATTATCTGGCCTAAAATGTCAATATCACCAAGGTTAAAAACCTCTGTTCAAAACAATGGCCAAGCAGCCACAGTTGTAAGAAGATTAAAGAGTGGGTGAAAGATTTACCATTTACATGTACTCAAGGTTATTCCTATTTGATTTATGTTGCATTTTGCATGTCTTCACATAAATCACTGAGAACAATTCTATATTCCTGTGGCTAGCTGGCCATTATTTAGAAGGTTTTCTCTTTCCTCTTATCTAAAGACTGAACACTTTTTGGTCATATTGTTTGAACTTTCCCTGGAATTTTAAATCTGCTCTCTCCCTACAAAATTTTCCCCACTTTGTAGCCTGCTTTCTGCTTCCAACACAGTTTCACATTCGACTCTTCATCTGATTTCCTACTTTGTCCCAATTATTGCACATTCAGACACTAATAAGTAATTTTGAAGTAGACACACCCTTACACTGTGGTTTTGCCATATTGCAAGATATGGTATGACAACTGCAAACATACCTCATTATACAGATGAGACATTTCATCAAGTATTATTGGAATAAGGTAACAATGCTTAATGAATAACTAATATAAACAAATACACACAGGCCCATTTTTTTTTCAGTCATGTTTTAGTGTATGAGATCATTTGTCAAATACAGTTTTCAACCATCAGGGAACAAAAATACCTTGCCACAGTTGCCCACCAGTCCTGGAGAACAGCCAAAAGCTGCAGTTCTACAACTCTTTCCCTGGAAACACAAAGGACAATGTGTTTATTTAATTATGCTGTGCTAGATACAATATTCAGCTGTTCCCAACACATCTGTAGAATGATTATATAGTCAGTTATAGTAATAGAAACACATTCATACAGGAGATGTTGTTCTTTACTCTTGAATCATATATCTCTTTATCCATATACTTGCTTTAGATTGAGCACATGTGACAGCTTCTGCAACATCTCTGAGCAGAAATAAGGAGAGAGCTTGGAACATTTTATTCCTCTTAGTATATAAAAAATTGGAAATGCAAAGCACTGAAAATTTAAGGATTTAGAACTCCTGATAACTATAAAATCTTATTCAACCACACTATTTCAATTCTAGAGGGAAATAATAATGTAATAATAAATTAGTCTGCAGCATGTGGAGTAGCTTTAGAAAATAAGTTTGTTTATTCTTTTTCTGCAATATGCCATTGAAAGTACTTCTTCTTGATGCACTGTCCTCATTTTTTATTGCACAATGTTAGATTATTTATTGCTCTTTCAAAATGAACCAGCACTCATCATATATTTTCTGCATATTTTACTATGAATGATAAAATTTGTTTATGTGAGTAGAGTAAAAAAAGCCCACATTTTTCATGATGAACTAGTTTTCTGGTAGAGGCATGGTTCTCGTTCCCTTAAAAAATTACTAAATTTGATTGCTTATTTAAATTATGTCTCTGCTTAGCCCTAAATTTATATTATTATCTTTCAACGTTAGGCACTGCATCATTTAGTACCTGTGCATGTAAGAAATACTGTAGGAGAAAACTTCCTATCTATCTGTGGATAAGTTTCTCCAGTTCCCACATATCAAAGTAACAAGTACAATCTTTTAAAAAGGGTGAGGATGCATGGGAAGTGTCTCTATCTAGCTACATTTTTAAGCTATCAGTTGTGTGCAAATAAAAAAAATTTATTTGTTCTCAGAGTCCCTACTGGCATTTTAAAATGACTTCTGCAGGATATTGTTGTTTCATTGAACTAAATTCTTTTCTTTCTTTCTTTCTTTCTTTCATGTACTTTTGCACATCTTTAAAGTAAATAACTAGTGATGGTAAGGGAGTAGTATAATGAGATGATCTGACTTCTACTGTTTGGAAATAAAAATAAGGTAAAATATGCATACAAGAATTATTAGATAGTTTTAGATGTCATATCACCAGTGCCGTGGTTGTAAATAAAATGCATTTTCATGAAAAAAGACTCAACTAAGTGCTTTCAAATACAGAAGTCAATATCACTTTAGAAAGTCTCAGATAGCAACTATGTAGATGTTCTGTTTTCTATGGCAGCAAAAACAAGGCAAGAGGTACTGAAGAGGCATTGGTAGCTGATTTTAAAAGTGTTCTTTCTAAAGAAGACAAATAATACATTTTACTCCAAAAACAACCTACACATATTCTTTCTTCTGCTTAAGAAAAGACAATTTACAAATTTAGTGCGGAATGACATCTTAAATCACATAAGCAATCTATGAAAGCAAACTTTGTTAACTTTAAGTGATGTCTCAGCAATTCTGAAATAAGGCTACCAAGCTATCCTTGAATCCCTTACATAAAGACAGGCAAGTTATGTGTCTACTACTTTGAGTAACAAATCTATATGCCATAGAAACAAATATACCTAAAAGCTGTAGATTAATGCACAAAATTATGTAGAGAATAGGGAAAGTTAAGGCAAGCAAATGACTACAAATTCAGTTTTTCCTCCTATAGAAGGAAGAAGTCATGTCTTGGGTTCAACGTGATTCAGCCCAATCTCTCATATCCAAATCATGAGTCCTATCAGTCAGTGAATAATCAAGAAAATGCTTCACTGTAGAGTCTTATCCTGTACAGACTTAAACAGAAAAAAAACTGACAAAATTTCAAAGCATGTCTCTACAAGACTTTAAACAAAAGCACTGTGTATATTATTTGGAGGAGGAATAAGGAAACAGGGATTCCAATAGTTAAAATTATTTTCCTTAAATATTCTGGTTAGCCATGATTTATTGCACATGGCATGTCTCAAGGCACAAATATTCCTTAAAACTAATGAAACAGTAGTTAGAATGCATGAGATTTGAGTCTTCCACTATGTGTCTTAGACTTTGACAAGTGGTAGTTTGTCTTTGAAAAATGATATGAAAAGAAATAAACATTACTGGTAATTCTTAGTTAAACTATTTTTCATGAAGAGATATATGTATTTTTAATCAAATTCAATTCCATAAATGTTTTAAGCATATACATATTCTGGCCATGGCTTCTTTCACAGTAGACAATGCCTCTTAAGAAGTGCATGGTCTAGAGAGGGAGGAGAAATAGGTCTTCTAAGAAGACAGGAACAAGAAAATGGCATCTAACTGTGCCTGGGAGGATCAAACAAAGCTTCCTGGAGTAACGGAAAGGAGAAAGAAGAGATCTTGGTGTGAGAAAAAAACATAAAACTGCAAAGAATTCAGCAGGCTGAGGTGAATTTACATTCTATTTTATTTTCTTTCTTTTGCTTATTTTTAGCTCTTCCAAACATTTCTTTAAACATAATTTCTATTATTTGAGATACGCATGCCGTTTCAGTAATTAACTCTACATACAAAGACCTTGTCAGAAACAGTGATAAGAAATTTTTATTCAGAACTCCAAAGCAACCTTTGCGAAAGTTTTTTATCGTAGATCAGTGGGCCCCAAAATAGGCATATGTAGGTTTCACCATGCATTTTACCTAATAGGTGGGAGGATTGGCTATATTTGTATACCTGGTGCATTTCAGCCAGTTTTAAGATTATGAATACTCTACATCTATGTCAGTAAACACACTTTCCTTCGTTTCTGAGAGCCTATTTATAATAGTCAGCTGATATAGTCATTGTCATCTTAATCTTAATGCTTTTCTCAATTGACAGAGAACAATTATGACTTAAAAAAATTGTACATGTGGAATTGTAAATTTCTCTGGCTGTAAGATGGTCTAGAATAAAATGATGAGTAATTCATAGTATAATATTTGCCATCACCTCACGGTCTGTGTTAGCAGTATCAGTACTTATGAAGAACTTGATTTCCAACTTTATATCATGTCTATAATAAAAACATAAGTAGTACCAAAATACAGCTTGCACTTGCAGTGAAATAGAAACTGCCTAACAAAGGCAGGAAAAGTGAATTAATATCTCTGTATTTCAAATGCTCAATACTGTTTCTTGGTAATTAGTAGTTGCTTCATAAATGTCTATTGAATAGATAAGCAAAAATATGCACACAAGCACTGTTTCCCCCTCCCTGTATAGGAGCATTTTCAGGTGGCTTAGGAATGCTGGGTTATTTTTCCTCTGTTTTCATATTGAGTTTTTATTCATTTAATTCATGTGTTAGAGAAAATTGATTTTCTTGCCTGGCTTCTTAACTCAGCAGTACAGTTTTGACAATGCTGGAGCCTGGTGGTTTTGTTTATTTGTTTTTGTGTGCTCTGAATGGATTCCATTGGTTTGTTCTGTGCTGTTTACTATTGTTACCTGAATTTCAATGAGAGTTTTGAAGTGTCACAAGATGTGTGTGTGTGTTGTGTGTGAGGAGAGAAAGCCTAAGGTTAGTGGGTTTAATATTCATTATTCTTTACTTGTTTTACTAGACTCGTTTATGTGTATTATCAGAGATATGTTTCTTACATAACAATATCTGAAATGATTATGGGATGATCACATAATTTTGGGGAGTTGTTTACACATTTGGCATCTTTAAATGAGAAAGCAAAACTACCAAGCATCTGTTTACTTACACTAAATAATCTGAAATTGTCTGTCTTTAAAAATAAAGTCAAGCTCTTTGTATAGCTTTTTCCTCCATTGCATAGCTTTTTCCTCCATTATAAAATGTTTTTAATTTTAATAAAACAATATTTAACAATAATTAGTTATTTTTACTGTCAAACATGACTGAGTAAAAGAGACATCACAATAATTTCCCAGAGATCAAAATGACAGTGGTAGAACACACTTTTTTCCTGAATCTCTGCCCTGGTTTTGATTCCACTGAACTATGAGGTATAATAGAATAAATAACTGGAATTTACTAAATTGTTTTTTCAAGCAATAATTTTATATACATTTAGAAGACTTTGCCTATTAAAATGCCTTTATATCAATTCTGGTGGATTTTATTCTATAAATGATACAGGACATCTAAAGGTACATATGATAATGGAAAGACATCATCAGAAATAATTATTTAAGGAAAAGTACAAAGAAAAATAGATCATTAAATAAATAAGGATGTTAGGTAGCACATTACCAGGTTTTGGTACAAATTTCCAAGTTCCCCCAAAGTTTCCCAAGAAAGCATTCCAACCACATGAAGGACACTTTCCACTAGACGTGAAGAAGGCCAGTTTTGACACTGCCAAAGGATATTTACACAGTTCCCAAGTCCACCCCACCTTCACCACGCATCTGTCCTGGGAATGAGCTATGGACTTGCTAATCAGAACGCATAATTGAAACAAAACTAGTCAATATTATTTTTCCTGAAGCAAAAGTTAGTTCCTAAAGTGAAGCAGTGTTTTTTAATAGGCTGGGTGACGCTATTAGCATTCGAAGCAGGATATTTAAATCCCTGGCTCCTGCCTAATAAATTCTAGTATTGTCTTTTGGTCGTTTTGCAAGGAAAAAAATATCTGATACAAAAAATATCTGATTCACATTTGCAAGTGCCATAGATTAGACCAATAGAATGGAATGCTTGATAAATCCTCCTCTATCAAATGTTTCTTTAAACAAACAAAAAAAAAAACCAAAAAAACTTTTATTTTAGGTTCTGGGGCACATGTGAAGGGCTGTTACATAGGTAAACTTTTGTCACCGGGGTTGTTGTACAGCTTATTTCATCACCCAGGTATTAAGCCCAGTACCCAATAGTTATCTTTTCTGTTTCTCTCCCTCCTCCTGCCCTCTCCCCTCAACTAGACTCCAGTGTCTGTTTTTCCTTTGTGTTCATGAATTCTCATTTTTTAGCTCCCACTTATATGTAAGAACATACCATATTTGAATTTCTGTTTCTGCATTAGTTTTCTAAGGATAATGTTTCTAAAAAAGAAAAATTTCTGCTTTTATGTCTTGATATGTTGTTGGGAAAATACTGCAGAGTTTCCATTAATCAATCTTGTTCAATTTTTTTCTTCTGCAAAATTAGCCAAAAGACAACTATCTAGAAGGGCTAATGAATATCATATATCATATATATTACATATGTACATATATTATGGATAATAACAGTTAACAATGGCTGATGCATCATATACATGGAGCAGGATAGAAATATGTAATTGAATATAAAAATCAAAAGTGAACATTATTACTACTATCCCCACCTCTCAGTAAATTCAAATACACTTCACAGAGGGATCTATTCTCTGTGTGAATTTTTTTCTGATAGGAAATGAGTACCCTTATACTTCTGAACAACTATAAATGTTAAAGTTGTTTAAGGAATTTCCTTATACACCCATTATCTATTTAGTTATTAAAAAATGGTTTTAATTTTGATTTCTACAGTCACGTAGAATGAATAGTCTACCTTTTCCAAGATAATCCTTAAAAAATTTAAAACAGTAAACTTTCTAATTTATTAAATAGCCCCAGTCCCTCCATTATCCCACATATAACATCATGTCCAGATAGTTCTCCATTCAGATCCCTTTTCTCCAGATAAATGGCAAGCAGTCAATTTGTCTATTAATATGCAGATTCCCAAAGTGAACAAAATAGGCAAGACTACGTAATTAACACAGAATATTGTGGAGATGTCACCACCCATGTTCTGGATAGTACCAGGGCTTCTACTGATCAAATTTGTAATATCGTTTGTGGTTGGGAAGTGTGCCTTATGGTTAACAAAAATTGTTACCAATTGATTTTAAACATTACATTTTTGTTCACATAATAAATATTTTGAAAGTCCTATTTGCAGTAACAATTTTTAATTTAAGTATTTCTATATAAATGTAGTGCCTTATATAATTATCTAATTTAATATGCTAATTTCATCTCATAATTCTGATTATTCATCCCATATTTTGGGTATTCTTCCAAACTTCACCTTTCAAAATTCAATAAAATAACCTAGGCTAGTTATGTACTCATTTTTATCTGTAAAGTTGTAATAATAATATCTGTAAGTCATTAATAATAGTTTAAAGTTGAGCAGTGCCTACATAGCAGACCCTCAATAGCTATTAGTTCCTTCCTCTCCCCACTCTTCATTGTCTCTTACACTTACTGCAGACTTCAAGATGAAGCTGTAAGATACCACCACCAATTTCCCTCTAGATTCATCATCATCTATCAACAATATACTTGGAAATGGTGATTAATTAACTATTAATATGCCAACCTATAATTCATTCAGTCTACCATCTCCCATATTATTTTAAATATATTACAGTAGAATTTATTTAATGACTTACAGAAATCAGATATATTATATCCACACTGTTCACCTCTTCTATCGCTTTAGTAATGAAAATCAACAACCACAAACATGGTTTGCAAAGATTTATTCTTATTAAATTTATTCAGCTCCCTAAGTGATTAACAAATAATGTTTCTTTTGTTTTTACGTTTTAAACATAATGTAACACAACATGACATAAATAACATAACACAACATAATAAACATGCATTGTGCAGTGACTAATTTCCCCTAGATTTTTTTCTGCCCTTTTTCCATTTTGTAATAGAAACCAACTCCAGTTCTTGGAGTATCAGCAGTGCATACAGCTGCCCAGTTAAAGATCATATTTCACAGTCTCCTTGTACCTGCATGTGCACATATGTTTAAGTCCTTGCAAAAGGAATACGAATGGAAGTGATATCTACAACTTCCATGTCATTTCCCTAAAAGAAAGTTACTCGCTTTCCTCTGCCTCTTTGCTCCCCTACCCTAGGCCAGAAAGGGATGTGCTGCTGACCAGCAGCTCAACCACATGTCAGGCAAACACCCTTTTGAAAGACAGAGCTAACATTAAGACAGAAGAAAGCCAGACCCCATCTTGATCTTGTTGAGCAGAGCTGCCTGCCTCTACACCGCATACTATGTAAATAGAAATAAGCTTCCATTGTGTTTTCAGCTTCTGTATTTGGTGTCCATTTTTTTACATCATATTAGCTTATATCCTATTTTTTGCCCCTATATAGTGAACATTGAATTTTTAAACATTAACTTTTACCACATTTACTTCAGACCTTTTTATTTAGCAAAATAAATATTTCAAATACCATCAAATCATTTTCCTCCCAGTGGTCATATTTTCCTCTCTCTTTACACAGAGGTAATCACGTATTTGAAATCAGACTGTACCTATTTGGCTAGACCAGACCACAAAGGCAAGTAGGAGTGACTATTGATTTAACTCTGATTTGCTATTGACCCAGCAAACAAACAGCAAAAAAGATACACTACGAAAAGTATGAATGAGTAAATAAATACAGCTTCTCAGTGGCTGCCGAGTTGCTCGTAGATTGAGTTAACAGTTTGATGAGGAATGTAGTATGTATAGAATGAAAGATTTGCTGTAATGAAGGACCCCAGAGTGGTTTATACCATTAGGCTTGAGAAGGGGAACATGTAAGTACTTAAGGTCTACCTGATACATTAATTTAATTTGCTGTATCACAGTTACATTCACCTGTGACTATATCATCAGACTTTTAAAATACTGAGCTGTAGAATATCCAAGGTTTATGCTTTTCTGACATTCAACAATATCTTTAAATGCTCAATCTTTACAACCTATTAATTGGGTTCAGGGATAAAGAATCTTAAAGTAAGAGCACCCAGTTAACATTGTACTATAAGTCTGTAATACATTTAAAGCTAAATTAAATTTATATTATAGTGCAATGGAGTCAAAACTAGCAAAAATCAGGTAAAAATTCTGAGAAGTGTCATGATTTTACTATAGAATTTTTATGGTGATTTAGGGCACTCTGCTTTTTAGTATGCATAAAAATTCATACAGTAAGAAAAATATGTACCACATAATGAATGAACTCATATAAAACTGGTTTTATATCATCACAAGGGAGATATTTCCAAATGAAACATCTATGTTTATATCAACAAAATTAAGCATTAACAGGCAATACCAAAATAGTCCATCCTTTGATTAGTGTAGTTTCCTACTGAGGTTTATACTTTTACCACCTTTGCATGTTTTACCAAATCAATACCATTACATACACAGACATATATATATGTGTGCATGTATGTGTGCATGTGTGTGTGTGGTGTATGAGTGTGTATATATATAGTGTAGTAGTATATGTGTGTGTATATGTATATATAGTGGTGTGTATATACATATACATATATACACAAACACATATATAGTGATGTATGTGCTGTATACATATATGTATACACCATTATACACACACCTACACACATACATATATCACTACATATATATACACATACACACTATACATACACTACTATACATATATACTATAAACCACAATATTTATATATACACATACACACATACAGCACTATATGTGTATTTGTATAGATAGATATATATAGTTTATGTGTGTGTGTGTGTATATATACAGTGTATACATATAGTGTGTATATATAGTGTATATATATAGTGTATATATATATAGTGTGTATATATATAGTGTATGTATATATAGTGTGTGTGTGTATATATATACATACACATACACAATTGTTATTTTATCCTGGTCCCAAAAGTTGGTGATAAATGCTGATAAAGTGTTGGTAATACAGATTTAAGGAATAGTAAATGCTTTTTGAAGAAGAGTTTAATATATCAGCTTCAGCATTTCTCAGTATATGCTAGTGACTGGAGCTTACACTTTACCTAACAGCCAAAACATCCTCTAACCACAGCATCCAAAAGTTAATCCCAGTAATTTTGTCTTAGCTTGTGATACCTTTGCAAACAGAGCCTTACATAAGGATTTAAATATTGCTCTAGTTTGAATGTATCCACCAAATTTCATGCATTGGTAATTTAGTCTCCAAAGCAACAGTGTTGGGAGGTGGAACCTCATGAGAGGCTCAGCCCTCATGAATGGATTCATGTTGTTTTCAGGGGAGTGAGATTAGTTATCATGAGAGTGGTTTTGTTATAAAAGTGAGTTTGGCTGCCTCTTCTTGCTCTCTCGTGCCCTCTTGTCCTTCCACCTTCTGCCACGGGATGACACAACAAGAAGGCCCTCACCAGATACAGGCCCCTGGATCTTGATTTTGAACTTCTCAGCCTCCTCAACTGTGTGAAATAAATTTACTTTCCGTATGAACTACCCAATTTGTGGTATTTTGTTATGGTGGCACAAAATAGACTAAGACAAACATGAAGTGTTTGTTTGGGAAAGTCATCTAGAGTACAGAAGTGAAAGGACAATGTAATGAAATAAAGCAAGAGGAAACACAAATGCAAGTGTCGTTTATTAAGCTGATTTCCATCATGAATAACTGTGGCTTAATTCTACTCGGGATGCTCTGGTTGTTTCCCAGAATGTTTCCCAGGATTCTTTGCCTGTTACAGAGAAAGGAGAGTATATGTTTACCTCTCCTCTTCTTCTAGCATGTCTTTAATACCAAGCTAAGGAAATTCAATTTCATTTTATAAATAATAATATAGCATATATTGAGCACTATATATGTCACAAAAACTTTTCTAAGTATTTCTATGTAGTCTACATTTTAGAGGACCAAAATAACATTAACTATTACATAAAGATATAATATATATGAATGCATAAATGTTATTAAAAATAACATTAAATGAATTTGCAAAGTTTACCCAGGAGTAAATGGCGGGGTCAGGACTTGGAAATAGATTTTCAGTCAGGAAAAAGATGATACAACAAAATTAGTATAATACAAGAGAGTTTAATAAAGGGATAATCTATAAAAATATCATAACAGGATGAGTGCAATGCCCCAGAGATAGTAAGGGGGTGGGGGCTAGTTCAACCTTTGCATCTGAAAGAGTAAGGAGAAGATGTTACTGGAAATTGGAAGGAGAGCATCCCATAAAGAAAACCACATTGTCAAGAGCTGTAAACTTTCAGCAGTGGGACACAACCAGACCAAGGCTGCAAGGATAGGGCAGGGAGAATAAACAATGTACAAGAAACTGAAGGATGTGAATGTAGTCCATGATACTTGAGCCTCTGCTGCAGACAAAAGCAGGGTGGAAATGAAGAGATGGTGAATCTGAATAGAATTCAAAATAAAAGACATTCAGTAGAAGAGGACCATTGAGTTCCAAAGAGGACCACAGAGTTCCATATTTTAAATCAGTTATTAAACCATTTTAAAAGGAAACATTATGTAATCTAAATATTTGTTCCAGAAGTTTGATCTACATGCTAATGTATAAAAAATATTGAATGAAAATGGGGAAAATGGGTTGCTTTACAGTGTTTAAAGAGAGAGTACTGAGGATTTACAACTGTTGTTGCTGTCTGTGTGGACTGATAAGGATTACCCTGTACGGGTAGATTCAATAATACTTGAAAAATAAACTATACATGAAAATATAAGACAAAAGAGAGTAAATGAGTCATGTTTTAAGCATGGATGCCTTGCACAAAATGACTCTATTAAATAAAGCAGAAAAAATAAGAAAAATGCAGATGTAAGAAGAAATATAATTATTTAATTTGGGGCAGACTATATTTGAATATACTGATGAAAAACATGTAGAAAGTGGACATGCGGAAACATATGTAGAGGAAAAGTAAGGATTTAGGATACAGATGAAGGAGTAACCTTTGAAGAGGTGATATTTAGTCATTAGTTAGGATAAGAAAGAACATTAAATATACAGAGAAGTGCTTTATATAGTGTGTACAATTTACATGAAAAATTACATTCACTTGAAAGATGTAATAAATTCAATGCTGTACCTAATAACTTCAAAAATATAAAGCACAAATTGACAAAACTAAAAGTAGCAAATGAGAAATTCGTCTTCAGAGAAAGGCAGTTTAATCTATTTTAACAATTAGTCAATCAGCCAAGTAATCTGTAAATTCATAAATGATTAGAATGATGCAAACTAACAAATTCAATCCAGTCGTTGTACAGAAAAATACTGCTCCCAAGAGTGCAGTCTATGGATCCTTTTCAAGAACATTTGTGAGGAATAAACAAAATAAAACTGAATATTGCTTTTTTCCTGACATCATATTTTTTAAAAAATATATTTCTACCAGATAAAGTGATACATGTAAGGGGAAAGATTTTTAAACTTTGAGAAGATATTATGTGAGAATATATTTAAGAATTTGGGGCAGGGAATTTTTTTTAATGGCACAAAAATCACAAACTATAGTACAAGGAGTGATTTATTTTACTAAATTTGAATCCTCTAATTGTATATGTCAAGAACACAGTAAAGAAAATGATAAGAAAACCCATAACAAGAAGATTTTTGGCACATTTACACTGAAAAATATTAATAAGTGAAATTTTTTTAAATTCCCATATGTCAATTAGAAAAAGATCAACAATATAAAAGAAACATGTAAAAAAAAATGCACACACAGACTGCACTCAAAATCATCAGTGAAGAGAGAATAAACAATGAGCCACCACTCACATACACTAGATTAGCAAAGATTAAAAGTATGACATTATCATTTCTTGGCTAATAGGGGGTCTAAAGATGAACTCTTACACTATTGGTAGTTACATAAATTGACACCACCACTAAGTAAAACAATTTGTGGTTATTTAGCACATTTGAGCATGTATAAATGAGCCAACAATTTGATTCATAGATATTTGCCCTAGAAAAATGATTGCATATGTGCCCAGGAACTATGTAGGACAAAACACATAGGAGTGTTATTCATAAGAGAACAAAACTGGAAATTACCTAGATTTTCATTAATAACACCATAGGTAAATTGTGTTACAGGAATCAATGAACACATTAGAGCAGGAAAAATTAGATTGGCATTCTCACCTTTGAAACTCAGCCATATCGTGTACTTCAAGGCACATATAGGCGGTCTGGCTGATAGACCCACCTAAAGTCCCAAGCTGTAGCCAGGAATGCAAGTGAATGAACCCTAAACTGAGTTTAGTCCCTAATTTTCAAGTCACACCAGCTGACACTGAGTGGAGCAAAGACAAGATGTCCCTGCCAAGCCCTTCCAAATTGCAGATTCATGAGCAAAATATTGTTATTTTAAATCCCTAAGTTTTGAAGTAGATTGATATGCAACAAAAGATAACTGGAAAAGAAGGGCTTAAATATACTGCTAATATGGCATTTTAATATGAATTGAAATATATTGAGGTTTATTTAATGATTCATTACATTTTCAAATTAATTATTTTTATGTATAATACATTTTTCATGTAAAACAATGTGCCAGAAGGTGCTCTCCCATTTACAGTAGCAAGAGAAATATTTAAATATCTAGAAATAAACTGAAGACATATTCATGCTGCATATAAAGATAATTTTGAAGTCTTGATATATTTAAATAAATAGAAAAATAGTGAATACTGTGCTCAGATGAAGATGATAATATTGTAATGATATTCATGCTCCCTGAATTGATCTATAAATTCAATGCACTTCCATTGCATTTAAAATAAATTCTGGTTTTTATTTATTTTTTAACCAAGACTGAAGGTTTCACACATTACATTTGTTTGTAATGTATCTTCAGTGTCTTAGTAGTTTCCTAATTTTTACTCATGACAGTTTTTCTGTGAAGATTCAAGGCCAGTTATGTAGAAAGTCCCCTGTTATACATTTCACTGATTGTTTCCTTGTGGTTCTATCAAAAGGCTTAATTAGATTCAGGTTAAATATTTTTGGCAAAAATACTACATAAAACATCATATTAGAAAGACATAATGTTAATTTGTCCCACTCTTAATGAGCTGTGTTTAATTATTGCCTTATCATTACCTGCAAAGGAAAGCTTATTCATTTGAAATAAAAAGTAGGGTAGGATTCAGTAAGCCTGGGCAGGTCAATGGCTCTTGCTGGCAAGAGCTAGTAAAGCATGCATAAATTACAGACAAACAAACAAAAAAAAACATTTTAAAGGCATCAGAGTGCTGTGAAGTAATGAGAGCTAAATCATTTCCAGAAAGTGAAAAACTGGTTAGAAGTGAGCTGATAACTCAGCAACCTTTTGTTGCTATTGTTTCTGCTTCTGTTTAAAATTTTCCCTGCCCCAGAATGGGCAGAAGGAGGCATCTGATGATTCTGAATGCAGACTGTGGATCAATGCCTACACTAGGTAGAGGGCATCTTCTGGGGAAAGAAACATCGAGCAAAGCTTTCAACAGTTGTCAGGGCCTTGAGTGGTAGAATCGGAAGCTTGGAGATCCTATAGACCACACAGAGACATCCTCTGAAGATGTATACTGAATTCAGAGTCTGGGTAAGAGGGAAAAAAGTTTGGCTGAGAGCATTTAGAAGTCTTCATAAAAGACATTCTAAACGTGGGGTATTGGGGAAACAATTGCTAAAGGAAGAGGACCTGAAACAAAATAGTCAAGAGATGAAAGCCCGGGATGGGATGCTGGATTGTCCCTGAGTTTGCACCGCGTCTTCACAAATGTCAGTTTGGTCCAACTCTGGGGGGGCAAGGGGAGGCTAAGAACCAAGGCTGGCCCTCTTAGAGGCCAGTGCTGGGGACAGAGAGAGCAGCAGGAATTCTGGCATTCACCGGAGGCCGAAGTGATAAAATGAACAATTTCAATAACCTCAAACACACAACCAGTCTCACCTCGAAATATTGCCCAAATTATGAAGCCCTGTAGGGTGGGAGATTGAAAAGCTCTAAAGGTTGGGGCTGTGTCAATATTTCAGAGCTGAGCGAAAGAGACTTACAAAGCTCACAATCAAAATAGACACACAAAAAAACAAGGGCAATTCAGATGTAGAGTTATTCCTGCTCTAACTGTTACTCAGCTCCCATTCAACTTTTCCTTGGATGTATTGAGATGATCAGGTCATCGCTCTGCTAGAAAAAGAAAATAACTCTTTCTCTTGAAAGATACTACCATCTTCAGTTCCCAATATTGTTTTATAGATAGCCCATAGAATAAAATAAAAATTGTACACTTGTAAATAGACGAGATTATTTGAGAAATAATAAAATATTATACTTAATGGAGAAATCTTGACAGTATCCTCTCTGAGATTGGGAATGAGAACAAAGAAACATGCTCTCATCATTTCTATTTGAAACTGTATCGAGGATACTAGCCAGCTCAGTAAGACCAAAGAAAAGTATAAGTAATACAAGAACTGTAAAGAAATAAGTAAAACTGCCTAAGAAATCTATGAACAGAATATACAAATAAGTAGACTTTGTAACTGCAGGATGCAGGTTTAATATGCAAAATTATTTTAATAATTACATGTCAGCAGTAAACAAATAGAAGATAAAATGTTAAAATAATATGCTGAAAAATATCAAATACCTAGCCACAGATGCAATAGACCTCAACACTAGAACCTTATTGTGAGAAAGTAAGGAACATCTGAATAAATGGAATGATATGCTATATTCATAAATTGGAATACTTATCTTAAAAGTTCTATACAAAATAATCTGTAGATTAAATGTATGTTTACTAAAAATTATGTTAGTTATTTCCGTAAAAACAAATTGAATTTAAAATTCACAGGGAATGCAAATAGTCCAGTATTTACAAGACATTCCTGAAGAAGATTTCTGTTAAGAACTTAGATTACTACATATCAAAAACCATTAGAAATCCATAGTAAGACCTTATGATATTGCTATAAGGATGAGCAAATCGAACCATTGAGCAGAAAAGTAATTCCAAGAACAGTCTAAAATGTATATAGTCATCTAATTTATGACAAAGGAATACTACAATATAGTGACAAAATAATAACCTTTAAATAAAGTTCTAGAATAATGAAAAATTGATATGAAAGAAAGTATATCCTGAGTTCTGCTTTAGGCCATACTGTATAACAGGAGCTAGAATTATCCCCACTGTAAAAATACCTAGAACATGTGACAGAATATGTAAACAACTATTTTCTGGCTGTGTAGGACTATGACCCTTCCTGAAAGAATAAAATTAAATAAGTTAAGTTTTCTAATATTCCAGGTTTTCTGTTTGGAGACATATTCTAAGCTGCAGACCAAAGAGGCAGGACTCAAACAGAGCCTAGAATTCTCACTGAGTTGAGGAGAGAGAGGGGGGTTCAAGGATATCATGGTGATGGGCGTGTACTGAATTTAGTAAGCAGGTACAGTACTAACATCAGATAAACTAGGGTTCAGAAAAAATATTATTACAGAGAAGAATATTTCATGACAAGGAAAGGGGCCTGTTCATCAAACAATCAAAGAGATCTCAAATGTGTATGAAGACAAAAATGATTCAAAATACATGAATTAAAATGGACAGAACTGAAAGAATAGAAAACTCTACAACTGTAGAATATTTAAACACACTTCTCACATTAATTGCTAGAACAATATACAAAGAGTACAACACCATCAATCAACTAGACTTTATTGACATTTACAGAACACACCAAAAACTGAACCATTTACATTATTTTCAAGCATACATGGAATAATCACCAAGATTCATGAAATTCTGAGTAATAAAACAATTGTCAGTAACATTAAGAATGATAAAATGAGAAAATGTTCTGTGACAACGGAATAAACTAACAATAACAGAAAGACCTCTAGAGAATTAAAAAGCATGTCAATATTAAACAGCACACTTCTAAATAATGCAAGGTTTAAAATACAAATCATTAAATGCTAATATTAAAAAATAAGAAGAACCTCAAGCCAATGATAATACTTCCAAATTAATAAATCATAAAAATAAAAACCTGGATGAAGCTGGAAACCATCATTCTCGCAAAATATCACAAGGACAGAAAACCAAACACTGCATGCTCTCACTCACAAGTGGGAGTTGAACAATGAGAACACACGGACACAGGGAGGGGAAAATCACACACCGGGGCCTGTTGAGGGGTGGAGGGCTGGGGGAGGGATAGCATTAGGAGAAATACCTAATGTAAATGATGAGTTGATGGGTGCAGCAAACCATCATGGCACATGTATATCTATGTAACAAACCTGTACGTTGTGCACATGTACCCTTGAACTTAAAGTATTTTATGTATATATATATATATACATAAAATATATAGTATTTTATAAAGTATTATATATGTATATATAAAAAAATAAAGTATTTTATATATATGTGTGTATATATATATATATGAAAGCAAGAGAAATCAGTGAAACACAACACAAAATAACAACACAGAAAATCAATGAAGCCAATATTTTTAATTAATGAATTTAAATGACTATCTACCCATCTGAAACAGGGTATCGCTACAGATCTTGCAAACATTTAAAAATATATATAACATATTATAAACAACTTAAGTGGCAAAATTGTTTAAAAGAGAAAAGTTGCCAGAACCATCTCAAAAAGAGATAAAACACATTTACAGCCCTATATTTATTTTTTAAACCAAATTTATGATTAAAACTTTCCTATAAAGAAAATTCCAAATTCTCATAACGTCTAATTTTTAAGGAAGAATTAATTCCAATACTATACACATACAAAATAGAAGGAAACATTTCTCAACCTATTATATGAGTCCTCATTACACTGATAACAAAGCAAATAAGAAAATACTAAATAACAAAACAACATTCCTCAGAAACTTAGATGTGAAAATTCTTAAGAAAGTTTTAACAATCTACCTTCTTATCAAAAGAATAGTATAGCAAATCCATATGGAATATATGTCATGAATGCAAAGTTGGTATAGCATTCTAAAAGTCAATATCATTCACATGAAAAGATTTATGCTAAAAATACGAACATTTCAACAGGTATAGGAAAAGCATTTTACATAAATCAACACACATTCAAAATAAAAACCCTCACCCCAAAATCACATTCTTTTGATTACTGAGAGGAATCAGTTAGCATATGGAATCAGGTATAGTCTTCCAAATTTGTTCTTTTTCAAAATTGTTTTGGCTATTTTAAAGGTGTTGCATTCCTAAATACATTTTAGAATCTTAACTTCTAAATGTCAATCAAAGGGACTGTGAAATTTTGATTAGAATTGTATTGAATTTATAGATCAATCAGCAGAAAATTGACACCTTAACATATATTATTTCAATTCATGAACATGATATATCACTTTAAGTATTTTAAAATTTCTATTAGCAGTGTTTTTAGTATTCAATGAAAAGGTCTTGACATATTTTGCTTGATGTAATGCTTTTGGAGGTTATTGTAGTGGTATTTTGTAATATTTCAATTCTCAACTGTCAGTAGGGAAATACAGTCTATCTCTGCACATTGACCTTGTATTCTGCAACCTTGTAAACTCATTATTTCCAGTTATTTTAAGATTCCTTATTTCTATGTATAAGATTATTTCATAAAATTTTACTCCTTTATTCTCAGTATGTATTCCTGGTATTTATGAAGATATTACAGTAAATTTTCAATGCTCTGACAGAATAAAATTATATATTTTTCATAAGTAATATAAAAGACACTGTACTGGCTCCACTAACTATGAGTAACATATCTCTGGACCAGTGGTTTTCAAATATTTTTATTTTATTATAGCCCAAAGTAAAACATATTTTATGTTACAACACAGTGCATCTACACACACATAAGCGCACATAACTGGGACATAATTTTCACACAATATTTACCTTTAAAATGTGTGATAACCTGTAATATTTTTTATTATATTGAATTATATAATATTTTATTCTATTGTATTTTAAATTACTGCTAAAAATCCATTAAAATATCTGCTGTTGGGTTACAAATATCTGTAAGTTATTATAAAGTTTAAGTATTATAAGTTCCTCTCAGAACTGTGCCCACAAAGAAGGTAAACTATTGCAGCGAACAACTATACAGAATGTATTTATCCATTTACAATCATTCAACAGATTGCTATTGAGCACTCATTGTGTTCATTTCCTACAGCAGCTTAACAACGTATCACGAACTAGGTGACTTAACACAACAGAAATGTATTCTGTTATAGCTTTGAAGCCTAGAAGTCTAAAATCAAGGGGTCAGCAGTTACATGCTGCCTCAGAAGACTCTGGGAAAGAGTCATTCTTTGCTTCTACCACTTTCTGATGGCTCCTAGCATACCTTAGCTTGTAGATACATCACTCCAATCTCTGCTGCTACCATCACATTGTCTCCTCTGTGTCTGTGTCCCTTTCTCTTTTATAAGAACCTCAGTCATCAAATTTAGAGCCCACCTTTAATTCAGGATGATTCCATACTCAGGTTCTTTACTAATTATATCTCTAAGATTCTAATTCCAAATAAGATCACATTCTGATGTTCCAGATGGATCCGAAATTTAGAGGGATACTATGTAAGCCACACCACTACACTTAAACTTTTCTAGGTGGTAGGACTATAATAATGAATAAGAGATGAAAAGCCTTGTCCTTATTCTAATAAGCACCCAAGAAAATGGAACAAAATAATCAGTTACTTAGAAATCATTCCAGATGTTATCTAACAAGGAAAGAAAAACAACTCGTTATGACTCCAAGAGGAAAACAGAGTAGGCACCCAAGATAGGCAAATTATTAGTTCACTGAGCCAAAGGGTCCAAGTTGACCATTAATGAATGAGCCAAGCATCTTAGTCAGTTTAGGCTGTAAAAGCAAAATACCAAAGGCTGTGAGCTTAAATAACAAACATTTATTCCTCAGAGTTCTGGTGGCTGATAAGTCCAAGATCAAAGAGTTGGAAGATCCACTTTTTCTGGTTGGTAGACGACCCTCTTCTCATCTTATCCTCACATGACCCAGAGCAGAGACAGAGACAGAGACAGAGAGAGAGAGAAAGCATCTGTGTCTTTTCTTATAAAGGCAGTAATCCCATTCATGAGGGCTCCAGCCTTATGACCTAATCACCTGACTTTCTAATACCATCACATTGGGGGTTGGGATTTCAATACATGAATTTTGGAGGACACAAACATTCAGACCATGATGCAGAGCTAAAATTCAATGGAACCATCGAGACTACTTTGAAGTATATTTAGGCTAAGTGTACATAAGGGATATAATAAGCACAAACTATGCTTTTTTTTTTTTTTCTTTTTGCTATGTGTGTCTTGGCTTCCACGGGGCTGCAGCATGCTCTTCCAGAAGTCAAAACTTTCGTGCGCAAAACCAATCTTTTCTCTTAAGGAGCTTGAGTTTTCAAAGGAAAATATGTGATCTTTTCAATTCATAAATAATTTAATGCAGCAGTTCTCAAAATTCTGTGAACATCAGATTTACTTTTTGAAAAATAAGGATGTTTTATTCTACCCTCAAATTTCTGAATTAGAATCTCCACAAGGTAGGAATCAGCTATACATATTTTTGCAAAATTTCACAGAAGGCTCAGATAGCTACAGTTTTAAGATTAAAAAGGTTAATAATTAAGAAAAATGCCATTATATCAATCCTGTCTTTATTGGAGTATTTGCCTTGGGATTATGTGCCAGTGTCACAAATTGAAAAGAGTTATGAGAAATACATAACACTTAGGAATGTAACCTTAAGTAACACTAGTTACCCTGACTGGAAATATACAAATATAAGCCCCAGCCTCTGAGGCAGGGGCTCACAGACTTGATTTAGCCAAAAGGAAAATCATAATGTCCTACATTTTGAGGTTATATTTTTAGCTTTTCTTCACAAATTTTTCTATAGAATTTTTTTTATACTCAAATGTCTTCAGTTCTTCTCATTTGTTGAAATTCACTGCAATTAATAACCCAACTCTTATTCGATTTGACTATAATTTTAAAAAAATTCTTAAGCATAATAAGCATGGCCTCTGTTTCTTATCCATATTTCATAGAAGGCCACTAAGTCTCCTGCTCAGGGATGAAGTATAAGTTCGTGTAACCTCCAGATTTTCTGACTTTGATGGTGATGGGTCCCAGTGGTTTCTTGGTTGCACAGATCTGGATTATAGATCTGTATATTAAAAGTTTCAGATGCTAATAATGTTATCTTTGAGAATTGCATTTCTATCACTATAAATAAGAACTCAAAAGTCATGGTATTTTGTAAAGGCATTTTTTGTGAAAATCCCACACCTGTTTTCACTTATGATGTCTTCTTCCTCATCACTATCTTAGATCCTTTAGGAAATATTTAACAAAACTTCTCATAGGTAAGACTTTTGTCATGGGCAAATAGTTAAATGATGCCAACTTTTCCAAAGCCAATGCTTGTTGATGCTTGCTCCCTGGCTGGCAAAAGAACCTTTTGCACAAATGCTAAGAGGTTTGTTGGCTCCACTATGCACTATAATTCACCCTGTTATGGAGGAAAACAGCTGTTTTGTGATCATGCTCTGGACATTTGCCATATTGGCTTACTGAGTTAAAAATCCCAACTTGCCTCTCAGCACTGCAATTCAGTCTCTAGGCTATTGGAAAGTGAATGGAGGAGAGAATTTTTGGACTTGCTTTTTTAATTCGATGACTTTGGTTCTCTTCTCTAACTTATGTCATGTTTTGTTATCTGTCAATAGTCAAATTTATAACAGTGTATAGCAATAAAAATATACCTTGAAATTTTATGTCTCCAAATCAAGATAATCAAAGAAACCCCTAGCTGTTCTAAGTGAATCCCCCGTACTGCAATTAGTGGTGGCATATAACTTCACAGGCTCATGAATATGGTTTTCTCCCAAATCATGTACATAGATTATTGACTGGTGTCAGCAGTTGGTTTGCAGGCAATTTGAAGTCAATAAAAAGCCCTCAATTCTAATTATCATATATTTGTAATGTACCCAAATACAAATTGCTACAGGAGAAACCTCACTGAGAATGAGAATTCCCTTACCTCCACAAATGTAAAACCTTATAAAATGAAACTACATTAAAATTTTTATTCTTTTTTTATTATACTTTAAGTTTTAGGGTACATGTGCACCATTAACTCGTCATTTAACATTAGGTATATCTCCTAATGCTATCCCTCCCCCCTACCCCTACCCCACAACAGGCCCCAGTGTGTGATGTTCCCCTTCCTGTGTTCATGTATTTTCATAAAAAATGATGAGTTCATGTCCTTTGCAGGGACATGGATGAAGCTGGAAACCATCATTCTCAGCAAGCTATCGCAAGGAAAAAAAACCAAACACTGCATGTTCTCACTCATAGGTGGGAAATGAACAATAAAATTCTTATTCTTAAGGGTTTTAACATTCAGTACACAAGACACTTGAGAATTGTGTATAATTATGCACCAGCATAGCGTAAGCACACTATACTGAAACAATTCACATGGAGTAGTCTATTTGATAATTACATAATATCCCATATTCTTTCAATAATGTTTAACTGCATTTTACAAGAAAGAATATAGTGAGACACACTGGGAAGAATAAAGAAATTACTTCTTTTCCTACAGATTCATCAATGTCCAGATTCCTTTGGATACAGCTACTATACTGTTGTGAGATTTCACTGATTTAACCATTACACCATGGAACAATTCACTAATAACCCACTAAGGATCATTAAACTTTTAAGGCAGTTAGTGGTTTATCAAAGGGACAAAACCATTAATTCCATCTCCAAATGGACTCACTGGGCATGCAGATTTGCAAATCCACAAATCCATTGTCTAGATAGGAGAGACATGTGCCTGCATATGCATTTTAATCATTCAGCATTAATGATGGCCATTCCATCTAAAGGGCACAATTTCCATCCTGCTCTTTTTTCTTTATATTCAACGTTTCAGTTTGTTTATAGGGGGATAATATTTTTAATACTTTGTCAATAAATCGCGATGCACTTAAGAATATCTGCAAATTTTAAGAGCATAAGTTATTTTCCCAAATGCTCTGATTACAGAGACAGATTACACCCCAGTTTCTTGGAAATTGTTAATCATTTTTATAACAGAAAATTGAAGTAGAAGTCACAATACTGAATACTTGCAATGAAAGAGTGGTGCAAGGGCTTTCTTCCAGTCTCTAGGAGATACCAAGCATGCAAAGAAGATTGAAGCAGATCACAACCTGGCACCAGCACCAGGTCCATAGAAGCCATACAGTTCTAAGGACATAAGTGTTTTCTTATGTGTGTGCACAAAAAACAATTCCAGACACACATTCTGAATCCCATTTCCAGCACTTGGAGAGGAGGATTATCAAATAAGAGATGGCCATAATTTTTTTTAATGTCACAGATTGCTGAAGATAACCTGGATGTGGGATGAGACACAGTTCAAGAGTTATTAATTTTTAAATAATTTTCAGAAAATTTACTTTGCTTACATTTATTTTGTGAGGGAAGCATTTTTCTTTCTTTAAAAGTCTGACATGGGTAGGGATAAATACAAAAATTACAATTTTTTAATTTTGTATTTTATTATTTTTTAATTATACTATAAGTACTGGGGTACATGTGTAGAACTTGCAGGTTTGTTACATAGGTATACTCGTGCCATGGTGGTTTGCTTCACTCATCAACCCGTCATCTACATTAGGTATTTCTCCTAACGCTATCCCTCCCCTAGCCTCCCACCCACTGACAAGCTCCGGTATATGATGTTCCCCTCCCTGTGTTAATGTGTTCTCATTGTTCAACTCCCACTTATGAGTGAGAACACATGGTGTTTGGTTTTCTATTCCTGTGTCAGTTTGCTGTGAATGATGTTTTCCAGCTTCATCCATGTCCCTGCAAAGCACATGAACTCATCCTTTTTTATGGCTGCATAGTACTCCATGGTGTATATGTGCCACATTTTCTTTATCCAGTCTATCACTGATGGGCATTTGGGTTGGTTCCAAGTCTTTGCTATTGTGAATAGTGCCGCAATGAACATATGTGTGCATGTGTCTTTATAGCAGAATGATTTATAATCCTTTGGGAATATACCCAGTAATGACATTGCTGGGTCAAATGGTATTTCTGGTTCTGGATCCTTGAGGAATCGCCACACTGTCTTCCACAATGGTTGAACTAATTTACACTCCCACCAACAATTTAAAAGCATTCCTATTTCTCCACATCCTCTCCAGCATCAGTTGTATAAGGTGTAAGGAAAGGGTCCAGTTCAGTTTTCTGCATATGACCTGTCAGTTTTCCCAACACCATTTATTAAATATAAAATCCTTTCCCCGTTGCTTGTTTTTGTCAGGTTTGTCAAAGATCAGATGGTTGTAGATGTGTGGCGTTATTTCTGAGGCCTCTGTTCTGTTCCACTGGTCTATATATCTGTTTTGGTAACAGTACCATGCTGTTTTGGTTACTGTAGCCTTGTAGCATAGTTTGAAGTCAGGTAGCATGATGCCTCCAGCTTTGTTATTTTTGCTTAGGATTGTCTTGGCTATACGGGCTCTTTTTTGGTTCCATATGAAGTTTAAAGTAGTTTTTTCTAGTTCTGTGAAGAAAGTCAATAGTAGCTTAATGGGGATATCATCAAATCTACAAATTACTTTGGGCAGTATGGCCATTTAAGCGATATTGATTCTTCCTATTCATGAGCATGGAATGTTTTTCCATTTGTTTGTGTCCTCTCTTATTTACTTGAGCAGTGGTTTGTAGTTCTCCTTGAAGAGGTCCTTCACATCCCTTGTAAATTGGATTCCTTTTTATTCTCTTTGTAGCAACTGTGAATGGAATTTCACTCATGACTTGGCTCTGTGTTTGTCTATTATTGGTGGATAGGAATGCTTGTGATTTTTGCACATTGATTTTGTATCCTGAGACTTTGCTGAAGTTGCTTATCAGCTTAAGGAGATTCGGGGCTAAGATGATGGAGTTTTCTAAATATACAATCATGTCATCTGCAAACAGAGACAATTTGACTTCCTCTCTTCCTATTTGAATATGCTTTATTTCTTTTTCTTGCCTGATTGCCCTGGCTAGAACTTCCAATACTATGTTGAATAGGAGTGTTGAGAGAGGGCATGCTTGTCTTGTGCTGGTTTTCAAAGGGAATGCTTCCGCTTTTGCCCATTCAGTATGATATTGGCTGTGGGTTTGTCATAAATAGCTCCTATTATTTTGACATAAATTCCATCAATACCTAGTTTATTGAGAGCTTTTAGCATGAAGGGGTGTTGAATTTTATCGAAGGCCTTTTCTGCATCTATTGAGATAATCATGTGGTTTCCGTCATTGGTTCTGTTTATGTGATAGATTATCTTTATTGATTTGCATATGTTGAACCAGCCTTGCATCCCAGAGATGAAGCCAACTTGATCATGATGGATAGGCTTTTTGATGTGCTGCTGGATTCAGTTTGCCAGTATTTTATTGAAGATTTTCACATCGATATTCATCAGGGATATTGGCCTGAAATTTTGTTTGTTTGTTGTGTCTCTGCCAGGTTTTGGTATCAGGATGATGCTGGCCTCATAAAATGAGTTACGGAGGGGCCTCTCTTTTTCTATTCTTCGGAATAGTTTCAGAAGGAATGGTACCATCTCCTCTTTGTACCTCTGGTAGAATTCGGCTATAAATCCGTCTGGTCCTGGGCCTTTTTTGGTGGGTAGGCTATTAATTACTACCTAAATTTCAGAACTTGTTACTGGTCTATTCAGGGATTCGATTTCTTCCTGATTTAGTCTTGGGATGGTGTATGTGTCCAGGAGTTTATCCATTTCTTCTAGATTTTCTAGTTTATTTGCATAGAGGTGCTTATAGTATTCTCTGATGGTAGTTTATGTTTCTGTGGGATCAGTGGTGATATCCCCTTTATCATTTTTTATTGTGTCTACTTGATTCTTCTCTCTTTCCTTCTTCATTAGTCTAACTAGTGGTCTATTTTGTTAATCTTTTCAAAAATCCAGCTCCTGGATTCATTGATTTTGTGAAGGGTTTTTTGTGTCTCTATCTCCTTCAGTTCTGCTCTGATCTTAGTTATTTCTTGAAAAGACAATTATTTTATGAGAAATATGTATAAATCAAAGATATGATTTGGCTGTGTCCCCACCCAAATATCATTTTGAATTGTAATCCTAGTAACCCCATGTGTTGAGGGAGGGACCCAGTAGGAGGAGATTGGATCATGGGGGCAGCTTCTTCCATGCTGTTCTTGTGATAGTGAGTTCTTGTGAGTTCTCATGAGATCTGATGGTTTTAAAAGTGTTTGACAATTTCTCCTTCACACTCTCTTCTCTCTCCTGCTGCCTTTGAAGAAGATACCTGCTTCCCCTTCCACCAAGATTGTAAGTTTCCTGAGGCCTCCCCAATCGTGAAGTCAATTAAACTTATTTTCTTTATAAATTACCCAGTCTCAGGGAAGTTCTTTATAGTAATGTGAGAATGGATTAATACATTCATATTCATTAATAGAACACTTTAAAACAAATCTTTTGTGTCATGACAATATCAGCAAAATAGGTTCACTTATTATATAAAGTGGAATTTTTGTTTAATAATCATTGTCCCCCAGATTCTCTAGCTTCCTTAGGAAGTTCTTTTTGCATGTCTCTAAAAACATGTCATCCTAAAAGAGGACTTCAGAATATATTTATATCTAACATAAAATAGCTACTGCTTAGGTAAAAAAAAAAAAAAAAAAAAACAAATGAACAAACAAGAAATTACTTGCAGTTCTTAAGCTCCTAACTTGAGCCAATGCTTTAGAAAAGAAATGTGTTTGCTTTATACAATACTATTCACAACCAAATTATCTCAAAGTGCTTTACAAAGTAATTAGTTGGAGACTAGTATAAGAGTATGCAGGCAAACATAGGAGCCATTAAGACACTCAGCAATAGCTCACACACTGCTTTGGACATAAGAACCAGTTTTATTAAGAGTGGAGATGTTAGTTCAATTATAGAGTAATTTAATAGAATAATTGGAATTCCTTTGGGCCTGGTAAGTTTTAAAGATCATCAAAAATGATAAGCTAACTCTATATTTTTTAAAAATTCTAAAAATGTCCAAATGTGAATTAAAGCATATATTTTCCCCCAGGTAATTAACTTACAAGAAATGATTGGTATGAGGTTGATTTATAATGGACAAATACTTCTGTGATTCTTTTCAAAAGATAAGTTACAGAATTGGTAAAGAGGAATTATTTCACATATTCTTTTCTTTACCTTTCCCCATTTGACAAATGTTTTACTTGTATTTCCCTGAGCTTTGTTTACACAGGGATCCAGAGACAAATCACTTTTTTCTCTTCTCAAGGTGTTTAATCTGTACTCTTTCTTTATGCCACAGTTTAGATCTAAACTCTTCCATGAAAAATTCACCAACTGAAACACCCAGTTTCTTGAGTTCATATCACATGTCACTTAGCTTTAGATCAAATTATTTTTTATTATCATTTATATTTTGAGAATGAGATCCATGAGGATAGTAATAATGCTTATCATTTCATTGTATTCCCAATACTTTGAGCAGGAAGTGGCATAATGAGGTCCATGGCTTCCAAAGCTCATGTAGATACCAGTCTGAAGGAGGCATTGGCAGGAGCAGGTCACAGGTATTCCGTACCTATCTAAGAAATCACTAAACCAGGATGGAGCAATTAGCAAACAGCCACACTTCTGGCATCTACTCTTTCACAAGCCTGAGGTTTCTTCCTCACTCAGCCAAGTTCCAAATTCCTTTGATCAAGAAGCCTTCTTTAGACACCATTTCACACATAAATAAGCACTTATTATAGGATATGGTACCATAACTGCTGTCATCAGCTTGTCAAAGGCAGTTGACAGATTAGCTAAGCAGCTGTCCTATCATTTCTTGCCTTCCTCTGGTCCCCATGTCACAGCATGGACTGCCCCCAGCTGGCCCTTCTTTTTCCACAGGAGAAAAAATATTCCACAGGGAAGAAAGGATTAAAAAAATATAAAACAGCAGTTGGATTTTTTACCTAACATGCATCATAAAAGATTAATGGTTTTTTGCTCTAAAACCTGTACTTTGCTTCTCACACAATTGTTAAATGTGCACAGAGGCCCTTGTTTGAGTGTTTACTAAATAAAGGTCATGAAAATAATGGTTTCTGTTAAGCAGTGGTATGTGTCATCAATTTTGATTTTCCTGTCACTTTTTTTACCTTGGGCAGGTGCCCACTTTGGAAGTCTATGGCCATGAGGCTTTTTCCCGTAACAGGTGCAACCTATTATAAGCGAAACTAGATAGGTTCCATCAGCAGTCTGCAAGGCAGAGCCTAGTTTTATCTCTGTGGTTGCAGTTTGCACTTCATTAGCCTGTCCTAACTCACCGAGATACACTGTCCTAGGCCATAAGTCAATCTATCAGATTTCAAGGCTGACTCCAGTTGCCTGGGATGAACCCTTTCATCCCAGCCAGCCCTCTTGTTTACCAGGGGCAGAAAACCAATTCAAACAAGGATATTCAGAAGGGATTTTATTAGTTCACACACAGAAGACTTCTGGTTAAGGCTTGCCTTGCTCCTGGTGCTCATATGATGCCACCAGGACATGATTTATCTCAAGCACTTAACTCTGTGTTCTTCATGTTGCCTCCATTCTTTAACAGGCATTCTTTTAGTGGTGCCAAGATGAATGCAACAGCTTCAGCTTCAGCTTTATCTTCTTTGACCTTCAAGTTGTATAGTCCCAGTTGATAGCTGATTACAACTCATTAGCTCTGACTATTTCAGGTGCTCATCCCTGAAACAATTACTGTGGCCAAGAGAATGCACTGCCTAATTTCCAAAATTGGGGGGAAAAAAAAGAAAAAAAAACAGTTGGCCAGGGCTTGAAGTAGCAGAAGGATGATTCCCTGGAGAAAGTTGGAGTCCTATTTGGGAGGCAAAGGGGAAATATATAATAATGGCCAAAATGGTATGACTGCTACATCACAAATAGGGCAACTTCTTTCTTGTTCTACTAGAAGTTTGCTGCAATATCAGTAATATTATTTGTAACATAATACTCATCTATTTCCCTTTAGGTGGACTTTAGATAGAATTTGCACACATATTTATGTAGAAAATATTGTCCTCCTAACAATCTTATTTACAAATTCTCATAGTAGTAAAAAAATCCTATATTCATATATAATTATATATAGTACATACCCTAAATATCCATATAAAATAATTACATATAAGTATATAAATCATAGTCCAAGGGGATATGAATATTATTATAATAATTATATATAAATATTACATATAATCATATATAATAGATCCTAAATATATATACATATAATACACATATACACACATTAAAAACAATTATTGTATGCATATTTGGATTGAATATATAAAAAATATATATTTAGGACATATGGGGCATATGGGCAAGAGGTATTTTGTCAGCTTTCTAAATACTAGAAGTCTTTGTGTGGTCAGTGACCTCTAGAATGGGCAGAAAAGTCTCTCTTAGTTGGGTTAAAGTTTCATGATATTAGGGAATATCAAAATATTTCTTCCAACTTCAGATTTATTTATTCAAAATATGTATTAGGCATCTATTTTGTGCCTGAAACTACATTAGCTACTAGGGATACTATAGGTCCTATAGCATAGGCTAGTATCGGTTCTGCAAAAGCAGAACCTATGCTCTCAGGAAATGTAAGTAGGGTGATGATATGACCAGATTGGCTTTTCGAAAAGATCACTCTCATTAGTTTTAGAGAAGAGATTGTTGTAGTGCCAGGAGCACATATAGGGAGACTAGACAGGTGGCTACTTAAATAGTGTAGGAGAGAAATGAACCTAAATTCAACTTGACAAGATAAAGGTGAGATGATGTAAAGTGGCAAAGAGAAGAAGGAAATTTGAATATGAATTATTAATAACTCGCCAACAGATAAGAATTGAGGATGAGGTACAATGGAACATTAATGTTACCTCTTAAGTAACTAACATGCAAAAACTGAATGATTTGTTTACATTCTCTCTAATAGAGAACATTGAAGAAGGACCAGCTTAAGAGGCACTGAACATTTTTATCTTCTCCTACAGCTAATAGTATGTCTTTTTTTTTTTTTTTTGGATCTTAAGCTGCTTAATTCACTCTTTATTCTCATTCTTTTCTTTTTTTTATTTTTTTATTATTACTATACTTTAAGTTTTAGAGTACATGTGTACAATGTGCAGGTTAGTTACATATGTATGTATGTGCCATGCTGGAGTGCTGCACCCATTAACTCATCATTTAGCATTAGGTATATCTCCTAATGCTATCCCTCCCCCATCCCCCACCCCACAACAGTCCCCAGAGTGTGATGTTCCCCTTCCTGTGTCCATGTGATCTCATTGTTCAATTCCCATCTATGAGTGAGAACATGTGGTGTTTGGTTTTTTGTCCTTGCGATAGTTTACTGAGAATGATGATTTCCAATTTCATCCATGTCCCTACAGAGGACATGAACTCATCATTTTTTATGGCTGCATAGTATTCCATGGTGTATATGTGCCACATTTTCTTAATCCAGTCTATCATTGTTGGACATTTGGGTTGGTTCCAAGTCTTTGCTATTGTGAATAGTGCCACAATAAACATACGTGTGCATGTGTCTTTATAGCAGCATGATTTATAGTCCTTTGGGTATATACCCAGTAATGGGATGGCTGGGTCAAATGGTATTTCCAGTTCTAGATCCCTGAGGAATCGCCACACTGACTTACACGATGGTTAAACTAGTTTATAGTCCCACCAACAGTGTAAAAGTGTTCCTGTTTCTCCACATCTTCTCTAGCACCTGTTGTTTCCTGACTTTTTAATGACTGCCATTCTAACTGGTGTGAGATGGTATCTCATTGTGGTTTTGATTTGCATTTCTCTGATGGCCAGTGGTGATGAGCATTTTCTCATGTGTCTTTTGGCTGCATAAATATCTTCTTTTGAGAAGTGGCTGTTCATATCCTTTGCCCACTTTTTGATGGGGTTGTTTGTTTTTTTCTTGTAAATTTCAGTTCATTGTAGATTCTGGATACTAGCCTTTTGTCAGATGAGTAGGTTGCGAAAATTTTCTCCCATTTTGTAGGTTGCCTGTTCACTCTGATGGTATTTTGCTGTGCAGAAGCTCTTTAGTTTAATTAGATCCCATTTGTCAATTTTGGCTTTTGTTGCCATTGCTTTTGGTGTTTAAGACATGAAGTCCTTGCCCATGCCTATGTCCTGAATGGTAATGCCTAGGTTTTCTTCTAGGGTGTTTATGGTTTTAGGTCTAACGTTTAAGTCTTTAATCCATCTTGAATTAATTTTTGTATAAGGTGTAAGGAAGGGATCCAGTTTCAGCTTTCTACATATGGCTAGCCAGTTTTCCCAGCACCATTTATTAAATAGGGAATCATTTCCCCATTGCTTGTTTTTCTCAGTTTGTCAAAGATCAGATAGTTGTAGATATGCGGCTTTATTTCTGAGGGCTCTGTTCTGTTCCATTGATCTATATCTCTGTTTTGGTACCAGTACCATGCTGTTTTGGTTAATGTAGCCTTGTAGTATAGTTTGAAGTCAGGTAGTGTGATGCCTCCAGCTTTGTTCTTTTGGCTTAGGACTGACTTGGCGATGCGGGCTCTTTTTTGGTTCCATATGAACTTTAAAGTATTTTTTTCCAATTCTGTGAAGAAAGTCATTGGTAGCCTGATGGGGATGGCATTGAATCTATAAATTACCTTGGGCAGTATGGCCATTTTCATGATATTGATTCTTCCTACACATGAGCATGGAATGTTCTTCCATTTGTTTGTATCCTCTTTTATTTCATTGAGCAGTGGTTTGTAGTTCTCCTTGAAGAGGTCCTTCACGTCCCTTGTAAGTTGGATTCCTAAGTATTTTATTCTCTTTGAAGCAATTGTGAATGGCAGTTCACTCATGATTTGGCTCTCTGTTTGTCTGTTATTGGTGTATAAGAATGCTTGTGATTTTTGTACATTGATTTTCTATCCTGAGACTTTGCTGAACTTGCTTATCAGCTTAAGGAGATTTTGGGCTGAGACAATGGGGTTTTCTAGATATACAATCATGTCGTCTGCAAACAGGGACAATTTGACTTCCTCTTCTCCTAATTGAATACCCTTTATTTCCGTCTCCTGCCTAATTGCCCTGGCCAGAACTTCCAACACTATGTTGAATAGGAGTGGTGAGAGAGGGCATCCCTGTCTTGTGCCAGTTTTCAAAGGGAATGCTTCCAGTTTTTGCCCATTCAATATGATATTGGCTGTGGGTTTGTCATAGATAGCTCTTATTATTTTGAAATACGTCCCATCAATACCTAATTTATTGAGAGTTTTTAGCATGAAGGTTTGTTGAATTTTGTCAAAGGCCTTTTCTGCATCTATTGAGATAATCATGTGGTTTTTGTCTTTGGTTCTGTTTATATGCTGGATTACATTTATTGATTTGCGTATATTGAACCAGCCTTGCATCCCAGGGATGAAGCCCACTTGATCATGGTGGATAAGCTTTTGGATGTGCTGCTGGATTCCATTTGCCAGTATTTTATTGAGGATTTTTGCATCAATGTTCATCAAGAATATTGGTCTAAAATTCTCTTTTTTGGTTGTCTCTCTACCCGGCTTTGGTATCAGGATGATGCTGGCCTCATAAAATGAGTTAGGGAGGATTCCCTCTTTTTCTATTGATTGGAATAGTTTCAGAAGGAATGGTACCAGTTCCTCCTTGTACCTCTGGTAGAATTCGGCTGTGAATCCATCTGGTCCTGGACTCTTTTTGGTTGGTAAGCTATTGATTATTGCCACAATTTCAGCTCCTGTTATTGGTCTATTCAGACATTCAACTTCTTCCTGGTTTAGTCTTGGGAGGGTGTATGTGTCGAGGAATTTATCCATTTCTTCTAGATTTTCTAGTTTATTTGCGTAGAGGTGTTTGTAGTATTCTGTGATGGTAGTTTGTATTTCTGTGGGATCAGTGGTGATATCCCCTTTATCATTTTTTATTGTGTCTATTTGATTCTTCTCTCTTTTTTTCTTTATTAGTCTTGCTAGCGGTCTATCAATTTTGTTGATCCTTTCAAAAAACCAGCTCCTGGATTCAATAATTTTTTGAAGGGTTTTTTATGTCTCTATTTCCTTCAGTAAAGATCATCGAGACTAGGAAGAAACTGCATCAACTAACGAGCAAAATAACCAGCTAACATCATAATGACAGGATCAAATTCACACATAACAATATTAACTTTAAATGTAAATGGACTAAATGCTCCAATTAAAAGACACAGACTGGCAAATTGGATCAAGAGTCAAGACCCATCAGTGTGCTGTATTCAGGAAACCCATCTCATGTGCAGAGACACACATAGGCTCAAAATAAAAGGATGGAGGAAGATCTACCAAGCAAATGGAAAACAAAAAAAGGCAGGGGTTGCAATCCTAGTCTCTGATAAAACAGACTTTAAACCAACAAAGATCAAAAGAGACAAAGAAGGCCATTACATAATGGTAAAGGGATCAATTCAACAAGAAGAGCTAACTATCCTAAATATATATGCACCCAATACAGGAGCACCCAGATTCATAAAGCAAGTCCTGAGTGACCTACAAAGAGACTTAGACTCCCACACATTAATAATGGGAGACTTTAACACCCCACTGTCAACATTAGACAGATCAACGAGACAGAAAGTTAACAAGGATACCCAGGAATTGAACTCAGCTCTGCACCAAGTGGACCTAATAGATATCTGCAGACTCTCCACCCCAAATCAACAGAATATACATTTTTTTCAGTACCACACCACACCTATTCGAAAATTGACCACATACTTGGAAGTAAAGCTCTCCTCAGCAAATGTAAAAGAACAGAAATTATAACAAACTGTCTCTCAGACCACAGTGCAATCAAACTAGAACTCAGGATTAAGAAACTCACTCAAAACCACTCAACTACGTGGAAACTGAACAACCTGCTCCTGAATGACTACTGGGTACATAACAAAATGAAGGCAGAAATAAAGATGTTCTTTGAAACCAACGAGAACAAAGACACAACGTACCAGAATCTCTGGGATACATTCAAAGCAGTGTGTAGAGGGAAATTCATAGCACTAAATGCCCACAAGAGAAAGCAGGAAAGATCCAAAATTGACACCCTAATATCACAATTAAAAGAACTAGAAAAGCAAGAGCAAACGCATTCAAAAGCTAGCAGAAGCCAAGAAATGGCTAATAGTATGTCTTGCAATCTACTTAACTCTGGGTTTATATTATTTTCAATCATAATTTTTATTGCTCTATTCAGTGAGAGATCAATGCTTAAAAGTTTCATCTTTATTTTATAGAGTCACCTTGCTTAGATCTTAGTAGTATTTATTGTTCTCAGCCCACTTTTGTGGGCTGACTAACCAAATATTAGATTGGTGCAAACGTAATCACAGTTTTTGCCATTAAAAATAATTACTTTACACCAGCCTAAAACGAATAAGCAAAGAGCCAAGTGTTGCAGGCCTATAAATACACTATCACATTTTATTCTATTTTATTCACCCTTGTCTTCTCTAGAAATCCTCTATCAAAAGTAAAGTTCTGAGACTCTTCAGTAATAAACTTCTTTAAAATGTGATCAGATTTGTGATCAATTGCGGTAACATATCTCCCTTTTAGAGGGAAGTTTTTAACCAGACAGGAAGGGGCCTGGAAATAACATTGGTGAATTTATTTTTCTGGAGTGAATAGAGAGGCAACCACATGCATCTTTTCTATTGTGTACATCTGGGAAAGCTTGTCAAGAAAAGCCAGTTTTAACTTTTAATGTTCCCTTTTCCTTCTTCACCCACAGCACACACGTTCCATGTCCAACTATTCAGATTTTGTCTTGAAGACAGTCATTTGGGAGCCTTTCTTCCTTTTGCCTCTGAATTCCCAAAAATATTTATTTTCTACACATTCATTTGACTATATAAAAGGTTTATAATTGACCATATATTATAGCATTGGATTGAAAATTCTCTTGTTTTGTTATTTAACTTTTCAAGTATTTGTCAAATTAAGTTAATTTTTTTTGAGTTCCAGTACTACCTTGGTCTTCTTTGTAGTCTAATCTCATCCCTCACACCATCTTGACTACAGTAAGAACTTGCTTGGTTGTTAGGCTTCCTGTTAGTTTTTGCATTAATTTATTAGCTATTTCTTATTCTCTCAATAGTAAATGGTTAGACGTTAGAATGTGCATAAATAACATATTCTCTCTGACAGTGTTCCTCCCACCATTTTTACTTTATCTTAATGTTCTTTCTGGATTGGAGTTATTTCAAATCAAAAATAATTTGAACTCACTCATAAATCTCCCATATATCTTCAGAGAAAATGGAACCTAAAGCACACCCTTAGGTTTTTTTTTTTTTTAATCTTCTGATCTTGTAATCACTAGAGCTCAAATAGTTCCCACATTACTCCATAAACTTTAGAAAAGCATTGATTTATTTTCTGAGTTTTGTCTTGCCAGACCTCTCATTTTAAAGACAGCTTCAAAAATGAGACTCATGTTACCTTAACACTGGCTCTTTCCTTGAGACATGTCCTACTGTTAACTGAAAACATGTCAGGAGCATTGCAAACATACACAGAGCACTTTCTGTGCTAATCATTTCGTTGATCCTAAAATGATTTTCTCCTCAAGATGACCTTGGGTAAAATAGCACTCTAGTCCTAGGCTAAAGGAATTGCAACATTTTCTAATGAAATATCTTAATGCCCAAATGTTTCTCAGTCCTGGATCTACATGACATCACTTGAGAAGAGTTTGAAAAATATTTATGGTGCAACTTACCCCCAGATACTCTGAATTTAATAGACCTGGAGTAGTGCCTAGACATCAATACCAATAATCAGACAGGTTCAAGAAGTGCCGCACCAGTCAATAAAATACATATTCTTGTTTTGTTCTGTTGTGTTTTTTAACAAAACAAGAATCTAAAGATCTAGGTTCTAGTCCGTCATGACTCTACCAGTAATTACCTTGTGAATTTTGGCAAATTATTTTACCTCTCCAGGTGTCAGATTTTTCACCTATAAAGTAAAAAGTTTGGATGAGATAATTTAATCCTTTGTTACGCAAAAAAATAATAAAAATAAAAATAAAAATAAAAAAATCAAAAAATCCGTATTACCTACTAAGTTCTCTAGGCACACTAATTTCAGTTTGGAATACAACCAATATGAATCCAACAATGACCATGGTTGATAGTTTTCTAAGTGGCTTTTATAAGTAAGTGGCAGTGCATTTTCAGTTGCAATTCGATCCTTACTATGATAAACTTCCACTTCAACACAAACCTTATTGGCTGTTATGCCAAACATTCTTTTATTTCACCATTCTACTTACAGTTAATTGCTTAATCTAGTAATTAAGTTGTTATATAACTCGAAGAATTTTTGTAGATGGTGATCAGGGTTGATTTCTCACATTTTAACCACCACATATATTTTTACCATATTTGGACAGGATGAAGTGGATAACAACAAGCTTAATTTAGTGTAGGAAATAATAATGAGGCAGATACCATGGCTGAGGAAAAAGGAGGTCAGGCAAGTGGGCTAATGATATTTAGGGCAAGATAAGAGACTTAATCAGCAAGTCTGTTTCTGGTCCAGGGAAAGCCACCAGTGTGATTACCCAGATCCTGCAAGTCAGTCATTGATACTTAATGATCCATCATAGAAGATGGACCAAGAACTGATTACTCAGATCTGGCAGACCTTCTGCACACACGTTACCCATTTTGTATCTTTATATTAGTGGTAAAAGGAAAATAATTATTCACAATTCTATTACTTTACTTTTCAAAACTTTATTGTTATTTTATATTCTAGCTCATCTCTCAATCCCGACAGCCATTCAGCTTTCTCCTACATTTTAATTTCGTCCAATATGAGCAATGTCTTACCTTTCTCTTTCATTTGCCTTTCTCCGCCATAGTATTTCTCCCAAGCAGATAATACGAACCTCTGAGGCTTGTTGCATAAAGTATTCCAAGCTTTCTGGTTTATAAATTATGAAGCAGTTTGTATCTGTGTACAGATATTTGGACCCTATTGATTTGAATTAGTTGTCTATTATGAGCCTCAGTAACCCTCCTCTACCCTGTCTAGCTTTATTATTTAACTTTTCAAATTCAGCTTGGGGTCTGAGTGTCATTCGGAGTAAAAGAAAATTAGCAATTTGGGGCGATCTTATATTGCATTCACTCTGCAGAGCAGACTGAATATATTTTTAGGCACTGCATGTTTATAACCTAATTTTCCCTCATTACTTTACAGAGGTGACCTTGTTCTAATACCTTCGGCACCTGATGTTACAAAAGTGAAATTCTTTTCAAACCTGCTCTGTTAATGTGCTCCTGCTCAGAAACAAATGCAAGATAACATTAACATTCCTGCCACAAAATACCTGCTAATTTGCTTGCAGTGAAGATAGACAGCTTTTCATTACATATCACAAACTGCATTTATGTAGAATGAGTCACCAGTCTTGCTGAAAAGCCAATGAGCGTCTAATCTCTAATGCTGCCTTCAGCTCTAACATCAATCCTCCAGTCCAACTCATCTTTTATCAGCTATTGAGCCTTTCTTTTTTTAAATTTCCATCCTCTTACAAAATTGTGTTGTTCATCTGTCAAAACAGCTTTGATTTATGTTTTTTTAATATTACAGCTTCAGAGAAGAAAACACACACACGTACAAGAATATGTTATTTTCTTATTAAGGTCAGAATGAAATCTATGCAACAGAAAATGAGCACCTTGGTTTCAAACAAATGATGGCATTATTGAGTTTATAAAAACTGCATTCTTGATCTTAAATTCTGCTTGATATGCATCCCTCCATGTTAAGTTTCTTTTGAAACTAGTCTGCAGAGAAGTGCAGATTTATATGCCCTCTCTAGGCACAAGTGAAAAATAAAAAGAAAGAAGCTTGTAAAATCTTGGTTTTTTTCTAAACTCTATTGAGACAATGACATTTCACTGTTTTTTCTATTAATACTCTTCCCATATATTAGCATGGATGGAGTCCTCTACTAGTCTTCTAGAACTTTCCTGAAGATTAATCCTGAGTCAATCTTGGATCACTGCCACTAAGGGAAAAAAGAAGAAAGAAAAAAACAATACTGTCCTTTAAGTATTGTATTTAACTATAGACATTTGTTAAACATTTTTTAAGGGATATTTTTACTTATTGGATGCAAAATTTCCCAAGAGTTTTGGGGACTCAGGAAACTTCAACACAGACTTCCGTGAGATTTAATTCTTTTGTACTGGAACAATTAGGTAGCAAGATAAATTGAACTTCAATTATAATCTTGAAAGTAAAAAGTCAATAAAATTCAGGCAAAGAACATGGGTATAGAAGATTGGAGATATTCTACTCATTTTGTCTTCGTGGGTTATTATGCAACATTAATAGTTTTTTTTTTCTTTTAAACACCAAAAACATTTATTCTTCCCAACAGGCTAACAAGGAGGTATATCTTTGCTATAAGCCATAGAGCCTGAGGTGATTATGCTCAATTTGTTGTATCCTAGGTCCTAATAGGTCTTCATAGCATCCTGATAAAAAACACAGGTTAAACGGAGCTCCAGGGAGAATTCTTCCTAGAATGAAAGCCAGTCTTATTTGACTACAGAAAAAGCACACACCTCTCTATAGTCTGATTGTTCCTTGTGATTAAAATTGAGCCAAAGACAGGATAGAACAGAGGTCACTAGCTGGTTCCAGCAAGTGACATTCAAATCACCAATACCAAAGGTGTTGGGATTTTAATCTAGAACTTCCCCCACAAGTTTCCTACTTCAAATTATGCTTTTTCTAGCCTGTAATTAATGAACATGTACAAACAAAGATTATATGCAAGGGATATCTTTAATATAAAGGTCTCTTGCTTTTTACTTGTCAGCTTTCAAAAAATTATTGAAAGCATCCTATCCCCAGTTTTTCTAAATCTACATTCTTCTTTAAAAGGCCAAATTTCCCCAATAAGAAAATAATTATTTTTAATATTACCAACTTATTAAAAGAGAAAAAATCTTCTGAATTCTTTTCTTGATTTCTCATTTACTTACATCACATGTTTATATACCTTAATGAATAATATTTCTGTATATTTGATGCTGATAAAACTGGATTTACTTCAAAACAAACAACAGATGATCTTTTTCCTTCCTTCCTTCCTTCCTTCCTTCCTCTCTCTCTCTCTCTCTTTATTTCTTCAGAGTCTCCCTTTGTCACCCAGGCTGGAATGCAGTGGCATGATCTTCGCTCACTTCAACCTCCACCTCCCAGGTTCAAACGATTCTCCTGCCTCAGCCTCCCAAGTAGCTGGGATTACAGGTGTGCACCACTACACCCAGCTAATTTTTGTATTTTTAGTAGAGACGGGTTTTTGCCATGATACCCGGTTTGGTCTCAAACTTTTGGCCTCAAGTGATCCACCCTCCTCTCAAAGTGCTGGGATTACAGGTGTGAGCCACCACACCCGGCCACAAATTATTTTTCTATTGAGAATTTCGCATTTTCAAACACTCTAATTTCTTTGTGGGAAATTCAACCCCGGAAAATTTACATTACATAACAGTGGTATGCAAACTATAGCACTACAGATTTTCCAGTATGTTTGTAAACACAGTTTTTATCATCCTTACACAGAAGATATGTAACCCTATAATGAAAATATGTAATCAGCTAGTATATTATTAGCACTGGGGTATGTTGGAAAGAATTTTGGTTCATAAGGCAAACTTTGATTCAAAAGATTTGAGTTCTAATTGTGGCTCCAACATTTTAAAATATTGTATTGGATAAGTCACATAATTCCCTTTAAAACATAGCTTTTTCAGTTACTGATTTGGCAAAGTAAATAAAACTAAATACAAGCTTCAGTTTGTCCAGAAATAAAAAAATATAATTTACACCTTTAAGTTCTGATCTAGTGGAGACTCAGATATGTAACTAGGACTATCTATATGACACTATATATAAAAATGAAAGTTTGTAAGATTAGTGTGAGAAAAATGACATGACAAATACCCTTGACAAATGTTATTTAGATTAGACTAAACGAGAAGAAAGGAATTTGAAAACTATACACATACTATGCAATTGCAAAGCATTATCATCAACATCATCCTAATAAATAGTCCCAGGTGTGCCAGGCAGAATTATGCCTCCAAAAGATATCCACATCCTAATAACCCCTGGGACCTGTGATTATGTTACATGCATGAAAAGACAGGACTGTGTAGATATGACTAAATTAAAGAGCTTGGGATAGAGAGATTACCTTGGATTATCTGTGTGGATATAATGTAATCCTAAAACTCCCTCACAGCGGAAAAGGAAGGTGGAAGAGGACATGAGCATGATGAGATGTAAGGACTCAACCCACCAATGCTAGCTTTCAAGAGGCAGAAAAGGGACCATGAGCCAAAAATTACAGATGGCTGCTGGGAGGTAGAGAAGATAGAAATGGATTCTCCTGTAGACCCCCATGAAGAAAGGCAGCCTTTCTGATACGTTGATTTTAGCCCAGGGATACCCATGTTGAACTTTTAACCTGCAGAAATTTAGAATAATTTGTCAATATGTGTGATTTTAAGTCACTAAGTTTGTGATAATTTATCATAGTAGCAATGGAAAACTAATATGACAGGCACTAAGATTTCTGATGTCAGAATGAAGTATTTCTTACAAACTCATCCTCCAAGAATGAAAGGTAGACCAGGTGGAAAACTACTCTGGGGAGGCACTAGATGACCAAGAAACAGAAGGGGGAGTATGGAGCATAAACAAGAGCAGGGTGGATCTCGTCCTAAGTGAGGAGACAACAGAAAAAAGACATGAAGCATAATTGATCTATTGTTCACACACTATTAAGCACCTGTAGTACACAAAATTGTACACTAGAAGTTTTAAGGAACACAGGACAGGTAAACTCAATTCATTTTCTTATGTGTAGAGTCCAGTTAAAGAAGGACAATAGCAATACAAGACAGCAGTATGCAAATGTGATAATTGTAGAAACATAAGCGTAATTTAAATAATATAAACTATGAGTTCTCTGAGTCAACATATGAAAGTATTTGACCAAAGAATAGTAGTAAGCATAGGAATGTGCAGAGGTAAAAGACAAGGCCTACAAGTTGGACATGGTAAACTGCAGAGTGAATGAAAAGATTCCTAACCCCCACTTGCCACTGCAACTAGAGAATTTCAGTGCTGATAGTTTTGTACACATGGGACTCTCATGAAAGTTTTTCTTTGTAAAAAAGATGTAAACTCTTTTCACAAAACTTGACAACCACTGCAGCAATCAACGGGAAACCAGTGAACAAATTTATGCTTGAAAATTCCATAAATACTTTGTAAGGAATGTAAAAGAAAAAAAGACATCAGTTGCAACGAGCCAAGTTCAACGTTAATGAGGGAAATGTGAAAGAGAAAAATGTGATAAATTTTAAAATAATAGAAATGACAGGACTTGAGCATGATGAGAAAAGGGAGGGAGATCGAATGACCCTAGATTGCTGTCTTGAAAGTCAAGGCAAATAATAAAATTCCTATCTTGAAAGACAAGATGAATAATGCTGCCGTTATTCACTGAGTAACAACACCAGTTTGAATATATTAACACATTAAATCCTTATAACAACCGTACGTGGTGGCTTGTATCATGATTTCAGATTAACTGATGAGGAAACTGAAGCTAAGTAATTTGCCTACATCACTCAGTTAGCTATTGACAGGGTCAGGAATCAAATTCAGGCAATGTGGCTCTGGGGGCCCCAGTCTAGCAACTATTCTGCAGACGACGGAGTAATTCTTTAGAGAAAGAGAGCAACTTTCAGTCTGGACATTTTGAACTTTCATTCTGTTTCATTTGAGGCAAATTAAACAGAGTAACCCTGTGTTACACTTTGCTATCCTTACGGGATGATCTCAGAACATTGCTGTCTTGTGGAACAGAGCTGACCCTGACATAAGATAAATCCAGATACCACTGTTACTGTTTGAGTCAACAGGACATCTTGACTTTTGCAGAATGTGGTGAGAAACTGTAATATTATTTCATTAGCACTAAACTATAGCAATTGATAAAAAAAAAATTAGAGAGAAAACTACTTCCCTAAAGACAATCAGGTCATATGGCTGTTACAAATATATAGTTTTAAACACCTAGTCTGGGCAGTGTTATTGAGGTCTGTCATACTATACTAAGTATATCCTAAGGAGTAAATAGAACACTAAATAAACGCCTGTAATAAGGAAATTTTCTGGTTATACATTACTTGGCCTTTATACTTCAAAAAACAAAAGTTATTTTAACAATTGTCTTTGATTTTTAAACTGCAAGCAAATTTCTCCTTAGGGTTTAGTTACCGAACTATCACTGATAACCAGTAACTTAACAGCTACTAGTTCCAATTCAGGTATGGAATTTCTGGTATATACTTAGAGGTCTTCAAACTTTTATGAAGTCAAGGGAAGCCTCATTACCCATAGATAGTTGACAAAATGCTTTACCACCTGCATATCGCCTGTTAAATTTAGACCTAAATTGACAAACTATTTTTTCCTGTGGTGCTTATAACTCAAAGCCAAAACTTTTAAGACTACCTTGCCCTAGTTTCATTTTTTATTTTTTATTTTCCTTTAAGAAATCTTTCTTCATAAAAACCTTCAGAACTCTTGTGGAACTTTCTTTTTTTCTTATTTCTTTGCTGTTTAGCATTCCACTTCAGAGTTACAACTACGTGAAAGCTTTCAGATAACCACAACAACGAAAACAAAAGTGTGGCATCAAATTGAATCTGACCTTCTGGCAGTGAGAATGGAACAAAATCTTTCCTTCAAATCCCTCTGGTATTTGGTGAATCTTCTCATCCTAAAGAGCTGACTCTTACTGATTACTTTTGTGTTATAAAAGAAATATCATATCTGAAATACTTTTTATAACAAAAGTCTGGAGATTCTCAGCTACTTTGCTGAGAAGAATTCTAATGTTGAATAGAGTCAATAAGTACCAAAAGAAGAACTGTAACCATTTGGAGAAATATATAAAGAGGAATATTTCATTTCCTTTGATTTTTGAAGTTGAAGTAACTCGTAACATTGTGGCATATGGTATATTTGATTGTAGAATCTGAGTATATATATATATATATATATATATATGTCATAAGTAGACTGAATTGTTGAGAATATACTATTAATTAACTCAGAGGTGAGTTGATATGAAAACATTAAAACACTTTATATATATACATACTCATATATGTAGGTTTGCTTTTCTTACCATACATAAATTTGTTTTTTACTTAAATTTTCAAATATATGTGTAACAACACTCAATACACAGATTTTTAAAAATATAATTTGATATCATTTCAGCGTTTCCCTTACATGCAAACTCTGAATTTCTGAGTTTTCAGTCCCAGGTGTCATTCACTCTGGAAGCTAGAGAATTGTTTTGGGAGCTCTTAGGTCACTCTGCTGCATCTGGGTCACTGAGCTCCGATCCAGGCAGAACAGAATGTTGCTCTTCTCCCAATGGATTTCCTTTTTAGTGCATGCTGCTTTTAATATTCACTCTCTCCCTAGGGTCTAACTGGGTTACACTCAAAGTCCAGCTCAGCACAGTAGCCAGATTTCTGACACCCTTGAGGATACTGTGAACTACATTAATGTTTGATATATGGGTAAAGTTGTGAACCACATATAGATCAGAGAAATAAATCCCAGAATTTCACTATTTTAAAAAGCCTCTCTCTAGATTTGTCCTCTAAGTTAACCATTAAAATAATTTGAGATAATTCAAGTTACTTAATTATTAGAATGCTGTTATTTTTCAATCTTACCTGTTAGGTGGGACCATGGCAAGGCTCCCAAAGGCAGTCCAATAAGGAACCTGTGCTGTGTTCACTTAGTGTCTAGTGAAATATTGTTTAATTGTTTAATTGGGGCATACAATATCTTCATAAATTCCCTCCTAATACTGATATTCACACTCAGCCTAGAGATATTTCTAAAGTAACTAGTTATACCAAAGGCGCAATTAGTTTTAAAACAGCTAAAATCCATAGCAAAAGTAGAAGAGTCGGCCGGGCGCGGTGGCTCACGCCTGTAATCCCAGCACTTTGGGAGGCCGAGGCGGGCGGATCACGAGGTCAGGAGATCGAGACCATCCTGGCTAACATGGTGAAACCCCGTCTCTACTAAAAATACAAAAAATTAGCCGGGCGTGGTAGCAGGCGCCTGTAGTCCCAGCTACTCGGGAGGCTGAGGCAGGAGAATGGCGTGAACCCAGGAGGCGGAGCTTGCAGTGAGCCGAGATCGCGCCACTGCACTCCAGCCTGGGCGACAGAGCGAGACTCCGTCTCAAAAAAAAAAAAAAAAAAAAAAAGTAGAAGAGTCCCTATTGCAACTGCACTTCATCAACAACAATGTGACACATTAAAATCCCCAATTCAGAACTAAAATAATAGTAAAGGGTTTTTTTGGTGAGTAATGCTGAAGCATTTGTTATAAAAGTGACAAAATGCAAAATTCCATAAAAAACAATAAGAATATGGGTACATTTGATTGTACTTCACAACAAAAGTGCAACATGTCATGAAAATTCTTGAAGTGATAATTGAATAACAATCAGAAAATCTAACATGCACATGGGTCCATACCTAAACCCATTACCATATAGGATAAATTCTGTTCTCTTACTAGAGAATTATATGACTACCTTTAAGAACAATATGAAGTTAGAAAAACAGAAATCTATTTAATTTTTTATGCAAAGGAAATATAAGATGGATAATTAGTTAAGCAATTGAGTAGTATAAGTGACTACTATAAAGCACCCCAAAAATTAGCAACTGCAGGAAGACACCCCATCCCTGGGACAAAAGATCAATGAGAGATGATGGTGTTACCATAGCAGGAAGGTAAGACTGACTAACAGATATTAAAGCCCACCTCTTGGCAGGCAAAAGTAGGGACCATGAAATAGGGGTGTCTTTGTCCACTCGGGCTGCCATAACAAAGTACCATCGACTAGGTAGGTTTGCGACAACAGAAATTTATTTCTCACAGTTCTGGAAGCTGGAAATCCATGACCAATTTACCTGCAGATTCAGTGTCTGGTGAGAACCCATTTCCTGGTTTACAGGTGGCACATTCTCACTGTGTCCTCACATGTTGGAAAGGGCAAGGCAGTTCTGCGAGCATCTTTGATAAGGACGGTAGTAATCATTCACCTACCAGAGGCCCCATCCTAGTACATCACATTGATAGTTAGGTTTTAAAATATAAATTGGGGGGAGGGATAAAGGAGCACAAAATATTTAGGCCATAGCAAAGAGTTTTTCATAAGGAGCTAAAACCAATATGGATAAACGGGCACTGCCAGAAATGCCACTGTAGGCAGAACAAGAGTGGAGTGATACCCTGACTTGCCTTCTACTCACACCTACCAATGCCTACCATGTGTTGAATGTAACTAGAAGTCAATCGTTATGAGAATTTATAATACAGAGCTAAGAAAGGAATGTGAGAAACAGACCAGCAACCAAGCCAGCAAGTAACCAGCATATGAATTATGAGAAATGAAAATATAACTAATGGGTGCTAGGCTTAACACCTGGGTGATGAAATAATGCGTAAAACAAACCCCTATAACACGTTTACCTGTGTAACAAACCTGTACATGTACCCCTGAACTTAAAAGATTTTTTAAAAGGAAAAATTAAATAATCCCTAAATATCAGATCATCCACTCTCTTACCTGCCCTAAAGTTTTGAAAGCCAGAAATGGTGCTGACAAATGTCTGTGTTTATGATGAAACAAAATCCTGTATTCTGTAGTCTGATCACATTTTCTAATGTTCACTTATCTGGTCATCATTCTTTTCCATAGCTCTTCACTTGTAAAGTTCATTTGGTGACCTTAATGATTATTTTATTTGATTAGATATAGAAGCTACACATTACTCAAGCTCATTGCTGAGTGGTTATCTTCAAGAATGAACAAAAAGACATGTTGAGATACCATGGCAGAAGCCTGCAAAACGTATAGTTTCATCTACTTTAAGTATTTCTTAAGCACTCTGTCTATAGGCTTTTATGTTTCTCTTTAGTATTGAGGAGAAAGGGGTATTTAGTTAATCAAAGCTGTTCTCATACAATAACTTCAAGTCATATAATCTGATTCATATCCTTTCTGCTTAAAATACCACCTTCCATTTTGCATAAATACTTCTAGGGTCCTAACTATCTGTCTCTGAAACCACATTGAAAAGATTTATCACTTCCTTTCCTGGGAAGTAATACCAAATCTTACCCATAAGAAAATGCCTTTAAAAACTATGCATATATATGTATATATGTGTGTGTGTATATATACACACATATTTATGCATATATGTATCTGCTTTCTATTTTATATATGTATATATGCAATGTATAGTATATATACATATTGTACGTTGCATATATACATATAGTACATAGAATAATGTATATATTTATATGTATGTTCGTAGAGATTGAGATTCATTAATTTATTATTTATATATAATTCTACATATTCTTGAGGTTCATATGATGTTTTTATACATGAATACAATGTGCAATAATAAAATCAGAGTAAATGGAATATACATTACCTCAAACATTTATCTTTTCTTTGTGTTAGGAGCATTCAAATTATTCTAGCTATTTTGAAATATATAGTAAATTATTGTTATGTATAGTCTCTCTTCCGTACTATGGAACAATAGAACTTATTCCTTCTATCTTACATAACTTTTGTAGCCATTAACCATCTTCTCTTCTTAGCCCCCTACCCGTTACCCTTCTCAGCTTCTGGTAACCACCATTCTACTCTACCTCTATGAAATCCACTTTTAGCTTCCACATATAAGTGAGAACATGTGATATCTGCCTTTCTGTGCCTGGCTTATCTGACTTAACATAATGACTTCCAGTTTCATTCATGTTGCTACAAATGATAGGATTTTATTATTTTTGTAACTGAATAATATTCCATTGTATACACACATACCACATTTTCTTTAACCATTCATCCATTGCTAAAGCAATCCTGAGCGAAAAGAACAAAGCTGGAGGCATCACACTATTTCACATAAAACTATAATACAAAGCCAACAACATGGCACTGGCATAAAAACACACAGAACAATGGAACAGGATAGAGAACCCAGAAATCAATCCCCACATTGATGGCCAATGTATTTTTGACAAGGACACTAAGAACACACAACGGGAAGAGGACAGCCTTCCTAATAAATGGTTCTGGAAAAATTGAATGTCCATATGCAGAAGAATGAAACTGGATTCCTATCTTCCACCATATATAAAAATCAACTCAAAATGGATTAAAGACTTAAATGTAAGACCTGAAACTATGAAACTACTAGAAGAAAATTTTTTGAGAAACTCTACAGAACATTGGTTTGAGCAAGATTTTTTGTGTAAGACCTCAAAAGTGCAGGCAACAAAAGGAAAATTAGACAAATAAGATTACATCAATCTAAAAAGCTTCTGCATAGCAAAGGAAACAACCAACAAAGTGAAGAGTTAACCTAGAGGATGGGAGGAAATATTTTCAAACTACTCATCTGACAAGGGATTAATAACTAGAATATATAAGGAACTCAAACAACTCAATAGCAAAAAAAAAAAAAAAAATCTGATTTAAAATGGGCAGAAGACCCCAACAGACATTTCTCCGAAGTAGACATGCAAATGGTCAACAGGTATATGAAAAAATGTCCAACATCACTAATTATCAGGAAAATTCAAATCAAAACTGCAATGAAATATTATCTCATCCCAGTTAAAATGGCTACTATTGAAAAAATAAGCTAACAGATGCTGGTGAGGATGTGAAGAAATGGCAATGCTTGTATACTGTTGGCAGGAATGTAAAGTGGTATATCCACTATGGAAAAGCACTCTAGAGGTTTCTCAAAAAAAAAAAAAAAAAAAAAAAACTGAAAATAGAGATTTATTTATTCTTAGGTATTGGGTCAGGCAACTGTGGGAATAAGAAATTTTGAAAGTTTTAGGGCAGTCTGGCAAGCTGAAAATTCTGGCAAGAGTTCATGCTGTAGTCCTGAGTCCAAAGGTAGTCTAGCAGCAGAATCTCTCACTCTTTTGGGGACTTCAGTGTTTTTTCTTAATGTTTTCAATTGACTGATTGAGGCCTACCTATGTTATAGGGGATCATCTGCTTTATTCAAAGTCTACAGATTTAAATGTTAATCACACCTAAAAAAATGACTTCACTACAATCTGGACTGGCTTTTGACTAAATAGTTGGGTACTATAGCCTAGCTTAGTTGACACATCAACTAAACCATCACATTTTTCTTAACCACAGTTTCCTTCTTTGCTTTTTCATATGATCAGAAAACTTTTTCACTTGAATTGTATTGCATCATTATCTACTATAAAAATGAAGTGATATGAAATAACTTGGGGACCATGCATTTGGAATGTATTATTCAATTAAGCTTTATTCTAAGTAAGTTAATCAGAATGAAAAATAAAGGGCAGTATTTCCCAAGCAGAAAATTCGGCAAAATTCCTGTAGGAGAGATAAATCAATTTATATTTATTATGAAATGCCCTGAAACACTAACTTGAGTTTATAAAAAATCTGTTAAAGCTGAATTTTTTAAATATTTTATTTTGCATTATCCTAATTTTTCATAGATTTTACAATATTAAACTTTAGTGGCTGTATATATAAAGTATCAATTTTGAATGAGTAGCTAAATCACTATTTTATTTTACTGTATGCATATTTTAGTAAGCTTACAAACCAATGCTTGTACTTTAATTATTATTATTTTAAACCTTATTAATCATGACTTCACTTTATGGATGTTTCTGCTGTACGTTAGCATTTTAGTTTAGAAAATATATATATATTTTTTTTTTTTAGTCACAGTGACTCACACCCGTAACCCCAGTAGTTTGGGAGGCCGAGGTGGGCAGATCACCTGAGGTCTGGAGTTCAAGACCAGCCTGGCCAACATGGTGAAACCCTGTCTCTACTAAAAATACAAAATATTAGCTGGGTGTGGTGGCACACGTCTGTAGTTCCAGCTACTTGGGAGGCTGAGGCATGAGAATCTCTTGAACCTAGGAGATGGAGATTGCAGTGAGCCAAGATCGCTCCACTGCACTCCAGCCTGGGCGACAGAGTGAGGCTCCATCTCAAAACAAAACAAAACAAAACAAAATACATATATTTTCTTTTTTATATAAATAACTGCTTTATCACATTTTATAAATCCACTTTATAATAAAAAGTTATATTAAAAATGCTGGCAAGGTTATTTCATAGTCACTTTATAGTTATTAATTAGATGCCATTTTTTATATATTAGTCTTTCAAATCTTACGATCTCTGCATCTCAGTTTAGATATAAAATAATTATCTTTTAATTATTTTGTTTAGTATTATTTTAATTTTTTTCTTTGGAATCTTTTATGTTCTTCTTTCAAAATTTAATGGCTGTCAAGTTAATAACTTCAAAGTCCTTAATTTTTTTAGTGTCCTAAGCATAGAATGAATGGTCTACAGATTGGCACGCCATTGGAAGATAAGTTTGCCTTGCCTTTTTTAATTGAAGAATGTAATAAATATTTTAATGTTTTAATTATGAAACCAGATACTTTTAAAATCAATATATTAAGTTTCAAAGTTGGACTTAAACAGCCATGGATTTCCTGTCAGAATCCATATGCTGAGCTTACGTACAAGGAAAATATGGATTAGTGACAGTTTCTTTCCTGAAGGTAATGCTTTTCTCTATATAATGTAAAAACTTTTTACAAACATAGCCTCATTAATTTTCTCAAGGTCCCCCAAGAGAACTACGTATGCATGATTTCCATTTTACAGAATGTAAACTGGCCTGAGGGAACCAGGTATCATAGTTTTCCATTTTGTTTCTCACGCCACAGCTATGACGCACAAAACATTTTAAATTTACAGTGGGCATAAATTTTATTTTGCTCTTCTATCAAATTCTCCAAACTCTAAACAAAATGCAGTCTTGTATGATTAAAAAAAGAAAGTTTCAAAGTCAGAAAATCAGGCTTTAAGACACAGCTTTTCCATTTTGGCAAATTATTAAACCTCTTCAATTTTACATCTGTAAAACATCTGCTTTCTCTACAGTGCACCTCAGCTTATTACTGAAGCTCAAATGAAAAATGTATGTGAATGTGTTGCATAAATTGCAAATCACATAGATGATAGTTGTTATATTACAGTTATAACCCCCACCACATGAGGCTCAACACAAATTTGTAAACTTGAATGTGGCCCAACACAAATCTGTAAACTTTCTTAAAACATTATAAGATTATTTTGCGATTTTTTTTTTCTTAGCTCATCAGCTGTCATTAAATGCACTAGTGTTTCTTAGCTCATCAGCTGTCACTAAAATGCACTAGTGTTAGTGCATTTTATATGTAGCCCAAGACAATTCTTCCTCTTCCCATGTGGCCCAGAGAAGCCAAAAGAATGGACACCTCTGCTTTAAAGTAAATATTAAATCTTATCTACACTGGCATTCTTCAAGCCATAGGATGGGTATATTGGATGTGTCCACCAATCATTTACTGAATACAGAAATTGATGTACATTATTGAAGACACTGTGTCAAGCACTGATCCTGGTGTTGATGGGTTGCATTTTTAAATGTGGTCATCCCAAAGACTTGCATTCAGTAAATTCCTGAAGGAAGTAAGGAGGCAAACATATTGTTAACTGGGAAAAAACATCTAGGCAGAGGTTAAGGCAATGGAAAGACCCGGGTGTGCACTGTGCTAAGGATGTTCAAGCTATTGAAGGAGGAAAATGGGGCTGCAACAGCGTAAACAGGGAGAGGGTAGTAGGAGATGAGATCACAGGTGTTAGGGGAAGGGGGATTAAGAGAGGCACTGAAGAGGGATGCTATGAACACCGGTTTTTACTCTATAATTTGGCAAGAATTGAAGTGTTTTGTACAAGTAGAAGCATATTGTTATTTTTTAACACTGTAGTGCCTATAATGAGAACACGCTATAAGAAAACCAAAACAGAAGCAGTAAGACCAGCTAAGAAATATAAGACGGTAGACTCAACTACGAAATTCTAGTAGTGGGGGTGGCGATAAGTTGGACTCTTGATACATTTTAAATGCAGAGCAAAAAACAAAAAAATCTGTGATAGGGATTATAATAAAACTATATCTAAATTTGGGGAAAATTAACATCTTTGTAAAATTTAGTCTTCCAATGCATGAGCACAGAATATCTCTTCATTTATTTAGGTCCCTCTAATTGTTCTTAATTAGCTTTTGTAGTTTCCAGTGTAGAACACTGGAACATATTGTCCTGTATTTTTCCTCCAGGTATGTGGTTATTTTAGTCGCTATCATAAGTTCATTTACTATTTTTACGCTACCTTAAGTTGCATGTACGCATGTGTGTGCATAAATCATTACATACATACACATAAAATATTTTGTTCTACTGTAATTACTAAAATGATAAAATAATACTAAATGTGAAACAAGAAGATAATACAAGATAAAGAGGAACTTTAAAATACTTGATTAAAGCAAAAGAATGAAAGAAAGAAGCCATAAAGAAACAAACAAACAAAAAAAAGAGAGACAGAGGAAGGAGAGAGAGAGCGGATGGCCAAACAGTACCCTCCAGAGATCATCCCTTCCACAGAAACACCAGATTAAACAACCATTCATGCAAGAAAGCACTTTCATAAGAACCAAAACTTAGCTGAGCAATCATGGTACTTAGTTTCAGCATTATATCAAGGAGAGAGGCACTGAAAAGGATAGTAAAGACAGCCTTGAATCACCTACACATCCCCCATGTTTTAGCAGTAGCTGCCTGACACAGCAACAGAATCTGTGAGCTTCCGGGAGGGGGAGGCAGTAATTGTGAAAATTAACTTTGAAGCTCAGTACTGCCCGGTCACAGTGGAAAGCAACACAGGGCAGAATTCAGCCTGTGTTCACAGTGGGAACATTTAGACTAAGGAGAATCTCATGGTCAGAAACTAAGTTCCAGCTAGCCCCAGTACCATGGCTAAAGTGCTCTAGGGTTCTAAACAAATTTTAAAGGCAGTCTAAGCCACAAAGACTGCCACTCCTAGGCAAGTCCTGGTGCTGTCCCAGGCTTGGAGCAAGTGAACTTGGGGTGCAAACAACTTAGTGGCACACCAGCTGGGGTAGCCAAGGAAGTACTTGCGTCACCCCTCCCCCAACCCAAGGCAGTGCAGCAGAGACCCTGTCTAAATAAATAAATAAATAAATAAATAAATAAATAAATAAATAGAACTCAAAGAGACAGTAGAATGATGGTTACCAAAGTCTGGAAAGGGTAGTGATGGGGTGGCAGAGGGGGACCAAGGGATGATAAATGGGTACAAAAATATAGTTAAAGAGAATGAATAAGGTTTAGTGTTTGATAGCACAACAGAATGACTGCAGTCAATGATACTGTACATTTTAAAATAACTAAAAGAATAATCGGAATGTTTATAACACAAATAAATGATAAATGCTTGAGGTGATGAATACGCCATTTACTCTGATGTTACTACTACTACACATTGAATGCCCATATCAAAATATCTCATATACGTCATTAATATATACACTTACTATTTACCTATAAAAAATCAAAAAGTAGGCCAGGTGTGGCTCACACCTGTAATCCCAGCATTTGGGGAGGACGAGGGAGGCGGATCACCTGAGGTTGGGAGTTTGAGACCAGCCTGACCAACATGGAGAAATCTCATCTCCGTTAAAAATACAAAGTCAGCTGGGCATGGTGGCATATGACTGTAAGCAGCTACTCAGGAGGCTGAGGCAGGAGAATAGCTTGAACCCGGGAGGCGAAGGATGCGGTGAGCTGAGATCACGCCATGGCACTCCAGCCTGGTCAACAAAAGAGAAACTCTGTCTCCAAAAAAGAAAAAAAAAATCATGAAGTAAAAATTAAAAAAAAAACTGACAGCAGTATGATAGGATTAAACATAATTATATAACTACATTTAATGTAAACGTAATATGCGTATGTATGCAATATACATACACATTGTAAGATTTTATACACAATATGTATATGTATAAAATGTGGGAGTTTTTTGCATTTTACTTGCATATTTTATGTTTTATGGCCTTTACCTGGATTAGTCAAATATTTTTGATCACGCTATTTTTTCTGTTACCTCTCTTTACTCTATTATTTTAATGGCTACCCTAGATGTTTTATGTATCTTTGATTTATTACAGCCCAGTGGAAATTATTTGTTTTTACCACTTTTCAAATAATGCTGGAACATTAGGACTCTTTAAGCTGTTTAATTCTCTTTTGACTTTTGCACTAATTATATACTGTATAATTCTCTCTCTCTCTCTCTCTCTCTCTCTCTCTCTCTCTGTATATATATATGCATGTATATATTTACATCCAAAGTAATTATTAAATACTCATTTATATGTAATCATGTATTTTTCTTTCCATTACTCTTCATTTTTACCTGAATTTTTGTGTTTCCATCTCATATCATCTTCTCTTACTTAATTAAATTCCTTTATTATTGCTTAATGCATAATTTCTGGTGATAATTTTTTTCTTTTTTGTTGGAAAATTATACTTAAAGAATAACTTTGCAGGGCATAGAATGCATGTTTCCATATTTTACATACCCTTTTATTTTCTGCTTTATTTTTTAAGTAATTTAAAAAGTATTTTCTATTTTATTTTTTAAAGGTCAGTTGCTGCTACTGATACTAATTTTTGGAATACAAAGTACTGTATCTATCTTACTAGCTTACATTTGACCTTGGTATCTCTAACCATAATTTTCCTTGTATTTACTTTGCTTAGTTTATAGAAACTTTGTGATATTTCAAATTGATATTCATTGTCAGTTTTGAAAAATTTTTATAATCTCAAATGCTGTTTTTAATCTGTCGCTGTATCCTCCTCTTCTAAAATTCTAATTACATTTATTTTGAACAGTTGAAGTCCCACATATATCTTGCTCTTTTCTTATCTTTTTCTTCTCTGTTTTGGATTAAGATATTTTACATTTCCTGTCTTACAATTTACTAATTATGTTTTCTGCTGTATCTATTTGTTGATAAAAATCATCCATTGAAATTTCATTTTCAGTACTTTTGCTTTTCCTTTCCAGATTTCCCAATTAATGCTGTTTTTCATATTATTTTAATTTTTGGCAAAATTCTCCAGTTTTTCATCAGTGACCTTTCATCTTTTTTTGTGAACATGGTAAAAATGTTTTAAAGTCTTTGTCTTCTTACTATCTTTGACAGTTTCTGTTGTCTATATTCTTTGTTTTCAGTTACGTGATCTTGTATCTTGGAATGCTTTGTAATTTTTTGTCAAATTTTTATATTGTATAAAAAATTATTAAGGCTCCAACTGATGCTATTTTTCAACCAGGGAAGGTTCAGCTTCTGATCTCCTAGGCAAATAGAACGTGCTTATGACCTTGATCCATGCATGCACCAAATTAAAGTTTGAAAAGCCTCAGCCTTTGGGTAAAGCAGTTAGGGTGAAGTTTTCCTGGGCTTCAAATTGAAAGCTTGGTGTAGTCACTGGTGCTCCACTTCTCTTGATTTCTAAACTCTGAACATTGTAATTTCTGAATAACCTCACAAAAATATAAAATAAAGTAATAAATAATCAGAACAACTTTTTTCTTTCAGTTTCTTAGCCTTATACTCTTTGCATCATCAGATTTTGGCAAACACATTAGAAGAAATATCAGCCTTATATCTGGATCAGTATTGTTCTGCCTCCATTACTGTACCCTAGTATCATGGCCCGTAAACGCTTAAGCTGTTTGTCTTGTTGTTGTTGCTGTTATTGTTGTTTGCTTAGTTCTTCTGATTTCTCTGTTCTCAGGAGGGCCATGTGAAAATGAGGCCTGGATTCTCAGCCTCCTGTCTTGCTTTTAGAGTAAGCAAATGCCCCCAAGGAAAAGATGGCTGCAGACTGTCAGTTCACACATCTCTATTTTTATCTGCTTTGTAATTTTGCAATCCTTTTCCCTCCAAGCCTGGTTGCTTTCTCTCCAATGCCTTTAAGAAAATATAATTTGTGTTTTATCTGTTTTTTGCTGCTTGTTCTGAATAAGTTTGGTCTGTTGCATGCTATACCATCACATTCAGGGGTAATAATTTTGATCAAGATTCTATCCTTTCATGTAATATTTCATTTAGCTTGTTGGCATTTTGTTTCTAAAGTGTTTTGCATCTCATTTCCTGAAAGTAAATAAATATAAATATAAATATATTTTTTTCTTTGTCTTTCTTGGAATGTAGTAAGTTATAATTTATTTTTTTCTTTTCTGTGATAAGGTTTGGTGTTTTTTTTTACTTAAATATTTCATATTATTTAACTCTGGAGCCATCAGGTCCTGTAGCTACAACTATTTTTTTTTTTTTGAGACGTAGTCTCACTCTGTCGCCCAGGTGGGAGTGCAGTGGCACAATCTTGGCTCACCGCAACCTTCGCCTCCCAGATTCAAGTGATTCTCTTGCCTCAGCTTCAGAGTAGCTGGCATTACAGGCGCCCGCCATCCACACCCAGCTAATTTTTGTATTTTTAGTAGAGACGGGGTTTCACCACATTGACCAGGCTGGTCTGAAACTCCTGACCTCAAGTGATCTGCCTGCCTCAGCCTCCCAAAGTGCTGCAATTACAGGCCTGGGCCACTGTGCCCGGGCAGCTACAGCTATTTTTAAGCCAGTTGTAATTGATTTAATAGTTACAAGATTATTTAAATTTTATTTTTCTTCTTTATCTATTTTGTAAAATTATGTTTTTTCTTGGAATTCCAGGAATAAGCCTGTTTAAATTTTCAAATTCAATTTAATAAAGTTGTACATAATAGCTTTTAATTATATTTTCTTCAACATCTTTATTATTTCTTCATTTATCTTTTGCTCCTAAACCTTCTATTTAAAGTAATTCAATTAAGTAATAATGCCATTTTAACTGAATTTAATTAGGCTCTTGCTCCTAATTTGGAATGCAATCTGAATGTCTTTTTAGCTATTGTATTCTCAGTACATAATAGGTGCCCAAACACTAATAAATGAAAGAATGACTGAATAGATGAATGTATGGATGAGCCAATGCATGTTTATCTCCTTGCATGAAGAATGAAAATTTCAAAAAATTATTTTTATATTTATTTTTAATTAGTTCCCACCTATAATCCCAGGACTTGGGAGGCTATGGCTGAAGAATCACTTGAGTCCAGGAGTTCAAGACTAGCCTGGGCAACATAGCAAGACCCTGCCTCTGCAAAAAAATAAAATAAAATTAGCTGAGTGTGGTGGTGTGCACTTGTGGTCCTAGCTACCCAGGAGGCTAAGGTGATAAGATTGCTTGAGCCCAAAGGTTTGAGGCTGTGGTGAGCCATGATTGTGCCACTGCACTCCAGCCTGGGTGACGGAGCAGAACTTGTCTCTAAGAAATAAAGAGATAAATAAATATTTTTAAATCACTAATGTAAAATATTCGAAGAGCTAGTTGTACCTTTCTTGTTTATACTTTTACCATTTTTTTTAAAGGATAAGATCATTCCCATCGCTTCCACAAATTTATCTGTTTAAAGGTAAAAAAAATCACTTAAAGGATACCAGAATCTAAGTCTTTCTCTTCAGATACTGTAATTTAGTAAATGATTAAATGGTGTTAAGTCAATAAACTATTCTTTGTAATAATCTCTTCTTATTTTTAAATGCACTGTGCTTTTATTTAATTTAGAAAATAAATATTTAGTAGCAACTTCCATTATGTTTGGAATTAAATTTTAAACAAGCCAGCATACTTCTACAAACTTCTCTGAAGATATCACAGAATCATATTTTGTGATTCGAAATATTTTCTCTGAATAAAATAACTGAAATCATAAAGCATAGGAAGTGTGTGTTAAAATTTCTGGGAAGAACAATAAAATGTATAAATCTATAATATTCAGTTGCAGAAATATTAGCATTTTTCAAAAATATAAAGAATCACAGAATCCACCTCCATTATCTTTACTGATTGATAAGAAGCAATAAAAATGTGTTCATTTTTTAAAACTTCTTGAGAAGTAATTTGATCCACGATTATTGACATATTATTTCTTTTAAAATGTATTATTATTTTTTATTTCTGAGACCGTTTAACTCTTGTCGCCCAGGCTGGAGTGCAGTGTCCTGATCTCTGCTCACTGCAACCCCGCCTTCTAAGCTCAAGTAATCCTCCCTCCTCAGCCTCTCAAGTAGCTGGGACTACAGGTGTGAGCCACCTTGCCCAGCCACATTTATAAATCCATAATATTCAGTTGCAGAAACACTAGCATTATTTCAAAATATAAAGAATCATAGAATTCACCTCCATTACCTTTACTGATTGACAAGAAGCAACGAAAATGTGTTCATTTTTTAAAACTTCCCGAGAAGGAAATTCACCCACTGCTATTGACATATTATTTCTATATTCACTGATCCTCAGAATCTCCTCTAATCTAAAATAATCAGGATATGCCTTAAAGTACACACTCAGACTTCTGCAGTAATTTTAAATAATGCACTATTAATACATACATTGCCAGGTAAAAGCATTAATAATATATTGTAGGCAAACAAAGCAAGTCTCTCAACATTATACTTATGATCATTCTGCTGTATGTGTGTCTGTGTGTCAACATAGATGATTGAAGCTTTCATAACTATGTATTAGTTATGATTTTATTTGGAATTATTTGTATTTTTAAAACATCTACAATGATTATGCATAAATCTTTAAATAATTTTATCATAGTTAAATACAATATTAACTTTTATTGCCACATCTCAGAAAAATAGAAATTCATTCCCATTATTCACCTTAAAAATTTTTTCACCATTTTTAAGCATGTCTTCATAAAATTATGTCTTCTATGTAAAATGTATATGAATATAATGGAAATATATGTATGAAAATAAACATGATTGAAACTGTAAAATGTATTTTTGTCTATTTCCTGAAATGTCAAAAGTATGAAAGAATATTAGGAGGAAAAAAGAGATATGACCTATATTAGACAGTAAGTAAATAGCAAGAAGTTAGATTTAAACTTAAATATATTACTTTAGAAAATACAAAGTCATCTAATTAAAACACAAAAATTTCAGAATAGATTTTTAAAAATTTAACTATTTGCTGTGTACTAGAGTTATACTTTCTACATAAAAACATAGAAAATGTGAATGTTAAAGGATGCAAAGTATGTGCCATGCATAATAATCAAAATTAAGTTTATACTTTATTAAGCAACACAGAAGTTTAAGCAAGAAGTGGCACTACGGTGGAGGAAAAATTCCATAATATCACACAACTGAACAGAGAAGTATTTAAAGGCTTTAACATGCTAACATGCTATCTTCATAGCTGACAGAGCAATCCAACAAAAACATTATTACAGGTACAAGTGATGTGAGCTACAACATTCATAAACTTAACCGATTAACCATATATAAATTATTAAACCTATCAGCTCCATAGTACACATTATTTACAACTGCACATGGATGGTTTACCAAAATAAGCCATATGCTGGATTATCAATATTTTCTCAGAAAACTGCAAAATTTTACAATCATAAAGTTCATGTTCTCTGACTTCAGTAGAATTAAGGTAGGAGTCAATAACAAATAATTAAATAAAAATCCTAAGTGTTTAAAAATGAAGCAACATGCTTCTAAGTAACCCATGAGTCAAAAAAGATCTAATAATGAAAATTAGAAATACATGAATTGAATGAAATGAAAGCATTACATATCAAAACTTGGAGAGATGCAACTAAAGCTAAGCATATACAAAGATAAAGAGTTTAATGCATAGATTAGAAGAGAAGACAGAAAATCATCGATCAAGCATTCACCTCAAGATTCTAGAAAAATGTTTTTTAATTGAATGGTCAGAGTTCTAAAAATAAGAATCAATAAAATATAAAATCAATAAAATATTAAAAAATCAAGAAATCAATAAAATATAAAATAAATGTTGAATAAAAAAATCAACGAATTTAAAAGTTGTTTCTTTGAAAATACAATTTAAAAACCCCTATTAAAGAGAAACAAGAAAAAAGGAAGACAATATATTGCATATGTTGAAAATTAATAAGGAACATCAATACAAGTTTTACAAACATGAAAAAGGAGTAAGAAGTTATTCTGAATAACATTTGCCAATGCATAATTATACAGCTATTGAAGTTATTAATTTGTAATTTATCACCTATAACACACACACACACACACACACACACACACACGCACACACACACATCTTCAGGGACAGAGAATGGCTTCAAGAAAATTCCTGCAAATGTGTAAGAAAGAAATAACACCAGCCTTACACAACCTGTTTTATAAGGAGTGAAAACACTTCCTAACTCTTTCTATGAAGTTATAACACTCTTGATACTAAACAATACCAGGAAATTTAACATAAGCTCCTTCATAAACACAGATGCAATAATTCTAATTTGAATATTAGCTAATTGAATTCAGAAAAATAAATAAGAAAGTAAACCACAAACAAGTTCAATTTGTTCCAAGTATGTAAAACCAATAGCTGGTCATCATTCATGTTAATAAAATATAGAAAAAAATACAAAATATAAAACCAAATCAATGCAACTGACATGGGAAACATTGATAAAATTAAAAACAGCTCATGACTAAATCTCTGCAAACTAGAAATAGGTAAAAACTTTCTTGATTTGGTGAGTGGTATCTACAAATATCACACAACAAACATTTTAGCTAGTGGTAAGATATTGAAAGTTCTACTTCTGAGATCAGAAATTAGTCTAGGATATCTGTTTTATTCCTTGAGTTGAACATAACACTGAATGCCCTATTCACTGTGGAAGTACAAAAAAAGAATAAAAGTTATAAGAATTTTAAATCTAAGGCTGAAAACTCACCATTTTAGGCAACATGAGTGTATATTTTAAAATTCAGACAAATCTGCAAGGTATTAGAATTAATAAATGAATTTAACAAGATTGCTGAATGTGAAGATTGGCCATAAAATCTGAAAACACACAAATACACATAACAAATCATTTATTGATATTATACTGCAAGACATAAGCTCAATGATATCACATATATTTAATATGTTGTCCTTCATTAGCAATACATAATTCCATAATATTGTGTAAAATTCCAATGAAATCTCTAATATGGTGTTTCCATCAGTCCCTACAACTTTCATCTGTGATGAGTCACATTATTTCTGTATAATTTTCACTAAAGAAACCTTTACTTCAAGCGTATCCTACTGTATGTTCAGTGCCTACTTTCAGTGGTGCCATCTAGTAGGTGTTCAAAATATCTGCATACTGAATGACTGAATAGATGACTATAGTGTTTCCCAATTTCTAAAATCTCTTAAATCTATGCTACCAGGCAAAATCACCTTTCATTTTAACTTGCACAAATTTTCTTTTTCAGAGAGAGATAAAAGTTTTAAGTGCCTCTTATCTTTTAGCAATTTTGTCTATCAAATTTCCTTCTCCAAACAAGTAAACTCAGCAACATATTCCTTTTGCATTCCTCAGCTAGTGATGTGTAAAATAATTGCCAAGAGCAGACAGAGGCAATATGGTATTGCTGTTAAGAGCAGAACACACAGATTAATTGTAAAACACACTGGGTTCCAATACCAGCTAGCAGTTATATCACAATAATTCTATTAGCTAACACAAGTTACTTTACCATTTTAAGCCTTGGCTTGCACAATTAAAAATGGAAAAAATAACACATCTCTAAAGGCCACCGTAGAATTAAAACATGAACACTTATGCTAGCTGTTTTGCATAAAGCACAAAGAATTTAATTATTATTATTATTACAAATCAATGACGGAACTATCCGTGAACATAATGCCCACTGGGAAACTTCATAATTTCTAAACTAGAGCTTAGGCAAAGAAGTCTATTTCCAAGAGGAATTTTAGTAAACATGCTTTGAAACTGTAGCTGCATAGTAAGTGCACATTTTCTACTTAGAGTACATTTTTTATTTGATATGTCTTGTGCAGAATGGGTAATGGAGAATATGGGGAGTATTGCTATCCTCCCATTGACATTGTACAATTATCCTCTGGATGCAATGAATTCCCTGCTCAGAAAAGTCTGAAGCAGAAGAAAAAATATATTATCTTTTAAATGCACAGTCATTAATTTTGAAAAAGAACAAGGTAAAGCTTGGCTGCTAGGTTCTACCAAGTTCTACCAAAAACATTGAAGATATTTGTTAATTGCCTACTTGTTTCATTACTGTTCAAAACAACATCTGGAGCATGCTGGCCTTTATTAGGCAATATGTTGGTCTTTAATGGCATCAGTCAACAGTATAGGTGTTAACAAAGAGAAAGTAAAGTTGGTAGAAGACTACACTCTCCAACATAGAAAAACCTAATAAATTCAAATTTTTACACAAAATGTAAAATTACATTTCTATGAGATTCAAAATAGCCTCAAAAATTACATTATTTTTAAAAGTATTAGTTGATCAAAGATAATACCAAAGATCATCTTAAGGTCATCTTGAAACAGGAGAGGACGTTAGGTTATTCCCTCTCTAGATTCATTGGCTCTATCTTTGCCTAACAAAACCACAAAGTTAGAATATCATTGGAATTTCAAAAAAGTTTAAATAAATACATTCATAAAGCAAATATTTGTGTTGTGTTCGGGATTGTTTAAGCGATGGAAATGGAACAGTGTAAAACTTAAAAGCCCTGCCCTTCTAGAGTTTACATTCAGTCATCAAAACATGAAGTACCAGAAATTTCTAAACTAGTATTAATGAAGTTGTATAGACAGACTTTAAGCAATACTTACGCTTTGTTCAGACATGAATTATCTGCAGTCCGAAAAAATGAATCAAACAAATTATTTCACATGAACTCTTTGGGCACCAAGATTTTAAACTAGCAATAATGATTCTTTAGAATCTTCCAATTATAAGGTGCAAAAGAATTTAGGGGGTAAGCTTTTCATTTTATTAAAAAGAATATCATTCCCAAAGATCACAGGTGCTAATTTAATAATGGAATTTAAAAAATTATTCTATAGAATTGCTTAGAAATTTTTGGCTGCTAACATTTTTCAGTGAGAATTAGAATATGAAAGCCTGAAAAAATAACAGGTTTTTTTGTGTGTCTGCCTGTTTGCTGGCTTTCTTGCTTGCTTTCTTGTTAAAAATCGAGAGCAACAAATCGAACTTGAAAGAATCTGTTCTCCAAACCCTAACTCAACTTGGTCTTAAGGAGTCCTAGAACTCAAATTCTGACAAAGAGTTCCTGAAACTCAAAGTGACCATAATGTTCTCTGTCTCACAAAACTGAACTGCAAAATTAACCATGAGACTCAGGTTATCAATTGGTTGTGTAACTGAATCAACAAGGGTTTATAAGCATCTATCAAGGTGTGCTTAACATTATGCTCAGTTGCTGTGAATATACAAGAGAACTTTTAGATATATTCTTAACTCTCAAACAGTTTAAGAGTTTACTTGGAAATTTATACCATATAAACATCTTAAGAGCCCAAGATAACATGTTGTATATTGAAGACTTACTGGTGTGACAAAGAATTGCAGAGGAGGGGAGATTTAATAGAGGCTTTGGTAATTAGAAAAGAACCCTAGGAAGAAGTGAACTAGAGAGCAGCCCATTGGTCTGGGTGGGATTTGTCCAGGCAAAAAACAAAAATTTGCCAGAACACTGCAGAGAAGAATGGCACGAACAGATATATGTAGAGAGAATGAATATGTACAATTGTAAGTGAGCAGATGGTCCTGAATCATGAGTTGTGAACCCTTGCCCCATGTTGCAATAGAATTTCTTTACCACAATCCTAGTCAGCATACAGTTATCTTCAAGACTGAGACTGCTTTAGTATTTTTCATTTAGGAATGTAAATGTGGGTGCACATGCAAATAAATTTTAAATGTATATTTTCTAAACACATTCTTAATATTGATTAGTCCTTTAAGTAGTATATATTTTGTCAAGGATCTCATAATTTAAGTATGAAAACAAATAATATGGAAAGCAAAAGTGTGCATGGGTTGAGAAATAATTTTATGAAATAGACCTCAAACTCAGCTTTTTTAGCCAAGAAAGTATATTCTCTCTTCAGATAAAGTATATGATTTTGTATAAATGGTGAACATATTTTTCTCTCTATGGGAATAAAATAAAAGGACTGAAATTACAGGCAAATATTTTTTAGAAAAGTGTCTTGCCTATAGAGTTTTAACACACAAGAAAAGATTTCTAAGGGGAATCACAATCTCTTAAATGTTTTAGCAAATATTGAGCTCTATTTCTAAAACACTGACTACAAACAAGGAGTGATTAAAATAACTACTTAAAATGGAGTCCCTATGAACTCAAGGCTTCCCAAAGAGAATCTATAAGGGTGTTAAAAATGTGTTCCTTGTTCAATGCTACAATATAGCTGCATTGACAATATAGTGCATAGTAAGTTATATTACATTAAAATAACTTCAGTTCAGTTGAATAGGGGTTAACACTCCAATTATTTATAATATTATCACAGACAAGAAATCATTTAGTTTATCAACTCAGAGTTGTCAGACACTGGGCAAGCATATTTTTGTTTTGCTTATTGCCAAACTAAAATTAAGAAAGCTCTGAAGGAAAACAGTTCCACCTGTGGTCAAATATTTAAAAGGACCATTACCAGTATCCAGATAGGCACACAAACTCAGTCTTAGAATGTGTTCCTTTGATGTCTCTTGCCTTGATATAAAATTGCAATTAAAAAAGAAAATGCACTTAGCTCAATATTTTTGCTAGAGGCTTCCCTATTACAATATCCCACCACCACCATGAAAGTATTGTCTATTGTTCAAAGTCAGTACCAGTCATTATTTCCACTCAAAATCCATATTGTTCACCTTCTTTAGAAAGTACTGTGATTATTCAATTAACATGCTATATTTATTCAAACATTTGAACAACTTAGACTGATCTTCAAGCTGATTTTGAACTGGCTAGCATCAAGCAGATAGATACTGTAAAATAATTCAAACAAGGAATCACTAAAAGGAAATCTGTAACTTGCACTCCACTTTGCAATAGAGTCACTCCAGAGTTCACACTACTTAGGTCTCTAAGCACATCTGAACCTGCGTGCAGACAGCATGCTTTGTCAAGCTTTGCTGGAAGCCTGCAGAGCACGGTGGGATACAAGCCATATTAGAGGTTCTACAGTCCCTTTACTCATGCCACTTAGGTATACAACCAGGAAGCCACATTGTGAAACATCAGACCTGTCGCAGAAATTGGTCCCCGTTCCAGCATCACATTACCCTGACCAGTACACCAGCACTCAGCACAGTTACATACTGTCAAGTCCACTATTGTCTTGAACTTCAGTTACATGAATTATTTCTTCTCAAAGCTATTACTGATGACTTGTTAAATAAAAACAATGTTAGGGGAAACTCCTCTGGTTTATGGAAATAAAAGTATAAATAATATGTATTCAAATTTCCATTTTCTTTCAAAATCTTGCATCTAAATTGACGTTTATCTCATAGCAAATTCTGTAAAGCCAAAGGATCCTTTCTGAAGCTACATGATGAGTTACCCTGAGAAGCTGTGTTAGTCAGGAAATATAAAGCTACCCAAGAATGCTGTATTTAATAATTCATGTTGTAAACACCCTGTTAGATTCCAAGTTAAGATCGCAACATTCTCTCATGTACTTCATTATTCTTGAACACTTAAATATCGTAACTTTATAATACCTTTACACAAGACAAAGGTGTTAAAATTGTCCCCAGATAACTCTCAATCATCTACTGCTCCCTGCTACCCCACAGACTCAAGCAATCTCTAAAAGAGGGCTATGTTCAAATGATCATGGGGTTTCATCACCTCTCATATGTATTTAGTTCCCAGGCTCAACATCCACACTAAATGGGATTTCTTACTTGAAATGAAATAATTTCAGCTAGTTATCTTTAGTCCCACTCTCACGGAAATACGTAAGATTTAATGAGCAACTGATCATTATTTCATATGTTTCAACCTTTCCCTTGTCCAGCCTTTCCCCGTCTTCTCTTCTATTCTAAGATATTGTAAATGTCCAGATTGAGATCATGGACCAGCAGATCTTTTTCATATCTATCCTTTGCCTTTTACAGCATGTCCTTGCTGGCTGACCTCTTTTCAAATTTTGTTTTCCTCTGAATGGGCTATTGCACTGATGGCTTTTGGCAGCTGCCGAGTGCTAAACCTGCATATAAAATCAATCTGTGGGGCCAGAGCCACAAAACAGGACCTACTTGAAATGAATTTTTTCAGCTTTCTGGTTACCATCGTATTAGAGTTTTAGTGCAATGGGAAAGGACAATAATTCATTTTACTTTATGAGAAAATCTTTATTTTCAAGAGCAACTGCTTGAGTGAACTCTTTTCAGATTGTCTTCTTGACTATATACAGCACATATAGTAACTCAATACTCTCCTCTTCCTCTAAATATTGTAGACAGACTAAGCCAGAATCTTTTGCACCAAGTTTTGTATTAATGTGTAAAAAGTTACTACAATATTATGATACACTCATTATTTTCCATACAGAAGAGGAAACTACTATGCCAAAAACCATTTGATACTATTTTCCCCTTGTAAATTTTTCTACTCTATCTCAAGAATAAAAACCCTAGTTCATTGCAGTTAAGACTATAGATTTTGGTGTCAACTCAACCTAGATTCATTTCGCAACTTTCTTTGAATGGAAAGAATGACTGTCCTTGGGCCAATTGCTCGTGTAATATTTAAACCTCATTATATTCATGTATAAAATATAATGACAGTTTCTCCCTTAAAGAATTTAGGTGAATATAATTTAGTAAAAAATAAATTAATAATTCACATAATGCATATAACATGATATCTGACATGCAGAACCTCCTAAAATATGTAATTACATTTTTAATTAATTATAAAAACTGCCACCTCTGTTGTCTACTAGTATGAGAAAATTGTGCCTTAGTAGCTTACCCTATTATAGTCACTTTCTTCTCTGAACAACAGAAATTAAAAATGTATGACATTTCCAGAATAGTTAAAGCAACTTAAATAGTTTAAGAATACAATGAGAGTTAAGAATTTTTTAAATGCAATTTTTCAAAAAGCCCTTTTAATCTTCATCTTTACTGCTCAACAAATCACTCCAAACTTTGTGGCAGAAAACAACAAACATAACTTACAAAATCAGTGGGTCAGATCAGTGGGTACGAAAGTACGCAACAGGACTGGCTCCTTTGCTTCACAATGTCTGGGACTCAAATGATCCAGGGCTTTAACAGCTGTTTTAGAGGAATCACTTCCAAGGCATCTTCCACATTTAAGTGTGGCTCAGTTGAGGCTGTTGAACGGAGCACTGTAACATGCCCTCTACCTATGGCTTGGGCTCCTCACAGCATGGTGTCTGGGTTCTGATAGAAAATTTCCTGAAAGTGAGCTTTCACGGAGCTAGTGTTCCAAAGGAACCAGGTGGAAGCGGCATGACCTTTTCTGACCAAGCCTCCTATGTCACTTGGTGGTCACATCAGCTGTACTCTCTTAGGTCAAGAAAGTCATAAGCCACCCAGGCTCAAGGAGAGAAGGCATAGGCCTCATCTCTCTTTGCAGGTAGATTAAAGAATTTTGAGGCCATATTTTAGAATACCACACATATTCTCCACAAACTATCCTCATGTTGATCATTCCTTCTTTTAATGCTTCTTATCCTTAATTATTCAGCATTACTCAATACTCATTATACATTGCTTTATATTTATTCTGGAGTTTATTAGACTTTGTAAAGTGCTATAACAATATAGTAAATTTTAGAGTACATCATCATATCTTCTTTTCATTTGTATCTTCAAATAATTCCCAGCATTGGCCTTTCCTTACATATGGAAGATTTATTCAATATGCTTAAATATTTAGCAGTGTCTTACAAAAATGCATATGCATTGGCAATAATGGTTAGTAACTTTACAAAATAATACTAGTGTCAGAGATTAGGGAACACATGATAGACACAAATGCACATTCAGGACAGCCTGATTAAACTAAGACTTCCCCTAAAAAGGTTAAAAATGGAAAGATAGCTTTTTATAACAAGACAAGAGTTTTTAATTCATAAAGAAACTGAAGTGGCCGTCAGTTTTTGAATCAGATATTTTCTATTTGCTCCTATCACATGCCCCAAATGAATACAGACACAAAAGAGAAGGGTTGGAATCTATCAGTCATTGTTTAAGGAAAAATTTCCACTGTATTTTATTTGAAACACTCATGGTTGATTTGAGATATAGCATCATTACATAGTTTCACTATTTTACAAACACTTGGTCTATCATTCTAAATTTGGAGAAAGTTAGATTTTATTAAAGCAAATTAAAAAAAATTTATTCAAAATTGTCTGTTGAACACCTATTTCCTACCGTCCCAGATGCTATTAAGACAAAAATGAGTAGGATAAAATTCTGGCCCACACAAAGATTACCTCCTAGTTACAAAGATAAAGTAATTCTATAATAACTATAGAGTGTGATAAGTGCTCTGAGAGAGAAGCGGTCAAGGCCATATTGGGACATATCTTAAACACTGAGATAAAAGAAACATTGTAGTGGATACCGTGATGTGTTTTTCCAATTTCCCAGCAAGACTACGGGAAATATTGCTTTGGCTATGGGGAGTATTATTGCTAGACGGCACTCAACTGTCAAGCTATTTCAGGAGTTATCGCCACTGAAGAGTCACCTTGCCTAAGGGCATGGCCCCTTCCTGGGGCAGCTTATATTCAAGGACTGTCCCAATTCTGAAGGACCATACCAGCTTTGGAGCTCCCATTAGGATCAGAGTGTTTGTTTTTTTTTTGAGATTTCTCTTTCCACCTGATTATATTTTCTTCACTTTCCTTCCACAGGTACGGATCCCAAGAACACTCGCTAATAAACCTCTGTGTGCTGATATTTATTACTGAAACTACTTCTTAGGAAACTCAAAATGCAACTCAAAATGCATAAACGTAAAAGAGTACTTCATTAACCTATCAATGACTGTATTAGTCCGTTTTCATGCTGCTGATAAAGACATACCTATTACTGGGCAATTTACAAAAGAAAGAGGTTTAATTGAACTCACAGATCCATATGGCTGGGGAAGCCTCACAATCATGGCAGAAGGCAAGGAGGAGCAAGTCCCATCTTACACGGATGGCAGCAGACAAAGAGAGAATAAGGAAGAGGCAAAAGCAGAAACCCCTGATAAAACCATCAGATCTCGTGAGACTTATTCCCAACCACGAGAACAGTATGGGGGAAACCGTCCCCAGGATTCTATTATCTCCCACTGTGGTTGGGGGGGTGTAATTCCCACTGTGGTTGTGTGTGTGTAATTCCCACACACGTGGGAATTACAGGAGTACAACTGAAGATGAGATTTGGGTGGGGCCACCGAGCCAAAGCCAAACCATGTCAATAACTGTTACAGGCCAGTCGTGGTGGCTCACACTTATAATCTCAGCACTTTGGGAGGCCAGGGTGGGCAAATCATTTGAGGTCTGGAGCTCGAGACCAGCCTGGACAACATGGTAAAACGCCATCTCTACCAAAAATACGAAAATTAGCTGGGCATGGTGGCAGGCGCCTGTAATCCAAGCTTCTCGGGAGGCTGAAGGAGGAGAATTGCTTGAACCCGGGAGGCGAAGGTTACAGTGAGCCAAGATCGTGCCACTGCACTCCAGCCTGGGCAACAGAGTGAGACTCAGTCTCAAAAATAAGTAAGTCAATAAAAAAATAAATAGCTATTACAGAAGCCACCTTCAAACCATCCCAAACATCACTGCCATGTTAATCTTCATGAGACACAAAACAGATCTTCCCAAGAAAAATCAAGATTCTCTTACCTAATGAATAAATTTCAAATTACTCCATGTCGGATTCGAAACCCTAATCTGATTGTGTGTGTCTTACCTTATATTTTAATTTCCCATTCTTTCCATTTATTTCATGCTCATGTGAACAAACTTAATTGCTGCTATTAAATCTTTTTCCCACTTCCATGCCTATGTGCATGCAATTCCTCTGTCCTGATGTACCCACATGGCCAAATCTTACCCTTATTCTAACTCTCAATTTAGAGAATCTCCATCCATCAAACCTACACTGACCTTTCCTTTCCCCACCACTAAGCTAAAATGAACTTCTCTCTCATCTCTGAACATCCATTGCATTCTATCTGTGCTTTTCTTTTGACATTATTACCCAGTTGATACAATAATTATTTAAAAACATGAAATCTCATTTTCTAGATCCTACATAGTGAGTGTTACAAAGATATAAAGAATAAAGGAAAGTCCAGAGAGGTGAAACTAGAGAAGAAGGTAGAACGATGAGGGGATGGAGTAAAGAAGAAAAAGGAGGAGGAATGGGAATAAAAAAAAAAAAAAAAGAACCAGAGATTAGACAGAAAAAAGGAAGAAATGGTAGCACTTTGTCTTTCAAAGGAGCTGATGGAAAAAATACAGGCTAATCTACTTTTCTCTCAATATCAGTAACATTTTATGGCCATTTCATTGTAGTTAAATAATATAGACCATCATCATTTTGTACTTTGGCCAAGACAGTAATGAAATGGCAAGCTTTAGAAGTGAACTTTGAAATATGCTCCTATTAATTAATATACTTTTGTCCTTGAAGCTGAGATTGTACCCATATAAACCATTTTACTTCCTCTTGGGCTATTTTAGACACTATTACAGGTCTCTATGTTGCTCATTCAGGAATTTGGAAAGAGGAGCAAAGGACCTAAAGAAAGATTACTTCATGTATGCTCTAGAGAATTAGAAAAAGAGCTAGTTGTGAATGTTCAGCAAACTCATAAAAAAAACCAAGATATGAATGCTTCGTATCCTGGGAACCCAGGACCTTCTATATATCATGTTTCAATTCTTCCTGATGCAGCACTCAGAAAGGCAAGTGGAACATTTAACATCAAATATTGGAAGAGCTTTAATTTGAAAATACTTTATTGGGAATCAGCACAATGCCAGTTTGGGTGACAATAGATCTTTGAGTTTTTTAGTCCTACCCTAATCAGATTTCCAGTATGTAACACAGACAGGTACAGAATCACTGGCCTGAGGTTGGTTCTCCCTGTATCTCCCTCAGATTTTTTTGGACCCAGAGACAAAAACTCTCCATGTTGGCAATATTGAACTCTGGCCAGGTATAACTTTGTTGTCATAAGCACCTCAGGCAAAGCCATCAACAATTACTTTATACTGTTTACAAAGTAAAACACATTAAGCAAGCAGTCATCAAGATTATGATCGTACTATGGATTGCTCCTTTCATCTGAACTGCCCTTTTGCCTGCTCCTAATTTCATTTAGTTTCAGCATCATTTCTCTCAGAAGTGGAGTCTGATCATCTCCAATAATTGATGATGCTGAAAGAAGTCATCTCATCAAAATCCTGAGCAGCTGCAGATTTTACATTTGCTGACTCTTTTGTGATTGTTATTATCCAGGCTACTGGTCAAAACATTTCAAAATGGTTGGACTATTTCCATCACGTAGTCTCAGCAAATTTCTATTTGAGGGCGGTTTGCTCAGCCATTATCCTTTCACCATTTCTACCTGTTCCTTAGTGAAGTGCAGAAAGTGCTGCACAGATCTTGGTTGTGGAGCAGCTAATATTTCTTAATCCAACTCTGCATTCCAGGTCACTAAAGGTCATATCTTTATGGTGTACAGAAAAGCTCATGTCATTTTCACTTGCCTAGGAACTGTAGTAGAATGGAGATAATATGGAATTGGTAGCCAGAAAATTTGAATTTAAGACTCACCTCTATCATTGCTCCCTATATCATCTTTAAAAAAGCTGCAACATCTCTTCCTCTATTTGCTAGTCTAAAAGTGGGAGGGTAGAATGCTAAAGTCATTAATATTTCATCTTCGTTGGGAAAATTAAATAATATAATGGACATGAAATGGCTTTCCAAATAAAGTTTCTAAATCTTTACCAACTTTTGTACTAAATAACTAAATTAGTTCTGCAAACTTACAAGCTATTTCTGAATTGGCATAACCTAACCTTAGTAAATTACCAGGGTCAATTAAGAAGGAAAAAGTTATACTCTCTTTTCTATTTCAGGATACATATTTTTCAAATTTTTTCCTGTGGAAGACTTGCCAAGCTTAAACAGATGGTGTTTGTTAGAAAAGAAAAGTTAATTTAATAAAGTCAAACTCATGTTGTTTATAACCCATTTTAAAAGCACAAAGCATAAACTGTTTTACTCTTATCTGGTGACATCAGATCACCGCTTCACCAGAAAGGTCAACTTGGAAAGACTTGCAGTTTCATAGCCTCTTCTCAAAACTACTCTCTGACAATATTCAATGAGGCTCTTTTGAATAAAGAAAAAGTTAAGCAAGGATCAATTTTCAGTTCTACTCTAATGTTTAAAATGGAGCGGTTGACTTGACATCAAGGAATAAATATATTTCAAATAAGAAAGCAAAACTTTAAAGAAATTATGTGATACAAAATTTTCAAAAGCTCGTGTCTCTCAATATTTTCCAACTAAGCAATGAAGCTTCTTTCATTTCTCTTTGGCATATTAAGACCCATCAAGTCAGAACACGGGCCTTGAATATCTGCAGTCCTCAGTCAGTGGCTGCATTGGCCCCTCGGCCTGATATTTTGTTCCTGGTGGAACTGATGACTTCCAGAATCTAGCAAAAATAATGCTCCAAAATAGCAGTGAGAGCTGGGCAAGCTGTGTACAGGGCATGTAAGGAGCTTGACCATTGAAGCCAAGTGACTTAGGAGTCAGCAAACTGTGCCTGCAAACAAGTTTTCTAGTTTTCTTTCACAGGACAAAGTAACAAAGTGGCAAAGTGCCCTTGATAGAACAGATGATGGCAGAGTAAAACATTTAGGATACAACCTTTTTTTTGTTTTGTTTTGTTTTTGGATAGGGGCTAATTCTTCTTCAAACTGCTTAGAGAAAGGTACATTTTAGAGAGGATCAGATTGACTTAAACATGTAGGAATTTGAACTGCTACCTTTCCTAAACACATTTCTCAGAAAAAAAGCACTAAAACTGATTGGTGCAAAGACATTTGACTTGCAGCAAGCATTACATTAGGCTCTGAAATCTCTCTCTCACGTGTGTTTATGGGTTTGTGTCTGTCTGTGTGCATATATAGATATATATATACACACAAACATGTATAGCATATATTGCATATATACGTGTAATATATACTTAAATCACACATATCTAATGTGTTATACACATATGTGTATTTTGCATCCAGAAAGTCTTCCCCAAAAGCAGTAATACTTCACCATCTGAGTCTCAATACCATCACTGCCTAACTAGGATGCATAATAGATCATAGTCAATAGTCTTATGAACAGAGACGGATTCAAGGCACAGAAGAAATGAAGAAAAGCTATACTCTAAAATACATGTTAATCCTAGAACCTCACTTAATGACTTGTAATTTGTATGATGCTTTGATGTCTTATGGCCTCAATCTAAAAAAAAAGAAAAGTAAATCTGAATAAAATAAGCTTTTGCAGACAAGTGGAATATAAGAGGCAAAAAAAAAAAAAAAAAACAGTCTGTAGAGGGGAAGTTTGGTTTTTCAGTTAAGCATGTGAATTCTTGAGGTAAGATACCTAAATTTGCATCCTAGTTCTACTTACTACTTGTGTGACTTCCTCAAGAGATTAAACTATTTTATGCTTTATTTACTTCACATGTTAAATGACCAGAATAAGAGGTAAGAAAATTAAATGAGACTGTCCATGTAAAAATCTGTTAGACATTGTAGCAGATTCGAAGTATTCAATAAATGTTAACTTATTGTTACTCCTATGGTATGACTCCACTGCACCAGGTCTTTGTGCATGGGTGCCCTTCCTCAGCAGTCCCCAAACTTTTTGGCACCAGGGAACAGTTTTGTGGAAGACAATTTTTCCACGGATGGGGTGAGGGGAGAAATGTGGGTTCAGGGGAGATCTGTGGTGGAGTGATGGTTTTGGGATGAAACTGTTCCACCTCAGATCAACAAGCATTAGATTCTCATAAGGAGTGCACCTCCTAGATCCCTCACATGCGCAGTTCACAATAGGGTTGGTGCTCATATGAGAACCTAATGCCTCTGCTGATCTGACAGGAAGCAGAGCTCAGGCGGTAATGCTCGCTTGCAGGCCGTTCACCTCCTGCTGTGTGGCCTGATTCTTAACAGTCCATGGACAGGTATTTACCCTCAGTGGTCCTACAGTTGGGGACTCCTGTGTTGGGGACGCTTGCCCTTCCTAGATAACTCAAAACATGTCAGAAGAAATGATGTCATACAAGGAAACAAGAACCAATGCTTCTTACTTTCCATGAGAAAATGCATTTGAATATAGATTTGGAAGAGTTTGGTATAGACATGTGGAAGGAGTCTATGGTCTGTGAGGGAAGGGGAAGAGTTTGGAAAGTTTTCTAACAATTCCTGTCTATGTTTCTTTTTATTTTCTTCATCCCTAAGAGCTAACAGAAAAGGAAAATATAATACAGTAAGTCCTCACTAAACATCATTGATAGGCTCTTGGAAACTGACTTTAAGCAAAGTGACATACAGTTTGTCCTCAAATAACATCATTTCATTTAATGTTGTTTGATTATAACATTGATGAGAAGAAAATGGTTTTCTGATATGTCATTTGGCTTAAAGTCACAGTTTTCAAGAATCTATTGATGATGTTAAGTGAGGGTTTACTGTACATATTCTTAACAGGTTAATGGGGCCTAAGAAGAAATACTAGCTTTCAGATGCTAACATTGTCTTCTAGTGCTCATTTAAGTTAGACTTGCTCTTCTTCGAAAAAAAATTCTCTCTCTACCCTCAACCAGGAATATACTCAGTCCCTTTGTATGCACTTAATTGAAATTGTAAGCTCATTCCTATATGCTCTTTTCATGTACTCTTGGGAATGGTTCAACCCCTCCTCTCTGACAATACACCACTTAGGGCTCTCTTTAGTACTAATTCTGATATCATCACTCAATAGCTGTAGTATCCTGAGCAGATAATTTAACCTCTTGCCTGTGCCTGTAACATAGCTTCTTGCCTATGTACTCATCTATAAAACAAGACAACAGTTATTACCTGCTCCTTAAAGTTGTAAGAGAATTTAAAAAAAAAAAAGTATGTAAAGGGCTTAGCAAATGAAAACCGAATAATGAGTGGTAGCTGCTAGTACCATGATTACTATTTTGTTTTTAACTTTATTTTGCATCATTATTGTTTCTATGTCCTCCTCTTGCTCAACAATTGCTTTATCTATGAGACTTATACTGGAAAATTGTAAGCTTCAATGCATTTTTATTATTCTAAATTTCTTAAATCCGTATGTTCTACATCACACTGAAGCTTTTGAAAAATTTCAAGATAGTAAATTGTCCTTTTATAGAAACATCGATGTACTTTCATTTACATTTGTCAGCTGGGTGTTTTTGTTCTTCTCATATATTATTAAAAAATATAAAGCATTCTTACGTTTTTCATGTTGGAATAATCTTTATATAACATATTAAAAATTGGACCATATAGCTGTATCGCTATGTATGAAATTTCTGATTAGGCATGTTGGCAATAGGAAGGTGTCAGAGGGAATTAAGCATGTTTCCAGTCCCAAGATTATAATTAAATGGTTAGTACAAATGGTATCATCAACATGATGCTAAACATAAAAATACCGATAATACATGATGCATGATTTCTAGATAAATAACAAAGCTCTCTTCTCCTTCATACAAGCTTAACATGAATCATAAGTCAATATGAATCTTCCCTGAAATCAATGATTAAGAGAGTTCAATCAAAAAGAGAAATGACATTTCTTTAACTTTTGTTAATTAAAAAAATTCTTCAAGTCGGGGCACAGTGGCTCACGCCTGTAATCCCAGCACTTCGGGAGGCCAAAGTGGGTGGATCATGAAGTCAGGAGGTCAAGACCATCTTGGCTAACAAGGTGAAACCCCATCTCTACTAAAAAATACGAAAAATTAGCCTGGCATGGTGGCGGCGCCTGTAGTCCCAGCTACTCGGGAGGCTGAGGCAGGAGAATGGCGTGAACCCGGGAGGTGGAGCTTGCAGTGAGCCAAGATCGCACCACTGCACCCCAGCCTGGGCAACAGAGCGAGACTCTGTCTCAAAAAAAAAAAAAAAAAAAAAAATTATTCAAAACTTAGGGTATTGTCTTTAGCAATTGATATTTTATGCCTTTATGCCTTTATTTAATATATCCAGCCAAAGCTTCTACTTAATACTTCATAATAGTTCCCAGAAAACTGGTTCACTGTGCAAATGTGAATTCAACTATATTTGAAGAGGACATTGATAGTCCTGGAGGAACAAAAATAACTTACTGATAACAAACTACTTTTTTAAAAAAATTAATATATTTTTAGAGAAGCTTTAAGGTTATAGATAAATTGAGCAAAAAGTGCAGAGAATTCCCATATACTCCCACCCCTCCATACACATACACAGTTTCTCCTATTATCAACATCTTGCATTGGTGTGATACACTGTTATAATTGATGAGTCAATACTGACGCATTATTATTAACTAAAATCCACAGTTCATGTTAGGGCTCGCTCTTTGTGTTGTATATTCTGTGTTTGTACAAAGGTGTAATGAAATGTATATATCATTATAGTATCAGAGAAAATAGTTTCACTGCCCTCAAAATCCTCCCTGCTGCATCTACTCATCCCTCCTTCCCTAGGAACTCCTGGCAAACCCTCATCTTTTTACTGACTCCATAGTTTTACCTTTTCCAAAATACCACATGTAGTAGGACTCACACAGTAGCCTTTTCAGATTGACTTCCTTCACCTAGTAATATGCACTTAAGATAACTCCGTATCTTTTTGTGGTTTTATTTATTTTCATTGCTGAAGAGTATTTCATTGTATAGATGTACCATAGTTTTTAAAATTCATTCACTATTGAAGGACATCTTGGTCGATTCCAAATTTTGACAACAATGAATAAAGCTGTTATACCCATTTGTGTGCAGGATTTGGTATGGTCATAAGTTTCCAACTCACTTAGATTAATACCAATAAGCTGCACCATTATGAGTTTCCATTAAAAATAAAAGTTCTTGCTCCGCATCCTTGTTAGCATTAATATTGTCAATTTTTAAATTTTAGTCATCACGTACTTAGTAGTTGTTCAGAGAAGCTCTGATTATTATGCAGAAACTATAAAAAGACATTGTTACTGGTGATTTAAATTAGTTATTTCAGTATAAACTGAGCATCGAAGGTCCTGGGTCTGAGTCCTGGATTCCTTTTTACCCCTAGATTTGTGTTCTCTTTTACATCTGTGCTCTGTTTCCCAGTCCAAATATATGGGCTTCTAGTCTCACCTTTGGTTTGGATTCAAACTCTTTTTCTGGAGCTAAAACTCTACTGGTGTGTAGGGACCTAGACATTTGCCTTGCCCTCACCAGCTCCCAGTTCTTAAGGTCTCCACTACCTTTTTCAGATCTTCTAACTGCAAATTGTCCCATTTGCTGTCTTTCTGATTTGAGAGCACTAATGACCCCTAAAAATTCTCTTTCTTAGGACCCAGACAGCAAAGCTGACTCTCGTGGATATTAGCACTATCTTCCATCAAATCTATGCCCTTTGACACCACAATTTGTAGACACAGTTTTCTCTAAAATTGGGCACAATATGTGCAAAGGGTAAAGGAAGCTTGAGTATCTTTATAGACTTAAGGACTCAATATCTTAGCCCATACTCCAGGCATAGGCAAAGAATATGGCACCGGGACTGGGTGCGGTGGCTCACGCCTGTAATCCCAGCACTTTGGGAGCCCAAGGCAAGTGGATCACCTGAGGTCAGGAGTTTGAGATCAGCCTGGCCAACATGGCAAAACCCCATCTCTATTAAAAATACAAAAAATAGACTCATGTGGTGGCATGTGCCTGTAGTCCCAGCTGCTCGGGAGGCTGAGGCAGGAGAATCACTTGAACTCAGGAGGCAGGGGTTGCAGTGAGCCGAGATGGCGCCACTGCACCCCAGCCTGGGTGACAGAGCGAGACTCCATCTCAAAAAAAAAAAAAAAAAAAAAAGAATATGGCACTGAAGATAAAATTTAACGTGAACAGAGTTGAAGCATCGAAGCATAGATTTTTCTAATCCATGGCACAGTACTTCACAATAAAATGGCTTTTAAGTTAACCACCCACCACCATTTATTGTGGGCCAGTTGAACACTTTTTGAAAACCAACGTTATTCAAAATAAAGATACCACCAGATCTTGAGGATTATGTTAAGCCTGGCAAGTCCAAAGTTTTCTGGTTATTTTTAGTTTTTAGATGAGTTTGTTTAAAAAATAGGAAAAATTAAGGAATTTTTCATGTGGATTATATATAGCAATCAAGAGAATTACAATGGCAAGTCGGACAAAGCAATATATAATATAGTGCTTAATTCACTGAGTTTAACAAGCAATGGGGTTAAAAACATAAGTCAAGAATGGAACTACACTTGATCTTAGAGGAAAAAAGAAAAAGAGATGACACTCAAGAAACAATGGGTTCGTCTAATCAAATTTATTGTGGCAGAAATCAGTACGAACTTCATAGGACAGGAGGAAACCAATATAAACATCTCAGCATTGTAGGGAATTTGATTAACCCATGGAAAGCAGGGCTGAACTAAAGACCACCTTGAAGGCCAGGAAAAACGGATAATTTAGATATAGTCAAAGTATGAAATCATTGATAGATCCGGAATGAAGGAATGATGTAGGTGTTTAATTATTACATCTACTTTATTTACAATTTTCCCTCTGTTAAGCTAATATCAACTAATAGTGGTCTAGGTAAGTCAAGTTCAAATTAAATGGTAATTGACTAAACCATAAAGTTATTTGGAAGTAGTGAAGGAAGATGTTTGGTGGCGGGGGGGCATTGTCAAACAGATGGAGACCAAGCCCTCTATCCCTGCTTCACTGCATAGATTTGGTTTATATATTGTAATTCTCATTGAATTTTGTTTGAAATGTGGATTTAGCAGGTTAAAATATTAAAAACCTTAGTAATAGGTAATAAAATCTAGAGATGGAAAGGGATTTTTGTGTCCAAAACATATTTTAAGTTGACAGCTGCTTGCCTCAAAAATTGCCTAGAATAAACTTGGAACTTAACAAATATTTCATAATTATTAAATTACAGATAGATCCTAACTTTTCAGACAGAAAGTGATTTGCCTAAAAGCTCACAGAACTTAATAAGAGATCTGAAACTAACCTACAGATATCCTGCCTGTGGAGATTCCCCTGCATTTTTATTTCTGAACTTACATTTCCACTTTTGATATCATATTACAGTATCATTGCTTGGAGTCAAAATCATATTTTCCTAAATTCATCAACTAATCCCAGAAAAAAATAATTTTAAAATCCTGAATCAAATAATTAACTATATTAACCATAATCTCAGAACTAATCTTTTTCAACAACAAATATCTTTATGTTCTAAATTTTTGTGGTCATTTCTAGTTGTTCAAAACTGATTTATTGACCAACTCTAGTACTTCTAACTAATCATATTTCAAAAGAAACAGCATCAACATTTCATGTCTCATTGGTAAAACTGTGTTAATCCATCACAAAGGTAAATTATTTTTCCCAATTTATTCTGGCATCTCTTTTTTTATTAGCACAATGATCGTGACAGGCTTTGGCTATTGTCAGTCTAAGTCCCTCAAATCAACATCCCTACTTAATGTGTTTTGTAAGACTTTTTAGTACTTCACAATAAAATAGCTCTTAAGTTAACCAGCCACCATAATTTATTGGGCATAGCATATGTGCAAGGCACTGGGCCAGATACTCCAGGAGAAACACCAAAGGTGTCATTTTTACACTTTGGAATGAGTACCTTAGAGTGTGAGGGAAAAATATTCCAATGATGAAAAGGCTTTGAAAGGATGACCGTGTAACCTATAAATGATGACAATTCTAATTCAAAATTAAAACAGGGCAAGGTGTAGAAGGGACATAGTGTGGAGGAGAGTTTGTATACTATTTCATTTTCAATTGGCTAATCCCACCAGCATCAAGCTCTCTATTATCAAATAGAAAGTTGCCTGTGTTTTATTATATGCTGTTGTGTACTGCATGCCTACCTTGCTGTAAGGCCTCTGGACTGCTGGACAATACTGCTTCTACACTCTCTGTCAGTCTTGAATTTATCCTGGTACATTCATCCCCTAAAATGTCCTCAATCTAGCAAGCTTTCATTTCATTGCCATTGTTTTGTTGTGAGTTCCATGTTGTTGATGGTTATCACAAGCAGATCCAGCACACTCACTAACTCCTATCTTTGTTCAAAGGAAAAATCTTATGCCTCAGATGAATATCTTATTGGGCTAAAATTCCCTGTCAACACGGACTGAAAGACCAGAACATGAATTCTCGCACATTTGTTCTGAAATTCACTAAAACTTAGCGTCAATGTTAGATTCCATCAGAATAGTAAAGATACTGCCTGCAGTAAGTTATTATTTAAATATTCTTTTCTTTGCTAATCTAGAAAATACCTTTACACTACTATGTTATCATATTAACACAATACCTTAAAATGTATTTCACCTATGAGTTTATTAATCAGAGGGAGTGAAGGATTAAGGAAATGTAATGTAAATGTCATACCAAGGCAAAGGGGCAAAGGTCATTTCAAGGATTATATATGTCAGTTCCTACGGGAACCCATAGGATAGAATCATGTCTTAGTTCATTCAGGCTGCAGTAACAAATACAATAAATGAAGTAGTTTATACAGAACAGAAATTCATTTCTCACAGTTCTAAAGGCTGGGAAGTCCAAGATCAGATTCAGTGTCTAGTAAAAGCCTGTTTCCTGGTTCACAGATGGTGACTTTTCACTGTGTCCTCACATGTCAGAAGGGGATAGCTAGCTCTCTGGAATCTCTTTCATAAGGACACTAATCTCATGTATGTGGGTTTCATCCTCATAACCTAATTATTCCCAAAGGCTCCTGTTCCTAATACTATCACCTGGGGGAGCTAGGATTTCAATATATGAATTTTGGGAGAACATGGGCATCCAGCTCATAGCAAAGCTGCACATGCATGGCTATTTCAGCACGGAGATAAGGTTAGGCAACTCAGTAACAGCCTAACCGTGAAAGAGTCAAGTCAAAGTCCAGTCACAGACATTGGAACACCAAGAAAGAAAAAAATGAAAACATATATATCACCATGGATTAGAAATTTGCCATTAGGAGGATATGCCACAAAGAAAAAAAAATTGCTTTTATGCACATGAGTGATGAAAAACAATTTTTGTCATAGTTGAATCGTAGCATAAGAGAAGGAGGAAGACGAAAAGGAGGAGAAAAGGAAAGCAAAAAAGAAAAAAAATCTTTAGTATTTTCAAGGTTATGGTTATTACCTAGTCTAACCTACTGCTAATCTGCTCATTGACTAAGAACCTCACAAACCTTTAGAGCCATTTACTCCTGGAGTGTCAACTCCCACCTGCAGGTTGATATGGCCTTGAGCTAAACTCCCAGCACTAACATTATTTCTGAACTTTTTTCTACATGCCCAAACACTGGCATTGCAAAGGTAACATACCAAAAATTGACCTTAGTATCTTGTCTACAATATTGGTTTTCTTTAGTATCTTGGACCAATTTAGTGAATGACCTCTATAATCATAAATCTATAATTGACAGATAATTGCCTTTGATTCACCCTTAATAACATTTTTTGAAGTTTGAGAAGTTGCTTCTCACTTCTAATTTATAGAAAATGGTACCAATTTTCTATTTATGAGACTAATATAAGATTTTAAAAATAGACATACAATTTTAAAAAATTGGTTTATTTAAAGAATACGTCAAAGCAAACAATCATGCGCAATGTGTATCTAAATTAAAGTTGTAAATTTGTTGCATAAATGATCAAAGTTATAAATTCTGTCATAGCTGTAGAATATCCTCCATGTGCCAGTCCCTGCTACCTTTTCATCTTCAGTACTTACTGTCTCTAATTCTGCTTGAATCTTGTGCTTCACTCGTCTTATAATTCCTTGCAAACTTACTGTGTTGCACTCCACTTGCCTTTTCCCATGCTAGCAGTTACCCTATTTGGAATTAACTCCTCTACCACCACTCTCCCATCCCCACTTATCTGCCTGAGAGACGTTTCCTCTTGTTTTAAACTTCATCAGAAAATATCTCACTACGATGATGTTTTAAATGTCCACAGTTATTCTCTCAAGTTCTTAATGTTTCAAGGCATGTTTCAGTCTTTGTCTTTCAATCTCTAACACTTGCACAAAACCTGAATCAGAGTAGGAACCTCACAAATGTTTTTTGAATGAATGAGTGATTATTTTTTTCTATAACATAAATTAATATTTATTATGCTAGAGACATAAGCAAACGTTGTCTTTCTGCCTTGGATAGCAATCCCATCCAAGATTGCTGTGGGCCAAGTTTGTTTCTCAAATTCTAAACAGAGAGCTACACAAATCCTGAGTACTAACAGTCTCCAGATGTTGCATCCAGAAGCCAACAGCTCATCTTTATGGCCTATTCTCAATTCTAACTGCTTCCCCTTACATATCCTCTATTTTAAAAGAATCTCTCTAATTTAAAATTAAAGTACGTCAAACCTCCTGTCCTGCATGACAGGATGTAGGGAACATTCTTCCAAGTCCTGTGGCTTAATAGGTAGAGGAGCAAATACCCCTTCCCCCTCACCATGCTGTGTGAAAGATTTGTAAAGATAATTTAGTCTAACACTCCACAAGGGTTTGGAGTATTTGCCAATGGTTTTGTTTCCTGGAAGAGAATTGTAGGTTTTAGCATACAGCCTTGCATAAATTACTTATAATTAGTCTTTGGCATTCAAAGCCAGGCAGCTTTAGCCTGAACATGACCTTGAATAGCTTCCTGATATCTTTAATATTTCCGAAAAATTCTTTATATTAATATAATGTCATGGTTTAGTTCTCAGGGATTTTGTATCTCCTTTAACTTTCACAAGACATCACACTGGTACATTCATCAATGACATTATGCTGATGGAACCAAGTGAGCACAAAGTAGCACCAATTCTAGACTTATTAGTAACACATATGTGCGTCAGAAGGTGGAAAATACATCTGACAAAAAGTCAAGAGCCTTCTATCTCAGTGAAATTTCTAGTGGTTCAGTGGTATAGGGCTTGTCAAGTTACCCATCTAAGGTGAAAAATAAGTTGTTGCATATGACCCTCTAACAACCAAAAGAGAGGCACAATGCCTAGTGGGGCTACTTGCATTTTGGAGGCAACTTACTCTAGTTGGGTAAGGAATTGGCAACATATTTCTTAGTTACTCTGACTTATTTACTGAGTGACCTCAAAAGCTGCTAGTTTTGCATGTGGTTCAGAAATAGAAAAGGCTCTGCAACAGGTCCAGGCTGCTGTGCAAGCTGTTCTGCCAATTGGGCTATATAATCCAGCAGATCCAACTGTTTGGAGTGTCAGTGGCAGACAGGGATGCCATTTGCCACCTTTGGCAAGCCCCTAAAGATGAATCACAGTGCAAGTCCTTAGCATTTTGGAGCAAAGTTCTGCCATCCTCTGCAGATAACTACTTTTCTTCTGAGAAACAGTTCTTGGCCAGACGCTGGGCCTCAGTTGAGACTGAGTGCTTAAACAAATGCCACCAAGTTACCATGGGACTGAGTTGCCCATGATGAACAGGGTGTTATCCAACCCACTAAGCCAAAAAGTGTGGCATGCACAACAGAACTCTATCATCAAATGGAAGTGCTATGTACGCAATCAGGCCTGAGCAGGCTCTGAACACACAAGTACCCATGTCAAGTTATTTGAAGAACTAGCCTAAATGCCCATGGTTCCCACTCCAGCTACACTACCTTCTCTCTTCCATCCTGCACCTATGGTCTCATGGAGAGTCCCTACGATTATTGGCAGAAGAAGAGAAGACTGGGGCCTGGTTTATAGATGGCTCTGCACAATATGCAAGCACTGCCTGAAAATGGACAGCTGTAACACAACAGCCTCTTTCTGGAACATCTCTGAAGAACAGTGGGGAAGGGAAATCCTCCTTGTGGGCAGAACTTCCAGCATTACATCTTTTCGCGAAAGAAGAAATGGCCAGGCATGTTACTGGTATACAGTCAGGGACTTGGAAAGAACATGATTCCAAAGTTGGTGGCAAGGATATTTGTGAGAAAGATGTGGGTAGACCTCTCAGAATGCACAAGAAATATGAGGATATTTATGTCCCATTTCAATGCTAACCAAATGGTGACCCAAGCAGGGGAGAATTTTAATAATCTAGTGAATAGAATGACACTTTCTGTGGATACCAGTCAGCCTCTTTCCCCAGCCACCTCTGTTGTTTTCTGATGAGCTAATGACCAGACTAGCCACAGTAGCAGGAAAGGAGGTTATGCACGGGCTTAGAAACAAGGACTTCCACTCAAGGCTGACCTAGCTACACCCACTTCTGAGTGCCCAATCTTCCAGCAGCAGAAGCCAACACTGAGTCTATGATATGGCACCATTCCCTGGGGTGATCAGCTAGCTACTTGGTGGCAGGTTTATATATGGGATCACTTCCATCATGGAAGACATAGCATTTTCTTCTTATGGAAATAGATATTGTGGATATGGGTTTGCCAACACTACACACAAATATGCCAAAAATACCACTCACAGACTTACAGAATGCCTTATCCACCATCACGGTATACCACATAGCATTACTTCTGATCAAGGAACTCATATCACAGCAAAAGAAGTGTGGCAAGGGGCCCATCCTCATGGAATCACTGCCCTTATCATGTTCTCCTCCATCCTGATGCAACTAGTTTAATAGGATAGTGGAATGGCCTTCTGAAGACTCAGCGATGGTGCCACCTAGAAAGCAATACCTTGCACAGCTGCTGCAAAGTTCTCCTGTAGGCTTCATATGCTACTGATCAATATCCAACATATAGTGCTGTTTTTCCCATACCCAAAATTCATAGATTCAAGATTCAAGGGATGGAAATGGAAGTGACACACTCTCTATCACCCCTGGTGACCCTCTAGCAAAATGTTTGCTTCTTGTTCCTGTTAAGTTTATGCTCTGCTGGCTGAGAGGTCTTCATTCCAGAGGAAGAATTTCTTCCCTAGGGGAAACAATGATCCATCGAACTGGAAGTTAGAACTGCTGACTGGCCCCTTTAGAATCCTCGTGCCTCTGAATCAACAGCAAAGAAGGGAATTACATTGCTGGATGGGCTAATTGATCCCAACTGCCAAGGGGAAATTGGACTGCTATGCCACTATAAAAGTAAATAAATCTATGTCTGTAATACAGGAAATCCCTTAGGGTATCTTTTAGTATTACCATTTCCTGTGATTCAGGCCAATGGAAAACTAAAACAATGGAATCCAGGCAGAACTACTAATGGCTGAGACCCTTCAGTTATGAAGGTTTGGGTCATTCTACCAGGTAAAGAACCATTACCAGCTGAGATGTTTGCCAAAGACAAAGGGAATAAAGAATATGTAGTAAAGGCCTGTAATCCCAGCACTTTGGGAGGCCAAGGTGGGCAGATCACTTAAGGTCAGGAGCTTGTGACCAGCCTGGCAAAAAATAAAAAATAAAAAAAATACAAAAATTAGCCAGGCATGGTGACACACACCTGTAATCCCAGCTACTCAGGGAGGCTGAGGCAGGAGAATTGCTTGAACCCAGGAGGCACAGATTGCAGTGAGCCAAGATTGCACCATTGCACTCTGGCATGGGCGATAGAGCGAGACTCTGACTCAAAAAGAAAACCAAAAACAATATGTAGTAGAGGAACAATGTTATAAATACCAGCTACAACCATATGATCAGCTATGTAAATGAGAACTATAGTTTTTATGAATACTTTCTCCATATTTTGTTATACATACGTATGTGTGTATGTAAATATCTTTGTCTTCTTCCCTTTCTTATTCCCATATGTAGTATAAGACATATGGACTTTATACCATAGTATTTAAGTTTTGTTGATTGCATCATAGTGTTTTAGTTATGAGATATCAAGAAGAAGAGTAAACATCACTCAAGGACTTTACTTCCTTTTCTGGGGAAGGTATCAGTGCATTTTCAGTTGTACACAGTGTAGCTGTATCATGTTTAGTGGATTTATGACTATATTATTGTCTGTACTTGAAGATTAAGTAACGTTTAAGGAAATGTATGTTGGTGCCAAGTTGATAAGGGTTGGACTTGTGACGGTTAATTTTATATGTCAACTTGACTGGGCCACAGGATGCCCAAATATTTGGTTAAACATTTTTTCTGGGTGTGTCTATGAGAGTGTTTGTGGATGAGATTAACATTTGAATCAGTAGACTGGGTGAAGCAGATAGCCCTTTCCAATGTGAGTGGGCATCATCCCATCCATGGAAGGCTTGAATAAAATAGAAACCTAAGTAAGAAAGAATTTTCTTCACCACATTAAGACACAGTGAGAAGGTCACTGCTGGCAAGCCAGGCAGAAAGCCCTCAGGAAGGAACCTAATCAGGGCACATGTTAAACTTGGACTTCTCAACCTCCAGAACTGTGAGAAACAAATTCCTGTAAAGCCATCAAATCTATGGTATTTTGTTCTGGCAGCATAAGCTGACTAATACAAAATACATATATGTCATAAACAATAAACAAAAGAAAAATCCTTAGCAGATCAATCAAACTACACTTGGTTTTTTGTCGTTTTTTGGTTTGTCTTGCTGTATTAAAAGTTATGTAAAGAATGGTGACCTCAGCAGGACAGAATCAGAATGCCAATGTTTTACCCCTAATTATTCCTTTACAGGTGTGGAGACCCAGAGCAATGGATTTGAGGAGACAGTGTCCTCCTCGGTTTCATGAAAAACAAACAAACAAACAAAAAAAACACTTTTCCAAATATTTAGACATCCATTTAGTCTAATTTGCAATCCATGGAGATCACTACAGAATTGTAGTTCTCGTGGAGTAAAATAGAGGCTCTAGAAATTCTAAAGTAGTGGAAGAGAAGATTAGGACCTTAAGTTAGAAGGGTGGATTTAGAAGATGACTAGTCAGGAATTCTATATGAGTATTCCAAAGGATGTTTGCATTTGGTGCCATTTATTTCTCCAGAAATATTAGATAAGAGTTTAGGGCCCCTGACCAGTCCTTCATCAAGAACCTTCCCTAAGGCAATATTGCAGAGTCTGAACCTTAATCTCAGTCAATCTACTACTGCATTACTGCAGTAGGTAAGATAAGGCCCTCCACAAGGATGTTCATATATTAATCCTCAAAACCTGTGAATAAATTATGTTACATAGAAAAGAGAAATTAAGGTTGCAGAAAGAATTAAATTTGCTCGTCAGCTGACCTTAAAATAGGCAGGTTATACTGGATTACCCAAATAGGCCCAAAATAATCCTATGAGTTCCTACAAGTGAATGAAAGAATTAGAGGATAGACCGATGGCAGTGCAAGAAGGACTCAGGCTAATGTTGCTGGTTTTGAAGAAAGAAGAAGGGAATCATAAGCCCCAAAAAGCAGACGGCCTCTGAAAACCAGGAAAAGGCAAGGAAACCAAGTCTTCCCTGCACTCCTTCCAGAAAGGAATGCAGCCCCAACACAGTGTGAGATCTGTGTTAGACTTCTCATCCACAGAACAGTAACATAATACATTTGTGTTGTTTAAGCCATTACATTATGGTAATTTGTTAGAGCAGCAATGAAAAAATAATATAAGTACCAATGCCAAGTTTTTTGTTTTTTTGTTTTTTTCATTTTTGCTACCATGACAACTTCATGGAGAGTCCTTTTCCCAGCACTGCACAGCACAACTCATAAGACCAAAGAAGTCCCTAGTCATTTAATAGAGTGATAGACAGAAGATCCCATACTTGCACTTGGGGATGAAACTGAGCTCACTACACTACACTATCAGAGGGTAATCATAGTGAGAAAAGGACACCTCCAATTTTAAATGTGATATTTTGCTCTTGTCTTTCCACTACACAACATGCAAATCACCTATATTTATACCCCTCTTATCCTTCTCTGCTTCATAATTGATGATCTACTACTGCCTCTCCACCTATCTATAAATGATGGTTTGAAACCCTTTCTCTTCTACTTTCAGGGGCACTAGACTGATTTGATTACTTGTTTTCTTGATTGTATATTTAATTCTTCCCTCTGAAATGGAAACTTCCTATTTTGAAATTTAACCACAGTCAAGGCTTTTCTATTAGGAAACAATTAAAAAACAGAAAAGAAAAAACCTTCCTTCTTCTCCCTATTCTATGTCTGCCTGGTATCTTGGGGGAAAAATGCTTATTAATAGGAGTATTGTTACTTCATGGGTTCATTTGTTATTTCCCCCTTTTCTTCATTTAAGCCAAACCTGGAGTCACAGCCCTCTTTAAGGTGATCAGTGACCTCTATGTCACAAAATCCAATGGACATTTTTAGAACAATTGTCATCATTGACCTCTCCTCAAACACTCTTTTTATTCAACTATTTACGAAGAACTATACTTTCTGTATCCAAGAATGTTATCTTTCTCTGGATTCACTTAATTATTAATGCACACATCACAGCTTTGTACTTACACAAGGAAGCACTGTCTGATTAAGTAGAATCCCTATGTTATAGAGTTATCTAAATTGTATTTTAAAATGTGTGTTGTGATTAACTCATTAATGTCTATCTTACCTATGGAAATGTAAGCTCGTGGATTGTCAAGGCCTATGCTTGTGTTTGCTGACCATTAAAATCGTAATTCCATATCCATTGCTGAGACCAATTAAATCATTGATGAGAACTCAAACATATTTGCTGAATAAATGATAAACTTCAAAAGGAAAAAACACACACATAGAATAAAGAGTGACAAATCATTAACACTGGGTAGTAATATGTGGTAAGAACAGGCTAAGTAGTTTATGCCTTATTTTATTTACTCTTTTAAATAACCCACAGAAAATAATAGTTCCATTATGCAAATGACAAAACAGAGATTTGGAGAATATAAATTTTCTGAGGCCTCACAAGTAACAACTGTCAAAGTAAAGAAATTTAACTTAGATATATTTAGCCCAAATCCATCTTACATGGTTCCATACTCATCATGTCTTTGTTTAAATTTCTGATAGTGTGTTCATTATGGACTTTTGCATTGATTTTGATTTTTTATAATACTGCATTAAACTATTATTTCTCTTGACTTTTGCGTTTTTGGTGCCCCTTAAATATTGCATCCAATCTAAGCGCCTTGTTTTATTTACTTACCCCACCCTTGTCTGGTTCTACACAGTTTATGAAGAGTTTGGTCAAAATGTGTATTCTGAAAGTAAGCTGTGCCTAGAATTAAGCAGTAGAAATCAGTCTTTCTGAGGGAGGATTAGGAGAAATCAGTATTAGGAGAAATCTAAATCAGAAAGATGAGAGTGAATTTAATAACAGAGTCCATTCCTCAGGAAGGTAATGACTTGTGATCTCAAATAGCAATAACAGATGATTCTCCACTACAGACAAGGGCAGAATAAGAGCAAGAAAGCTTCTCATGATGTTATATGCAGACATAAAAGTGTCATTATGTCTGGGTCAAGAATCACTTCCACCACACTCTGTTGGTCAAAGAAAGTCACAAGGCCAGCCCAGGTTAAAGAGAAGGGCAAGGATACTCCATCTGTTGATGAGGGGATTTGCAAAATTACATGGCAAGGGGGGATTCTTTCAAGTAAGGGAACTTCTGTCATTTGTTGCAAATAGTCTACCACAACTAGCAACAGCTGGGAATGAGAATGCTAGTACCATCATACCATAATTAGCATTGAGTGAAATAGTTATTCATTTGTAAATCTTTGGCCATATAGTTGGCAAAGAGCAGTGTGTTGTGGTGTTATTTTGTCTGTTGAGGCCTAATAGTAAACCTCATCTTGATAACTGTGGAAACTATATGCCACAGAATTCTAATCATCTTGAGGGAGAAGGGATATTTCTCAAATGAGAGATACTCCAGTTTTCTGTTTGTTTGTTTGCTTGTTTTTGTCTTGTACTTTTTATTGTTGCTGTTTTGTTTTTAATATATATTTTTCTGATAGAAGAAAAATCCGCAACCACTTCTAATGCCCTGTCTACCCATTAAACAGACTTAGGTCAAGCTACACTTGGAGACATGTGATCATCCAGTTTGAGCACAAACTGTCCCAGGAAAGGCCAAGGGTTGGGCAGAAATCACTAGACACCAAGAAGAGAGAATCTGCTGAAGCTCTTTCTAGTAAAAGCACATTCTCTGACCAACAGTTAAACATGTCTCCAAGACTAGTTAAAAAGGTTTTAGAACCACTTGAGAATAGACCAAACAGATGATCTGCCTTCAGCCTCCTAGATAAGGACATAGTTTTCCTGTCTACTCCAAAATGAAGGAATGAATCAGGAAAACAAGTTCTAAGAGGTGTTTACTTCCTCAAACAAATTTTCATTATTAATGGAAATTGTTATTGGAAAACTTTCCCCCCTCTATGTATTGTTTGTATTTCTGTTTAAATTCAAATTTGAGCCAGCAGCTAGGGAAATAAGATTATCTGAAGTATATGGCAAAAATCTCATGCTGAAGCCTGATTTATCTAGAAGTGTAAACTCTGAATTATACACCTCCCACTTACTCTAAATTGAACTGCCCACATCTTTGTGGGGCGGCCCACAAGGTGTCTAATGAGTTATATGCCAGCACTTATTTAACAAGAAAAGAAACCAAATAGAGCGTAACTGAAACCTGGGTACATTTTGTTTTTGTTTTGTTTCAGAGAGCTGTCAGATATTTCAGTCCAATCTTAAAGTTGTTGCTTCCCTTTATTGCAAGCCGACTTCAGAATTTTAGTTACCTCTTGCTACAAAAGGTTTCAGTTTTCAGGGTGGCAGGAAGAATGAAGATCGATGGTTGCTGGGTCTGGTCGGTCATACCAATTTGTACTGCAATCTAGGTGTTGCAATCTCTGAGATTTGAGTTTAAATGTGTGCCTTGCAGCTTTAGAAGAAAGATGTGGTCTGTATACAGCTGTAGATCAACACCGCCAGTTTATTCACAGAATGAGGCATCCATCAGGCTTGTGCACATGGCCATTTCGTGGGTGAGAGAAAAGAAAGGAAAAGAGAGGTGGGATGAGACAAGGCAAGAAAGGAGAAAAGGGAGGGAAGGAAGGCAGACAGAGAGAGAAGGAGGAAGAAAGAAATGGGAAAAAGGAGAAAGGCAGGGATGTGATCTTGTTAGTTTTCTTAAAATAGTAAAGTTACAGCTAAATCTTTCAGATAAGGCATGGTTCATTCAGAGAAAAAAATCAGCTATTTAACATAAAAATAACAATATTATTCAATAAATGCCGTGCTTAATAATTTTTAAATAGCTAAGCTCTGATGCATACTAAATAATAAACGTGTCCAAGAATTTTACTGGAACTATTTCCAATTAATCTAAATTGATTTTTAAAAATCTTGCCTTTGAGACATGTTCTTTCTGATTTGCAGCATACTGTACCCTCCAATACTGCAATTTTAAAATATTTGCATTTGAAGGATTTCATACAATTTATAATTTAAATTTTTTTATTTCTAAATAATCATATTAAATTTGAAATGCAGTCCAGGTCCCCATTCTTACTTTATAAATTTTATAAACAAGCATTTTTCAGTGTGAGAATGTTCTCTAGACTTGCAATTTAGCCATGTTCGAACTTTCAATGATTTAGTTTCTTGCTTAGCCTGTGCGACAACTCAAACAACATGCTACTTTACACATGTGATTGTTTTTTAATTGCTTGTTTTCTTGTCCCATAAAACCCTAAGGAAAAGCTGTAAGAACATCTTTTCTTTATAGTGGAGAAAAGTATCTACAGCTCATTTTCCAAATACGAAGCTGGCCTTTTCTTGCAACATGTGCATATTTGAACTGGGGGTACCTATTGAGAGGGGAATGGAGTTGCAAGCCAGAATTTCCCCTGCTTAACAGCAGCAAGAAAAAGGTTTTGTTTGTTGTTAGTTTCTACAAGACAAATATTGCAAAGAAAATATTCTCTTTTAAGTTGTGTATGGATCTAGGTTCAGTTAGTGAAATTGAATGCTAAAGTAATAAACTAAGATGATATTCTGGAAAGAAATAGTTATCTATGATTTCTTTTGTTTAAACAATAGGAAAAGTTTGTATATACTGTACAGGCTAATCATCTCCAAAACAACTTAAGACAACCGCCTTTGGCTCTATCATCCAGGTTAGATTGTTTTCAAATAGTAAAGACAAGTGGTCACAAGACAGCTTAAAACTGTTATTGAATAGTTAAATAACTTTAATCCAGGTGAAAAATATCCTCCTTCTTCATTCGGCTCTGAAGAAGAAGAAAATTTAGGTTTATTCAGGTATCAATTAAATAATGATACTTTCAGATTCGATCACAATTCTATTTTCCATTTCAGAGACGAGGATAGTAAGGAATATAGAGAAAGGGCATTTATTTTTGGTAAAAAGTCATGTTCAGTGATCAATAATCAGTGATTCATGTTTAAGGAAACATCATAGTCATCAGCTTAGAAATATTTTCAATAGCCCATATGCTTCTCATTGAATCATTATTCTCTACTCTCAGTCTCCAAAGAATCAGTTTAATCATATGGCTTGCCGATGCTAAGAACTGTTTTAGGACCTTTAGCGACCCTAAATATGATAAAGAATATACATGTCCCATATATTTTTAATTCAAACCATAACCAGCTAAACCATTAAGTAAGTATTAGGAATTACAACAGATTTCTGCCTTTTCCCATAGATAAATCATCTATTTATCTTATTTTAAATAGATAAATCATCTATTTATCTTATTTTAAATAGATAAATCATCTATTTAACATAAAAATAACATTTTGATTTTGATTTTGTTTTAAATATAAAGCATGAAATAATTTTCTAAAATGATTTGATGTTCTTTGTTGTTTAAAAATAACATTTGATTTTGTTTTAAATATAAAGCATGAAATAATTCTCTAAAATGATTTGATGTTCTTCTTTGCTGGGCCCTAAGCACAACCTGTGCCAGTGTGACAATGTCTCAGACATTAACACTCCAGTAGTACCAGGACTTTAACATTTAATCTCTGTTTCTTTTACCTCCATCTCCTTGAATATTTTAATTAGGAATTATTGCAATAGAAACATTTGAATTACCTAATATAGTCTTTAAGCCACAGCCCAAATAACGAAAAAAAAAGGTTCCCCTTAAATGGAATTGTCAGCTTTGCTGAGCATTCAGAGTAGCTGAGTATATGGTGCTACTTGGAATTAGCTCTTTGGTTTTCATTAAAGCATTATATTGAATAAGTTAAATATCTTTGTCCTTAATTTAAAATGGTAATGAGAAACTGAAAATAAAAAGCAGTGCAATAAGGAATATCAGGGACATGCACGCCAACATTAATAAAATGATTCTTTTTATCCTTGCTTTAACTTTGGCTTTATTCTTGTGACCAAAAAAGAACACTGGAATCATGATGTAAAAAAGGAAGACTATAAATTGAAGCGTAATGACTTTAGAGATAAATGTATTAGTTTATGTATAGTTGGTACTGAAATTGAGAATCTGTTAGAAAAACATATTTCCCAAATCTATAAAAAGACATATTTAAGAATTCTACCTGAAACCATTTCTTTCTTTCAATTATTAAAGTATTATATGAGACATGCTTGAAACAAATCATTTTGATCAAGAATTATCATTACCTGATACCTTTCTCAGAGAATTTTTGCCATGGTATAATTTTACTATATGGTGAGTTATGGCTCATTCTATGTTAGAACATTATCTACTAATATAAAGTGGCTTATACTTACTGAAGACTCCACATGAATGAGTGAAATGCGCTACTTTCAAATATCCCTGAAAGATATAACAATCACTCCATGATGTATAGGAATATGTTGTCTTTAATACGATTACAAACATTATATATTTTTTACATACTTTAGAGAAGTGTATTAGAAGATAATGGTGTAATATATGACAGTAAAAATAGCTTTTTTATAATTTGAGATGTCCGTTTCATCTGAGAAAAAAACATTTCAACTGACAAAAACCATCAGGGTCTTAGAGTTGGGGCATGGATAGGTGGATTGTATGGCCACAAGAGGGCAGCAGATGGTCTGAAACTAAGGACCTGAGTTGCATGTGAAATGACCGCAGTTGTGAAGGTTTTTCAATAGAGAAAGAGTCGTTTCCAGCCTAAATGGGAAAAAGGAAAGGAAGGGAGGAAGGAGAAAAAAAAGGAAGAAAGAGGTACCAAGAAGGACAATAGAGGGAAACACAGGCACGTTTTAATAGTTTTTTAAAAACAGGAATGCTGTGTGAGGCACGTTTCTGTGAGTGTGTGCCTGTGTGTGCACATCTCTGTGTGTATGTGTGTTTTACTAAGACTTCGGCTGTTCTGCTGCCCAACGCCAAAATACATGGAAATTCTAGTTCTGTCCAAATCTACCACCAAAATGTGTAAATCTCCTCCCCACCACACACAAAAAGAGCTTTTATCTATACAATTTGTTTTTCTTGCATACCATCATTTCTTCTCTTCTACGTAATTAGCCCTCCATTAAAACACTGATTTTGAAAATCAAGGAGAATAATCCACCTGGCTCTGCCACTGTGTCTCCATAGGCCTACTTAAGGAACCAGAAAGTTCACTTTTCTTTTATGTTTGATTTTTTAAAATAATTTATAATCACTTCTTGCCAAATATTATTCTTCTTTAGCTATAGTCAAGATACCGCTAGAGAATACGAGGTCTGCATACTAATTAATTGCTCACAATACTTTCCAAGGAACACAAAAACACCCACAAAATAACTGACTAGTTTGCTTCCCCTACACAATTAATCTTCCATTAAACTACCCTTTTTTTTCTCATTTTTGCCGGAGTAATATTGAATTAGATTTCAATTACATTCAGGCTTAAATGGATATATAGCATTATATAGAGTGAATGGAGGCTGTTGAAGGGAGGAACCTTTCTTTCATCCTTACATCTTCACACATCTTCATTCAATAGGTGTTACATAAATAAATACTTGGGAGGTCACGCAAGAAGCATCAGTCCTCATCCAGTGCAGAGTCTGGATTATGAATCTCAGAACTGGTCTACCTCTCCACTTCTTACAATTATATCAGACATCCCGGTCTCAGTATAATTTGGCATACTGGATATTTGCTCCAAGTCCAAGAAAAGAAAGAGAAAAAAATGTTGTTAATGTGTCTTAATTATACTGAGTGATATATACCAACAATTATACCGATAAACAACGACATGCATATGGGATATGCTCAATTTATACTGCTTCCTTGATCAGTTATTTGCAAAGCTTTAAAAAGGAATGAAAGTTTTTATGACAAAATATGGCTGTATCCTCTCTCATTTGCACCTGTTTTCTATCAGGTATTCTTGGCTATAAGCAGGAAAATGATCAAAGGTGGGGCATCAAAGTGGTAAAAAGGTTTCATGAAGAAACTGTACAATACATGGAGCTATAAATAGCTCATAGATCACTGTGAGGGGAGAGTAATGCTTTGTTCAAGTCAGAACACTTTCTAACTCTGGGGAAAATAATGAACATTTATTTTATGCCAGGTAGTCTTCTAAGCGCTTTACATCTATTACTCATTTTAGTCTTAAAAGCAACCCTATAATTTGATCTTATTATTACCCTATCAATTTTATAGTTGAAGAAAATAAAACCAGAAGAGTCAAGTTACTTGCCTAAGGTCATATAACTAGAACATGAAAAGCCTACTGCAAAACCAGCCTTTTGTAAATGTTACAGTCCCCCAGTTCAGAAGCATGAGGAGAACACACAAGCTGCTTTGAATGTGGTAGTGGCTTATTTTCACCCCATTTAATTAGGATAGAATTAGAAGTTTAGCAAAAATAACTAGTGGCTACTAGAATGAAAGAATGAAAGTAGTTGGTTCAGCCAGAGAAAAGGAGGGTTGCATGTCTCACAATGTCGCTTGAGAACTTAGCTCACGAGTATCTAACATAATTTTCCAATCCTATTACCCCTTCCATGTATTTTAAATTTTCCTATAATTTTTCTTTACAGTTTTGCCTTTGATGTATTTGCAGCCAACATCCTAAAAGCAATGGAAAGAGAACTGAACTGAGAGTCAGGATACACAATTCTAGTGCAAGGTTTTTCATCCTATAGACCCAGCTAGTCAAACCCTTTCTTTTTACATAAAATTATCTATACGTGGCTTCCCAATATATAAAAATATGATCTCTTTTGGTTCTATTTATTAAATAATTATAGCCCAGCTATGTGAATATATCTTAGGTTCTTTTTTACTCATTCCTTTTGTCCTATGGTGTACCCTAGGAGAGACAGCATGCTTGGTCATACAACCGAGCCCTCTGGCGTGACGATTCCAGAATTGTCTCCATATCACAATCTCTAGCCCATCTAGGTGATCCTCTTTGAAAAATGCTTTTCTCATAGAAGAAATAAAACTTTTCATAATGATTCTGTGTCTGCATTGAGTGTGTGTGTGTGCCTGGTTCTTCTTATGTCAGTAGATTGGCCTCTCTCTGTTAATAATGCTGACTTACTCTAAATTACCATGACTCCGAACTTCCGGGTCAAAGATCACTTTTCCTTCACTCTGGAATCCCACATTCAGTAAGATAATAAATCCAGCCACTTCTACCCTAAGCTATATCTACATCTATATCTATGTTTTATATATAACTATACATATGTTTTACATATATTAACTGTATATGTAACATATACATAGATTGTGTGCGTGTGTGTGTGTGTGTGTATATATATATATATATATATATATATATATATATATATATATTTTTTTTTTTTTTTCCCATCTCCTCTTTCTTATTACTGTTGTCATCATTATAGTGTAGACTCTTATTACTCTTCTGGGCTGTTAAATCAAATTGTAACTTATTTCCCCTCCTTCAGTCTCTCTCCTCTCTAATCCATCTTCCAGAGAGTTGTCAGAGAAATCTTTTTAAGTGTGACTCTGATCATGTTACTTCTCTCCTCAAAAATCTTCAGTAATGACCATTTTTTAACAAATCAAATGTGAACACATGACAATGTGATTAGGGCTCTCTGGAGTATGACACATAGACAGAACATTTTGAAGAGACAAAATGGAATTCGAGAAAATCCGAGCCATGCACTGGACTCCAAACAATTGTGCTCCTCATTTTCTTCATTTATAAAATTAGATTAGACCAGCTAATTTTGAGATCACCCTCTAAAAACCAGTATTTCATGATTGTATCTTTTCAACCCTAACTTCTGTTTCTCTACACTCAGTGTCACTGACATGAACAACACTACTGGGCATTCCTAGGATATGGGCTATATTTCTAAACGGCATGCTGGTATTCATTCTGCCCTTTCTGTCTAAACTGTCATTTCTATTGAAAGTGTCTACCAAAAATTCTGCTCATCATTAGTATTATGCTCTACTATAATCCAAAAGCTTTCTCCTCTGCCTCAAAGCTCTTATGAAAACCATTGCTCTCCATATTTATGTTGTTGCTCCCCTACTCGAGTTAGGCATCAAGTGGTTCTACATCCTTTTATCTCACTAGGACCTTGCTAATTACAGGTTTTTCATAAGTAGAATGATTTACTGAATTATGAGACATGAAAGTCAAGCAAAAGATTTGAATTTTTGATAAGCACATCAAATGAAATTAATATGCTCTGATGAAGTCGCAGAATAAAGCTTACCTACCTCTCATGTGATGATTCACTGAGACCTAAAGTTTTGAAAGGACCCACACAGCTTACACTCATAGAGAGGGAAGAACATTCCTATATGACTTGATCTCTTTCATCAAAAGAACTCCTCTGGAGCAAATACAATCTCTAAAAAATAGTGTTGAATGCAGCCATCAATGAGACATTGAAAAGAACATATTTCTAAGAGTTAAGTTGACTTCTTAGAATATTAAAAAGAACTTACTTTTATGGAAATTCAATTTTAAAACTGAAAAAAGTAATAGTACTAATTTATGCACAATTATTTAATTAAAAAGTAGGAAATTGATACAGACATATTGCATTTTATTTATTTATCTATTTCAGAGATAGAGTCTTCAGAGATAGAGTCTTACTCTGTCATTCTGGCTCAGTGCAGTAGTGCAATCATAGCTCACTGCAGCCTCAAACTCCTGGGCTTCAAAGATTCTCCTGCTTCAGCCTCCTGAGTAACTGGGTCTATAGGTATGTGCCATCATGCTCAGCTAATTTTTTTTTAATTTCTTGTAGAGTTGGGGTCTTGCTATGTTGCCCAGCCTGGCCCCAAACTCCTGAACTCAAGTGAGCCTCCCACCTAACATTCCAAAGTGCTAAGATTACAGGCATGAGCCACCGAAACCAGCCCAAACATATTATCTTTCAAGAACTTGGGTGAAACTAGATGTTTTGTCCTTGTTACAGAGAAAAAATGAATATGAAACAAAACTATTTAGATATGTTGAATAATAAATATGTCATCTTTTGTCTCCTAATGATAAAGATAACTAATGACCATATGTTTCGGAAAGAATGTCTTAAATCACGATTTGTGAAAAGTAACCAAAACAAGTCTTGGAAACATGTTATTTCCCACTTCCCTTCCATAAAAGAGTAAAAGATGTAACAATTGAAAATAAAACAGCTCATCATAAACAGAATAAGAGAAGCTTCCCAACATTGTATTAAAATTAGTCATCTAGTTTTGAACAAAAAATGTTTTGGATACAAAATACATAGACATACAGTATAAGACAATTTTTATCAGAATATTTTCATTCACTTTTTTGCCTCTGGGATTTCTCCTGCCTTCAAACCCTCTCCCAGCACTCTATCTTTCCTCCATAGCCATAACTTTCCATGGTCCTCATGAACAAGGGGAGAAAAAATGAAGAAAGAGGCCACTCTGACTTACCAAGTCTTCAGAAATTTTTCAAGTGCATGATGCCTTCTAGAAACATAGGAGCAGAATAAATATCTCAGTTCAAAGGAGTACATTTGATAGTTTTATTAGAAAATAAAATAAAATCCTTTACCTAACAAATTGAACCTCCCTCCCCACAAAAAAATTGTTCAGATATATGAAATTTTATTTAAATAAAATTAGAATAAGTCTGATGCTTCTGCCTGGGTAGTCGTAGCAAAAGCATTCTAGACAATTGAATGGTGTAGAAGAGCTTTGGGTTTTTTCTCCAGCTTCTGCTAGTCATCCTTAAATTCACTTATTTGTCTTTCAATCAAATATATTTTTAGAACTCCAGATGTACCTGACCTGATTTTGTGTTCTGCCTTGTAGATACATGGATATATAAGACACAGCCCACATGTCCCCACCCTTTCTATCAAATTGCCTTATGTTCCTTGACAAGTCTAGATCTTTAGGATGCCAATAATGGCTTTTCTGTGAAAAATCAGCCAGTACCAACTGGCTGAGATGTGTTTTCAGCCAGTACCAATTGCCTGAGATGTGGATTTCAAATCAGATTTATTCACAATGTGTCACACAAAACCTACATCCTGACTTATATTAAACTTTGCTTATGTGATTGTCAATTCACCTGAATAAATTTAAAACAGAAATTGTTCTTATATGTAAAGTGGTATAATATCAGTTGAGAGCAGACTACGACAAATTAAGGATATGTATTTTAAAATGTAGAACTCCTAATAAAATAAAACAAACCATGCTATTTACCAGGTATGATAAATAAATAAATCAGAGAATCAGAATGGAATAATAAAAATGTCCTCAGTTTCTGAAAAAAAAAACAGATGAGAAAAAAATTTAAATTAACCTGATGGTGGATATGAACCCAAACACATTTGATAATTATATTAAATGTAAATGATTAAAGCACCCCAAATAAAGGGGATATATTGACATACTGGATTTAAAAAAAAGCAACAGCTATTTGCTTTCTTTGAGAAACCCATTTTTAATACAAAGAAATAGCTTAAAAGATAGGCCTTGCAAATATTAGTCATAAAAAACATTGAAGATGTTTTGTAAATATCAGACAGTGTAGACTTCAAAACAGTTGCTGTTACGATGGATAAAGCAGGAAAACACATAATGATTGAAGGTTCAACTCATTAAAAGAATCTAACAGCTATAAGTGTATAAGCACCCATCAACAAATCTTCAGAATATTTAAAGCAAAATATGAAAGAAATGAAAGGAGAAATAAAATCCACATTGTAGGTAGAGATTTCAACACTACTGAGAGAAAATAAATAATAATATGGAACACCTGAACAGCACTGTTAACAAACTTGATCTAATTGACATGGAATACACCACCATCAACATCAGAATACATGTTCATTTCAACAGCACAAGAAACATTTATAAAGATAGACTATATGTGTGACCGTCAAACAAGTCTCAATAAATTTTTTAAAGATTTAAATTGTAAGAGCATATTTTCTGACCTAATTGAAATTAAATCAGACGTCAATAACAGAAATATATTTAAAAAGCTCAAAGTATTTGGAAATTTAAAAACATAAGTTTAAATAACCAATACTTCAAGGAAGATATTATAAATGAAATTAGAAAATACTTTGTACCAACTGAAAATGAAAATGCAAATATATCAAAATGCATAGGATGATGCTAATGTGTAAGAAAACCTTCATTTTAATTTTAAATGCTTAAATTGAAAAAAAAGTCTAAGATCAAGTATCTAAGTTTTTATATGAATAAACCAAAAAGGAAGAGAAACTAGAACCCATGGTGAACAAAGTTAGAAAATACTAAAGGTAAGAAAGAAAACAAATACCATAGAAAATAGATAAAGAATGGAAATCAATGAAACCTTTCAAAGACTAATAAATTTGGTAAATTTCTTGGTATGTAATAGAAGAATGATAAAAAAATCCATATGTTGATAATTTTGAAAACTTAGATGAAGTGAATTAATTCCTTAAAAGACATACTACCTACACTGTTTCAGAAAGAAATTGATAATCTGAGTATTTCTATATGTATTATCAAAATTGACTTTTTAGTTAAAAATGGTCCCACAAAGAATATACAAAAAAACAGATGTTTTTACTAATGGGTTTCATCAAACATTTAAGAAAGAATGCTAGCTATTTACACATTCTACCAGAAAATTTAGGAGCAAAAATTACTCAGTTAATTTTATAAAGAAAACATTACACTGATATGAAAATCAGGCAAAGACATTACAATAAAATAAAACTACCCAACAATATCCTCATAAACATACGTGTAAAAAGTTGTCACAAAATATTAGCAAAGCCAAACCAGATATGTATGAAAAGATTGTGTCCTGGGGTTTAAGTATATAAGGTTGGTTTAAGAGTAAAAACTATCATTAGAAAACTAATAAATACGTTTATCCAGTTTGCAGAATACAAGGTCAATATACAAAAATTATTTACGTTTCTACACTCTGAAAAAAAAGTGGAAATCAAAATTAAAACAAGAACGTATAACATAGTGTCTACAAAAACATATTTATGGGAAATTCACATTTTGTAAGACATGTACACTGAAAACTATGAAACATTAAGAAAAAATGAAGAATCCAAATAATTGTTGATGTATCAGAATATTCAATACTGTCAAAATATTTGTTTTCTCAAAATAGACCCCTAGACAATACTCAATTCCAATCTAAATTTAAGCAGTTTTAAAAATAGAATTAATAAGCCACTTTAATATGATAATGTAAAAAATAAGAAATAATTATGTTTTGTAAAAGAAGAAAAAAGATGAAAGAATTATACCGTTTGATTTCAAGATTATTCTGAAGGTACAATAATCCAGACAATATACTAGTAGCTTAAAGACAGAGATTAATGGAATAGAGGGAAAACTTCAAAAATAAACCTCCCAAAATATTTACTTGATTTTTGATAACGTCTGAAAGCAATAAAATGGTAAAAAGATAGCGTTTTCAAAAAATAAATGGTGCAGAGATAACTAAATATCTATAAAGGAAAACATTTAAATCTTACCTCACACCACACACTTGAAATGGATTTAGACCTAAATATAGAAGCTAAGACTATAACACTCTGAGGGGAAAATAAGTGACTTTGGGGAAGGCAAATATTTCTTAGACAGTTCATAAAAAGCAAAACCGTAAGAGAAACAATGAACAAATTGAGTTCATCAATTTTTAAAAATCCTTTTTGAATGACACTACTAGAAGACTGAAAAGACATAACATTGACTAGGAGAAAGTATTTGCAATAAATACCTCTGAAATTAAGCACGTATCCAAATATATAAAGAAATCTTTTGTTTCAATAAGACAAAAATATTAAAAATGGGCAAAATTGTGAACAGGACTGCATAAAACAAAATGCACAAGTGGCCAGTGTACACAGGAACAGATGCTCAATATTATTAATCCCCAAAGAAATGCAAATGTAGCCCATTAGAAGGGCTAAAATTTAAAAGCTTGTTAATACCAAATGTTGGCTAGGATGTGAAACAACTGGAAATCTCATATGTTGTTAGTGAGAATGCAAAATGATACAGACACATTAGAAAATAGCTTGGGAATTTCTAATAAAGTTTAGCATATCCTTACCATATAAATGAGCAACTACAACTTCAAGTATTCTCTCAAAATAAATGAGAACATAAATCCAAAGATTTATACACAATGTTCATAGTAGCTTTATTCATAATAGCCAAACTCTGGAAACAACCCAAAAGAACATCAATAGATAAATTGATAAGAAAATTGGGGTATATTTATAGGAATATTACTCAGCAATAAGAAGATACAAACTAGTAATACGGTGAAGTGACTGAATCTTTAAAACATTAAACTGAGAGAAAAAAAAGCCAGATACAAAAGAATGCATGTGATCCTACTATCCATCTATGCATTTTATAGCTTGTAAATAAAACAAAACTACATCTCTAAAATATTATAGCAGAAATAACATAACATCAGATCTCTATTATATAAGTATTATTACTTTAGTGCCCACAAAGTTAGCACCTATATGCTCCATCTAAAATAAGTAGGCTACAGCTGATAGTAAGCCAGTTCAATTAATAAACTAATTGATTATGGATAAAAATTTCCCAGAAATATCTCAAACTAAAATGATGCTCAGGATGTCATTAAGCACATATTGAGAATATATTTTGCTCTTTTCTCTCAAAGAAAAGACTGTTCTCCTTAGTAGCCTTCAATCATAAAAAGGCCAGGGAGTTTCAGAGGTCCGATTCAACCGAGGTAGAATGAGCCAACAGCCAAGTTATTTGAATGTTTGGTGATGCCCTTGATTGACACGAGGACCATTCTTCTGTCAGCATTTAATAAATGGTAAACCACAGAACACTAACCTCAATAATTGCAAGGTAAAATTGAGAAAGTTCAATTTTACTTGGAAGTAGAAAAAGTTATGTTTTCAATCGGCAAGTTGTAAGAATAAGAAAAAGAGGACAAATATGTTAACAGTTCACTGCTTCCTATCCCTTTTTTTTCAAAAGCTTTGGCAAAAAGGAAAATTTACCACTAATTTTCTGAATGGGAAAAAGACACAGCAAGAAAGTGGCTCATGAAGCAGAGACTCTCTGAGTGCCTTACACAGTTCATCTGTGCACACAGATTTGGCATCTAATGAAGCCATTTACATGCAGATGCAGGCCTGAGTGTGTGGACACCAGTCCCAACTCTGGGAATTGTTGTTTCATCTAATCAAAAGAAATTTGCACATGAAAGCCACATCCGTGTTCATTAACCCCACAGCTCTCTCAATATTGCTTCTCTATTATTCCTAACAAAATTGAAAACCTTTATATGATTAGGTACCCCACTTCAGAGCTTTATTTTCCTCCCACCCCCCAACCCTGGACTGCATCTGAATGTAAAACTGAATGTGGGTCTGTAAGGCTGAATAATTTTAAATACATTGATTGAAAACCAACCTCGAGCACCTTTTTAACACTGATTGGCTTACACGGACACATCCTTATTCTTACCAGCCAAGGAGGCTCTTGTACGCTTACAATGTTATCATCACTAAAAAATATTAAAAAATACTATTCAGGATGGAAATCCCAAGACAATAAGTTTAATTGCCAACTTTATTTTCATGTGCAAACAAAATTAAAATCACAGATGGATCTGGTAGCCAAAACTACCAACACATTACACTGAAATACAAAGGCCATAAAATAGGAACTTGCAGCAAGTCCTAAAAGCAAAATTTATGGTTATCGGTTGGTGCAGGTTCATCACACACTTAATTATCTTTCCTGTCAATGGTGTGAATGTTAACTGCAGAACTTGTGCTAAGTGATCCTGCTGCTTTGCCTTCTTACAGGGGACAAACAAGATAGAAAATATTTGCAGCCATTCATATTATCAAAGATGATCCTGAGGTTGGGCCTTTCAATGTATTTAATAAATGTATAGGAATAAACACACTGGAATTGCTTATTTTGCTGGCACCAGAAAATTGACTTTCTCTTTCCACAGAATTAAAGTGTAAGAGTAGCTTTGTTAATTCAATTCAGCAGTGACCTGCCGGGGACTCGGGGGCTTAGAGGCCAAGCAGATCTTCCTGCCCACTCAGTGTATGGCCTTTTTGCTGAAGCTGCCAGCAATGCTCTTAATTAGTGCCAATTATGATTTTTTTAAAATGTGGACACCTGCATAATGTGAACTAGATGGGAAGTCCTACTACATTTTCTATCTTCTATCAAACAGCTGTCAGGAGCTGACAATTTTGGTTTTTATTGTTCTGTCAAGAATTCAGATTACTAGCCTAGAGGTATATTTCTTTATGTCACATTTGTATTAATCCTCCAAATTATTTAGGCTCCTTTTATTTTCTAAGTCTATATAGTTATTTTCAGAGCAAAACACAGTTTATAGATCTTCTATAAAACAAGCAAACAAGCCACAATATGACACCAAGCTTTCATTGCATCAAATGACTTTAAAAATTATATAATTTGTTTTAGTATTAACACATTGGCCATAACTGTGAAGCCCCAAAAGTCCTGCCATAGAAAGGTAAACTTTGGTTTAAAATGTCAACTATAATGGCACTCATTAGGGAAAGGTAAAGCTTTCAGCCCAGTGTTTTTGCAACTGTTTTTTCCATGGATATATCTCAAAGGCCACTCCAGTGGCTTAAGACAAGAAGGTGGGAGTTGACCCTTCACCATGGGGTTCTACTTCTGTGTAACTAGAAATATGCAGAAGATAATTTTTAAAGAAAGTTTCTGCAGCTGAAAGAATTTGAAATCACTGTTATATGCAGAAAAAGATAGGAGGAAAAACAAGAAGAAATTATCTATTATCACTAATGAAAGTAAATGGAAATGGAAAGTTGCATTATCACATTTTCTAGTGGCAACAATTCCCTCATGGAATCATTTTATTGCTCCAGTTGATGGTAGAGCAGTAAAACAACTGGTGGATTTCATTTTCAATTGTTGCTTAGTCTGTAAGAATGTTCAGCAAGTAGATTTGTAAAAACTTTGGAACAGCCCATCTGTTCACTTTAAAGAACGAAGAAACGGAAGATAATTAGGAAAAAAAGGGAAGGGATATGAGATACTGAGAAGCATTTCTTGTTTCATATTTGTAAGTTGTAGCTTTAAATAAAATCCTTGTATTCTAGAACAGTTTTTAGTGTAAAGAAAATTCCAGAGAAATTGGTTAAGAAATAAAAAATACATATTGCATTACTGAGTCATTTCAGCTTTAAAACCTCTTGTAATTAAACATTTTATATGGATTCTCAGAATTCATAAATATATAGAAGATGGCATTCAGTTATTCACTCATTCATTTACCAAGTATTAATCAATAACTAAATGTTAGACACTGCAATTAGTTGTTCAAAACACATTTAATGGAAAAGACCACAATGCAGAGTGGTAAATTATTCCATAACAGTAGGCACAAAGTAGGAGTTTTCAGCTTAGAAATCATAGAAGTCTTTTTGATAAAGTGATGCTTAAAGAACAAAAGTCAGTAAGTAGAGAAAGAGGAAAAGGGTAATTCAATTCAGGTGTATGGCTGAAAAATAGCTAATGCTCATGCATAAAAAGAAAGTAAATATTAAATATCAGGTTAATATCTCAGTCTTAAAAATAATTTTCTTACATTATTATTAAAATATGTACTATAGTGGAATGATACCTATTCCACAAGGAAAGCACTGAAATGCTCAATATAGTCAAAGATCAAAAGTCATGTTTTATTTTTGAAGAAAAGGATAGCATCTGTCCAGTCTTATGTTGGCTACAGGTATCTCTTCTAAAGAATATTTTACCAAGTGATTGCAAATAAAAAGTGTGAAGAAAGATGAAGAGGATAGCCTACAATGAACAGTAAATTAGCATTTCCATTGTTCTAAGCATAGATAAAACCTGAAGCTGTAGGATAGGAAGTCCTTGGGACAAGGGGGAAGGCCAAGCTTCTCACAACAGTAGTCTATCATCATTTCCCACTGTCCAGTCAACAGAAAACTAGTCTGAGAGATAGTGCCTGAAAAAATGAGTTCTAGTCACAGTTAATTTTAGGAATCACTTTGTTCCAAAAGCTTATTATCTGAAATCTACAGTGTATACAAAAATAATTAAAATAATTAACATCACATAAAGACTTTCTTTAAAGAAGAGATTTTCTCAACTTTGTATAACTCAGTTTCCCAAAGTCATTTTATTCCAGAATACTTTGTTCATGTAACTCTCACACTAGTAATGTCCCATGGAACTGGAGTTTTTTCTTTTTCTTTTTCTTTTTTTTTTCAGAACACTTCGTGAAATTCTTGATTATATCTCAGTTATGTTCCGAAAAAAAAATACTGAAAGCATTCATTATTCAGTTTATTCATTGGTGCCATCGTGCACATGGACTATAGGTCGGTAGTGGAAGTCAATTTCCAAATATTCACAGCTTCTCAGTGTTGCACCCAAGTTTTAAACAGTAGTGTTTAATCCAGCTTGAAGTCTGCAGTTACCAGAGAAGTACCTGAGCTTCTCCCACGTTCATCGCCTATTAATATTCTATTGCAATGACTTTTTTGCCACATGTTTTTCAAAATATTACAATAGTTGACAACACTAACAATCGTCACCTTGAAATGTCGCCTTACTCTTTTTTTGCTTTCCAATGACATTGAGAATTACTTTTTTCTCCCATGCACTGCCAATTAACCATTTTCCATTGGGTTATTTGCTGTTTATTATCCTCCATTTCTGGATTTAAAGTATTCTCCAAGGCTCAGGTTTTGGCATTTGTTCTTTCTGCAATCCATTCTTTTCATTATGTAACTGATCATTTCCAATAGCTTAACATAATACTTGATGATCCTTAAATGCATATTTTAGCTTCTGCTTTTTTTTTCTACTTAAGCTCCATCTCCATATTTTGAGCAAATCTCATCACCTTAAAATTTAACAGTTCAATACTAAAATCATTATTATTATTATTATTATTATTATTATTATTATTATTAAGACCGAGTGTCACGCTGTCGCCCAGGCTGGAGTGCAGTGGCGCGATCTCGGCTCACTGCAACTTCTTCCTCCCAGGTTCACGCCATTCTCCTGCCTCAGCCTCCCGAGTAGCTGGGACTACAAGCACCCGCCACCAAGCCCGGCTAATTTTTTGTATTTTTAGTAGAGACGGGGTCTCACCGTGTTACCCAGGATGGTCTTGATCTCCTAACTTCGTGATCCACCCACCTTGGCCTCACAAAGTGCTGGGATTACAGGCGTGAGCCACTGCACCCGGCCCATTATTGTTTTTATCACTCAAAGAACTGACTTTTATTACAATCAAATTTGTAGGCTCCAAATTTTGACAATCTTTTCCTTCATACCTATGTCCATGTAAATATCAAATCCCAATCATATTTCCTTCACCCACCTTTTCCTTGAGTTCCAATATCTTCTCAATATAAGTTCTATAATACATGGCTCCTGCCTCCCTTCATCTCAGCTCTACACTCTCACCGGGTGGCCTTCCTAAAATACAGAGCTCTTTATGACAATATCCTGTGGAAAATTATTTCAAGGTTATTTATTTTGTGAAAAAACACCGTGTAGTACAAAATAATATATACCCTATGTATAAAGTTTATAAATCCAGAAAAGAACAAAGAAATGAATCACCCCGCATATCCCTCATCAACTGATAACCAGAAATAATATTTTTAATAGTACCAGTATCTGCTTTCAGCCTAATTTTCTAAAGAGTATTAAACTTTTATGTGATAAATAATCTTCTAAAACATGAGGTTTCATGAGCATTTCACGTTCCAAGATGTATTCTAATTCATTTAACTGTATCACTATTTTTGGACATTTAATTGAAATTCAGTTTCTCAATATTATTTATAATATTGTAGAGCACTCGTTTTTAAATCACTTCTGATTTTTTTCCTCTAGGATGAATTCCTAAAAGTGGCAATTTTGAGTCAAAGGGTTTAAAAATTTTCAGAAATAATGAACCAATTTTTACTAGCATCAGCAGAATACGGTTTCTCCTAAAACTTCCCCAATTCCTTAGTCCTTGTATAAATTTTACAACCTCAGCCTGGCTTTCAAAACTCTATCTGACCCTATTTCATAATACTATACGTATTTTATCAAGACCATCATGGTTCCCTGACTCTCACTTAAATACAACACACTCTTTCTTGTTCTCAGGCTTCAACTTATGTTACTCATTTTTTTTTTTTTCTTTTCTTTGAGACGGAGTCTCGCTCTGTCGCCCAGGCTGGAGTACAGTGGCGCAATCTCGGCTCACTGCAAGCTCCGCCTCCCGGGTTCACGCCATTCTCCCGCTTCAGCCTCCCGAGTAGCTGGGACTACAGGCGCCCGCCACCACGCCCGGCTAATTTTTTGTTTTTAGTAGAGACGGGGTTTCACCATGTTAGCCAGGATGGTCTCGATCTCCTGACCTCGTGATCCGCCCACCTTGGCCTCCCAAAGTGCTGGGATTACAGGTGTGAGCCGCTGCACCCAGCCTCATTTTTTTTTAGAATGATCTTTCTCTTCTACCTATACAAACCATGCTCACTCTCTCAAAGCCTTACTTACCTGACACATCATCAATTGGCTTTTCTTCAGAAATCCCTTTCCCTTTTCTCTGGACTCATATGTTATTACCAGTAGTTTTGATTTTGATTTGATTTGAATTATTTATATAAAATATCCCTAAGTTTTAATTTAACTTAATCCTTCCTCTCTAAAACTATTAGTTGCTTAAAATTTTACAACATTTGGCTAAGCATTATAAGCATCTTATAATGCTTAGTGAATATATGTCAAATGAATAAAGAAGTAAAAGTTACTGAGATAGTAACTTAAACATTAATGAAACAGTCAGTTAATATTATATTCATTTTATTGACTAGTTTTTCCTTGACAGTTGAAATTTAGCAAGATCTTGTAAGAGGTCACCATGAAAAACTATTTTTGGAATATTTTATTTTCTCAACTATCCTTTTCTTTGTCTTTGTATTTTAAGAAAAGTTGAAGTGATTAAATTACAATCAGATTTCACCCTAAACTAACCTTAAAGTAAGTCATAGTGGGCACTGTAAAGTTTTCCCCCAAAATGTGTTGTACTCAGAAACTGAGTACTCAGAAACAAGAGAAGAAATAAAAACAATGACGTATTCCTGGAAATTAGGAAGAGGATTTGTTTCATTGCAAAGCTTGGTAAAGTACCAGAATATCTTCCTGAAGATTCATAATTTCATGACCATAGTCAATCTTGACAATAACTTAACAATTAATGCTTACAACAAAATTAGAAAAAAGGCATAGAATTTGATTTATAAGTACATTCGGGGTAGCAGCCACTAGAATATGGATGTAAGATTTGTTTTGACAGTTCCTTACAATATAAGTTTGTGATACTTTGATAAAAATGTATATTATTGGCTGGGCGTGGTGGCTCATGCCTGTAAATCCCAGCACTTTGGGAGGCTGAGGTGGGCGGATCACGAGGTCAGGAGATCGAGACCATCCTGGCTAACATGGTGAAACCCCGTCTCTACTAAAAATACAAAAAAAAAAAAAAAAAATAGCTGGGCGTGGTGGCGGGTGCCTGTAGTCCCAGCTACTAGGGAGGCCGAGGCCAGGGAATGGCGTGAACCCAGGAGGCGGAGCTTGCAGTGAGCCGAGATTGCGCCACTGCACTCCAGCCTGGGTGACAAAGCGAGACTCCGTCTCAAAAAAAAAAAAAAAAATGCATATTATTAGCTCCTTCAGTTTGGATAACATTTGCCAGATCTTAGAATGATGCTGACTAAAATTATGATCTTGACTTCTTTATTACAATAAGATATTTTTAGATGATATTAAATTTCATTTAGTTGTACAAGACCTCAAAGCCACCAATAAGAGAGCACTAATTTATTCTGGGTGTTCTGATACAGTAGAATTTTAGGAAGCATTAAGCTTATATAATAATAGTAGTTAAGGGACTACTCCTACCTCAAAATGACATTTCTGGCTCTATTTTTTTTTCAAAATAACTTTGAAGTAAAGATTTCAGACCACACTCTGCCTCATGTTACATAAGTTTGGTTATATTAAATGTCTAACTATACAAAAAATGAGAAGAATAAAAAATATCATTTAAGATACAAAATACATTCCAACTTTTATCTCATCAGAGCATTTGTTTTTGTTTTTTTTCTACTTACTTCTAAAATGCACTATGAGTCTACAAATGGCTAAACACTTGGTTTATACTCTGAATGATTATCCATCACCATGAAAGGATCTAGAAGTGCTTCTTCAATTTACAATTATTATTTATCTTTAATAATGCAAAGGAAATAAGGGAAATCTAATTAACTCCTCAAGGACAAAGAAAGGTTTCAACAAGTGAGTGACCTGATATTAAAGAATCAGAGATGCTACTCAGCCTCTGACTTTTCCAGCTTCTGCTGTACTCTTGTGAAGATGTACATCCTTCACTGATCTAAAGCAGGGTTATAAAATATAATAGAATTAGGAAATTGCCGATGCAGATCATAAAATCTTTAATCTAAAACTCTTTAATGAAGTTCTAATTTTTCATATAGACATTTTAGTTAAGTCACAATTTTACATTTTTAATCTTTAATAATTTATCTACCAGTAACAGTTGAAGAATAAAAACAAAATACTCAGGAGAGCTAAATTTCTGATTTATGTATTTGGAAGAGTACTAACTGTCTACATCCCAAAGATTTTGCAATAATTTTGCACGTGTTATCTTTTTAACTCTGGAAATATCACTGTGACTTAGATTATCTGATCTTCATTTTTATAGATGAGGACAGGACAGTCAAGCTTATGTAAGATAGTTCAGTAATGTCACAAAGAGGAAAAAAAAACAGTTAACAAGTCAAAATCTAAGGCAGTGATTTAACTATTAATTTTAGGAAAACAGAGAATTTGCACTTTAAAAGGATCATGGAAAACCAACCGTAAAAAAGAGAGAATGCCTGCTTTGTTTTTGATCCTGGACAGGAATTCTTTAACATCTCACTGATAATCTGAATAGGCTATGATCCCAGGTCCAAGAACTGAATCCAACCAGCACCTGTGCATGACGCTGAGTCATCTATGTGATACTTCTTGCTGCCTTGAAAGGACCTCATGCCTAGAACAGAAAGTACTTTCAGGGAAAGAATGGCATTGACTTGACCTATTCCCCAGCTGCCTGGAGAGTAGTTCACACACGTCTAAGACTGTTTGCCTATCCAAAGGAAGCTTTAGATGAATTGCTCATTCATCATCCCAACGTCATTAATTCAGGGTTGATCTCTGTGAGAGTGCTCTATGACTCCTCAGTAATATAAAAAAAGGCTAAAGTTATACAAACAAGACAACTCTGTCCTCCAATCTATTGTGTAAGAAAACTTACAATGTCTTTCTGTGTCTTCCTAGGTTGCTATGATTCCCTGCTAATGAAAAGATGAATAAAGGCATATGTTAATGAGGAATCAAGTGCAAATTGAATGTAAATAAAAGGAGGAACTTCTAGTCATGAAAAAATATTTGAAAGTGATTTCTCTTCCTCTGCCTTTTCCTCAGAATTAAGTTGCTCATATTATTTTCTTTATTCCTCCAACAGAGGTGCTGAGAAAATAAATCATTGATATCTAAGATAATTTATGTCTATGTGTATGTGAAATAAGAAGCAAAACTGTTTAAATTCTTAATATAAAAGTGGTTAATATCCTCATTTGCTGTTCAATATGTTTGACCAGTATTTCCAGGTTTTTCATAATGAAAGACTGGTTTTCATGAATTTATAAGTAGTCATTTTTTTAACTTAGAAACTACACAAGAAAAAATAATCTGAAATTTTCTAATAAGAAAGATTTAAAACAATATGCTTTTTCTGTGAGTCTCTTGATGTGTGCATATCATTAATTCAAAGTGAAAAATTAAATCTTTGCAAAATTTTTGTTTGCATTTAACAAAAGATGAGGGAAAAAAGTTAATTTCTTCAGAAGGCTACATAATCAGCATCATAGCTATTTAATTCTTTAATTCTTTCCCCACAAGGTTTTTAGTAACATCACTCACAAATATCAATTTATATTATTTCTATATTAATAAATAGAGTGAATGCATTAATATGCAATGGAGATATGCCACAAACTAGCTTCCAGGTATGTTAAGTCTCCTACAGTTTGTTATTTATGAACAAATAATTAGGCAAACAAGATGAAAAATTTGGTATTTACTTTTTACCTGAAGTGTTCATAAATAACATTGAAAAAAATAAATGATAATGCCTAGAAATCTTACAGAATCACCTACAATTAATTCAGGATAACACAGAAAGTCAAAATCATGAGGCAACAGTTGTCAGTAGCTAACTAGTTTCCTATAATGCCAAAACTATGCTTGTCAGACAGACAACCATCTCTGAATAAAGTAGAGGAAACGAGCTGTACAGAGATGCTGCTTAACAACCAACGTAACAGTCTGATAAGCAATATATAATGACTTCCGACTTACTCCTACCCTGTCTTTGACACCAGACCTCTGGGAACTGCTGGAGACCACCATCTCAATAAAATTCTGCACATAAAAAAATGTCCATTTTCTGGCTTGAGATTGGAGTTATGGTTGCCATGGTGATACACCTTGCTTTAGACTTCGTTGATACAGAAAGGCTTTGCATTTCACTATGGCAAAAGACAGCAGCTTGTCACTTATGCAATCTACGTAGAGAAGTTAATTTCAGGAGTTTACAGGGAGAGCTCCTATTTTCTGAACCCAACTGCACAATCCTTCTAATAGGGTCAATTTTCCAACGCCACTTGCCGGTAGATTTTGACCTATCCTCTTCTAAGACGTGGTGTTTGTCTGGAAATTTGCGTACACTGAGAGTAGCTACAATTTAGCTCAGGCTCCATCCCTTTAAGCTTTCACTATACTCACTGACCTCTTTCCATTCATGAGAGCCAGGCCTTCTTAATTAGTCCCAAATTTTTATAACCCCTGGAAAATAAATTATTAGCAGTCCATATAAATAAAGGGCTGAATAATTACAATAAATGTAAAGTTCTTTGAGATCAAAAATTAGGATTTTTTTGTACTTGCCTAAAATATTTTCAGAATACTAATAATATAAATGTTGATTAAAAAAACTAAAAACTTCATAAATACTTCATGAAGCATTTTTCTTTGACTCCTATCTCTGTATATCCTCAATTTACACTTCCTTATGTCTCCACTGTCACATCCACCTACCTTGCCCTTGTGCTACATAAAAATCACATTCACGCATTAGAACATTGCCTCACCATTTTCTCTTCCTTCCCTTGAGCCCTTTGACTGACAAGCTCTCCTCCTGCCTCTGGACTCGGCATCTGTGACACTTCCTCAAGGACTTCTTCCTTGTTCTACACCAGTCTCTCAATCTTCCTCCATCAGTGACAAGATGAGAGTTCCCTTATACTTTCTCCAGTAGCAATCAGGACTCTTTATATTTTTATTTTTATTATCATTTGTCCATTCATCCCTTCAATGTCTGTCTTCATCACTACACTGCAAACCACATGAAAACTAGAATTGTGCCTGCACAATAGGTCTCCTGTAAATAATAAATGCTTGAGGTGATGGATATCCCAACAACCCTAATTTGATCATTACATGTTGTATGCTTGTATCAAAATTTCACATATACCCTAAATATATACAATTATTATGTATACATAATTTAAAATAGTAATAATTATTGATCACTAAAGGAATGAGGAAATAAATTAATGAACTTATTAATGAATAAGTGGATGCCTTGAAGACAACAAAGAGGCAATAAATGTCTTTGCTTTTGTTAGTGTATGTATTTGATTTGCTTTAATTGTGGCTTATCACTGCAAAAGTATTTTAAACTTCAATTGTTTTCTAATATCAGACAGTGAATTTACTTATAAAGAGAATCTTTGTTTTATAACACTTATAATTGACAAGACAATATTATTTTCAGTTGACATTATGACCTACTTTCAAGATGAGCAATGAGCGTTGGAGTGTTGATTCAACACTCACTGCCCACTGCACAGACCACTTGTATTTGGGGGCTCTAAGAAGAAACAAATCAAGCAAGTTCCCTGTCCTTCAGGAGCTTGCAATTTATTCTAAACCTCCCTGGAAAACACTACTGCCCTCCAAACAAAATAAACAAACAAACAAAGAGAGCTTAAAGACAATGAGAAGGAAATATAGTCACACATTTTTTGTTGCTGTTGTGTACATTTAAACAGAAACTTCCCTAGCACTCGTCTCTATCCCCCTGGGGCACTTCATTGTATGTCAGATATGGCTTGAGGTTATGCGGCAGAAAAAGGTATAATCCTTGCTCTTATGAAGCTCATATTCCAGTCAGGAACACAGACTGGAAGATAAATCATTCTTATGCAACAGGGCCAGGGCTCTCCCAGAACTGGGACGAAGGTCTGTGGGAGCCTAATGAGTGAGAGGGCTAAACTGCATTGGAAGACAGCAGTTTTACGCAACAGACCACAAAGAGCAGGGTCTTCTTGAAAGATGAGTAAGCTATGTCAAGTGGACCAACAGGGAGAGGACATTATTAGAAACAGGAATTGCCTGGGAAAGGCAGGAACTCTTCATAAGATATGTTTTTAAATCAGTGCAGCAGTCATGATTGAATCTGATTTTAATGAACAAAGTGTTGTAACAGAAACTACCAAAGGATAAAGTAGAAACAATCATTTCCAAGGTTTCTCTTGGATTTCTATAACTGGTAATAATCCCATTTCTCACAATGCTAAATGTCTTCACCACAGAAGAATATTAATAGAGTGGTCTTTGTAATAGACAAGTTGATACCAATACCACTACCAATACCAATTGCTTTTTGACATTGTTAAACTCACTATTCTCCCCCAGTTTTATCTGCTTTAGAGCTAGCTACACTGCTGAAATGATGTATGCACAAAACCACACAAGAATATTTTCTCTGATTACTTACCTAGAAAACTATTGAATAGCCCACAAAGCCAAACAAGTTAAAATTTCCATTAAATTGTGAGAACTTTGCAATTTGAAAAGATTGTCTATGTTTTAAGATACAGAAAGTATGATTTAATGTTCTCTTAGATTGAAGGATGACAGCTGGTCTTTATTAAATGATGCCATCAGGAAAGAAATTTCTATTTGGAATGAAACTTAGAAGAATGTTCTCTTGGTCAGAAATGAAGGAAATTGGAGTTTGCATAACAATCACAAACAAAAAACACTTTGATTTTCATATATGCAGATTTTTGTTTCTGAAAATTTGTGTATTTCTTAAAATACTTGGAGAATGGATTGGTTTGTTTCTGTGAATTTTACACAAGGTAGACTTTATGAACTTATATTTTTCTGGAAATAAAGCTGTTACTTTATTTTAAAGCTACTTTTGGAATATTTAATTGTAAAAAGCATTATAAAATAAATTGGGATCATTTCTAATAGTAAAACAAAATATTCAGGCTGGGCACAGTGGCTCACGCCTGTAATCTCAGCACTTTGGGAGGCCGGTGCTGGTGGATCACCTGAGGTCAGGAGTTCGAGACCAGCCTGGCCAACATGGTGAAACCTTGTCTCTACTAAAAATACAAAAATTAGCCAGGCGTGGTGATGCATGTCTGTAGTCCCAGCTACTAGGGAGGCTGAGGCAGGAGAATTGCTTGAACCCAAGAGGTGGAGTTTGCAGTGGACTGAGATCGTGCCATGGCACTCCAGCTTAGGTGACAAAGCAAGACTCAGTCTCAAAACAAACAAACAAACAAAAAACAAATAAAAAAACAACAAAAACAACAACAACATAACATTCAGAGACAAGAAATTCTGCCCACTGTGAGTAACATTTATGGACATGTAATATCACAAGATTGGGATGGGAGGAATTTGGACAACGGAGTATCTACTTTATCTTGGTTTAGAAGGAATTAAACAATAGGTGGTAATATTTTTATATCATGTTAGAAATTGCAAACATCAGAGTAATTTTGGATCTGTCTCTAGTTTCCAAGATTTCCAAGTATCAAATTTTGCAGTACTCATATTTTAATGTTTCATAGGTTTTCAGAAATGATTTGCTAGATTAATAATGTTTGCATTTCCAAAATAATAGCAATTTAATTCTAGTTCTCTGAGAAATGTTAGATATTTCACATATTTGTTTGTGGAGTTGGGCAGTTCAGACTAAAAACTTCATGTAGGCACCACAATCATTCTGTAATTACCAACTAGATTCCTATCTTTTTGTATCCACCCAATTATAGTTGTGATTTGATGAAGGCCTTACTTAGAGAAGATACTCAGTGTGTTTAGAGATGTTTTTTGCAGGGAGCTAAATGGGCTTCTAAGAGCTAGTTTTATTTATATCTAAACATTTATCTCACCTGCTGACTTTCTTAGATGAATTACTGGAAAACATACTTAGAAAATAGATATGCGAGCTTAGTACTTATGTGCACTTGTGAGTGTGTAAAAAAAAATTAGTATTGTTATTCTCACATTTTTCCCTCCATACAGTGCATGGGCTATGCATGTAATTCAACCAACTTCCCATATGGACATACAGAGAATAGTTTATAAATACATACATAGGTGAAGCATATATCCACATGGGCTCAATCTATTCTTGTTGCAGTGAACTCCATAAGCATCACAGTTTTCATCTTCTTGTTTTCCCCCTACAATAGCAAGATTTCATTGTATGCTGCTAGGAATCATATTCCCAGTTGTGGCTGAGGGTAAACAAATGCAAAACAGGATCTCTAGGTCTCTTTATTGATGCTGCCCTGGGAGGAGGCAATGTATTAACAAGTGGGGGAAAAGTTGGGAAGGAAGGGCACTAAATTCAATGCAGTGAAAGGAAGGAAAGAGACCTTCAAAGGAAAATCACTTATTTTTCAAGTCTACCTGATAAACAAATTAATTTCCTTTTTCTTCCTCCAGGCTCCAAAATGCCTGTGTAGAGGGTAGGGGTGATAGGATTGCAGATAGGAGGGAAAAAAAGGCATTAGAGAGAAGATAGAATTCTCTGTAGTGGATGTTTGTAATTATTTAAGGTGACTACTTTCGAGAGAATTTAGGGTATCTTGTTAAAGATAGCTTGCTGCTCAGATAAATGATTCCACTTGGAATTTAAACTACTTGTTTAAATTTGCCAGTGGAAAGAGACCCAGAAACAACTGGTACTTATGTGCACTCCACACATCAGTCCACAATGGCACTCTTTCTAGAGTTTGAGAATGTTAATAATAGGAACTTCTATGCAATGCATTATTTGCTGTAAATATTGACACAGAAAATACACTTGTAACCGAATTAATAAAGCAGAAGTCTATGGATTATTAATGGAAACATGGAATTTTCAATAGTTGTTAAAGTGTTTGTTACAGGTAACTTGCTTTGTGCAAGCATTCTTCAATATCCTAATACGCATTTTGTTCACAAGGTGTGACTGTATAAAAAACCATCCACTTCTACCAGGAATAGCGTTTCTGAAAACTAGATTATGGGATCATACACACTGGATATACTTCTTTTCCAGTTGCTCTATCTACATGATAGTTTTGAATATTGATGTGACTGATCTGTTGACACCTTTGTTATTTAGGAGACTTAAACTCACTACCCTGTAGCACTGTTCCCACCACAGGTGACTGCCCTTCCCTTTTGTTTACTTCACTACAATTATTTTCTTACACAGTGGAAGCAAACGGGGGGATTTCCACTGTTGGTAAATAAAGGGCCGTGCTTGAGTGCCTCTTAATAGCTTATTATCGTGTGTAATCAAACTGAATAACTGCCAGAAAGGAGAGTTCCTGTGCACTGGCAGATGCCCGTGGGCTGAGCTCTGCTCTGGAATGTCACCACACAACAAAGCCCTGGATGGATAATGCATCAGCAGCACTGGGGCTCTAGGCATGTCACGCAGGTGGGGAGAAATCAGCGAGGTGAGGTAAATATAAGTGTGCCAATGACACGGGAATGGTATTAGATGGATAGGGGGCAAGTGAAAAGACAAAGAAGCCAAGAAATTGAAGAAAACAGCTTTCACCACTAAATGGAAATTACCTTGAATGCTGCATTGCACCAGTGACTTTGACAGCTGAAGCAGCAGCAAAGAGAACTTGACTAAGATATTGCCCGTGCTGTTTGCTTTGCAAGGGGCTAAGTGTGGTTGACTTTCGCCTGACAAGATCAATCACCGTTCATACAACACAATGAGCCAAATTCAAGAATGCTTTCTTGGAGGCATTCATAAAAAGACTGAAGAGCAGTAGGCTGTTTCTATGTCTGGATCCACAGGGACACAGAAATACATTTGCTAAATGGCCATTTACCTATGACTTTTTTTTACTTATTATATACAATTTCACTTTGTGAATGTTTACAATTATATGTATATAATTAAACTTTGGAGGGCTTTATCGAACAGAAAATAAGTTCGCAGATTTTAGATCATCTGAAAGACACACTTGCTTTGCCCCATGTTAAACAGGATTTCAGACTTGAGCCTCCTTTTCTTGCCTCTCTCTCTCTTTACTGTGTTCTCCTATGCAACATGGTATGAATATGGCAGATTGGCAAGCACTTGCTATTTGGCTTTGCAATAGGTTAGCTTTGTCATACACATGTTCATGCACACACACAAACACACACATACACACGCACACCAAATCAGGTGAGCCTCATTATAGGCTGGCATTTCTTGTGACAGACAAGTAACATCTGTGCTGCTTTGTCTGCAAACAGTGTGTCTGTTGGGGAATCTTATTCACAAATCCTTTAAAACACACAGCCTCCCCCTTCTTCTCTCTCTCCTCTTTTTGCACGAGGATGTGAATATGAATTGAAATTCCAAATTAACTGTTCCAGATAAAGCTTAAGGTTTTCATTAATATTTAAATTGAACTATCAGATGTGATGTTGTGATATTTCATACCAACAGCTTGCACAGAGAGGTTTTTAAATATTAAGGTTTCATCATTTTAAAAGGAAAAGAGGAATTGTTCTTTTCTTTAAAACAGTGATAGTGTTGAAACTAACCTGAGCTATGTAAGTAACAAGAAAAAAATGAAATTAGCCAAATAAGCTTAGGGATCATCTCTGTCATTGCCCATCACCTTGAACACCAGAGCTCTCTGCTCTGTAAGATAGGCTCATTCCGGCACTTTTTTTTATTATTTTTTATTCATTTTATTTATTTATTTATTTGCTTATTTATTTATTTATTTTGTGATGGAGTCTCGCTCTGTCACCCAGGCTGGAATGCAAGTGTGCAATCTCGGCTCACTGCAACCTCTGCCTCCCACGTTCAAGCAATTCTCTTGCCTCAGCCTCCCCTAGCAGCTGGGATTACAGGCGACTGCCACCATGCCTGGTTATTTTTTTTTTTTTTTTTTTTTTTTGTATTCTTAGTAGAGACAGGTTTTACCATGTTGGCCAGGCTGGTCTCTAACTCCTGACCTCAAGTGATCCACCTGCCTCAGCCTCCCAAAGTGTTGGGATTAAATGCGTGAGCCACTGCACCCGGCCATCTGGCACTTTAAAGAGAAGAACTACAGTTGTTCAGCTAGCAGCTATTTGTTTGGCTCTTTGCAGTACCTGACATGAAATATCCACTCAGTAAAGATCTACTTACTACTGAACAAACAGAAATGTGAGCTAGATGTTGTGGTAGACACAAACACATAATTAACAGCCTTCATCCTTGATCATATTAGAGTTTTGAAAAAACATCCTCATGATTCCAAGAATAAAAATGGGAAGAATTTCTAGAACAGGAATGACAAGAATTAGATGATCCAGAACAGAAGGTTCATGTAAGGGGTAAGTAGAAGTCACAGCTGAAAAGAGAAGTTTAGGCCAAACCATGGGGCATCTTGAATGTCAGAACTTTGAACTTCTAATTGATTCCATGAGAAAGATGCCACTGAAAAATGTTTTGGCAAGAGAGTGATATGGAAATGGGTGTCTTGGAAAGATTAGCCTATCTATCCCAGAGTCATCTCCATCTTTCTAGTGGAAAAATAGAAATGTTTAATAGAGGCAATTTCAAAATTTTCCAAGTGAGAAGCAACACACCCTTCAAGCACTGGGACTATGGCCACGTTTCTTTGAGCTATTGATCTTTTAATTATTTTATAATGACTACATCAGTCTTTGATATGCTCTTATGTCTAATTAACTGCTCCTTCTCTATCTTCTTTGCAAGCTCATCTTTCTTTGCCTGAATATTAAATGTTGGAGCATCTCCTACATGCTAGGGTTTAGACTCCTCTCTCGGCTGCACACTTCTTTCGAAAGCTCTTTTTTAAGCTCCTTTTTTTTTTTTTTACATGCATGATTATCGCAGCTACCTACCAACAGATGACATACAAAACTATATCTTTAGCCCAGCTATTGCTTCAGCACTTGGAGCTTATAGCCAAGTGCTTAATTAAAATTTCCTCTTGGGCATCTTAAGAAAAATTATCACCAGTGGAGATGCTAATCATGTATTTAATATTGTCTGTCTTCCCTGTACAAAAATATAGGCTCCTTGCAGGAGAGAATTTTTGTTCACTACTGCATTCCCATGTCTACAACACAACCTGTCACATAGATGGCACTTAAACATATTTTTGAATGAATAAATGACTGAATCTTTGGTCCAAGCTATGATCATCTATTATTTCCAGGGCATGCCAAGTTAACAGACTAATTTAGTCGCTAACATTGTTTAGAATTACTGGCACTTTCTGATAGTAAAAAAAAAAATTGGCTTTTAATTGGTTATATTATTCTTTTTAAATTTTCAACAAACAATGCACTCCTGTATTTCCCAGAACTAAGACGAACAGCTCCCACCACCTTCCCCTTGGTAAATTATTGATAATTTTTTCCTCAACGATTTCTCTCACCACTGAATTAGTTGATTTTCACTCACTTTTTTAAATTTCAAATTTCACACCATGGTCACACGCACCTTTAAATATATATATATGTATATATATAAAATATATATGTGTATATATATAAAATATATGTGTGTGTATACATATAAAATATATATGTGTATATATATAATATACATGTATATATATAATATATATGTGTATATATATAATATACATGTATATATATAATATATATGTGTATATATAGTATATATATTTAAAATATATATATATATGATCATGACAATGCCCTACTGAAAGCATCAAAAAGACTTCCTATTGCTACAACAAAACAGCACGATTATCACACATAACAAGGCTTTGCATGATCCAGCTCCTACTTACCTCTCCATCCCTCAGTGAGTAACACTTCTCTGCTCATGAATGCTCTTGATCTCTCTGGTGCAGCCACACTGGCCTTGTTGCCTTAGGCTCTTATATTTGGCATGACACTGCACTACTCAGAAGATTCCTCTTCTTCTCTTCACTTAGCTAACTGCCTGCATTGTCCCCTTAGATCAAGGTATAGAGATGCTCTTCCCAGGGAAGACTTTTTGATCACCTTGATTCAGTCGAGTGTTCTTTACAGGAATTAGAGCTACAGCTCCATGTTTGTATGTGTCTAGTTTTGTTCACATTTACAAGTTATTAACAAATACTTACTAGATGTCACCCATAACTCATGCACTTACTAGAAACTTGCAATAGAAAAGCCAACAATTGCAATTATTTACTGCTCTAGACAAAAGTAAAGGAGACAGATAATAGCCAATATAACACATATTATAATGTTAAGTGATACTAAGAGAAATAAAGAAAAATAAAACAGGGTAAGTGCTTAGGGGTACAAGAGAGTATTATTTCAGGTAAGGTGGTCAGGAAAATTATTTTTTAATTAGAGATATTTGAAAAAAGAACAGAATAAAGGAAAAAGTGTTACAAGTGGAGGAAAGAGCAAAAGCAAAGGACTTGAGGTAGTAGTATGCCTTATAGGATCAAAATCTAGCAAGATCACTAGTGGAACTCGAAGTGAGTGAGCACAGGGAAAGTGAGATGAGAACAGACACAAAGGGCTTGAGATCTTATGGGATATTATAGGCCAAGAAAAGAGCTTGCAATTTGGATCTTATTCTGAGTGTGCTGGGAAGGTGTTTAAAAAGAGGAATGTAATAATTCAATTTTAGTTTTACAAGGTTCAAAGTATCTAACGTGGAGAAAAGTTATGGCAATGAAAGAGCAGAAGCAAAGGGCCCAGTTAGCATGCTGTTTCGCTAGTATGGACAGTGATGGCTCCTGCCTGAACAAGGAGGATAATGATAAAGATGATAAGAAGTCAGTTAGATTCTGAATAATTTCTGACAATAGAGCCAACAGAACTTACTGATAGTTTGGATGTGGGGTAAAAGAGAAAGAAAATAATCACAGATGACTCCAAGTTTTGGGTCTGAGCAACTAACTGGTTGAATGGTTGCTCATTTAGTAAAGTATGAGACATTGGGAGAAGGACAAGTTGATGAAGATTTAAGTTTTGGATATGTTAATTTTGTGATAGCTATTGAACATTCAAGTAGAGATGTCAACTATGCAGCTGGATATATGAGCCAGAGTTCAAGTATTAGGACATTATTTATGTCGCTGATTTTAAAAGCATCAAAATTAACAGAATTTAAAAGAAAGCTGTAATGCATTCATAATTATTTAAAAATAATGACTTACTTTATAACAGTCAAGGCAGGGCCAAACTATTTTTGACTTGGATATGTGCTACCATCAGAGAAAACCATGGCCATGAATACATTATACTATTCTAACCTCAAATACTGATACCACCAAAGTAGGTGCTAAATACTGACTATTTTGTTTTTATTTTCTTTTGATAGGCAGCATAAGAAAATGACAGCAACTCAGCCTTTGGCACAACATTGCCCTAAAGAGAATTTAGAGGACACAATTTGATAAACTGTCTAAAACTAGAAAATCAGAAAAGATGAGAGAATATATGTAATAGAAAAAGTAGTGGACAGGGAATTTGCATTTGAGTTCTGGCTCTTTCAAAAACATGTTGTATAACCTTAAGACAATATCCTCATTTCTCTGGCCTTCAATAAAATCTGCTCCGAAAAGCTGCACAATCTTAGTATCTTCTGACTTAAAAGGAAATTAGCCTCATTTTCTTGATCACTTGGTTTTCAAAATGGCCTGTTTTTTTTTTATATTCAAGTTTACTTTATTTTAGTTGGCAATATTAACACCCATTTCAGAAACTCCTTTATCTGGACCATATGTCATTAATACAATATTTTTCTTGCGTATCAACCTCCTTAGCTACATAGTAAGTAGAGAACCCTTAGCTTATATATGTTTTTACACCTTGGTTAGCCATTTCATGGGGACAAAAATTAACTCCAACCAAAAATGACAATGTGTAAGTAACCAAGGATGCCAGGAGGGAGTGATTCCTATAGTGATTAAAGAACAGTTCCATGAATATTTTCATCTGTATGGACTTAAAAAAAAACTTTGAAAATACTGTATCAGTGCTGCCATTTAATAAATAATGAAAGAATAATCTAATTAAATTTTTAAAGTACTTTTAATATAGTCTCCCTTTAACTTGTCTATATAGTCTAGAAATATTTGAGGACACTCATCCATAGGGAAAAGGTTCAAAATAAATATTAGGGCTATAGGAACTCTTTATTTTCCATATTTAAGACCCTTTACTTTTCATAATGAGTACATATATTTTGTGAAAACTTAATATATATCTGCAGTGCAATGCTTCTACTTTTTAACTTTTATTTTAAGTTCAGGAGCACATGTGTAGGTTTGTTACATAGGTAAACTTGTGTCATAGAGGTTTGTTGCACAGATTATTTCAGGACTTCTTGACATACTGCTTTCTGGAGAAATAAATGCTCGCACTTTGACAGTAGGAACTACATGACTACACAGTAAACAGACTTTTTTTTACTCTTTCTGAAACATAGTTAGAATATAAAGAAAGGATATTTCACAGGAACCAGATTAATTTTTATTTAATAAATGCAATGTATGACATTATTAAATAATATAGAACTTGTGAATAAAATAAAATTGTATACTATTATTACAATGGCTATTTACAGTCTAACTTACCTACATTTAATTGTCCTTAGTTTTCACAGAAAAAAGCTAAAGGCTTTCCATGAAATAACTCTTTCCTCTTTCCTGGCGAATATCTCTACTGACTCCTTTGCTGTGTTTTCCAGTACTTAGCTTCCCAATCTGTGTTCAACAGAACATTAATGCTCCAGATGTTTATAGGTGCTCTACAGTAATAGCAATAATAATAAAGAAGTAAAAGGAGACCATGTTGAAGGAAGTTGGACAAATGTTGCATGATACATTTAGAATATTAATGGCTCTGTAAAGTCACAGAGAAAAAATAGTTGACTGAATTTGTTTAAACCAACAATTCCCATACTTATTGACCAGAGGCAATTTTTTTTAATTACATGTAAACAATTCCCAGGCCCATTCCCAGGCACCTTGTATTGTATAGGAAACAGGTTTATTTTTTAATTTTTATTATTATTATTTAAATTGATAGATAAAATTATATACATGTATTGTGTAGAGCATTATGTTTTAAAGTATATATACATTGTGGAATACAGTTTTGAAAACAATCCCCAGGTAGTTGACAAATACCTCTAATATATAGCAGTTTCTGCATTGCATTCTATTAGACAATGACCTGTATATGGGTAGAATCTTGTTTATTATTATATTTCTAGATTCTTTAGTATGTCTAATTTACAGTGTTTACTAGTATTAAGTTGATTATGGTATAAATTATTTCATTTAATTACATTTTAATATGTGACATTTATACATGGAAATTCATTATTTTTTTATTCAAAAGTATTTTTGGCCAAATCTCAACATATTTATTACATATGTTCATGCAGTCTTTTAGCCTTCTGTTACTTTCCATTTTAGACTGGCTTGTTAAAATCATATCCATCCTGCAAATACCATTTTCTCTGTGAAGGTTTCCCTGATCCTTTCACTGATCTCCCCCTTCTTCTAATTTCTTATAGCACCCATCCTCATTGCATCTTGGTTCTCAGCAAATTTTCTACTTAGTGGTGCACAGCATTTGTGGCTATGCCTCATCTTCCATATGCCTGATCCAGATTTGCAGCCATCCATGCACTTTTCTCTGTGTCTGTACAGACAAGGATTCAAAAAAAAATACTTATTGAGAATATGAAGAAATGGCTATCCTAATAAGACAGCATTGAATTGGGAAACATTTGCCATGTGGCTCTTAATCATGTAACAGTGAGGAAAAAAAAATGTTTGAAAGCATTTATCCCAGTTGTTTGCAAACCTGGCTAATTATCCAAACTGTGCTTTTTCGAAGCTACACATTGTAACACCCTATTGCAGACCTGAAGTTCAATCTCCAGGATGGATTTAGAACCCAGATTGCCCAGATTATTTCTAACCTCTCTGCCTCCATTCCAACAAAGAAGGTGGATTCTACGACCCCTTCTCTTTCTCCACAATATCATCTGAGAGGCTGACATTGAACACCCAGAGACCAAAAGCAAAGCATAAACTATGGCTCCGTGGTAGCCATCTTTCCTGCAAACACAGTGACTTAGCCAGAGCTACTTACAGATTATCTGCTATAGAAGAAGGCCAAGAGGAGTTGGGGATAGCATGGAATTACTTTCAGTAACTACTGTCCAACAACATTAGAGCCGCTGGGAGAGATGGTACAGTACAGACCAAGCAAAGCCGAATCTCTGAGGCAACGTCCAGAAATCTGCATTTCTGTTATATGTTAATGCCCACTAAAGTCTGAAAGAAAGTGGAATATTAATAAGGATTTGAGATTTGGGATCAAAAAGACCTGTCTTTAAATCACCTGTTTACATATTTAACTGGCTATTCACTGTTAGGCAACTGTACAATAGAAATAGTAATACTTATTTCACAGGAGTTTTTATAACAGTTAAGTGGGATAGAATAAGTACAACGTGCCACGCAGACTCTAACAAATATTTGGGACTTAATAAGTAATAGCTTCTTTTGTGGTGTAATTGGTGGTGATGGTGGTGAAAACACAAGCAGAAGATCTGCCCCAGCCCGGAGTGTACTGTGGTTCATTAATGCATTTTGTAACACCCATATTTACCCTATTTTCTTCCCATTGACCAATTCCCTGTGGATCTGTAAGATTCTATTTTGTACACATATGGCAGTTCACATAGCACAACTCTTTTGGACACTTTATCTACATAGCAAAACCCAATAACTTCTATTATTATGAATACTTATGCTTCAAAATGAACTTTTTTAAATGTTGACTTCATAAAAATTTTGATATGCAAAACATTTTACAAAGAAATTTTATTTAATGGTGGTTTTAACTATTAATCTACTTTTGCAACTAAGAAAAATGGAGGTTGAGAACTGTTGGCTATCTAAAGCCCACAAAGGAGGTATATATGTGGCAGAGCTGAGGCTCCAAATCCGTCTATCATTACACCAAAGCAGCCTGCTGGAAACATTTTTTAAAAGTTAAAGAAATACTTACTAAACATATTTTTTATTCTAATCCATTACAGATTCATAATGCCTATAAAATAACTCTACATCAGAATATTGTATTAATACTGTTATGAGATTACAGTCTTATAGGAATAAGGAAAAATCTGGCCCACAGATAACATGAAGAAACTGTTTTATACAATAAATACCAGATATATTTTATCTGTGAACAGGTAGACCATTTTTGTAGTTCAAATATCCAATCATATTAAAACATATGCAACGTACAAATTCCCTTTCCCATTGAACTCTTGGCTCTATCCACACAGTTGCCTTTCCTGATGATGGCCATACATTTTACAGTTCCATGTGAATCTCACCTCCAAAAGTTATGACCATCTGCAGAAGCCCGGGCCCACCTCCCTCCAAAAGCTAGCCACTATTATAAATATTAGGGTTTCTTTATGCTTATGCAATTAAATATGACAAATATTATTCATTTCCCTCATTTTACATAAAATACACTATATAATCTCTATTATTAAAAATATTGTTGTTTTCTTTTGTTTTTATCCACATGACAACATGTATTGGCAATGTTTTCATCGATGTATACACAGACTATCTTAATTATATTCAGGCTATTATTTTACCTTGATACAACAAATTTTTTTGAACCACACTGTATTAATGGATTTTTTCAATCTTTTGCTATTATAGGCTGAATCATATGAAACTGCCAGCCTTCAACCATTTTTGATTCACATCAATGTCAATGTTACATAGTTCAACCTAATATAAGCAATGCTGGAATGAATTACCTTATATATTTGCAATTTTGCACAGAGGTAAGTATACTTCCAGTATAAATTCCCAGAAAGACGTAAAAGTACTAGGTCAAAGAATGTGTGTGCATATTTTTAATATATTTTGTCTTAGACATGAAGTCCTTGCCCATGCCTATGTCCTGAATGGTAATGCCTAGGTTTTCTTCTAGGGTTTTTATGGTTTTAGGTCTAACGTTTAAGTCTTTAATCCATCTTGAATTAATTTTTGTATAAGGTGTAAGGAAGGGATCCAGTTTCAGCTTTCTACATATGGCTAGCCAGTTTTCCCATTTATTAAATAGGGAATCCTTTCCCCATTGCTTGTTTTTCTCAGGTTTGTCAAAGATCAGATAGTTGTAGATATGCGGCGTTATTTCTTAGGGCTCTGTTCTGTTCCATTGATCTATATCTCTGTTTTGGTACCAGTACCATGCTGTTTTGGTTACTGTAGCCTTGTAGTATAGTTTGAAGTCAGGTAGAGTGATGCCTCCAGCTTTGTTCTTTTGGCTTAGGATTGACTTGCAATGGCAACAAAAGCCAAAATTGACAAATGGGATCTAATTAAACTAAAGAGCTTCTGCACAGCAAAAGAAACTACCATCAGAGTTAACAGGCAACCCACAGAATGGGAGAAAAATTTTGCAACCTACTCATCTGACAAAGGGCTAATTTCCAGAATCTACAATGAACTCAAACAAATTTACAAGAAAAAAACAAATAACCCCATCAAAAAGTGGGTGAAGGACATGAACAGACACTTCTCAAAAGAAGACATTTAGCAGCCAAAAAACACATGAAAAAATGCTCATCATCACTGGCCATCAGAGAAATGCAAATCAAAACCACAGTGAGATACCATTTCACACCAGTTAGAATGGCAATCATTAAAAAGTCAGGAAACAACAGGTGCTGGAGGGGATGTGGACAAATAGGAACACTTTTACACTGTTGGTGGGACTGTAAACTAGTTCAACCATTGTGGAAGTCAGTGTGGCGATTCCTCAGGGATCTAGAACTAGAAATACCATTTGACCCAGCCATCCCATTACTGGGTATATACCCAAAGGACTATAAATCATGCTGCTATAAAGACACATGCACACATGTGTTTATTGTGGCACTATTCACAATAGCAAAGACTTGGAACCAACCCAAATGTCCAACAGTGATAGACTGGATTAAGAAAATGTGGCACATATACATCATGGAATACTATGCAGCCATAAAAAATGATGAATTCATGTCCTTTGTAGGGACATGAATGAAATTCGAAATCATCATTCTCAGTAAACTATCGCAAGAACAAAAAACCAAACACCGCATATTCTCACTCATAGATGGGAATTGAACGAGAACACATGGACACAGGAAGGGGAACATCACACTCTGGGGACCGTTGTGGGGTGGGGGAAGGGGGGAGGGATAGCTTTAGGAGATATACCTAATGCTAAATGACGAGTTAATGGGTGTAGCACACCACCAAGGCACATGTAAACATATGTAACTAACCTGCACATTGTGCACATGTACCCTAAAACTTAAAGTATAATAATAATGAAAGAAAAAATATATATGTATTTTGTCAATTTACCCACCTTAAGGATTACACAAATTTACGTTCTCAATAGCATATATGAGTGCCTATCTCCCTATAGCTTCTCCTTCAGAGTATCGTGAAACTTCGGAAAATTTGCTGAAGTAATTACTTTAATTTACTTTTCTCTTACCATAATGATTTTGAGCATTTCCTTGTGTATGTGAACCAGTTTTCATTTCCTCCATGGTGAGCTCTATTTTCAAAATCTTTTCTCTTTTGCTTCCTGTTGTTTTTTGGGGGATTTCCTTATTGATTTTCAGATTTTTAATGTTAAATAGATTAGCACAGTCTGTGGTAGGAGAGGTAAATATTTCTCCTCAGCTTGTTTGTCCTTTGACTTTTGGTACATTTTTTTTCTCTCTCTCTTATTTAACAATCTGTTATGTCCTTTGCTTTGAGTCCAATTCTGAAATTTCTTTTCCTTCCATGTCAATTATCCCATATTTTCTTCTAGCACTTCTATAGTTTATTATTTACATTTAAATATTCACCTATTTGAAATACATCCTAAGAAGCATTGTGACACTAGTCCAAATGATTTTTTTTAGATATCTCTTCTGTTCTCCTAATACCACTTACTAAATAGTCCATCTTGTCTCCAGTTGATTTTTAGATGCTTATTTTAACATGTACTTAATCCGCATATGTATTTATCTATTTCTGGAATATCTACTCGTTTTCTTGATATACCTCTCTATTCTTGCACTATTACCACACCATTTTAATTTTCAATATTTTATAATATATAAAAATATCTGTTAGACTGGTTCTCATGTTCCTCCTTGTCAGAGTGTTCCTAGCTATATTACATATTTTTAAGTTCTCTGGATTTTTAAAAAATCGAATATATAGTTTAAAACTAGGTAATACATTTATATGTTAATTTTAACAAATGCATTAATTGCTGTGGGTCCTATACCCAATTATTCCCCTGTCTTCAAAGTAACTATTGCTGTAAGTTTTTGTACCATTCTAGAATTTATTCATGTATATACAATAAAATTAGTCTGATTTATCCCTTTCATTTTATACATACTAGTTTACTATACATTCTGCTCTATATCTTTTACAAATAATCTTTATTCAAATAAAATATTATGGAACTAAAAAATATATAAGTATCTTGCAATTAAAATAGCCAATACCCATTCTCATTTAGAGTACAATCTAAATATTTCTTATATTTACATAATTGCTCTTTATTAAGAGGGTGATAAGCATGTATGATGCCACCACTAACTGGAATCTGAAATTTCTCAGTTGTAATCTTGATCATGACCATTAGATAGCATGAATCACATTTATAACTCTTCAGAAAATTCAAGGCACAATGGTACTTGTCTTCTTTATGGACCATGCTACCTGATGTAATTTGAGGCCCTTTAAAAAGCTTTTTCTCTGTTCTTCCTTTGGGACTTAAAGTTGCTTCAAATTTCCTATGTAGAGACCCACCATTCTAGAGTGATGCCTATTATTTCCTGTACAAATATGCCTGAGATTAGGGAATGTTCCACTTAAAAAGGACATGACTATTGTGAAAAACTTGATACCATACTGGACTAAGCATCAGAATTCCTGGGCTTTGATTCTAATGCTGCCAGATATTATTGGCATGACCCTGAGTAAGTCGCTTAAAATCTTTAAGCTCAGACTCATCTTTAAATTGTCTCAACTGTCATATAGTTTTTACTAGGACCAAATATGTATATATACATATATATATATATATATACCTTGTAAATTGGAAGTATAATACAAATATAGGGAATAATTATAAACATCATTTTTGATAGAGGTCCAAATGGAAAAATAATAAAGGGTATTGGCCATTGAAGAAAGAGGTAGCAGAGTCACCAAGTACAAAATGTCAGAAAACAAACATCACAATTTTTCTGACGGCCACTCAGAGCAGTAGCTTATCTTCAGCTACCTGGCTTCTTCCCAATGCCAGTGTCAAAGCTCTTGCCACTGTCCTCAACTGCAAGGTGAGCAGTGAAGAAGAAAATCCACAGGGAACAGTCCATCAAAGAGGCAGATCAAGCTCCTTTATGGATGAACATATTAAGGAAGTGCATATTTTAAATAATAATGATTTAATATTAATAGTACAAAAATTAAGAGCAAACATATAAATGCTTTCTACATGACAAGCACAGTCTGAGCACTTTACTGTCATTAACTTATTTAATCCTGATAACAATCATCTGAGTTAGGTAATAATGAAGAAACCGAGGCATGAAAAGATTAAGTAAATGACACACAGTCACACAATTTTAAGTGTTGAACCTGGGATTAAAATCCAGTCATTCTGCTCACTTTAATCATTGATTATCTAAAATGTTTCTGATAATTATTGTTTATTTTGTGTTTTTCCCAGTTCCCTGTGGAATTGTTCTTCCATTTAAATCTTGTAGTTAAAATAGTATAATGTTCCATTGTATTGAAGTTCTAGTCAATAACCTTATGTTGCTGAATATTGATTTAACTACTCAAAGAATCGCAAATATCATATGTGTTCAGTCATATGCTTAAAACCTGAAAAATATTTCAGTCCTACTGGTGATGGATATGTAAAGTGGGAAAGGGGAAGTAGGAATTGATGATGAGCTGGTAGTCACTGTGTTGTGTGGAGAAGTGCAAATGAACTCCTTAAATAATACTCAATTTATTCTGTATTATCTACAGAATCAGGAACCAGGGCTGATGCATGACATCTTGTATATATAAACCTTTAAAATCTATCTGCAGAGGACATTTGAGGTAGGCATTTTTTTTTTTGGATGCTCATATTTTAAATCTTGTTTCTATATTTGGGAAATCCTCCATTTTAGCATTCCTGGTGGGAGGTATAGCCCACCTCTCACCCTAAAATCTGAAAGAGGCAGATATTTATTTTTGTAGCCTATCTTCTGCCCAGGGAGGGTGTCTTTGACTCCTCTAATTAGACAAGTCTGCTCCAGACTTTAAATGGGAGCTAAGAAATCTGCCCTTCCTCCATGGTCTTTGTAACTGGTCTCTGGGTAATAAGAATAAGTGGTAAAAGTGGGATCCATTTTCTCTTATCAGATGCGTTGAGAGGTAAGTTTCAACAAATAATGCTCAACTGTAGTGGCATAAGATGTTCTCATAGTGCCAGTTCTGCTTTGTTATTTTTGGCTTTGTTCTTGACTCTGTCAAGAGTCATCTCTGAACTAGTTTTCTAGCCTTGCAATCAATACTTGGAATAACCCAAAGGGAATGTAATAAATTATTTTTCTGCCTAAATCAGATACAATTTAATTCTGTTGTTTGCAGTAAGCATCTGACCAACACAGAACCCACTAAATAGGAAGGAGAAGTGTACATCCACATTCATTCATTTACTAAACATTTACTAAGGGCCTATCTTGAGCCAGATACCAAACTAGTTTCTAGGGCTATGAAGATATCAAATCATTATCTCTATTCTCTTCTCCAGAATCACACATTGTGTCTGGCATCATGTATAAGATCTCATAAACCCAGCCCCCATCAGTTCTCTGTAATATCAAATTCTCACCACTCTAAGAATGATTCTGGGTTAAGGTTTTGTATATCCAAGCAACTGTAGTCACTGCATTACACTATAAGCTATCCCAAACAGCCACTGCATTCAATCTCCTTGATAGTAATTAGTTTGGTGGATCTAGCATTGTTATCTTAGAAAGAAAAATTAAGAAAACTGGGCATATTTCAACTTGGGAGAGATAATTCACCTACCCCTTTTTCCACTGAAAAGAACTCACATTTACCCCAGTGTTTATCTTTCTACATCCATCCCAGGCAAGTGAGCTTGTTTTGCCATATTTCTCTGAACTCCATAGAATGACCTGGGCAACAGTATATTTTTTTCCTGTCCTTCTCTCCCTTCCCACAGTTATCTCTCACTCTAGTAAATTTTACTTTGATTGAGTGGTTAGACTTTTGCTTAACAAGGTCAATTTATAGTGATTTTGTTGAGATACTCTTCCTACCCCTTCTAAAATCCTGGATGCATTCTTAAGCACAACCACTGAAAAATATTATACCTTAGAAGTTATAATACTTTGGTAAAAGTATTGTCAAATGAAAAACATGTAGGAATGAGCTTTAAAGATAGACCACATGATCACAAAACATATTTGGTTTTTTGTTGTTGTTTTGTCTTTTCTGGCAGCCTAATCAACAACTGAAAAAGAAACTTTCCGGTGTATATAGCACCCTTCTGTTTTGGAATAATAGAAAACTCCTTGAGTATAGTGTATACATCCCAAGGATGTTTAGTGTCTTAAGAAACCCAAGAGCAGGGATGCAGCTGAATCTTAAAAATGCATTAAAATCAGGGTAGAGAGTGCTGTAAAACCCTCTCTTTATTTCTAATCTCTGATTCTTTCCACGGATGTACTGTATTCTTCCACTAAATTTGGGCAGGCTTTTTCCAATTCCTAAGCCACCTGAAATAAAATGTTTCCTGGCAACATTTCCCAGGTCCCTACTCCTCTGCTCAAAAAGAGTATTCAGAAAGAGACGGAATTTGTTATCCTGTATTATCTGTCCTCAAGGAAGAAATTAAATGAACTCAGTATGAGTATACTGATCACCTTCAGAAAAGTATTTACCTCTGTCTCGGTGCAGGTTTATGCTGTGTGACCACCGCCACCTCCACAACTCTTCATTACACAGGGTCTTCCCACACTGACCATCACTATTCAGGTATTACAGTATCTCTTCAGGTAAACCTTCCTATATCCAACTCCCACTGGGCTGAGTGAGGTGCCCCTACAACTGGTTGCCACAGTAAATTATGCATCTTTGTTATATTAATATCATATTGTATAGATGAAGAATGTTCAAAGGAACTTCCTAGACAAAGGATGTGGAAGGGGTGGAGAAAGGGTGGCCAGACAAACGAATTTGCTGAGCACCGTACTGTACAATGAAGTAATTGGACATTTTTTGTTTGTTTCTGTGTTTGTTTTATTATGTTTTGCTTGTTTTTGGTCTTCAAAGGAGACTTGACACAACAATACAAATAACTCAAAATATTTCCATCATTAGAATAAGGAAAACATTAAAAAATATATTTAAAATATATGCTGAAGTCAAATTTTATATGTACAGACACACACACACACTCATAAATACACAGATCCCAAAAGTATAAAGCCAGAAATTGCCCTTGGAATATAACCTTTGAGGATATAGGAATATAATGGGTTTTACACAATGTAAATGCTGTAAATATAAACCCTGCTGCTGAAACAAAAATACTTTTCTTACTAATGGTTAGACATGTTTATCAATTACCAAAAAATTCTCCTCTGTCAAATATAGTTTTAGGATTTTTGAGATTAAAACAAAACATGAAGATTATCTTATATTCTCCTCATGGACTTAACCTCATTCATATTGGCTAAATTTGATCCAGAGAGACTGTTCAATTAGCAAATTTTACTATCTCTTATCAGTAAAATCTCTTAGTTCTTTGTACTCCAGAAAAAAATATTGGTAATATTACACTTACGAGAGTTCAGAGAATAATCATATAAGGAACAAATAATTATATTCAATGTTATGTTAGAAATAAGTACAAAGTATTGCATGTCATGGTGAATAATGTATGTAAACACCCTTTTAACTCCTTCTGTGCCTTAACTCCACACTCAATAATTTACTGTATCTACCTTTCTACCTACTTCATGGATTGGATTGCCTCAGATTTCTCAAAAACACTCCTTCCTGCAACTTCATTTGCTCTCATCTAGATTATTATAACTCTTAAGGCTTCTCCAGATTCTGGACTCATAGTCCTACAATATGTCACCATAGAGATACCAAAAGACTTCATGTATGACCATACCAAACCCTTCATTATGTCTAGTGATAACTCCCAACTACCATTCCAGTAAAATACGAATTTCTCAACATAAGTTATAGGACCTCCATTCTCTGGCTTCTACCTGCATCTCTAATTTCATTCTCATCGTGTTCCAATACTGAATGGTGTGATTTTCTCTGAACAGTCTTTGTTCTTAACATTCCTTTGAATTTCAAGATTTCCCTGGGCCCAAAGTTCTATAGAAGACGCTCTTCCCCATAGATCATCACCACCACTGCCATTCTTCATTACATGGCAATCTTCTATGTTGACAATTCTGATATTATAGTGCTTCTTCTGGGAACTTTCCCCAAGATTCCCATCTTCCTAAGCTGAGTGAGGGTTTCTCCACTGTTTCCCATAGTATCCTGTGCTTTCGGGTTCCATTGTATTTATTGTATTTAATACACTCCATTGGTATGGGTTACGGGTTCTTAAAAAGTCTGTCTTTCCCACTAAGCTCTTATTATATGACATACTGTTTTGCTTTATCACCTTAGATCTTTTCAGAATTTATAAATATGTATATGTAAAAGAACCTACCCTAAACTTATTCATGTTTTTACCTCAGACTAAAATAGAGTTCCTAAGAAATACTGCGACACAGTTTTTGCTCCTTTCTTCCACTGCCTGTTGCGGGAAGTCAGGGACCCCAAACGGAGGGACCGGCTGAAGCCATGACAGAAGAAGGTGGATTGTGAAGATTTCATGGACATTTATTAGTTCCCCCAATTAATACTTTTGTAATTTCTTATGCCTGTCTTTACTGCAATCTCTAAACATAAATTGTGAAGATTTCACGGACACTTATCACTTCCCCAATCAATACCACTGTGATTTCCTATGCCTGTCTTTACTTTAATCTCTTAATCCTGTCAGCTGAGGAGGATGTATGTTGTCTCAGGACCCTGTGATAATTGCGTTAACTGCACAAATTGTAGAGCATGTGTGTTTGAACAATATGAAATCTGGGCACCTTGAAAAACGAACAGGATAACAGCAATGTTTAGGGAACAAATTCCAACCGCCGGTGAGCCGGGTGGAACAGAGCCATATTTCTCTTCTTTCAAAAGCAAATGGGAGAAATATTGCTGAATTCTTTTTCTCAGCAAGGAACATCCCTGAGAAAGAGAATACGCCCCTGAGTGTGGGTCTCTAAAATGGCCCCCTTGGGTGTGGCCGTTTTCTATGGTCGAAACTGTAGGGATGAAATAAACCCCAGTCTCCCATAGCGCTCCCAGGCTTATTAGGAAGAGGAAATTCCCACCTAATAAATTTTGGTCAGACCGGTTGCTCTCAAACCCTGTCTCCTGATAAGATGTTATCAATGACAATGGTGCCCGAAACTTCATTTGCAATTTTAATTTCGCCCCAGTCCTGTGGTCCTGTGATCTCGCCCTGCCTCCATTTGCCTTGTGATATTCTATTACCTTGTGAAGTACGTGATCTCTGTGAACCACACCTATTTGTACACTCCCTCCCCTTTTGAAAATCCCTAATAAAATCTTGCTTGTTTTGCGGCTTGTGGGGCATCACGGAACCTACCGACATGTGTTGTCTCCCCCGGACACCCAGCTTTAAAATTTCTCTCTTTTGTACTCTGTCCCTTTATTTCTCAACCCAGCTGATGCTTAGGGAAAATAGAAAAGAACCTACGTGACTATCAGGGCAGGTTCCCTGATAACTGTCCAATCTCTCCACCTCACCACTTACCTCACCTCTACCCTCTACCCACCACCTCAAATGGAAGAGCCATGGGATAATCTGATTAGAGCATTAGGAAGAGGGACTGAGCATGGATGGATAGCACAGTCTCTCATAGAGCCTGCCTTCCTGTAAGTAATGTACCACTCCTTCTTCCCCTAGTTCATACCCACAGAGAGAAGGGCTGCCCCTTGAAGAGATGAGGTTGAGTTGCTAAGTTTCTCATGTGCAATGACATGAGAAAAGCAAATTCAGCGCTAAACCCAATTTAGCTTTAAATCCAAGCTATATGCCCATTTCACTGATAATAATGTTAACAGTTCATTCTGTATTTGGCTCTTAAGCTCATGTCTCAATCCGGTTAAAATTCAGAGGAAGCAGATGTGAATAATTAGTCCCTTTAGAGACTTTCAAAGTAACATGAGGGTTAACACTTACAGTTGAAAATAACCTTTAAGGGAGGAAGATATAACTAGAAAAACACAAATAAGAATGAAGTTTTTTTAAAATTTGTCTTCAATAGCTAGTTATTGATTTGTAATTTATGCTTATAAATAACTGTGCTTCCCACCAACAGAAGCAGAGATTTGAAAATTTACAACTCTTTAGGTGATGCTGGAAAGAATAAGGAAGTCTTACTATTCACTACGGTCAATACTCAGCTTCTACAGCTTTGATTTGAAGAGTTAATTTATCTTTGCAGAGGAAAATTATCAATACAAAATCTAAAATTAATTGTATGTTGAGTTAGAGGAGACTTGAGTAAAGTATTTTAAAATAACCATGCCCTCTAAAAGTGAACTCTATGTGACCTATACTAGAGCCATACGATGTTAAAAAAATTAAGTGAGTAGAAAATTAAAAGGAAAATGTTCTACCATTTTTCTTAGGCCTCACTGACACTATTACCCTGTATTTATCTATAGCCAAGAGGCACTTAGTACTTCCAATAAATATGAAGTAAAATAATTTCGGAGATAACTTCAGAGTAGCACAATAAAAGAAATTCTAACTGCTAGATAAATTTGAGGCAGCTGTCTGCAGTGGAAAGGTCAGTAAGTTTAGAGAGAGGGGCCCTGAATTCTAGATGACCTATGTCAAGTTACTTATGTCTCTGAGCCTCAGTTGCTTCACATATAAAACGGGATGATAATACAATCAATTTCATAAGCTATTATGAAGATTTAAATGAGAGTTATATAAGGTTCATATTTGTAAAATGCTTACAACAGCATCTATCGTATAATTAGTAAATAATAATAATAGCAAATACTTATAAAATGCTTAATACTTCCAGACATTATCCAAATGTTCTACATATATTAACTCATTTAATCATCATACTTTACGAGGCAGGTATTAAATACTAGTTGATATTGTTGCTTACATTACTAGGATTTCTAAAATGTTTATATCTTTTGTGCCCCATATACACATTATCTTTTTACACTCTCACTCTCATGTATTTTGAAGGGATCTCAAGGTCAGGAATCATGTTTTTAATTATATTCTGTGGCTTCTAATGTCTGAGTGCTTAATAACACGGCAACAAAAGGAAAAATGTGGTAGGGCAAAGGCATACCTCAGAAATCTAAAGACTATGGGTGAATTGGTGGCTCTGTATCAATAGCAACATCATTTTGTCCTGGATGCTTATAATTGTGCCTAGTAAGTTAGAGTATGGACGGGGAAATGAACGAATGAGAGACACTAACAAATGTCACATATATATTCTTTCAGCCATAGATTTGAGGCAGAGACAAAAAAAAATTAAGGCTCTTTATATAACATAGAGCATACTTATTACTCAGGCTAGATTATGACCAGCAGCAGCAAGCCACTGGGCTCTGGCATTCATATGCTCTGCAATATGCAGAGAGAACAGATTTGCACATGCACAATTTATTCTTGGAAGGAATCAAAGAGAGCATCCTAAAGGCCATCTGCAGGGCCACATACATAAGCACACATCTGAAGATCATTTTCAAAGGCACAAGTAAACTAATTTCCTTCATTCATTCCTGTCTTCAAGGAGCTCACAGCTGAAGGAACATCAAAACATAGCATTGCAGTTCTTTATAAGCACAGAGAAAGGGAAACTGACTCAAAATAGGGAGTTCAAGGACTGCTTCTAAGGGAGAACATGCCAGAGCTAAACCTTGGAGGAAGAGAAGATCAAGTGAAAACAGAAGAAGCATTCCAACCAGAAAAGAGCAGCGTCTCTATGTGAGCTAAAATTCAATACAAATAGAGAATTTTGGGTGCGGTAGTGATGGAATAAGAAGCTAGAAAGCAAGGCAGGGACTGGTAATAGAAGAGCTGCTGTGCCTCATTTAGGATTTTAGTTTAGTTCAAAAGAAACAGGACTGGTCCAGGTTCTTTAAGCAGTGTCATGACCTAATCAGGTTTTATATATTTATATTACATATAACATATATAATATATATATAAATTTATATACATATCTGTTAACTTTTTGAGCGTTTAGGACATAATTATAAAATAAAATGGCAGGAGTTTTAAATTTTTACCATCATGCATGAATATAAGGCTCATTAGTTGTTCTAAATAATATGCCTTAAAAAAGAAATGCAGCTCTGTTCTTTTAACGTGGGAAAATAACGTTCCAGGTGTGGTCACTTCATTCTCTCATAGGCACTATTCCAAATAACTATGATATAGATGGAGGTAAATTGGATGTATGAATGAGAGGCACTCATTATAGAACATTCCAGTCATGAAGGAGGAGAAGATGACTGGAAGGAAGCCACTGGTGAGCAGGTGATGAGCTGTTTTTAACTCTTTTTCAGAAAATAAGATTTTTTAAAAAATTCTTATTCAAAAAGATATTTTTTCATTTGAAGATTATCTCTATAATACATAAAAGAGAGAATTCAGGAAAGTTGCTTTCAAAACTGTGATGATTGGAAAACTATGCAGCCAGTAAAGAAGATGTTACAGAAGAATAATATTCAAATGGCATGAAAAATATTTAATATATATAAAAATATATAATTTGGTGAAAAAATCTATATGAAAAACTTTAGCCAAATAAGTATGATAGAAGAAAATATCTGGATGGACTGTTAACATTGCTTTAGATAACAGGATTATAGGTGCTATTTTTTTCTTTTTGCTTACTTGTATTTCTATAATATTATAATAGATATATATTTTCTGGGTAAACAAAACATTAGGTATTTATTCAAATTAAGGAATTTGGAACAAAGAGTCAGTCTATGAAATCAAAGGCTCGTAAGAAAAGAAAGTGTGTTTCTAACAACACAAAAGTAAAAATATAATATTCTATATGATTTAATAAGTTTTGTAAATTTTGTAATATTACCCCTTTAAAAAATGTATAAGTGCTTTCTTTATGCTTACACCAATATTACTTTTTATTATTTTTACTCTTTATAGTTTTACTGTTTTGGAGTAAATGCTCTTACAATCAGTGTTACAACAATTTTCAATAGCCCCAACTTACAACTGTTGAATAATTTAGAAAAATAAATTTCAATAGTTACAAAGTTAAACAAAGAAAATAGTTAAAGAAATACAAATCAGCTCAAAGAATGCACAATAAGCAAATCTAGGAGTATCTTTAAATTTTTAAAAAGCTCATTTCTTGCAATGGATAATTTGGTTTGAGTTCTTTAAATGTACAGATGTAAAGCTATAAAGTGTTATCTCAGATCTAACTACATCTTGTGGTATGAGAACTATGTAAGCATGAGCTAAGTGTACTTTGCATATATTCAGGTAAAGTTTCGGAGCATATTACACCTACATATGCTATGCAAAATGTTGCAGAAGATTAAATTACCCTAGCCACATTTGGGAAGCGGCAGTATGTCTGTCATTGCATGTAAACATATGCAGATTTATGTAAAAGATTCTCAAATATGTGTACCTACAGTCCTAAACTCCCCACAGACATGTAAAGCCAGAAGGTTTTGTTTATTTTCAAATTATTGGAAAATCTATAAATGGGAGTAACAAAATAGATATGCTTACGTTGTATTTTCAAATTGGAGGCATCTGTGTGAGGGTTTGTTTTGTTTTGTTTTGTTTTTTTATTTTTTGGTTAAGTCATTTGGCAAAGATTTTAAATTCATCACAGTAATCTATATGGTAGACTAATGCAAGCACAAAATTTCCATTTGCTTCAAAAAGTCCTCCAGGAATTTGAAAAAGTGAGAGTTCATGCACCATTTTACATAATGAATCCAATTCCTTCAGCACCTAAGTCCCTTCCTGATGGTTGTATTTGTTAGCTTTTCAGGTGGTGCATTAACTCTTTCAAGTTATTGCAACAGAATATGAAATATTGCTAAAGTGATTTGTCAGAGTGAAATCACTTTCTAGTGTAAACCAAAAAGTGTCTGAGACAGGTCTCGATCAATTTAAAGGTTTATTTTGCCAAGGTTAAGTACCATGGCCCATGACACAGCCTTAGGAAGTCCTGAGAACATGTGGCCAAGGTGGTTGGGCTATCGCTTGGTTTTATACATTTTAGGGAGACAGAAGTTACAGGCAAAGACATAAATCAATACATGTAAGGTATATAATGGCTTGGCCTAGAAAGGCGGGGCACCTTGAAGTGGGGTGTCTTCCAGGTCACAGGTAGATTCAGCAAGTTTCTGATTGGCAATTGGTTGAAAGAGTTAAGCTCCGCCTCAAGAACTGAAGTCAGCTTAAATTAAAGTAAGGGGTGGGGGGTTATGGAAGCTAAGGTTCTTGTCATATAATGAAACCTCCAGGTAGGAGGCTTCAGAGAAAATAGATGGTGAATGTCTCTTATCAAATCTAAACTGTGTCAGACTTCCCCAAAAAGACCTAATAAGGGAGAGAGTCTCCACAGAATGCAGATTTCCCCTACAAGTGACAGCTTTGTAGGGCCACTTTAAAATAGGTCAAAGAAATATATTTTGGGGTAAAATACTTTGATTTCCTTCAGAGCCTGCTATATGCCATGTTGTAAACCAAAAATAAAATTCTAAGCCCCCCAACAGACTGAATGGACCCTCTTGTTGGCTAAGATGATCCCAAAGCAACCTGAAAAACTAGTTCAGGCCATGACAGTAATTCAGAATATCAGTAATTATAATGTCAGACATGCTTCACTATAACCTCCTCCCTTTCCAGTTTAGACGCAACTGACCAGCATTAACATTAAAACAGTGATCTTAAGACTGACAAAACAGATTCTTCGTAGCAATAAGATATCAAATTCCTGACTCTAGTATAACATCACATAACACAAAAAGAAAGAAATCAAGATATTTTTACCCCAAAATATCTTCTATATTTTGAAATGGACCTGCAAAGGCATCTTTTTTGAGGGAATATTTGCATCTATGAATAATCTCTATATTAATATAACTAGATCTTCCCCTTTTCAGGCCCTCCCAATCCTGAAGAGATGAATTGAGAGGCTAGCACCTTTTAAAGGTCTAAACAGGAAACATTTACCATTTATTAGGAAGGCCACCTATGAGACTTCATCTACATAATAAGAACCATGGTCTCCACAATGCTTATTTTAACCCTTCCCCCTTTTGGAGGGAAAGGGCAAATTAAACAGTTGTATAATTAAATCCTTAATTTGAATTGGTTTCTTTTATCACCTTCCATTTTATGTGACAGCTAGCTCAAAGTTTGTTCTGATGGTAAAGGAGGAAGCGATGTAGAGCTACTGTCCTCAGAAAATCTGGTGTCGAGCTGAGCATAGTACAAATGTATGGAAGTCGAATTTTATGATTTTGTCTGTTGGACATTCTTGCTATAAATCAGAGTCAAAGAAAACATATCCATGTGTTCAATGAGGTTTTTATCTTTCTAGTGCCAAGGTCTTTGTTGATAACATTTTACACTCAGGGAAGCACATTCAGGTTTTTATCCCGCTAGGGGAGCACTTAGCATATTACTGCTTCAGTGTCCTCTTAGCCTCCAAGTGTGAATGAGCTTCTTTGAGTACCCACTTATGACTTCTCCCAGAGAGAGACGAAGGCAAGGGAGGGAGAGAATTAGGCTATAATTTTTAAGGCTCCTTAGAACTCTCATTATTATTTAGAAGTGAAGTTTGCATGATTACAAGATCAAATTCTCAAGACAATGACTTTGTTTTCTGTTCCAACAGTTGCCTATCTGCCACTTGCCTGTGCTGTCTTGAAAACAAACACCTTTGGTGGCCACTGTCGTGCTCCAATTTGAATTAGTGTCAGAGTAATTCTGCAATCCCTTATGATCAATGTTCTACGGTTTTTATAGGTATCCCTCCTCTGCATAAATATTTCCTGATCTACCTCTCTGCTCTGCCCCGGAGGTCTATAACTATTTCCTAAAATGGCTTTAAAAAAGAAAAGCATTTCTTTCACCTCTATTAAGATGTCTCTGCAGCACTAGATAGGAGGCAGAGGCTGTTTCTGTCATCATTATTTCCTTCAATCTGTGACACACAAATACATGTCCCTATTCCATGGATTCAAGCCTGAATACTAATAGTCTCCAAACAATCCAGTGGAAAACGGACTTAATATTTTGCCAAAGTAAGGATGTATCAAAACTGTGCTTTCTAATTAGATGACTATGTGCCAAGTAGTTACCATTGTTTTTTTGTTTTTTTGTTTTGTTTTGTTTTGTTTTGTTTTCCAGTGGGGCTTTGTTCTTCTACATTTTAGTGTGTGTGTGATGTTTTTATTTACATATATTTTGACATAATAATAATCTCCTAGTGCTCATTTTCCTTATAACTGCTTTCTGTTACTAGCTGATGCTATTGCTGGCTAAATAATGCCAATTCAAGATTTTTGCAGGAACTTTTTAAAAAAATGACCAAAAATGAGTGACCAACTAAATTTAGGAGTCCTCCTTTGTAAGCAAATTCACTGTACACAATTTGATACAGTTTTAGATCATTTAATACAATGATAACAACAAATTTAAGCTGCATTAGCCATATTCTTCTGCACATTATATTCCAGTTGCTTCTGACAAAGTGAAATCCAGTTTTAGCTTGAAAAAGGAAATCAATGAGGAATGAGAAGGCAAACTAGTATTTTTAGATTTAACAATGCCAGCACCATTCTTATTCCTTTATACACATTATTTCACTTGCTACTCACACCAATATTATGAGATAGATATTGATTTTTCCATTTTATAGATGAAGAAACTGAAGTTCAACAAGGTTAAGGAACTTGCCCAAGTTCAAACAGCTCATTAGTTTCAGACCCGCAATTTTAATCCTGATTTCTTGTTAGAATCTATGGTTTCTAAATAAAAGCATATAACAATAAACAATGAAAGATGGAAAAAAATTACAGAATTTTTAAGTTGGGAGTTCAAACTATCGAAAGCCTGAGCAAAAAAATGTTGAGGTTTAGTGGAACGGCAAATAATTTAGATAAGATCCTAGGATTAAGAACAATGTAACTTTCGTCATAAGTGATAGGGAGGAAAAGGAACAATCAAACAAGGACACAAACAACTGGTATCAACAACTGAAAGGTCAGGTTGCAGACAGCTCAGGGATAACTCTGAGGACATCTCAGAATAGACTGATCTCATAATGTCTTCTGGAATCAAATGTTTTCAAACCCATGCAATTTGGCATCTTTTTCCCATAGAAAGTATTCTCCCCTGCCTTTTTTCTTAATATTGAAATTGAGTGGAAAAATTGGTGTTTCTTTTTCATTAGAAACATGGGAATCCATTGAACAAAATATGGGATATTTTTAAAAGAGGAATTTCTAGGATATATTATGACCTGGGTTTTTTACCTTTCTCATTTTAGGCTTTTCACGGATTAATAAGTTAATTTTAAAATCAATAAAATGTCTGGGCCCATAATTTATTTTCTTAGATTTGTTGGGGTGTGGGGTAAAGGGTGCATAAAGTGCTCATATCAAATACAAAGAAAAAAATAAAACATTTGCTAATTAGAAATGAGGAGGGTATCATGTCTAAATAATTAATATTGATCAGGTTTTCTAAAGATTATTACATCTGATACAGACCCCAATTTGAAATAGGCTTTGAAAAAGTTCCTACAGTGTTTAAGAGTTTTGGAAACTACATAGATCTTTTAAAAGAGGCTAGAAGAGAGAAGTTTATTAAGTCATTTTTCGGTAAGAATGAGTTGATAATAGTTGTCAAGAAGAAAAGAAAGAGCACATAACTTATACTGCACAGCTGTTTCCTTATTCCCATGAAGAGTAATAAAGCAAAGGATGAGTTTTCGGAGAAGCAGGAAGAATTCTTGGATGTGAATATAAACTTCCAGACCATCAGAACGATAAGATACTGTAGTTCCTTTAAAAACATAGCCGTCTTTGGCCTGCAGCAAAATAAATATTAAGAAGGATTAAATATTTAAACAATTCCCCAAGAGATAAATGGTTAATAAAACGAATGAGTCAAAATAAAGAAACACTCTGTCAGAATAAATGCTTTCACCCAATGTGTCTGACAGTGGCCCTCTGAAAAGATGAAACTTATATTACTTCCTAAATAAATAGTTCTATTTGAAACAATTTTAACCTCAAAAAGTCCCTGGTGGTGGTAATTCTTCTTTTTCAAAGTGTCTAAGTAATCATTTATTTGTGGCTTTTATTCTGATTAATGATTTAGACCTATCCCTTGATTGATTTTCTACTTATAACTTCCTTATACTTTTTCATGCCTGTCAGAAGTTTGTTTTGGAACTTTATTTCTCTCCTTCATACAATTTCTCAACCCTACACACCATTGTGTGTTTTACTCTCCTCATAGTGCAATTTCCCACCGTGGAAGACCCCCGAACCTGGGCTGCTCCCATGTCAAAATGGCATCAGCATTTCTACAAATTTAACATTGAAATGTCATTATATCCAAAGTGATTATTGAGCCTCTCACTGTGTGTCAGGTCCTGATGATAACCAAAATGTGATAACCTCCTTCTGCCACCCGTTCAGTTCAATTTCAGGACTGTTTTTTATATTCTGTCTAGGCAATGATTCATCCTACTTGACTGTCCCTCATGACACTTATTCTGCAAAAGACCTACAGCGCACACTGCAGATGTTACAATTCTCAGGCAGCACTCAGAGCTAAATGACCTTCACAAGGTCACACACCTTCCTGCTGGAAAAATGAATAAAGATACGTTGAATTTATTCAACATAACTTTTTGGTAGTTCCCCTTTCCTACCTGTTTTAGCTTTTTACATGGGGTTTATGCTCGCTCCATGGCGGTGGCAAGGCACTAAGAAAACAACAAGCTCTTACAACTGCTTTTACCCCAAGCTATTTCACAAAACCATCAGAAGAATGGGTTCAATGAGTCATATTCTGTTTCAGCCCAGGGATTTCCTTCCTTACTAAAAAAAAAAAAAAGGAACCAAGGAAAAAAAATGAAATAATGTAGTTTTCTAATACTGATTACAAGAGCATCTACAGGAGTTACGGTGGGTTCAAGGTTTAAGGCACCGGAAAGCTCTCTGCATTGTAAATTCAGTGCAGTATATTTACAACCAAAGCCATTTTCTTATGCTCTGAAGAAACCTCCAATAATTTCTTTCCAAAAGGTTATTCCAAGGTGAAGCAGGCATGAGCCAATGGTATTACATATCTTAGTACTATTAATTTAATGAATGAAGTGTTTTTCATCCTAATGTCATTATCCTGAGGAGTGGGTCTTATGGCCAAACCAACTCCGAATCGTACCTGGCAGTTCATCCATCTCACCTGGGCCCTCTTCCCCACTTTATCAAACTCTGGCTGTGTTCTGGCTTCTTATTCTGTGTTGTTAAGAATCTAAGCACTCTTTGAATTTCTACTTTCTTACATTTTCTAATTCTCTGTAATATCTTACTTGCCAGCATAGGGTTTCCTATATCCACTAATTTAGCACATTCAAATTCTACTATTATAGCATTCATTTTGTGCACTTATTACTTTACCCAATATATTCTTTCCTACTGTACACCATTTCCTTTCTCATCAACCCTAACCAATATTTATCATGCACCAGGCATTACACATGACTGAGGGTACCCAGTTATAAGCAAAAGATAGTTTCTGTCATCATAAAACATATTAGCAGCAGTAAAGAGATAATAAACAAGTAAAAAATGATTAATTCAAAATTCAAATTTGAATTGCTATAAAGAAAACTGAGGTGATGTCTTTTAAGCTAAGACCTGAAGTATGGCAAGGACTGAGCTATCTAAAAAGCTAATGCCAGCTCATGTAGAAACTTACCAAGCTACAACAAAAGAAGAGAAAAATAAAAATTACATTGGTAAAATAAGAAGAATAAAGGACAATTAGATCAAGTAAAATAGTTGTTGGGAATTAAAAATACAACACTGAAATAAGAAAGGAAAGGATGTAAGATGAAGTCAAGAAAAATGCTCAAAAATTAAAGCTATGGAAATTAAAAAAAAATCTTGAAATTTGAAAAGACTATTTAAAAGTTTCAGTATTTCAATGACAAAAATTAAAGAAAATCAGACTGATAAAAACAGGTGGAAAAAACTATCAAATAAATAATACAACAATATTACCTATAAATTATGGACATGTGTCTCTGAACATAAAGAGCTAACAAACGGTCCTGCACAATAAAGAAATCCTGAATTAAAGCACAGTATTTAAATTTTTCAGCATATCAAGGATAGCAAAAAGTTCCTAAAATATTTGGAGTGAAAAGATCTTATATAAAAGAATTGGAATCACAGTATTTCAGAAATTCTCAATAATAACAGCCAGAAAACAATAGATTAATGCATTGTCCTCACAACTCTGAAAGGACATGATTTTCAATAGAATTCTGCATTTAGCTTGTTAATTGGAAGGACAAAATAAATTTATGTTTGGATATGTAAAGTTTTAAGAAACATATTGCCCATTTTTCTGATTTTTACAGAGCTACTAGAACATGTGATCCAAAAAACAAGAGGATAAACTAAATGAGGTAAAAAGATTTAGCAAGAAGAGAGAAGAAGGAGACGTCTTTAAAATACAGGAAACTCCAAACAACACAGCTAGTTATGCAATTATGGACAGAGCAGTTTTAGAAAACAAATGCCTCAGGCTCGCAGGATAGGATGAAAGATGACACTCAGGAAAAAGTGGAAATGATAAAATCTCTAGTGGAATTGAGCTTTTGCAAAATAATGTTGTTGACAGGTTTATAATGAGTAAAAATGGGTACATTGGAAACTAAGCAAATAAAACATGAAGCAAATATTAATTTCAGGGAAAATAAGTTACACAGGTAATAAAACTTCCACCTTGTAGGCAATTTTCTTACTACTAGATAATACTTATATTGTCCTATAATATACAAATTTACAATCAAGTTAACCAAAAAATTTTATTGAGCTTTTTAAAGAAAGTAGGTGGGAATTTGGAAGGGTGGTATGAAAGAAAGGGAAATGCGGTCTTTCATAAAAGAAAATCAATAAACAGTGATTTAAATGACTGCATCAGCAAATGTCAAGATATGCATATTATTTTGTACAATGGAGATAAACAAAAACAAAGCAAAAAGAATAAAGCCATGACTCCTGAAGAGTAACCTTGAGCATGGGGCAGAAAAGAAAACAGTATATCTATTTATTTTATACAAACCATTAGTACAATTTTATTTTTCAAAAATGACCCTTTATTTATTAAAACAAAAACAAATAAATTGTTAATACAACAACAATAAACATAATAAATGTGTAGTCTGTCATAAACTTTTAAAACCCAGAAAAAATTAAAGAGGGAAACAAAAGTCACTTTTAATCCTGCAACCCAGAGACAACGACTATTTCCTGCAAGGAAATATTTTCAACTATATTTAAATTTAATTAGTATCACATTGAACATGGAAAAATCAATAGATACCAATTACATCTTATCTCATTTACCGGTCATAAAGAGGAAAATAAATAGTGCTATTATATTTAGTATAGATAATAGAATAGATAATAGAATGTATCTACCCCAATTTTAATACCATAAACTCAAGCTGTGTTTCCATTTTTTGAGAATGTTAATATGTATATACAAATATATTTAATGGAAGGGTAATTTTTTAAAATGAGATGATAAAGGCATAGCAAGCAAAGAGATGCCCCTATTCTGAATAGGGTGAGAGTGTATTCCATTGCAGGTATCCAAGAGAAAACTGTTCCTGGCAGAAAGACCAGCAAGGATAGTCTCTGAAATGGGAGGAAGCTGAAAGATTTGAGAAACAATCGGGAGGCCAGCATGGCTGCAGCAAAAACCAACGGGACATGAGTAGGCACTGAAGTCAGCAAATGAATGCTTTGTCTCTGCAGATTGAATGGACTTTGGCTTTCCACACCCCAACCCCCACCACCACCCAGCGACTTGGAACACCATCACAGTTTTTTTTTAATTATTTTTAATTGAAAATAATTGTAAATATTTATCTTATAAAACATAATATTTTGAAAGATGCATGCATAGTGAATGGGCTTAACTGTGCTAATTAACATATACATTATTTAACATATTTATTTTTTGTGATGAAAATATTTAAAATCTACTCCTTTGGCAATTTTCAGGAATACAGTACATTTTTGTTTATTGTAGTTATCATGTTGTCCAATAGATCACTTGAACATTTCCCCTCCTATCTAACTGAAATTTTTTGTTCTTTGACCAAAGACTCCCACCCCACTCCAGCCTCTGGTAACCACCATTTTACTGTCTGCTTCTGTGAGTTGAACTTTTTCAGATACCACATATAAGTAATGTCAGCCATCACGATTTTGAGGAGGGGAGCGACAGGGTGAGATTTACACCTCACCAAGCTCACTCTGGTTGCTAGATTGGGCTTAGTATTACAAGTCAGAGGTAATGAAAGATTCACCCAGGTGAAGGTAAAGAGATAAGGAGATAAGAGACAAGAAGTGGTCAAATTCTGTATATAGAAATAAAAGGGAGAGTTTTCAGAATTTTCTATGTTTTGAAAGTAGGTCCCTTTTACCTTTCTCTTGCTTCCAGATTGTATCACAGACCATTAGGTTAAACAAATTATCCATTCACATTCAAAGATAATGCAAAGGCAACATTCAGGATTCCAGATATTTTTCACTTTTTTTCTGCAGTCACTGAGGTTTTATGTGACTAGTCTTATGTATTAGTTGGTTCCATCACCCCACTTCCCCTCCCACCCACCCCCATCCACACACAGCACAACAATGAAAAAAAAAATCTGTTTGCCAGCATAGAACTGTGAAGCAGTAACTCACATCTAATAACCATGGAAGCCTAATGACACCAAAAAGGTCTGAAGGGGATCCTCAAAGGATTGCAAATTGGTATGAACATGTATTTCCCAGTAGGAACGTCATGTTATTTAGTTTTACATACAATTATCTGCATTTCTCAGTGTTAAAGACTTTGAAATATAAAATAAATCATGGCTCAAATGTATAGGCCTGTATTAGATCTCAAAGGATATAAAACTTCTACTATAAACGTGGTAGAAATGTTATCTTGTATCTACCTCTGTCCACCCTTCTACCTCCTAAATTACAGTGAGCAATTGGATCTGCCAGGGGTAAGAAACGAAAGCATTTGTGCTTGAAGGGTTCTGGTTGCCTAAGACAGACAAGACATGAGTAGGCTTTCAGTACTGCATATTTCTGTGGCTTCCCATGACAATCTGTAGAGCAAACAACAACTATGACACTACAGTGTTCTGGAAATTGGTTAGATTAGAGAAAAAACAAAACTCTTTAGGTTTCAAATTAATTACCTACATATATTCTGTGCATCCCATTTTTCAGATGAAAAGAGGTAGAGGATAAATAATCTACCCTGGATCACACGGTCAGTTTGTAACAGTAAGAATCCTTAATTCCTGTTTTTTTTTTTCTTCCTCACAATTGAATACTGTTTTCACGATGACATAATGTACAGCCTTAACCAGAGGAAAGGATTTCAATACTATATGTGCTTCTGTGTTTAATAGTCTATAGTATAATATAGAATTATGCCATTTTGAAATGGCTTTGGTGTATCACCACACCGTTCTTTTATATAAAATTAAATGAAATACTGGTAAATTAAAGAGGTATTAGGTTGGTGCAAAAGTAACCGCAGTTTTTTTTTTTTTTTGCCATACTTTTAATGGCAAAAACCACAATTACTTTTGCACCAACATAATAGTACAGCAGTGTTTAAGAGTATGACATTTACATTTAAATCTCAGAAGCTTACTTACTGCATACATGACATTGGTCTAGTTATTTCAACTCTGTATGTTTTAAGTTGTTTTTCTTCTATAAAACAGAGAAATTAATGGCATTTACGTCACATTTGGCTATGAGGATGAACTAAATAAAAACATGTAAATCATTTAATATAGTCTCTGTGCATAGAATGCATTAAATAATGTTAATAATATTATTATGAAGTTCATTCTACTGAGCTGACAATGAGAAACACCCTTTATTACATTAATATTAGTTTTATTCTACACATAGATATTTTGTGTTGAAGAAAAGCAACTTTTAAAGTCAGAAAATAAGGCAATACATGGCAAAATGCTTAGAAGCTAATGTGTGTCCTAGAGGTGTTGAGGTTTGTTGTATTATAAATAATACTGTTCACATTATCCCTCCTGAGTTTCTGCAGCATGGTAAAGGTAATAATGTGTAACTGATGGAATTTCAAAGAAAGCATTATTAAAATATTTGTTCAGTGACCTTTTTGCTCTTTACCTTTTGTCTTCCTGTGGCTGTTAACATTTGGTAGCAATCTCCATCTATCTTACACATTTCTTTCTCTTCTACTCATGATGTTCATTTAATTGGTTCAGGACTCCTATTGTATTTTCTTTTTGCAACTGAGAAAAGATTTGTGATGGTGCTTATTAGGAAGTTTATGTCCAAAGTTAGAAGATGCAGGCAGGAAGAAAGACATGACAGTGAGTAGATCTCTGATTAAAAAGAAAATAAAACATTAGTCAGCTTCTCATGGTATACGAATTATAATAAGTACTTTGGAAGACCTTTGTATTCCACCACCTAGCGGGGTGCCATATGGTAAAGTTCTTCCTTGTTACTAAAGAATGCTTTTGCCTGTGTGGGATGCTAAATCTGTCAGTGGTATTTTATTCCTGACAATTTAGAATGCTGAGATAGTCTATAAACCTATTTACATATTTATGATATTGTCAGGATACAATTCACAGATTTAAAAATTTTAGATGAAAACAGCAAAGGAGCGCAGAAACAAGAAAGCATATTTTTTAGGAAAAAAATGCTTAAAAGAACAAGAAAAATATCTTCCCATGATGCGTGGATTAGGGATGACTCAGAACATTCTCACAGTCACAGTCGGCTTCCACAAGACAAAAAAATTCAAGGTAGCTCAAAGAACTGAAATCTTGCTTTTTCTAATCTATGTGAGAGAACATTGGTAGGGAGGATTGGGTATTTGCTAACTTCACCAGGCACACGAATATTCCAGATTCCACATTTGTGATGTAGAGAATCGGATTCTTTGAGAGCCTTCTCAGCAAGGAATACTTTCTTAGGAATGCCCTCAGATTTATAGAATTAAAAATAACAATGAGGTCAAATACTCACTTGATTCTCTTTATCTCCCTTGCGTTTATGGCTAAAGAGGGGAGATGTGCACCTTTTAGGCACAGCCCTAGTTTGGTGCCTGCTGCTCCATGGTTTAGCCTCGTTAGACTTTCAGTGACAGGTGTTGGGGTGCTTTTGCTGAGAAAAGTCCCCTTGTCCCAGCCCTGCAGGGCAGGCATGCCAGTCTCTGCCAGGTCCGCTGGCCCTTGATCTTTGAAGGAGTCCTCAGGCCTCTCGAAGCATAAGGATGTTTTGCAAGTTTCCAGAATCTGGCCCAGAAATTAGGGCTCAATTTCCTGACTGTAGTAGAGGCAAAGATACTTAAGGAATAGCCCTTGCTGTGAACCTTATCAGACAGGTGCCGGGAGAAGTGAGCTGGGTCTTGTTATTCTTTGGGTGTTGGTGGAATAAGCAGTGAAATTTGAACAAGAAAGAGGAGAAAAGGGAATTTCATCTTTATGGGGTGGGGGTGATTTTTCTCCTAGGGTTATCTCAAGTTGGGGTTTTTAAGGCAGCACAGACTACCAAATGCTGTTTTTTATCAACTGAAATCACTTTGGGAGATATTTTTCTGCAACACTGGAAAGATTTAGTTTTTTAAAAAGTACTCATGCATATGTATATATATATTTCCAATCCTTTTTTTAAGAGACAATCTTTATTGGGGTCTGCACCTCCATCCTTGATCTTGTTAGTGATGCTGTTTTTGCTGTTAGCCAGGTTAGAGTTGGCCCTACGTGGGGTTTGGTAATGAAAGATTGTTAAAAGTTTTGAAAAGTTTTGAAAATAATAATAACAATAGTTTTCAAAGTTTCTATTTGCTAGAGAAAAGATTTACAGAAAACCAAATATGCCCTAATTCCAAATTGATATCACCTATACATTTATATTTTTCTCAGCAAAGGGGTGAATAGCCCATAAGAGTTAGTACCTCATGACCAGAGGAGGAAAACAGAAAAGGAAACATATTTCAAAAGAAACGGACCTCAAGGAAGACAAGCGATTCATAAAGTTGCATGTTTCAAAAAAAAAAAAAAAAAAAGTCCAACTGAATGAAAATCCACAAAACCTGAAATTCAATAAAGAATTTTTTATGTGTTATAAAACAATGAAAGTTCTTCTGGGTCTGAAAATATGGCACACTAAGATAATATTTTAACCCATTCCTGTAAAATACTTGGAAATGCTTCATAAGTAAAATAAAAACAGTAAGTGAATACTAACCAAGTTTAAACGGAAGAAGAGAAATCAGCAGGCGCTGAAATGAAGAGGAATCACAAATACAGAGCTATAAATATATAAGCTGATAGTGTAGCTTACATGAATGCCTATCTTAAAAAATGACACACTACCTTCCCAGAATGGACAATTCTCATTTAAATTGCTCAGTTTTGCAAAATTTGGACAAATGATAAAAGTAACTTATCTGTTCTTCCCTGTATTGATCAACAAACAATTGTATACATACAGAGAACTGTAAAACAGTGTAGGTGTTTGGGTCACTGATACAAGACAATGGGACTTCATCACTTGGTGGAGGAAATGCTACTAGGTATAGAGTTGCCTTATATTTGGCTATGTATTCAACAATATATGTTCTGAAAGTTGAGCTAATAACACTATTATGTTGGCTAATATCAAACAAGATTTTGAGATATTTACAAAAACAGTAATGTAGTGTATAAAAATATCTGATTTCTAACGGTAACACCATAGCTCCTGCTAATACTACTGTGGTTTGCTGCCTACATTCATGATAGAGGAAATAGTACACTTCAGTCACAGCTTATCAAAATGAAGATGTAATTTTTTCCATAAAATTCCAAGCCCTTAATGCCTACCCATGGACCTCATGGGTGTTACTGGATCACAGGTTAAGAAGTTTTGCTTTATGTGTATTATCTTATTTAATCTCTACATGGTCCCTGTGAAATAGGAATTATTGTTGTTTAACTAATGAGAAAACTGAGTGATAGACAGTTTGAATCTTTTCCCCCATATCACATGACAGAAATTGTGAAGCTAGGATTCTAACAGAGGCAAACTGACTCCCAACATATTTGCTTTCATTTTTTTTAATTTTAAACTAAAGTCTTATTCATTGCATGCATTATTACATTTATATAGGTCTGTATCTATCTAGCCAGTTTTATTGTTAATCAATTCATGAGTCACGTCTATAACGCTTTCATTGCACTTTTATAATATGTTTAATATTTGGTAGGACAATTTCTCTGTCAATAGCCTACACATATTTTTAATATCCATATTAATTATCTAAATTTAAGAGGCAATTTTAAAATTCAGATTTATTTAAGCATACTCTCACAGACACTAAAATGTATTTTTTTGAGGTACAGCCAATGAGTTTTACCAATGTACAGGATATCACAACAATGAAGTCGTAGAACATTACCATCCCCTTAAAAAATTTTCTTATTCTTTGTAGTCACTTCCATTCCCTTTAACCTTTTTTTTTAAAAAAAAAAACTAGAAGTAAACATTAAGCCAGAGAATATGGGAGGAGTTTTTTACCAGACCAAATAAATAAATAAATATAGACCATAATGGAAGATTGACAAGTTGTTTTATATTTTTATTTTCTATATAAAAAGCCTCTTTTAAACAAGTTTTAAAAAATAAGTTTAGATAAATTAAAGTAGTATTATGTAAAAACAATGACAGACCACTCCAACTAAAACAGATTGGATAATATTAACATTAAATTTGAGGTTTGAGAGGGGTTTGTGATGAGTGAGGGTTAGAAACAGAATTGCATAGAAAGAAGAGCAAAATGGGGATAATGAGATTCACTTTAGCTAGGGGTATCAAGCGTATGACAAATTGTGGACTTGACTTTCATCTATTAACAAGCAGAGGGAGTAATAAGGTAACATGTTACTCTGAATCCAGTTCTGGCTGCCAAGTATATATTTCTTGAAGTGATAATTAAAAAAAAAAAACTTGTAAGAAATCAAACACATCGTCTTTGTGTTAACCAATAGGGATATCCATTATAGCCAGCTATAGTTCCTAGATTTTAGAAATGTAATTTAATAAATATTGAAAAAGTATAGCTTGGTCTCACAGGCTCAGATTTTCAAAAAGAAGACTCGAATTAATTCAAAAGCACAGCGTCAAGATTTTGTAGAATTATTTTCAACCCCCTCTATCAGCAATATCAAAATGAACTTTCACAAAAGGGTAAAATAAAACCAATATTGTGGCAATGACAGCTTACATAGCTCACTGTATTTCCCACTCTTGGTGGAAGGTTACATTTTATAGAAAAGCTCATGTACCAAATAAATGTACTTTAATTTTTAAACTTTGGATATTAGGTAGCAGAAAAATGACATAATTTACAAATGGTTTACATTTCCTTTGCCTCACTGATATCATGTCATACATCCTTCTTATGCTAAATTTTTGACAATGCAGTCTGCCTGTATCATGGCAGCCTGCCTTCCTCATGCTGTTCCTTTCTGCATCCACAGCAACCTGGCTTCTGCCTCCACTGAAAGTGTCAGGCATTTCTCAGAGATACCAGGGGTTCGGTTCTAGACTGCAGATGAAATGAATCACAAGAACTTTCTGGTTTCTCAGTGCATATAAAATTTGTGTTTACACTAATATTAAGTAGGCAATAGCATGATGTCTTTAAAATATGCATACCTTAATTTAAAAATACTTTGTTGCTAAAAGTGCTAATGATCATCTGAGCCTTCACCAAGTCATAATCCTTTTGCTGGTGGAGGGTCTTGCTTCAGTGTAATGGCTGATGACTGATCAGGGTAATGCTTACTGAAGGATGGGGTGGCTGTGGTAATTTCTGAAAATAAACAACAATGATATGCTGGTGGAGGGTCTTGCTTCAGTGTTGATGGCTGTTGACTGATCAGGGTAATAGTTATTGAAGAATGGGGGAGCTGTGGCAATTTCTGAAAATAAACAATAATATTTGTCACATCCATTGATTCTTCCTGTCACAAAAGATTTCCTGTAGCAAGCTATGTTGTTTGATAGCATTTTACTCACAGTAGAACTTTCAAAATTAGAGTCAATACTCTCAAACATGGTCACTGCTTTATCAATTAAGTTAATGTAAAATTCTAAATCCTTTGTTGTCATTTCAACAATGTTCATAGGATTTTCACCAGGTGTAGATTCTGTCTCAAGAAACCACTGTCTTTGCTCATCCATAGGAAGCATCTCCTCATGCGTTCAATCATGAGATGGCAGCAATTCAGTCACATCTTCAGGCTCCAATTTTATCTCTAGTTCTCTTTTTATTTCTACCACATCTGCAGTTACTTCCTCCACTGAAGCCTTAAACCCCTAAAAGTCAACCATAAGGGTTGGAATCTACTTTATCCAAATTCTTATTAATGTTGATATTTTGATCTCCTCCCAGGAATCACAAATATTCTTAATAGCATCTAAAATGGTGAATTATTTCCAGAAGATTTTAAATTTACCCAGATTCATCCGAGGAATCACTATCTATGGCAACCATCACTTTACAAAATGTATTTCTTCAGTAATAAGAGTGGAAAGTCAAAATTACTCCTTGCTCCATGAGCAGCTCATGGAGTAGCACTGTTAATTCCTTCAAGAACTTTTCATTTGCATTCACAACTTGGCCAAATGTTTGGTGCAAGAGGCCTAGCCTTTTGTCTACCTTGGCTTTTGATATGCCTTCCTCACTAAACTCAGTCATTTCTAGCTTTTGACTGAAAGTGAAAGGTGCATGATTCTTCCTTTCATTTGAACACTTGGAGGCCATTGTAGAGTTATTAATTGGCCGAATTTCAGTATCGCTGCATCTTAGGTAATACAGAGGCCCAAAGAGAGCGAAAGAGATGAGGGAAAGGTGAATCGGTGGAGCAGTCAAAACATGCACAGCATTGATTAAGTTTTCTCTCTTACATGGATGCAGTTTGTGGTGCCCCAAAACAATTACAATAGTAACATCAAAGATCACTGATCACGGATCATTAAAATATATATAATACCAATGAAAAAGTTTCCAATATTTCAAGAATTACCAAAATATGACACAGAGACACAATATGAGCACATGCTATCAGCAAAATGGAGCCGACAGACTTACTCAACTCAGGGTTGCCACAAACCTTCAATTTAGATGAAACACAGTATGTGTGAAGCACAATAAAATGGGGCGTTCCTGTGCTCCTAACCCAGTCAATGCTGACTCCTTAATGCAACAGACATTTTCAGTCTTAATTTTTATTTCTCCCTCTGCTGTTTTTAATGTTATGGATAATTCTCTATTGCTTAAAACATTTTATTTCTCTCACTTCTGTAACACCAAACTCCTGTAATTTGTTTCTAAATAATCTTAATTTACTTTGACTCTATTATTTCTTAAAAGCTAGTGCACTCAACTTTTTCCTCTCCACTGAGTGAGTTTTCTTATACTAAATTTCTCCTTGAAAGATCACCACATTTTTTACCTTAACTCTAGCTGTATGTTCTTACGTTTTCAAAACTCAGCATTAACCAGGATCTCTCTTGAGAAAATTAAACATGTATATCTACTCTACTTCTGAACCTCTCCACTTTTATGTCTCAGGAGTTTCTTAAATTCAAGATATCTAAAATGGAACTTATCATTTCCCTTCTAAATCCCACGTTAATTTATAGCTCTACCAACAATTCAGACACCTAGTGAGAAATCTCAGGTATTTTGTTTATAAGGACCTTACCTTTACCTGTATATATAATCTACAAGTCTTGTCAATTTTGTTTAATTATTATGCATCAAATCTGGGCAACCACTTATTTCTGGATCCAACCTTCCAATTTAGACCTTCATCGTCTTTGGCCTAGGATGTTCGAATCTACTTCTGATATTTGTCTTCTATACCCTTCAGATACATTCTCCACTTTACCAATTGATTGATTTACCTTAAACATAGACCTGATATTACTCACTTGGTTAAAATCCTTCAATACTTCCAACTTATCTAAAAACTTAAAATTTTTAATGTGCATATGATGATTTGCATGGCCTCATCCCATCTGCTTTTTAGTTTTGCCTCCTCCCGTGTGCCTTGCACTTTAGCAATAACAACTATTTAGAAAGCACTAAACACATCATACTAAGCCATGATTACATGCCTTTATCCAAACTCTTCCATCTGCCTTAAATAGACATACTCATGCCATTCTCTCTTCCCCTGGTAATCAACACCCTGTCTTTTAAGACTCAGCACCATATGTCACCTCCTCCAGAGAGTCTTCTAACACCTCTCCTTTGTAAGGTTAAACACAATTCATCTATTTTTCATGATATCCTATACAACCCTTTAATGACACTTTGAATATTGCAATAAAATACTACTTTATGCCCCTCTCTCTTTTTACTCCTTTCTCCTAATGACAGAGATTCCTTAAAAGCATTTGTATTCTTCTTTGTATTAACACAGCCTGATATTTACCTAATGCCTAATAGAACTCAATAAATGATGGCTGAAATGAAATGGGAAAAGAAATAGAAGCTTACATGGGGTGCCTTGTAAAGGGATTAGAAATATGCCTACACATGAAATATTTGGATATTCAAATGCCTCTTATTCTGGCTATTCATACATCATAAAGAGATTCCAGCTAAAGTAGAGGTAATCCTGACTCCACTAGTCCATGACTCTAATTATACTATGCCTCCCTTAGAGCCTAATTGTCAGCCCCTAAGACTTAGGCACTAATAGAATTATAACTACTAAATAATAATCTGTGTGTGAAGATACAGAAAAATTGTAAATGTTAATTTGTGTTTGGCATTTTAATTCTTGAAATCTCTGACATTTGATTTCTTCTCTAAAATTATCGCCTCTTGTTTAATGCCTCATACATCTTTACTACCATTAAAGATGGCGTGCAGGCTAGACAAAGGGGACAGAATTCAATTTATACACTCAATCAGTTTACCCAAATTAATCTACACAAAAAAGGAACATAAGTGACTTTTTAATGTATACATCTATTTGAAAACAAAACTATGAGAGCTATAGTTTGATTGTTGTTTCTTTGTTTGTTTGTTTTTCAATTATCTGAGACTTCCAAACTTAGCTGTCTAGTTTTTGACCCTGATTCTCTTCTGGAGAGTGCCACGTATTTTCTCTTTAGCACTCTTCCCCTCCTGATTAGAATTTTTAAACACTCACTAAAGAAACTTGTGATTAATGACAGTTAGAACTTATTGGACTTGAAGGACAAATGTTTGCTTCACCAGTTAAGGGAACGAGCTAATCAAAATGAAGAAGTGCAGGGCAAGGAAGAACAGGGAGAGAAACGAATGCTGTGAATCTGTATGGATTCGCTTGAAGAGATGAGCTGAACTTTTCATTTACTGCATCACAAACTTGACTCAACCTTTGTCTGTATTAAGAATAATGGAGCCGTTCTTATAAAAGAGTGTAAAACTTCTCAAATTAAGCCTCCCCCCTCTTACTTTTATAGCTTTTGGTTGGTATTATTCCAGCTTTTTCACAGTAAATGTTTCACAATATCTTTCATAGATTGAAAAAGTTTTCCACCTCCACAGTTACAAATCCTGCTATAACAAACCAAACTGGCTGTCTCTTCAGGGACTGTGCTTCATACTTCAGCACGAAATTGAGACTGAACTTTTTATTTGCTGAAAAGGTGACACAATTTTCTTTTATATGGTGTTGTCTCATTCTTCGCTTTTACAATGACCTCAGAGGAGTGGGTACCTGAAATATTTCAGTGCTAGATTGTTTGTGAACTAGAGATGAATCAGTCTTGAAAAGGAGGTAGAAATCCTTTTTGGTGGAAGGGCGCCAGGTAACATCTCAGAGTTTGCCATGTTGATATTTTCTATGTGTTTCATCAAAAAATTGCACTATTGATAGAAACTCAGGCATCTAGGAATGTAATGTAGCTGGCTATATGTTCTTTATTTATAACTAATCTCTGCAGAGCAAAAGAGAAGAGGGTTAGAAAAACAAGGATGAAAGTTACCATTGCCTGAAAACGTTTGTGTATGTATAATAGTACTTACAAAGTGGAAAAATGAACTATGTACTTTCTGCTTCCTGTGAGAAAAAAAATCTAATCACAAAATTATGCCTACACTGATTTTCAGAAAAATTTATGTGAGGATACGATATATTAGGACATTATGTAAAGGGGGCTTTACAGTACTTGAAAATTTAAAGTATGCTCAGAGTTTACTGTTTTTTTATTTTTATTTTTAACCTTTGCTTCTCCAGGAAAGATTCATTTGCATATTTCTTTAAAATATCTCTGCTTATATGTCCTAGTCTATCTAGTAAAACATCACATGGACCAAGCTGAATGACAGCTAAAAAGGTGCGATAGTTAAAAATAGATAAAGTATGGCCAGGCACAGTGGTTCATGCCTGTAATCCCAGCACCTTGGGCGGCTGAGGCGGGTGGATCACGAGGTCAGGAGATCAAGACCATCCTGGCTAACATGGTGAAACTTCGTCTCTACTACAAAAATACAAAAAATTAGCCAGGCATGGTTGCATGTGTCTGTAGTCCCAGCTACCAGGAGGCTGAGGCAGGAGAATTGCTTGAACCCAGGAGGCAGAGGTTGCAGTGAGCCAAGATCAAGCCACTGCACTCCAGCCTGGGTGACAGAGTGAGACTCCATTTCAAAAAAATATATATAACTATATATATATATATATATAACTAGATAGATAGATAGATAGATAGATAGATAGATAGATAGATAGATAGATAGGTAGATAGTAAGTAATCTGGCCTTTATTATTTCTGTACTTTTCTTTGTCAAAAATACCCTTCACTTCCCTTAATAATCTTCTCAGGGAAAGCACTTGTTGTTCTATTTATATGTCTCCAGGGGGCGATAAAGCAAGTCATCAAATCTCTGCAAATGACTCAAGGGCTCCAGTGCAATAAGGGGATCAATGTTCCCAAAGCTGTTGGACATCAGATGCCTGTTTAGTTTGGCAGATTAAATGGCTAGTACTTTTCCTTCAGTCAATTTACTGGAAGCCCCTCCCTTTCTTACTCTTTCCTCTCTTCTCATACACATAAGCTCCCTAGGGGTTCACAGTACTTTCAAACATTTTTTAAATGTTCATTTTGTTCTGTTATTAACAGAGCTTTTTATTCTAGCATACAAGCGTTTCATAATTTCCCTTCTTAAAAAACAACTCTCATGTTTCAGGAAACTATTCTGTAGTATATCTCCTGGGATAAATTTTAATACTTAAGTGCAATTTTTGAAAATCACTTTGATATATTATTAGTTTTATTAATATGACTTAACTTCCTTCTCATTAGTAAGGATTCAAGTTTCCTATCTCCTCGATGAAATCATGTGATGTGTTTTCAGTGCAGTCCATTTTGTAGTCAATTCACCTAATGAATACTGTAGAAATTTAGAATGAAAAAAAAAAAAGGAGATTAGAAGCTCAAAGGGATGCAACTCTGAATCTGATTCTAAAATCTCTTTGAAAAGACACAAGAAATAGAACAGGAAAAACAATGTTGGAAAGGAAAAATGAAGTGGGAAGAATGATGCTATCTGATTTTAGGACTTAGCATAATGCTATAGTAATCAAGATATTGTGGTATTGGTGAAAAGATAGACACATAGATCAATGAAATGAAGTCAAGAAACAGACCTACACGAATATGTCCAATTGATTTCTGACAAAGGTGCAAAAACTATTCAATAGAGAATGAATTTTGTCAATAAATAATGTTAGAACAATTGGACAACCATATGCAAAAAAAAAGAATCTCAACCTAAAGCTCTTTCCATATACAAAAAAAAAAACTCAAAAATGGATCAGATCTAAATATGAAATGTAATACTTCAAACTTCTAGGAGAAGGCATAGAAGAAAATCATTATAATCTATGGTTAGGTAAAGAGCTCTTAAAGATGACACAAAAACACATCACATAAAAGAAAAGGAATTGATAAATGGGTTTTATGAAAATTAAAAATGTTTCCCTCATTAATGGCCCTAGTAAGAAAATTAAAAGACAAGCTATAGAGAAGAAAAATATACTTTGAAAGCATATATCTAACCAAGAGTTTGTTAGAAAATATATATACTCACTACACTTTTTACTGGAAGGAAACAATTGACTAAAAAATGGGCAAAAGACTTGAACAGACACGTCACTAAAGAGGATATATGGATAGAAAATAAACACATGAAAAGATGTTCAATGTAAGAACATCAATTTAATGTCATTGGAGAAATGCAAATTATAACTGAAGTGAGATTCCACTACTAGATTTATAAGAATGACTAAAGTATACTGATAGTATTAAATGCTGATGAGAATGAAAAGCAATCGGAACTCTTATAATTGGCTGCTAGGAATGCAAAATGTTTTGAGTACTTTTTTTTACAAAGTAATTAATGATGTGCAGTCTTGTGCTTTTTCTCTTTTAGCTTGAACTGACATTTGAATTGTTTGTATTTTCTTTAAAATGAGAAGCAGAACTATCGCATTGACCTTCTTTATGTGGCCTTTAGTACCTAATAAAGTATAATTCTTTAACTCATATATTTGCTGATATTATTTTTATTTCATGTGATTGGTAACAACCAATAGTTTTAATGTCTAGAACCAACATCATGAACTTGCTTTCTGACTGGATAAAAATATAAAACTTGTCTGTGTACTTAAGTTTATAGTTGTTGGATTCTAAAAATAAAAGGAGTTTGGTGTTTTTGTGTTGTCATTTTTTTTTTTGTCTTACTAAAATAAGTGCCCTATGTGGCTAAATTAATTGGCTTGTAATCTTGAAGCATTCATCTTAAAATAAAATTGTGGGGTATAGATTATTTTAAATCTACAGGTAAACTCTGCATCAGGGTTCCCCAACCCCCGGGCCATTGACCAGTACCAGTGCATAGCCCGTACGGCTTAGGAACCAAGCCATACAGCAGAAGGTGAGCAGTGGGTAAGTGAGCAAAGCTTCATCTGTATTACAGCAGCTCCCCATCACTGGCATTACCACCTGAGCTCCGCCTCCTGTCAGATCAGTGGCAGCATTAGATGCTCATTGGAGCATGAACCCTATTGTGAATTGTGCATGTGAGGGATCTAGGTTGCCTGCTCTTTATGAGAATCTAATGCCTGATGATCTGTCACTGTCTCCCATCATCCCAGATGGGACCATCTAGTTGCAGGAAAACAAGCTCAGGGGTCCCACTTATAGTGAGTTGTATAATTATTTCATTATATATTACAATGTAATAATAATAGAAAGAAAGTACACAATAAATGTAATGCATTTGAATCCTGAAACCATCCCCCATCCTCACCCCAGAATGTGGAAAAGTTGCCTTCCACAAAACCAGTCCCTGGTGCTGAAAAGTTTGGAGAACCACTGCTCTGCATGACCATGCTTTCCAAGGAGACCAAAAAGAAAAACATAGATTAAAAGATCGCATTGCTATAAATTAACTATGCAAAGATTAGTATATCCTTTCATTTTGCTTTAATGCTACTTTTGTCCACACTTTAGATGACAGAATGGCATCAATCTTATGAGAGTTAATACGAAAGTTACTGCCTGGAGATACTATCTCTTAAATGTTGCCCAGAGCAGAATTTCCTCTTTAATTCATCAGACTCCAGACTCAGGGTCATAAAATAAGTACCATAAAGCGCCTTTGAGACCCTCCAATTGTCAACAGACTTCCCTAGAACCATTCATACCCACAGGTGATAGATTTCTTGTCCTTTTTCTGTTTTGCTTGGCTCTTGACTTTACAAATAATTTCCTGTTAACAGCTTTGTCTCCCACTTTGGAAATGATGTTTCCTGTGTCTTCTGTGGCCTTGACTTCTGGCTTCCCTTCTTGACCTAAGAATGATATATACCCTTTTAGTTACTCTGTCTATAGCTTCTCTGAGTAGACATTTCAGCTGGTGTATTCTGGACCAGGAAGGCTACACTTTCAGCAAAACTTCTCAATCAGCTTTATTATTTAACTTGCTCTGAATCTACTGTAGTATTTTATAATGCATGAAGTTTCCATTTCTATTATTCATTTATATTATTATCATTATTCATAATAACTAGCTAAGATTCTCAGAACAAAAATAATCATTTCTGTATAAAATATAAGAAAACTGAGGCTTAGAGAAGTAAAGCACCCTGACTAAACTTTCAGTAATTTCCTGAAGGGTTTAGAGCTCCTACTGAGGCTTGCTGATTCCACTTCCAATGCTATTTTCACAGATCCACACTAAATCTGATTTATCTCCTGGAAGAATGAAACCATAAACAAAAACAGCTGTTTCTTAAAGTTTCTTTTTTTTTTAACTAACAAATTCTAAAATTTCTAACAGTGGTCTTATGTACTTACTTTCTCTTTTTAAATATAAATATTTAATAGCTATAAATATGTCCTATACCCTGCTCTATCCCCAAGAAATATATGACTAGGCCTACAAAAATCAGGTAGTAGTCTAATAGGAAAATTTAATACACTCAGGCTCTTATTTCTCCTCCATTCTTATTAATTTTGCATGAAATGTGCCAATAAATTAACTCTTAGTATCCACTGGTTGTAAGATATGCTGATGCATATGTTTTCTTAGTTTTATGGAGAAATAAGGAATCGTCTAGCATAGAGAGAGTCAAGGAAAGAGGAAAATACTAAGTAAAGTTAAGAGCAGTGCCTAGTTTTCAGGAGAAATTATATATGAATTAAATTTACATAAATATACTTGACTCAAATTTTAAAATTATTCCTTTCTATCCTGTTTCATTTAGTAGAACATGCTTATTAATCATCTATAAGGATATAAGGTACAGTATATCATCTGTGAATATTCCAAAGCTTCTGAACCTTAGTAAAAAACACAGATTTAATCACAGAATTGCCAAGGTGGCATTGCTATTTGAATATCTGGCATGCCGTTTATACTGTATAAAGAACATACACATAGTAAGTAAACATAAATGCTAGCTACTATGATAATTGCTAGCATCATGAAATGAGGTTGATAATATCAGAGAGAGAAATAATTGAACTCACGTATGTATGCATAGTGGTTATAATGATGTGTATATCCTGCTCATTAAATAGCCCAAAGTTTTCTAATTTCTTTATGTTAGTCTGACAATAACAATCCTATTGAAAGCATTCTTAGGTGTAATTCTTTTTTAATTTCTGTCCCCTGGTTAATTTTAATTTTTATTATTTATTGTTTAATATGTAAGAAATATTTATCTCATAAAATATATTATTGTTTGGCTGGCCAATGTATTGAGTATTAATCTTGTTTTGTTTTTTGTGTTTTAACATTTTACTCAAGTTTCTTGTTAACGGTCTCAAATATTTTTTGAATGATACTTTTTTTGCTTCAGATTTGTGTTCAATACCATAAGAGATTTGCTTGTGTTCTGAAGTGAATTCTCCCTTTTTGTAGTGTGTATATATATATATATATATATATATATATGTATGTGTATATATAAAACATATATGTATATATATTTGCATATATACAAACATGTAGAATTGTAATCTATAGAGAGAAAATTGTTATTTATATATATACATATATATATATAAAGACATGTAGAATTGTAGTTCAGGTATTGTTCATTGTCTTTTTCTTTTCTTTTGTACAGATATCATGTGATTTTTGGATATAATAGATATAATAATTAGAATACTGGCAAAATAACAGACAACTTCTTATTCCTCAATGGGACTAGTTTTGGTTCTTTATTAAGCTTGACGTTTTGAAATACAAACATATAAAGACCAATCTCTTTCTTTAAGAAACCGTATTCTTTACCCTGTATTCTAAAATAGTTCCAATCTATATTCAGATAGTATCGCTACTCTTTCCAGCTTACTGCTAGTGAGATTTCTTATTTCAAACATCTTAACAGTTCAGCATGTGTACTTTCTTTGGGGAACCTTGTCTATCCCACCCCTAAGTTATGATTTTATTTTTTACATAGAAAAACCACTGACCTTAGTATTTTGCAAAGGCTTTCATATTATTTTCATTTACCACAAAATTATTATATCTTTTAGAAATGAATATTTAAAATTTTGTCAAAAATGTCACATCAAGAATAGAACAATGAAGTAGCAAGAGCAGTGCCACATTTCCAAAGACCTTGATCTCCAGGAGATGTCTCAAAACAGGGAACAAGTACCTAGAACAAGGTCAGTTACACCACGGATATTCCATAAGTGCCTCTGGATAAATGAAAGGATGAGAAAATGAATAGCTATTTAAAGTGGACTTAAAGCAGGCCATATTCTACATCAGTGCAGGGTGTTCTTGATTACCTTTTGGCTCACTCAGATCTTAGAAGATATAAAAATCCTCAGTGGGTCATTTTTCATATTCAGCTAAGTAACTTAGTAATAATAATCATGTTAACACTTCCTTGCTGTAACTCCTATCTCAGAGCCACCTCATCTGAGGCAAAAAGGAATAGTAGGAACAGTGGAAGTGGTACAGTTGCAACAATATCTTTCAAGATCATTACAATCCCAATCACCAGCCCTTCCAGAGAATAAACTGTCAGCTTTCCCATCTAATAATTAGTCTTTGCAGTCATATTGTTAGGTAAAGAGGTCGAAGCAACATCAATCTGTTCTCTACAACTTATTCACAGTTAGACTGATACAGATAGGTAATTGAGAAAAAAAGTCCATATATAAAACAACAGATGTTCTCAAACAAGCAAGCTTAAATTTGTATACTAAGACAAAAACCTAAACACAACATTTTTGAGTCCTGCTTCTTAATTTTAATCTTACAAGTTAATAAATTAATGAGTAACTCATAACTGGGGGATTCTATATTGCCATCCATTCTTTTGCCCAAATCAGGAATTTGCAACCAACTTATGATGGCATGTCGTTTTAATGCAAGGAGTTGATTGTGTCCTAAGCTGTATATTTGGCATCTGTGCAGTTCTTTCTTGGTGCCATCTTGAAGCTATTCACTTTTCTTCTAAGAATGTGAAAACTATATGATGAGTTTCTTATCCAAATTATGCAAAAAATCACAGCCTTTTCTTTCTTTCTTCTTATATATGATTTTATATTAAACAGTTTTCTTTTAGTTCAAAACATTTTTATACTTTATATGTTTTTACCTATTTTTCCAAAGATACTACCTAAATATTTTAGTCAGTTTTAGCCCTTATTGTTTTACTTCCCAACTCATATTAGTAAGAAATTGATATTTATTGAATACTTGTGGCTTTTAAGAGACTTTTGTTTGGTATTTCAATTTTGATCAATGTTTTTTATTATATGACATGTTAATCTTATTTAAAAACTTGGAACTCCTACATTGCAGTTCAAAGACTAATGACATTATCCCCATTTAACCAATGTGCATCAAGTAATCCTTCATGCCAGGAATTATTCGACGTCCTCAGCTCACAGTTGTGAGCATTACAGAAAACAAGATTACATTTTAACACAGGAATACAAACAACAAAAAATAATAAAAACTTAAATAAATGAGAAAACATTGGATTAGAATTAAGTGCAAGGGAGATAATTAAATTAAGATGCTGTGATTGAGAATGACGAGTAGATACTTCATACTCAATGGTCAGGGAAAAACTTTTCTGAGGAGATAACAATGAAGCTGAGACCTAAATTTTTAAAAAATGTTTTGTGCTAATGCTGTAAGTTCTTCTCGTCTTTATATCACTTTTTTGGCATTGTTACTCATCTAGGATTTTATGATTAATGTTGTCACTGTTATTATTATTCACTTTTCAAATTCACATAAATTTTACTTTTTGATGTACCACCCTGTCAAATTTGATAAATGCTTACAGTCATATAAAACCATGACCACAATCAAACTGCAAAATAGTTCATCACCCCCCAAATAACCCCTGTTGCTGCACTTTATAGTCAACACCTCCTGCCCGCCCAGCCCATAGCAAACACTAATGTGCTTTCCGTTCCTATATTTTACTTTTCCAGAATGTCATTAGATAGAAACATACCATATAAAATTTTTTCTCTCTGCCTCTTGTTACTTAGCACATGCATTTGAGATTCATCCATGTTGTGTGTATATTATTAATCAGGTTTTTCTATTGCTGACTAGTATTTCATTGGATGTATATGTCACTATTTATCCATTAACCAATGAAGGATGTTTAGGTTTTCCCAGTTTTTGACAATAATAAATAAGACCATTATAAACCTTTCCATACAAGTTTTTGTATGAACCTAAGTCTTCATTTACCTTGGTTAAATACTGTGAGTAGGATTACTGAGTCATGGGCTTATGTTTAACTTTATAAGAAATTTCTAATTTATTTTCACAAATGGTATATCACGTTTATTCTTGCAAACAACCTATGGTATCTCATGGTTTCAATTAGTATTTCCCTAATGACTACTGATTTTGAGACTCTTATTATGCATATTTATCATCCATATATGTTTGGTGAAATACCTGTCAAATCCTTTCCTCATTTTCTATTTGGTTGTTTGTTTTCTTAAAATTAGTCTTATTAAGGGTGGGTGCACACCTATAATCCCAGCACTTTAGGAGACCGAGGTGGGCAAATCAATTGAGCCTAGGAATTCTAGACCAGCCTGAGGAACACAGCAAAACCCCATCTCTACAGAAAATACAAAAAATTAGCTGGGCATGGTGGCACACGCCTATAGTCCCAGACACTTGAGAGGCTGAGGTAGGAGGATCACCTGAGCCAGGAAGTTGAGGCTGCAGTGAGCCAAAATGGTGCCACTGTATTCCAGCCTGGGTTACAACGTGAGACTCTGTCTCAAAAATATATATATTCATATTAAGTATTTCAGATTCTTTTTACATTGTAAATACAAGTCTGTATTAGTTACCTGTTTTGCACATATTAATCCAGTCTGCAGTTTCTTTCTTTTCTTAACATTGTGTTTGCAGAACAAATACTCTTGTTTTTATAAAATAAAATTTATCAAAGTTTCTTGTGTTCTTTTGTTGTCATATTTAAAAAATATATTTAACAAGACCATCTATTGAGAAAAGAGGGTTCACATACTCTCCAATAAAGTACTTATATTATTAAGAAAAAGTTCAAGTGCCTATCTGAGAGGGAAATTTTCATCTTTGTAGATGATTGCTAGAAAAATGTTCTACCTATATTTTCATATCTCAAGTTAAGCTAAGACAGCCAACCACTTGTCAAAAATGAGGTTTACTGTAAAGAAGAAAGAATTGTAAAATTGGTATATACTTTGAAAAGTAAAGTACACCAACCTTTTCATTCAAATCTAATAAATGTATCTAAGTAAACTATTTAAAACTTTTCAACAGATGCAGAAAAAAAAAAAAAAGCCTTCCTAGAGCTTTCTTTATCTGAGTAAAAGTAGAAACTTATGGGAAATAAGGCTGCTATAAATTGCACTTCAGGGTAGATCTAATCCCAGAAGGGAAAATGTAAATAAAACCTACCTCAAACCCCTTCTCCAGGGGAGTATTATGGCCCTGAAGGAAACAGGAAAAAACATTCATAACTATATAGACAAACATTATCACAAACTTTATCTCCTGTTTTTTCTTCTGAAAGCCCATTTATCTTTCCAAAAAGTCATCTGTTTTCCCTAGGTGCCTTTCTCTCTCTCCCTTTCACCTATTAAAATTGTATTATCTATAAGCTCCAAATTCTAATTACTTCTTTTGAGTCACTCATCATTGAGTTCTTCCATGTATATGGGTGCCGCAAGCACAAATAAATTCTATTGTTTTCTGCTGTGTATAATATGGGCTAAATTTATTGGTTGGGTTTTGGAGGCTATCTAGAAGAATGTCAGCAAACTATTTCCATATGGTAGAGCAGGTGGAAAAACATGTATGTACACATGCATATCCAGAAAGAACAACAATAAAAAAGCCCTCTGCTGATCAAAAATATTCTAATAAACTCAATATACATACAATAAAAATAATACAAGTAAAAAGATAATAAAGCATAACAATTATTTACATAGCATGTACATTGTATTAAGTATTGTAAGTATTCTAGAGAGGATTTAAAGTATACGGGAGGATATTGATAAGTTACATGTAAGTAATATGCCATTTTAAATCAGGGACTTGAGCATTCATGGATTCTGTTTTAGTGGGAGTGATCCTGGAACCAATTATCTCCAGGGATAATGAGGGACAACTGGATAGCTTTTCCATCACCCACGCAGATGTAAATAACCACAAGATCATCAATAGCATTAAAATATGGTGGAATAATTAGAAAGTAATGAATATTGAGTATATATTGCATGTTTTTATTATAATATATGGAAGATATGGAAGTATAGATTTATTTTGTAGATTTTTTAAAAACTGATATGTGCATTTAAAACCTGTCTTGCAAAATTCCTAAAAATTTAATAGCTGGCTTTTAATAGACCGTAGAAGGCAGCTCCAGCACACCACTGGTCTTATGCCTTTGGAAGCTTCCCACAGCAGAAAATAAAGCCTGAGAGTGCAACAAAGCTGAGCTTATTCTAACTCCATATCTTGGTTAGCCATAAAGAGGAAAAAATAACTATAAAACAATGACAGATCTCCTTACTCTACTGGTAGTAAATTTCTGTATGCTGTACTGAACTCTTTATTGCCAGGCAAAATTCTATGTCAGTTCCAGCAGCAAACAAGACCAATGAAACCCCTGCTCTCATGGATTTACATTTCAGTAGCCCATTTTTGTTGCCCCATGACACATTCCTTTTCTTTTAATTTGTGGATTTAGAACCTGGAGCTTCTTCTTGGCTCCTTGGACAAAACCATGTTTATTCTTGGGATATACCCTATCAACTCTGATTTCTCTTTAAAGATGTACTCATTCTCCTTTACTGGGAATTCTCCATTTTTGTGGCCTCTCACTACCTCCTTTCTTTCTTTTTTTTTATCATTAATTTGTTCTTATAATTTTGTTTTTGTTACTTAAAAAAAAGACTGTGAGAAAACATTGACAAGTGTATTTTCTGTTCATCTTAAACCAGAAAATATTATCTGATAATTTGAAATCAGATTGTTAATCTAAATAGAATGAATTTAAAAAGTTCTATTTTTTTTTTTTTTTTATGGGAGTTTTGCTATTGTTGCCCAGGCTGGAGTGCAATGGTATGATCTCAACTCATTGCAACCTCCGCTTCCCAGGTTCAAGCAATTCTCCTGCCTCAGCCTCCCAAGTAGCTGGGATTACAGGCATGTGCCACCATGCCTGGGTAATTTTGTATTTATTTTTATTTTTATTTTTTAGTAGAGTCAGGGTTTCTCCATGTTGGTCAGGCTGATCTCGAACTCCCGACCTCAGGTGTTCCGCCCGCCTCAGCCTCCGAAAGTGCTTGGATTACAGGCGTGAGCCACTGCGCCCAGCCAGTTCAATCCATTTCTGAAAGTATCGTGGAAGCCTGGAAGATTTATTTAGTGGCCCTTCAGATTAACGTATTAATTTTTTAAAATAAACATAAGATAAAAGAAATATAACATCAGAGTGAAAGGAAAATTGGGACCTCATTGAGTACAATTATTCCATAGCCTCTCTATAATTGGCCAAAATACACATACATTTTTGTGACATACTTAGTTCTAAGATTTTATAAATTTCTATTAACGTCCTAAAAAATCCAATAGATGTAAAAGTTGAGCAAACTGTCTTTGAGATCCATCCAGCTAGAATTTTTTTCTGTCTTTAACCATTTTGTGGAATATATTCTTATATTTATATTTTATCATTTATATTTATATTTATATTTATATATAAATATATTTATATTTATATATATATATAAATATATTTATATATTTATATATCATTTTATATTTATATTTACAAATTTATAGTTTTCATGTGTTTTTAAACTGGGTGAATGTTTATTGTTTGGGAAATAAGAACTCTACATGTTAAAACTTAAGTTTAACTTAGAAGCAATTCAGTTAACGCTATTAAGTTTTAAGCATGTATTGATTTCGTGTTTTCATCTCAGAATGTTGTGATGCATTAAATCTGCAATTACAATAAAAAAGGCATGAGTTCAATTCCTTTAATCTGTAAAGTTGAAATGTTTTATTTAATCTATTTTAGGGTAGAAATTCAACTGGGATCCATCAAAGCATAAATTTTGTTTGATTAAAAAGCTTATGTATTGACAATTAAGCATTAAAAATATTCACTCTTTTGCATCTCATTCTAAATGAAAATAGTGACTTTTGTAATGCATTGATCAAGGAAAGCTGGATAATTTACATCTTTGAGTGATATTATTTTACACTATCTTTCTGCTTTTTAATATCTTACTGTCTACTATCACCTTTAAATCATTGTTGATGATTATAGCACAGATCAGTTCTACTTCCTTTAAGTTTCATCTGAAATGCTGAAGTTATCAGATCAAGATGGCAATGAGTAAACTGATACTGTTAGAGGTTTGTATTTGGTCCAATCTGCACATATAAATATATATATATATATATATCTGCACATATATATATATATATATATAAAAAACCAACCTATATAGGTTGTATATAGTACAAACTGTTTTAAAAGCTTTTCCTAGGACTCTTTTCAAAAAGTTGTTTAAACAAATAAAATCAAGAAGAAAATAAAATATGCTATACAACTATTTATGGAGAGTATATATTTTTAGTTTGACTTCATATTGTCAACATAGATATACTCTATGACCAGTTCATTTCTCTCCTTGCTACATTTTCTTTTTTATATAATTAGTTCTTGTCTTCTTGTGCTTTCTGAATATCGCTGCTGTATAGAGACACCTGCTGGGAAATAAATGAACAGAAGAAAATTCAAACCTGTGCTTAGAAACAAGAAAAGCTTCTCTCTTATACAGTTTAAGCAAGCTTTCCTCTAATAACGTATTTTGTATCAGAGCATACATGCCTTTGAAATATATGAAAATCTACCTATATCTGGAGCTTTGCTATTAATCTTAAAATCTCTACCTCGGCATGAGGTTTCCAGAATCTACATATAGGTACGCTTGCGGTATAAAATAGGTATGTAATACAAGACAGTTGTAAATCTATTTCAACTAAGTCATTTAAGTGTTCACATGTATCTTTAAAAATTTTTACACATAATTATTTTCCAGTGATTAGGGCTTCTCTTATTCATATTTTTACATCTTAATTTTTATTTAAAACATTTGCTAAAGCAAGGCAAACTTTTATTATTGATTGGTTTAATGTAAATATTTGCATTAACAAAAATTGTCTTTTGAAAGTTTGTTTACATGAGTATCTGTTTACATAAACCTTTGTGTTCAATTTCAATCTAAGTTGCAAATGGCAAGATTTCATTATTTTTTACGGTTGAATAATATCTCATTGTGTATATGTACCGTACTTTCTTTATCCATTCATCTGTTGGTAGATACTTAGGGTGATTCCGTATGTTGGCTATTGTGAACAGTGCTGCAATAAACATGGCAGTGCAGATATCTCTTCAATAGACTAATTTTCTTTATTATGGATATATACCCAGCAGTGGGATTGCTGGATTATATGATAGTATTATTTTGCGATTTGTAAGGAACCTCCATACTATTCTCCATAGTGGCTATATTAATTTACATTCCCACCAACAGTGTACAAGGATTCCCCTTTCTCCATATCCCGGCCAGCATCCATTATTACCTATCTCTTTGAAAAAAGCCACTTTAACTAGTGTAAGATGATAGATCATTATAGTTTTGAATTTCATTTCTCTTTTGAGTGAGTTTCCCAATTGTAAACCAGCAGATCAACAACATTGAAAATTAAATGTAAAAATACATTTAATTGATAGTTTAATAACAAACCATCAATTAGGTATTTCAATTGTGTTCCAAACTCTGGGTCAAGCTTAACTTCTTCAGAATTACGCTGATTTCTCATGTATTATAATAAGATGATAAGTCTTGAAGATGATATGAGCATATCTGAGTCCTTAAATAGTTTTAATAATTTCATTTATGTGCTTTGCTGAATGAATATCAAATAGCAGGGCAAGATTACAGGCAGGTCTTGAAGTGCAGTTACTACAGCAGTTCTCAAGTGATATTCACCATAATTCAGCTGAACATAGACCAGTCATGTGTGGAGAATGGATGAGAGCAGGATTTCCAAGCACCTGCTCTCTGCTCCCAACCAGACAGGAAAAATACAGTACATGGTGACAAACTGATATCAGGCCTCCAAACATGTGGCAAAGATGCTGACAATTGCTAAGAAGCCAACCAAACATATTATGATTAAAGATGGGGTGAACACAGCATAATATCAGAGGAGAAGAAGAGAATTCACTTTGAGAAATTACAGTCATGTAAAAAGAAAATTCACTTTATACTTAATATTAAATGACCTTAAAAATTCAGATTGTCCTATTCAGATCAAATATATAAACCAATTCCAGGATCTCAATAGCATCTTGAAAGAGAGAATAATTTATAGCGTAAGAACACAGACTCTGGAATCAAACAAAATAGAGTTCATTCCAGTGAACTTAGAGTCTCCAGTGCTAAGCAGCTGACACAAGGTCTTTAACCACTCTAAATAGAATTTTCCTTATTAACACAAAAGATATATTAATGGTACTACTGGGATGATTGACAGTAAATAAGATAATGCATATAAAGTGCTTACTAGAATACTTGGTAAGGGTAAGCATTCAACTAATAGTGACATTTTAATGCTGAACATCAGCCACAGGGGAGATTTCATTAAATCATTGTACAATTATTTCTACTAGTTTTGTGGGATTATAATGACATTATTATTTATATTCTTTGGAGAAAGAGAATATTATTTATATTCTTTGGAGAAACAGAATCTTAAATGTTGGCTTTTTGAACATTATCAAATCAGTTGGAAAAATCAGATTGAGGGATATACCACAAAAATACAAGTTTTAACTAGACTGACATTACATACTTTATGTATTATTTTCAAATATTTCCAATAAAATTCAAAACAACATTATGCCAATATACATACTATCAAAAGGAAAATACTGCCTTAATTATGAATTTTTTGAATTGTGCTTCTGTCTCACCATTGATATTTAAATGACTCCTCTTGGGCCTGTTCTCCTGGTCTACCCCCCAGGTATTTAGAATAGTATTGCATGGCTAGTAATAAAAGTCCAACACAAAATATTCAAGGTAATTTTAGTTCAGATTTTAAAACAATTTGAGATGCACCACAATGTAAATCAGAATATTATTGTTTGTTACAGGACTTGAGATTGAAAAAGTAAGCTATTACTTTTAATAGCTGAGTAAAAAGAAGAGTGACAATTGAGCAATTACAAATTGGAGGCTCCACATAACATCGACAGTATTTATTATCTCTTCTTGTAAGGAAACAAAGACAGTTTTGCAGAGATTTTGGGTTTGTTTTTGCTTTGTATGTGATTGGAATATATGTTGGCCATAGAGAGAAGAGGAATTTGGTAAAATAGAAGAATTTACTCTCAGAAATATTGACATTCTTGTTTTGTTTGATATTCTTCTTAGAAATAGGTGAAAAAAACATAAATAATGCATATGATTCACCAAGGCACTAATTTAAACTTTTCACAATATAATATCAATGACTATGTTTGAATGTTTCATAAACTCTTTACTATAAGTAATGGTATTATAAAGGTATCTTAAGGAAGATAGATGATAGATAGATACATACATACATACATATATACCTACATACATAGAATATGTACACATAAAGATATAGACAAAATAAAAATAAGTAAATGCAGTGTAACCAATTGGCATTGTTTGATTATCTGGGAAAGTAAAAGATGGTAAAAGATATGTGTGATAAAAATGAAGAAGGAGAATAAACCAGAATTTAATAAATTTAATAGGAGGATAACAGTTTTGGAAAATTTTATAAAAATATTACTTTTGACCAATCATTTTTCTTTAGAAGGAGAGGACAAATTATAAAACAATAATTTAGGGTTCTGCTTGTATTACTTAAGCACTTTTCCTGAGTTTGCCTTACAAACTGAACTCAGATATAAGCAAGACCGAACTCATTATTGTACCCTGAAGACAGCATGAATGTAAATCAGCTAAAATATAAGACTCAGGGTAACTTTTGGGCTAGTAATAAAATTCATGGTGCTTAAATTGCTTACTTCTAATGCATATTTTACAAGTCTCCGAGGAAACCTCTGAAACTCATAGACTTCCCCCCTTTCCTCATTACTGTATTTGATTCACTTTCAAACTCTGTAGGATGCATTTAATACTGTGTATAGCACCAGAAACTCCTATCTGAAATAACCTGAAGGTGCTACAGAAGAGTTGCTATTTACAAGTCAATTTTGGAGTGCTGAATGGGAAAACTGAAGACAAATTTGTCCAAAAATCATCTAACACCAGAAAAAGCTTGGTCTTCTAACTTACACTATGACGCTGGCATTTACCTCATGGTCCCTTGATCTAATATAGTATAAATACTTCTTTACCATCAGCACTTTAAGCTCTTTAAGAAGATTTTGCTATGGTGGATAGGTTACATGTTCATTCTAATCTGTTTACATTTCCATCCCTTGCTCTCTGTTGGGTAATATGTTTTAGCTATTATTGAGTGATGGCCTATGGCCATGAAAGAGCACTAAGCTTACTGGCTGTCATGGGGATAAGAACATGATCTTCACTCAATTGCCATCACTCTTAAAATAGCTTATCAAACTAACCAGAGGAACTAGAGAAACACTCCATGGGGATACAGAGGTGTCAGGAAAAGTAACAAATTTTTAGGTCTCTGCTCTAGAATCTTGCTTTCCTTAGAAAAGAACACCAACTTACTGTTCTATGATTATATTCCACTAATTTCTATGATAAAAGACAGACTTCCACAATCTTTGAGTAATATCGGAATTTAAATAAAGTGGAATTTAAATACATTCCTAATAAAAAAAGTACACCTGTCTTACTTCATTCTGTGCTGCCAAAGGTATAGAATACCTGAGACTGGGTAATTCATAAAGAACAGAAATGGATTCACTCACAGTTGTAGAGTATGGGAAGTCCAAGAGCAAGGCACTCACATCTTGTGAGGGCCTTATTGCTGTTACCATCCCATGGTGGAAGGAGGAAGAAAAGAGTGGAGGAGCCAATCTCACTGTTATAACAATGTCACTCCTGCAATAAAGATACCACTGCAATCATGAGGGCAGAACCCTCATAATCTAATCATCTCTTAAAGATACCATCTTAAGTTTCTAACACATGAACCTTGGAAGACACATTCAAACCATAGGAAAAGTGTACATAAATATTACATAGACAAGAATACAACCATTTGGATTTTTTTTTTTTTTTTTTTTTTTTTTGGTGGTGGTAGGGGATGGTGGCTGAGAATTGATTTACTTCATCTTCATGCTAAAAGAAAGATATATTTGCTGGGTATAGAATGATGCATTAATAAGTATTTTCTCGCAGAACACTGAAAAAGTTACTTTCTCTGTCCTTTAGCTTTCACTGATGAGAATGCAGCTGCTGTTTTTTAAAGTTAATCTGTATTTCCTTCCCCACCCCACCCCAGCTGTTATCTACCTGTAGTTTCACAACAGTATGTCTAGGTGTAGATTTCTCTTTATATAGCTCATGCTTGGGGTCCTCTAAACCTGTATATTTGTCATTAGTGACTTTCATTAGCTCTATGACATTTTTAGATATTAGGTAATCAAATATTGTTTTGTGCTATATTTTTACTGCTGTCTCTTTCCACATTATTCATTAAATATTTTCTCCCTCCATGTTTTTTACCTTTTCTCATATTTTTTTCTTATTTTTGCTTCTCTGTACTTTTTTTGAATAATTTCTTCTGATTTGCTGTCCAATTCACTAATTGTCTCTATGTCTGTGTCCAATCTGCTATTAAACATGTCCATTGGGTTTTTAATTTTTATTACTGTGTTTTCAGGTCATATATTATAGCTTATTATTCTAGAAATACTTTCAAATTTGATTTCGTCCCCTTTAAATATACAACCATTGTTAGTTTATAATCTGTGTCTGATTATTTCCGAATTTGAAGATGTATGCTTCTATTTCTGCTGTCTGCTGCTTTTGCTTATTTCTAACTCATTATGCCTTCTTGTTATGTGTATTTATTATTTTAATATATTATTTTTCTCATTAGGGATATAATATCCCTAAGGAATAAATTCCTTAAGGAATTTATTCATGCAAATTCCTTAAGGTCAAGGATGGACTGTATTTTTCTAGGGATGATTTATGTTGTTTCTGCTGAGGACCTGGGAAGACCATGTTTCTGGGATCATTTAAACTGAATTTCTAGTTTAAGAATTTTGAGTACATTAGGGAAATGCTAACTTGACTACATTTGTAAAGTACAAGGTTTGTGATTACAATTTCTAAGATGCACTGTTCTACTTCAATGTCAGGGAGCCAGGTTTGTTTAGTGTCATCCTCGTTATGAGAGTATAGTCTTTTAGGGCCTCAGTTTCAGGGGTAAAGTGTAGCCTGTTAGACTTTGACCTTTCAGCTTTGATTCTTGTCATCTTTGACCTGAATTGCAACCAAAAGCTGAAGTCAGTTTCATTAGATCCAGCAAATCTTCAGTGGTCTTTTTAGCTGTATTAGTTCCTGCTTTTTTTTTAGAGTACTGCCTGGTAATTTTTGACACTGTCTCAGTGGTTTGAAAAAATAAAATCTTGAAATATTTTATATATTTTTAGTTGTGTTGATGCAAAGATGTGGCCAAATCATCTAGCTTGTTAAATACAGGCATAGAGACCAACACTTTTTTCTGCTCCACTACTATTGAGGGTCAATATATTTTAATTAAGTTTTCTTTGCAACAAACTCAAATTGCAAGTTTTGTGAGAGATACAATAGTAGAACAGTAAAAACTACAGTATAAGAATAGTGATAACTTTTATATAGAAAGATGAAAAAATAAGCATATATAAAAGTTGTGTGTGTTTTAATTTTCGCATGTGATGAATATTGACTTAAACTGTGTAGAAATGATTTAGGTTAGGCTTCACAAGATTTTAGCTTGAGGAAATAGGAGCAGTGTTAGGGAAAATCTACTTTACCAGAGTTGTTAGGTATGTTACCATCCAACAATAATAGCTATTACTTACTGAGTAGACTTTGGAGGTTAGACCATTTAAATGGATGGTTTTACATCATCTTCACAACTGGCTTATAACTATGTCCCTTTCGCCTATGATAAAATAGGTCCAGAAATATTACAAAATTATTCAGGCCCATAACTAATGACAGAACTGAGATTCAATTCCAGGAAATCTTATTCTAAACCCCACTGGACTCTTATCCAAGGAAAATATATGGTAGTCTAGATGCACTCAAGCACATGCTATCCACAACAATAAATCAGATAATATTTTAAAGTCCTTCTAGCCTTATGAAAACATATACAGATGTAGAAATATAGTTGGAAATTTCTTAATAACTTATGTTTCAAAAAACATAAACACACACATACTCCCTTGTTTTTATTATCTTCATAGTATCAGGTTCATAAATCCTTATTTTCCTTACATGAGATACATACCTGGAGTTTTCATTTATTATAGACGAATTTTTTAACCCTATTGTAATTGAACAAGAGTCTCACTTTTTTAGATCTTGTACATACGTTTAAAACAAAAAAAAAAGAGAGAAAAAATAATCAAAGACAAGACCAATGTTAGTGATAGAATTTATTTAATCCACATGAATGCTAAATGAATTATCTCTGATTAACATGTGGTAAAGTAAATGAGCTAAGGTGTTAATATTGACTTGTTTTGTTAAAAAGGCATTCCAAATATATCTATAATCCTCTTAAATAAAACAAAATTCTAACTACTTATTTTTTCCTGTAAGACTGTCTTTTGGTGTTCCGTTTAACCCAATGAGGTCATTGACTAAGCAATATTATTTCAGTATTCCCAATGACAGCAGTTAACCTGTAAACCCAATAAAAATCTCATGCAGCCAAATTTTCACCTCCAGCCTGAATTTCAGAACATCCAGAATATTTTTAAATGAAATTAGTTTGATTATTTTAGTGCAAAGCCTATGAAAAATAATAAATATAGTCAATGAAATGATTGATGTATAACATTACTGTTACATGAAACTTGATTGATATAATTAGGATTTCCCCAAAGAATCTATATCTTGAGTAAGATTATTTCAAAAACATTAAAGAAATATTAAGAAAATGAAGCACAGGTTGCTATGGGAAGGGAGGAGTTGGCCTGTTTATAATGCAGCAAACTAAAACCACTAGAAGATAGGTTAGATAAATGCAATTTCCTACTTTCAATCTAGGAAGAATTTAGCAGAAATAATTCCTCAAATAAGACAACACCATCCAAATATGCGAAACTAGCAAAAAATATCGAAAAAAAAGTTTCCCTTTCTGACTAGGCTTTGTAGATTGAAAGTTAAATCACATATTCTAAACATTCACTATAAACTATTCAACAATTTGTGACTCAAACAAGAAATCGCCAGTCTCTGGCCTTGAGCTCAGTTGGGGTCATGATCTCTATATTATTTAGAAATTGCTTGATTTTCGCCTTATAAACAGGGAAAACATGAGCCATTTTTTCTCTTTTGCTTAAAACCACATATCAGTTTGATATGTGACCTAGAAAGGAGAAAACTGGTGTATATTTTTCTTCCACAACAACTACAGATGAAACAACAGTAGGCCTGAGAATCTTATCCCTACTGTAACTACAAGCTTAAATGAATCAAACAAGCTGTTTTAAGACACTGTGACTGGTTGATTTAAGATTCAAATGGCTGAAAGAGTTCACCAAATTTACATTCCTTGTGTTCAGAATGCTTGACACAGTTCTTCAAACCTATCCAAGCCATTATTAAATGACATGAAAGGTGTTTACTGCTTCAAAAGGCAGCCTACCAGAATATTGCTTTTTCCCCCTCTGAGCTACACAATCCTTTAAATGGCACTTTCTATAAATGCTACATCTTTTCTAATAAGAAACAATCCTGTGATCTTGGAGAAACCTCACATATTGTGACAAATCTTTGGGCCTCTGGGCTGTTTATCCAATGCTGAACTTAGACTGTTTTCTTCTCCATATCTATGTTTCCCCTAAGATAGCTCATTTTTATTCAAAACATAAGTAAAAATCTATATTCTGCATATTTACGTTTAAAAAAGGCTTAAAAAGAGACACAGTCAACCCCATTAGAAAGCTACAATCAGGAATACTTTGAGTAAATTTATCCCATGAGGTCTTAATGAACACCCACAAATGGAGATAAAGCTACCTATGCCACCATACCCCACAGCTCTTCTCCAGAATAATTTCATTTTGTTTTCTTCCCTAAAAACTCATTAAGTTTAAATAACAATATAAGAAGGTGATTTGGGATGGATTGTAGTGTATTAATGCAATAAGTATTTATGAGGACTCAGTAGAAGGCATTGTGTTATATACTATGAAGGAAAGCAAAGAAGTATAATACTCCTACCACATCAGTTCTTAGGAAATCTCTAGTTTCTTAATCTCTACTTATTTCTTCAGTCCATTAGTCATTTCGTGGCCCCCTTCCAAATCTGGACATGAATACTTTTGCCTTTTGCTTTAAACGCACACTCACACTAGCCCCCTCCATTTCTCTCTTTCCCAGTCTTCATAGCTGCTGTTCTCCACCTTTACCTTAATTTCCAAGCCCACAATCACATAAGCAACTTTCTTCTACAAACTACGTATATGCACAACTTTACAAAGAACATAGTCAGAGTAGTCTTTCTTCTTACCTCTCTTTCATTCAAAATTTCTTACCTAGTGACATATTTCCATTGCCTGGGTTTCATTTGTTGCTCCATTGACCAATTTGTTAGATCCATTTTCTTCAGTCTACTCTCATCAATTATCCCTCATTAAATCTATTTCTCATCTTTTCATCAGAGCTTTCTTCTTTTTTTGAACAAAAAGCATATAAATGTCACATATGTAAACATCTGTCCTTTTGTCCCATGCTTATATTCATTGACAGTGCCACGTTTTCTAATGAAGAGTAGCATTGATTTCTTTCAACTCTTTAACACAAAGTCAATACCTTGCTCCAGCTGGATATCCAGAGCCCTCTTAAGTTTCCTCAGACATTTCCTCCTAAGTAAATGTATATTTATCCTTTGAGGTTAGCCCAAATATCTTCCCCCTGGAGAAATTATTTAGAGCTTCCTGCTCATCCCATCTCCAGAAGAACTAATCACTTCCTCTTCTGTAATTCTATAATGTGTTGTTCATTAAGCTGAGTTCTTATTTTAGTATTACTTGTTTGTATACCTTTACTTCACTAAATTAGGAAATGGATACTGTCTCTATCATCCTTCCTACCTCGGTCATCTCTTGCATAACACATGACACACAATAGGTGCTCAATACGCTTTGTTGCAATGGGGAACTGGTTCTGGCCCTCAAAACACTCATTATATAATATACTTATGGTAAATTACATAGAATGATAATATAGGAATTGAGAAAAAGATAATCTTAGGGTGATCTAAGGAAATCAAAATGTGCTTGAAGAGAATTCCAAACTTATAGCCTGGGGAATATCTTGTATTGTGCAGAAAGAAGAGATTGAACAAAAGGTCAAACCTGAAAAGGCATAATGCTTACTAAAGGAACATTGAACATCTAATCTAGCTGGACTGTAGTAATAGAGAAAAAGATAAGGTTTAAAAAATAGAATGAAGGCTGAAACACTTTGCATCAATCAGAAATGAGTTTGGATGCAGGTGCCAAAAAAGGAGAAAAAGAATATATTTCTCTCACATATAAATGAAATCCAAAGATAAGTGGTTCACAGCTGAGCCAGTCCTTCTTACTTTGTTCTCCATGACCCCCAATACGTGCCTTCCACTTTCTGGTCCAAGTAGCAATTTGAACTCCAAGCATTTTTTATTTCAGTGAGCAAAAATAAGAAAGAAATGGAGGTGGTACATCTTTTCCATATCAAGACATGTACTGGAAATTTCAAATAACTGATCAGAATTTAGTACCAAGGCCATACCTAGTTTGCAAATGAAACAAAAACCTTTATATTTCTCATGGGTAGCTATGTTTCTTCCTTTCTTCTCCCCAAAATAGGATTTTCTCTTCTTATTTAAGGTTTTGAGAGATAAGTTGAGGTATTTGCATTTTAATGGAGAAAACAATTCAGGTAAACTCATAAAAAAGATATTTTCATAAATCGACAGTTTTAGGAACTTTATCAACACCTGTTGATTTGTGTACTTAATGTTTCAGACAGAAATTAAGCATTCACTTTCTATTTGCCTAATAATTTTTCATCATAGCTATTTGTCTTTATAAAATAAAAATGCTGATTATAATATTCAATTAAAAGGAACAACGGAAATCTGCCAAATTTAGTTCTTATCTCTGCGATTATGTAAGAATTTTTTTGCCCAGTTCCATGTGAATGGTCATTTCAGTAAATGACACTGTAATGCAGACATTTAAACACAAGGAAAGGATGACTCCCTACTTCTGTTTGCTGATTGATGTGGTTCTGTTGAATATAAATAAGCAAAATAATTTCTTTCAAAATAGCTGTAAGCTATCATCCCTCATTAATCTCTGCAAGGCTTTCCTTGCTTACATCATAAACCCAATAGCAGAAGGTGCTAACACAAAGCTCCCAAGCTAGCCTGGGAGTGAAATTCATTTCTCCCGTGCTCAAATATTGAATTAGGAAATATTTCAGACATGATACTTCAAAAATATATAAATACTATGTCCTAAGTATGAGAATAAGAAATAATGCTTTAAATATTTGTCCTTTCATACTTTATACAATTGAAAATATCAAATAATTACAGAAAAATTAGGAATTAATTACTATAGGACATATAATGATATTTTGATACATATATTCTTTGTATATACAATTCTAATTGTGGATAAATGTAAGTATATCATTACCAAAGATGAAATAAGAAGACATATTAACAACTCAGTTTCTTTTTTAAATAAGGTCCAATTAATTAGCTTCAGACACATCTCCTGGCATTGTAAAAAGAAAACTATGAAAAATCAGCAATAAATAAATAAATGAAAGCATTCACTATCAAAACTGAGATGACAAAAAGTATTCAAAATTTGAAAGGATATTTTGCTAAGTCTAAGGAGCTGCTGAGAAAAACAAAGTGTCCAGCTCATGCTTACAAAACTAAATAACATTAATAACATAAGAGAAGGTAGGAATATTTCTTTTCTTTTGCATGTTATAAATATCCCTTCAATACATTTTTGGTTGTTTCAAATAGAAAACTAATTAGCTATTCCTTCCTCTACTATGACGGGAAAATTTTATGAAGTGATTAGAGCATTGTTCTTAGGCCTCTTGGCTTCATATATTTTTATCTATTCAAAGACTAAAACTTCAAGAAAGGAGCAAGAAGAAGATAGGGTAGACATAGGCTTCCTAATTCTCTTATGCTTTATCTCTAGAGAAAAACACTTCAGGTGGAGGCAAGGAATAAGAAGATTCTTAGAAGTACATATTGGGGCTTATGCTTCACACATGGCTGGCCCAAGGATTACTGGTTTATCATAAAAGTGTACAGCAGAGTAAATAAAGCAAAAAAAAATCTCCTGACATAAAATACTCTGAGATTAAGACTGACAATGCTTACTATATACTTCAAACAAAACATTTGAAAATTAAATAAAAAAGGCATATTTTGGAAAAAAATTTAAATTGTAAATCAAGAGAAAATTTGGAGAAGAAAGTTGATTAGAAATGAAAGATTGGACTTGCCTTCCTCCAATTCTTCTCCAAATACCAATAAAATAAGAGCCAAGTATTTTTATTTTTAATCATTAGTGTGCAAAGCCAAAGAACAGGAAAGACGATAAACAGCAACAGAAGTTCCCAAAGTAGAATGCAGAAAAACACAAGAGGTAACTTACTGTCCTGAGAAATTTGGTCTTAAGATGTCAACGAAGAAAACTGGTTTTGATGGCATTAGATATTTATGAAAGCGAGCCTGATAAACAAGATTATTTGAAAATCCATTTTAAAAGAAGTTGAACCACCAGAGTTCCTCAATCAATGTGTGTTCCCTGCCCCCGACCAGGAAGAAGGCAGAAGATTTATTCTCTAAAGAGACTAAACTAGAGGCCTTCTGCACTATTAGGTATCCAGCAAAATTAAAGGTAATGGGACCACACGGAAAACAGGAAATTTGACTCTTCACACGGAATTCTGATATATCCAGTAGTCTCCTCTTTTCACTTCTCAAATGAACACAACAAGGTTTATATTCTCCCATGCAGGATACCAAAATGTTTTCCGAAAAATGTGACCAAAAGAAGATATACAAATTAAAATTAAAATTATGGAGATTTCCCAATGAATCAAACTGGTGTCTCCCTACACTGAAGGCTAGCATTGGTCAACTCCATCTATGCACACAGAGATTTAAATTAGATATCCAGAAAAAGATAACGAAACAAAAGACAGAGACCATGTAAATATACAAGTAAAAAACATAATTAGAGAAAACAGATTATGCAGTAAAATTATCCACCCCCCCGGTAATGAAAATTATTATTAATATTTTCAGAAATATGAAAAAGGATATCACATCCATTTTACAAAAGGAATCCATTTCAAAAGAGCATGAAAAAAATAGAAAACATATATGAGAAATTAGAAAAACATAGCAGAAAGAAAAAACTTAGCAGGATTGTATCATAATGTTGAAGAAATTTTGTGGACTTTGTAGACAGAAAGATTCACTGAATAAATGCCCAAAAGAAGCAGTGAAAGTAGACTAGTGATAATTACATCTCCATTATATTTCAGAATGTTAGAGCAAAAAGCTGATTCAAAAAGCTTCAAAGAGAAAAAGAAATGTTAAAAAGATTAAGAGAATGATGCTATTAGACTTCGCAACAACAACCCTGCCTTCTAGCTTAGTAGAACGCTTAATTTCCAACATGGAATTCTTGGTCTAAACAAATTACCAAGAAAGTGGCTGAATAAAGACAACATGATCAGTCCAAGATCTTATAAACTTACTTCCAATGCACCATTACTTAGAAAGCCACTGGAGAATGTTCTCACAAAAATAAAAGAACAAACCAAAATTAGAAAGATATAGGATACAGGAAAAACAAGACTATTTATCAAAAAAGACCCCGAAGGATTACAACCATGAAGCAGACCTAAAAAATAAAATAAAATAAATAGACCAATCAGACCAGACACAAGGGCTCTAGCCTGTAATCCCAGCACTTTGGAAGACCAAGAAAAGAGGTTTGCTTGAGTTCAGGAGTTTAAAATCAGCCTGAGCAACATAGCAAAACTCCATCCCTACAAAACATTTTTTTAAATAATTAGTTGGGCTTGGTGGTATGCACCCATGTTTCCAGCTACGTGGGAGGCTGGGGCAGGAGGATCACTTGAGCCCAGGAATTTGAGGCTGCAGTGAGCTATGATCCCACCACTACACTCCAGACTGGGTGACAGAACAAAACCCTGTCTCAAAAACATAAATCAAAAAATAATAATAATTTAAAAAGAGACCAACAACATTGGCATATATCAGAACTTTCTAGGAAAGTTTTAAGTAGTTAAAATTGATAGAATCCCTGATCATTTTTAATATGGTAAGTAAATATTTACACTATTTGGGGAGAGGTTATGGATAAATTGGTGATAAATACATACTTAAAAGTAAACAAATAAGCATATAAATTAAAAAGATGATGTATGTTGCAGGAAGACAAAAACAGTCTTGCAAGAAAGAAAAAAATTAATTATAGTACTTAACATGGCACAGCTGTAAATGGAGTTCATAAAGTCACAATAAACACTTAATACTGGAATAACAGAATTAGAATATTACAATAATGAGAAGGTAGGAAGATGGGAATTGCATGTGTTTTGCTTAGAGTGAGGAATGAAGAGAATTATATCAACATCTTTAAGAGTAAATCGATCATCTCTCAGCCTAATGTATCCAAATATCAGCAAATTATTTAGAGCTTATATTGAAAGGCACAGTTAAGAACACTGAAATAAATTTCCTGTTAAAATGAGACATATACAAGATGGGGGTATTCTAACAAAATTAAAATGTCTAAACATTGGGAAAAATAGACAGAATTTTTTTAAATACTCTGACAAAGACAATATAATAATACTCAAATATTAGTACAAAAATATGTGATACAAGCATTTTATGCAGTCAAGTAATTCTTTTTTTTTATGAGTAAAGGCAGTTTTTAGAGACATGCTCACATAGACAAGTGCTTATAAAATAAATCATGTACCTTTTTCTTGCAAAAACTAAGAGTATCCCCGTCAGCTAACAGAGAGTTTAATCAAAAGAAGTAACAATTCTTCTGGCTAAGGTGAAGTAACGGGGAGTAATATTTCCTCCTGCATCACACAACCAAAAAAAATAAGAAAATGGACAGAAGAGCTAAAACAATGATTTTCAAGACACTGTATATCAGGTAACAGAGGCCAGTAATCCCTGAGACAAAACACAAATGTGATGTGCCCTTTGATTGACCAAGCTTACTACCTTGAGAGAGCATTCACATATAACAAAGAAGGGGGGAAACCTATACCTGTAGACTTCCTTAGTTGAGGAGATATATCTGACAAGTCCAGGCCAACCAAGGCAGATAGAATTCACAGGAAAGAATGCTAGAGATGAGAGATCCGCACTTTGAGCTCTGCACTGGGTGGGTATTTCTTACATATTCAGCCAAACACTAATCACTGGATACATGGTAGGAAACTATGTGAAGATAGCCAAGACAAGAACCAGCCAAAACGATTGGAAGTAACACCGCCCAGCACTTACACAGGGCCAGAAATAATGTCTGCTTCCACCAGCAACATTGGAAAATCCTATAAATTGTAGGTCACTGGGTGGACTCTACAGTGAGCCTTGCCTTCATAGTGAAAAATAACTGGGCATAGACTAAACGCTATTCTAATCCTGCCTAATAAATCTTAAAAGGAAGACAAAAAAGGGAAAATTATTTACAAGCAACTTAGCTGCAATACAGAACAAAGCTCAAGAGTACTGAGAAGAAAAGAAGATCTGTTATTTTAAAAGTAAAAATTACAATAGCAGGCATCCAGTCAACAATTACCAGGCATGCCAAATGATAGGAAGACATCATGAAGAGATAAACCAACCAATCAAAACAGACCCAAACAGAAACAAATGTTAGAATTAGAAGGTAAGAATACCAAAACAGTTTTTATAACTACATTATATATAATCTAAAAGTTAAATTGAGATATGGAAGACAGAATAGAATACTAAAATCAAGCATTCAAGATGGAAATAGTAAAAATTAGAGCAGGTATAAATAAACTAAAGAATAGAAAAAATAGAGAAAATCAATGAAATTATAAATTAGTCTTGAAAAAATAAAAAAAAATTGACAAACTTTTAGCTAGATTGACTCAGAAATAAAGAGAAAATATAATAACTAGAATCACAAATGAAAGGGGACATTACTATGAATTTTACAGAAATGAAAAGGATTATAAGGAAGCACTATGAACAACCACATGCCAACAAACTGGGTAATGCAGATCATATGACAGATTTCTAGAAATATACTATCAAGACTGAATCATGAAGACATAGAAAATCTGAACAGAACAAAATAGTAAGGGTGTTGGATCAGTAATACAAAACATCCAAAGAGAAAAAAGAAAAAAAAAAAAAACATATCCAGGACTAGGTGGTATCAATGGTGAATTCTATCAAACATTTAAAAAATTAACACAAATCTTTCTCAAACTCTTCCAAAAACCCTGAAGAAGAGGAACATTTTAACTCATTCTATAAGGCCAACATTACCCTATGATGTGAAAGCCAGACAGACACTATAAAAAAAGAAAACTATGGACTAATATGGCTTATGAATATTGATGCAAAAAATCTCAATAAAATGCTACTTGTTAGGATCTGATTTTGCCCCTCCAAAATTCGTATTTTGAAATCTAATTCATAATATTTTGGTACAAAACGGTGGGGCCTTTGGTAGGTGACAAGATCATGAGGTGAGAAACCTTGTGATTGGCATTAGTGCCCCAAGTCTGAGGAAGTTTGTTTGCCCCTTTGCCCTTTCACCATATGAGGACCCAGTAAGAAGGCACGTTCTTTGGGAAACAAGCCCTCACCAGACACCAAATCTGCTGGTGTCTTGATCTTGGACTTCCCTACTTCCAGAACTGTGAGTAATAAATTTCTGCTGTTTATAAATTACCCTAAGGTACTTTTTTTTTCTTTTCTTTTTTTTTTTTTTTTGCAGCAACTGAATAAACTAAGACACTGGTACTGAGAAGTGAGGTTCTGTTGGAACAAATGCCTAAAAATGTGAAAGCAGCTTTGGATTGAGTAATGGGGAGAGGCTGGAGAATTTGGAAGTTTATTCTAGAAAAAATGCTTACATTTCTGTGACTGGAGCATGAAGGACAATCTGATGAAGACTCGGAAGAAGACAGTCATAGAAAAAGTCTCAATCTTCTTAGAGATTGCCAAAAAGATCTTGAACAGTGTGTTGGTAGAAATATGGATGGTAAAGACCATTTTGATGAAATTCCTGATGTAAATGAGGAATATGTTATTGAAAACTAGAGGAAAGGTAATCTTTGTTGTAAAGTTGCAAGGAATTTGGCTGAATTATGCTGACGTCCTAGTGCTTTGTGGAAGACAGAAACTCTGAGTGATAAAATAGAATATTTGGCAGAAAAAATATCTAAGCAAATTATTCTGGGTACAGCATGGCTTCTGTTGACTGCATATGGTAATCTGGGAGAAGAAACAAAATAAATATAAAATTTATAATTGACAGAAAACCAGAACTTAAAGATTTGGAAAATCATCAGGCTGCCCCTATTATAAAGAATGAAAGGCATGTTTGAAAAAGAATACCAAGGATGCAGCCAAGGAAACAGTTAATGGAGATTAGTATGGATAGAAGGAAACCAGATGCTATTCATCAAGTCAGTGGAATAATGAACTCAAAGGCATTTCAGAGATCTTCCAAGTTGCTCCACCCATCACAAACCCAGAAAGCCAGGGCCTTGGAGACAGAACTATTTCAAGGCTTCACTCCCCACCTTCTGGTGCATCACTCCTTGGCTGCTTCAGCCATTGCTCAATGAGTCCAGATTGCAGCTTGGGCCACCGTCTGGAAAGCACAAGCTGTAAACCTTGGTGGTATCCATGCAGTGCCATCCTCACAGGTGTGTTGAGTACATGAGCTATGGGGACATGGCTACCTCTACCTAGATATCAAAGAATGCCTCAGAGTACCTCACAGCCTAGGCATAGAATGGCCACAGGGGTGGAACCACCGCAGAAAGCTCCCATCAGGGCAGTGCCTAGTGGAATCACGAGAGCAAGGCTGCCATGTATCTAATGGAGACATGGAGGTGGGGCTGCCCTGAGAGCCCAGAACTATAAAGCCATCAGTGTGCAACTCCATTCTGGGAGATCCACAGGTACTTGACTCCAACCCTTGAGAGTTGTTATATGGTCTGTGGCCAGCAAACCCATGGAGGCAGTGTTGATCTGAGCCTTGGGAACCCAATACTCTCCCCAGTGTGTCCAGAAAATAAAACATGGAGTCAAAAAATTGTTCTCAATTCTTAAGTTTTAATGTTGTTTACCCTGATGGATTTTTAGATTTGGTTGGAACTTATTACCCTTTCTTCCTTTCTATTTCTCCCTTATGGAATGGGGAATATCTGTCCTATGGCTATCCCACCATAACATTTTGAAAATACATAACTTGTCTGATTTCGTAGGCTCACAGCTGGAGGGGGATTTGCCTCAGAATGAAATATCCTTGATTCACACTCTTATCTGATTTGTTTAATATTTAGATGAGACTCTGGACTTTAGACTTTTGAGGTGATGCTGGAACAACTCAAAAGTGCAACAGTTCTTGGACCTTCCAGCCTCTGGGACTGTGAGCAATAAATTGCTGTTATTTATAAATTGCCCAGTCTAAAGTATTTTGTTAGAGCAGCCTCAACTAGAATAATACACTACCAAATCGAATTCAACAATATATTAAAAGGATTATCCACCAAGTGGAAGTTTTTCCTGAAATGCAAGGACGGTTCCACATGTGAAAATCAATTATTATGATCTACCACAGTAATGGAATGAAGGAAAACATATATGATCATCTCAATTGATATCTAAAAACCATTTGACATAATTCAACAGCTTTTCATTATTAAAAAATTCAGTATGGAGGAAAAGAAACTACCAAGACATAACAAAAGCACATACATTTACATCTATGTATTAATACATATGTATATGTATATAAAACCACAGACAACATTATGCTCCATGCTGAAAGACTTAAAGCTTTTCTTCTAAGATCAAGAACAAGACGAGGATGCTTACTATTGACATTTCTACTTAAAATAGTATCAAAATTATCAGAGAAAAAATTAGACAAAAAAAGAAATAAAATGCCACCAAATTGAAAAAAGGGGAAGAAGTAAAATTTTCTGTTTGCAGGTGACATGATCTTGAATGTAAAACACCCTAAAGACTACACACACACACACACACACAACTAGTAGAACAAATAAATTTAGCAAAGTTTCGGGATATAAAATTAATATGTAAAATCAGTTACATTTCTACACAATCACAATGAACAATCTAACAGAGAAAACTTAGAGAATATTCTATTTACAATAGCATCTGAAAGAATAAAATACTTAGAAGTAAACTTGAAGAAGAAAGTGAAAGATTTATATACTGAAAACTACAAAACAATGTTGAAAGAAATTAAAGATACAAATAAATGGAAACAAATGTTCATTTACTGGAAGACTTACTATCGTTAAGATGTCAATATACCCAAAGCAATCTACTGATTCAGTGAAATCCCTATAAAAGTCCCAGTGACATATTTAACAGAAACAGAAAAATTCTTCCTAAAATTAATATGGTATATAAGGTACCTAAAATTGCAAAAAAAAAAAACCAAAATAACAAAATTGTATGCCTTACATTGCCTGATTTTTTAAAGCTTACTAAAAGTATACAGTAGTGAAAATTAATAAGAAAAAAAAAATAAAAATATACAGTAATCAAAAGACTATGGTACTGACATACAGACCATTGGAATAGAATTAAAAGGCCAGAAATAAACCCTCACAGGTATGGCCAAATGATTTTCAACAAGGATGCTAAGACCATGCAATGGGAAAAGGACAATCTTTTCAACAAATGGTGTCGGGGCGAGCACAGTGGCTCACACCTATAATCTCAGCACTTTGGGAGGCCCAGGCAGGCAGATCACCTGAGGCCAGGAGTTTGAGACCAGCCTGGCCAACATGGCAAAACCCTGTCTCTCCTAAAAATACAAAAAAATTAGCCAAGCGTGGTGGCAGGTGCCTGTAATCCCAGCTACTCGGGAGGCTGAGGCAGGAGAATTGTTTGAATCTGGGAGGCAGAGGCTGCAGTAAGCTGAGATCACGCCATTGCATTCCAGCCTGGGCAACAAGAGTGAAACTCTGTCTCAAAATAAATAAATAAATTTTAAAAACGGTGTTGGGAAAATTGGAGATCCATGTATTAAAAAAAAATGAAGTTGGACCCTTATATACAAAAATTGACTCAAAATAGATCAAAGATATAAATGTAAGAGCTAAAACTACAAACCTTTTAGAAAAAAAATAACAAAAGAACTTCATGACATTGGATTTGGCAATGATTGATTGAATATGTATGGCACCAAAAGCACAAACAACAAAAGAAAAAAGAGGTAAGCTGGACATTATGAAAATTCAAAAGTTTTGTGTATCAAAGAATACCAACAGAGTGATAAGGCAATTAACGAAATGAAAAGAAACATTTTTAAATCTTATGTCTGATAAGGAATTGATATCCATAATATATAAGGAACTCCTGCCACTCAACAACAAAAGCAAACAAACTGATTTTAAAAATAGGCTAAGAATTTGAATAAATCTTTCTCCAAAGAAGATGTGCAAATGGCCAACAAACACATAAAAAGATGCTCAATATCATTAGTCATTAGAGAAATGCAAATCAAAACCACAATGAAATAATACTTCACACCCATTAGGATGGCTATTATAAAAATAAATAAACGGCAAAAAAACACAAATGTTTGTGAGGATGCGGAGAAACTGAAACTTTTGAGCATTGCTGGTTAGAAAGTAAAATGGTGCTCCTCCTTCAGAAAATAGTATGATGATTCACCAAAAACTTAAATACAGAATTACTATATAATCCAGCCATTCTACTCCTGAGTTTATAGACAAAAGAAGTGAAAGCAAGGATGCACATTCATAGCAGCATTACTCTCAATAGCTACAATGTGGAAGCAACACAAGTACCCACTGAAGAATGAATGAACAAAGAAAATATGATACATACATACACAGGAATATAATTCAGTTGTGAAAAGGAAATAAATTTTGACACATGCTAAACAGGAATGAACCTGGAAGACATTACACCAAGTGAAATAAAATTCACTTAAACAACTAAAGGACAAATATTGTATGATTCCACTTAAATGAGATAATGAGATTTCTAGAGTAGTCATTACTGAAAGTAGAACAGTGGTTACCAGGGAATAAATAAATGTAGGGTGGAATGGGAAGTTAGTGTTTGATAGTAACAGAATTTAAGTGGAGGAAAATGAAAAAGTTCTAGAGATAGGTTGTGTCTATGGTTATACAACAAGTGTGAATGTATTTAATACCACAGATCTGTACACTTAAGATGATTAAAATGGTTATTTTTATATTGCATATATTCTACCATAATAAAAAGAAGAGAAAAATCTTAAATGCAGACAAAGAAACTTACAGAGGAAAAAAGAGATGGCAATGTCTTTCTTGCTAAAACAATGCCAGCAAAAAGAGCAACATCTCAAAATATTGAAAGAATTATATACTCAATAAAAACTGTATTTCAAAAAATGAAGGTGAAAAAATAATATTTCAGGCATATGAAAGGTAAAAGAATTCACCCGAAACAAGCCCGCACACTAAAGAAATCTTTCAGGCTGAAGGGAAATGATAGCAAATAAAAATATGAATCTACCCAAAGGAATAAAAAGCACTGAAAATGGTAACTGCATGGGTAATTATAAAAGAATTGTATTATTATCTATACCTCTTTAAAATGTAACTTTAAAAAATAACAGTGTGATGTGAATCTCATATAACATGTAAAAGCAAAATATATGACAGTAGTGCCATAAAGGCCAGGAGGTAAGAAATGGAAGTTTACTCTTGTAAAGGTCTTATATTTTATGTGAAGTGATATAATATCAGTTGAAGCTAGATAGTGATATAGTAATAGTATGTACTATAAACTGTAAAGCAACCGCTAAAATAACAAGTCATGTGTAATAAGCCAACAAAAAAGATTAAATTAAATCATAAAAAATTCTCAGTTCAAAAGAGAAAAGAGAAAGAAAAAATGGGACAATTATAAAAATAGTAAGATCATGATCTTAAGGTTAACCGTATAAAAATTCACATTAAATATAAATGGGCTAAAGATCCAATAAACAGCAGAGATTGTCAGACTAGATAGAAAAGCAAAACCCAACTCTATATTGCCTTCTGTATATATAACCTATCAAATTCTCTATTGCTTATCACTTTAAATATACATAGAAAATAAGTTAAAACTTAATCATTATATATATATATATATATCTTGTGTATTACTTTACTAGGGTTTTCATCACAAAGAACCACAAACCTGATGGCCTTAACAAGTGAAATTTATTTTGGGGGATACAAGTTTGAAATCAAGATGTCAGCAGGGTAGATTTCTTCTGACACCTCACTCCTTGGCTTGTAACAGCCATCTTCTCCCTGTGTCTTCACATGGTCTTCCTTCTGTACCTATCTGTATCAAATTTCCTATTCCTCCCGCAAAGTGAGGGTCCAGGTGAAGTTAACAAAGGTTATCTAATTTAGGACTTTTTCCATGAAATATTACCTGCCATAGATGATGCTAATTTTTTTAAAACTATGTCCCAGCTCCAACTGATGCAATTCAAACTGTGTTTTTGTGCTGAATCCAAGTCAAGAAGATGCTCAAGACTTATTATAATATAATATACTTAAACTTATAGTTGGTATATAATTAATTTTATTTTTAAAAAGAATAATTGTTTTATTTATGACTAGGTGACAAGTATTTTTAAAAATAGAAGGTAATTTAGATATATTAGTACTGATATATTTCAATATATAATTTCACAATAGATATGTAGTATAAAATATGACTAATATTAGATAAAGGAATTTTAATGATCAATGCACTGTGTGGTTAAGAAATATTCTTTCCTTCCAGTGAAATAGGAGTATTATCTTAGCCTGTCCCTGCTGCCATAACGAAATACCTTAGGCTGGGTAATTTATAAGCAACAAAATTTTGTTGCTCACAGCTCAAGGCACCAGCATATTTGGTGTCTAGAGGGACAGTTTCTCATAGACGGCACCTTCTAGCTATGTCTACACATGGTAAAAGAGGTAAACAAACCTCCTCAGGCTTCTTTTATAAGGGCACTAATCCCATTCATGAGTGCTGAGCCCTAATGACCTCTCAAAAGCCTCACCTTTTAATACTATTGCATTGGATATTAGTTTTCAACATATGAACTTTGGGGGAACAGAAATATTTGGGTCATAGCAAGTATTGAATAACTGAGCATGTTGGTGTTTTATTGTCTTGTCATTCTTCTGTTTTTCCTTTTTGTTTTGTGTTAGAGAGTAATGTATGCTTAATCTAAGAAAAGGGGAGAGATTGTTTTTATTTTAAAACGCTTGCAACTAAGAAATTGCAATGTACAATCCCAAATACGATGATCTGCAATGAGTTCTTGCTCAAATCATTTTATTTTTCTATGGCTCAATTATTCCTTCTCTAAGAACTCAAAAAACTTATATTCTAAATAATCTTTGGAAAGTAAAATAACAAAAATTTTCATATATTTGACAATATAATATGCTATGATATTCTGAATATTTTTTAAGTAGTAACACCCCAATCAATATTAGTATGTTTACATTACATTGCACTTGCTACTCTGATCACAAAAGCACATTGAGAGATTTAGTTGGTTCTTCAGAATTATGCCATCTACTTGAAGTTAAACCAAAGATACAAAAGAATTAAATTCTGTGCTTCAGAGTCTTAAGTGCAAAAGGGATTCAAGGAGTAGAGAGACTTAAGAGAATTAGAATGGGAAGAGATACTTCTCAGAGGGATAGCCTTGAAAGTGCTCTTGGAGGATAAGAGGACATAGCCAGGTGAGAGGGATAGAGCTGCAAAATTTCAAACTCACTGAGTGAGTTTGAAAGAGAAATATTCTAAGAATTTAGAAATATTTACTGCCAGAGAGTAGGTGACCACGAACCTGGATAGGCAGAATGCAGAATATTAGCAAATTAAGATTCAATTTTGGAAAAATAAAACCAAAAACACCTATTGAATATGTAAAATAGTGTGTGAAAAAGCACAAGTACAGATAATATAAGAGGTAAAATATAGGGAGTGAAGTGTATTTAAATGCATAAGTTCGTGTTTGCTAACATGAAATAAAAGTGATAAATATTTATAGAGGCTGCCTCTTATTTTATAAAATCTCTCCACAGGAGAAGAAAAACATGAATTTAATTATGGAAAATGATCATTGAAAACAGTATGAGAAAACGGCTGCTTTGTCTGGAAGGCTTGGGAAAAGTTATACGAAACTTTTCTAAGCCAAAAGAAAATTAATATAGAATATTTCTTCATGAGAACTCAAATATCCAGTAGGAAACTGTAACTGCACCAAACCAATCTGGCTTAACATTTAAGTAACAAAGTGAGTCCTTCTTCGGTTGCCATGGACTCCCAGGTAAAAGGTCACATAACCTGATCATTGTTTTATTTACTACTAAAGCCAGATGAACAAAGCATGCAACCAGTGGAGGAACCCAGGTGCTGAGACTGAGGTGCAGGGACTGATTTTAAAAGTGAACACTGTACCAGCCGGGCGCGGTGGCTCACGCCTGTAATCCCAGCACTTCGGGAGGCCAAGGCGGGAGGATCACAGGTCAAGAATTCGAGACCAGCCTGACCAACGTAGTGAAACCCCGTCTCTACTAAAAATACAAAATTAGCTGGGCATAGTGGCTCGCGCCTGTAATCCCAGCTACTTCGGAGGCTGGGGCAGGAGAATCGCTTGAACCTGGGAGGCGGAGGTTGCAGTGAGTCGAGATCGCACCACTGCACTCCAGCCTGGGCGACAGGGCAAGACTCCGTCTCCCAAAAAAAAAAAGAAAGAAAGAAAGAAAAAAGAAAAGTGAACATTGTATGGCAGGATCCAGAATCCAATCAGATAAAGCTCTGGTGTCACCACTGGATTCTGGATCCTAAAGCTTTCAGGTGACACCGGGGCTTTATGTGATTGGGTTCTAGATCTTGCCCGATTATCCAATCAGATCATGCCTCATTACCCTATGCATATAAAATCTGGTCCAGACCCCAGCTCAGAGAGACAGAAATGAGAATTTTCTTCTGTTTCCTTGCCAGTCAGGTCTCCATAAAGCTTTTCTTTTCTCAAAAGCCTTTGTCATGGTGTTGGCCTCCATGTGCATGAGGAAGCAAGCTCATTGATTGCTCTATAACAAAATTACCAGGAGAAAGCTCCTCACTCCTGCTCTTGGGTCCAGGAAATCAAGCAAAAAGTCTAGTTAGACAGTCTCTCATGGTTTCCTTTGAGCTATGAATTAAACAGAAACAACAAACACATTATTGTAAAGAGAAATAATCCATTTGTTTAAGAAGGAGTCTTAAAGTTTATATTTATTTCTCTACGATATAAGGAACGTAGGGTAAAAAAAACTTACATTTCAAAGGCATGGTTATTTTGAGATAAAAAAGTGAAAAAATTGTATTCTTAAAAATAAAAATTTAAAAGCATAACTTTCACATATGTTTTTGAAAACTTGAATCAATATGGAACAGTCTTTGGACATGAAGTTGTTTTGTATTGTTTGGTTTGGTTTCAGGTAAAAGCCATAAATGTATTCCATTCATTTGGGGAGGGCAGCTGAAAATTATGAATAATGTCCTTCTAATTTTATCTTTTAAATATATATATATTTTGAGACGGAGCCTCACCCTGTCACCCAGGCTGGAGTGCAATGGTGCAATCTTGGCTCACTGCAACCTTCACCTCCCAGGTTCAAACGATTCTCCTGCCTCAGCCTCCTGAGTAGCTGGGATTACAGGTGCATGCCACCATATGCGGCTAATTTTTCGTCTCTTTAGTAGCTACAGGGCTTCACCATGTTGGCCAGGCTGGTCTCAAACTCCTGACCTTGTGATCCACCTGCCTCGGCCTTCCAAAGTGCTGGGATTACAGGCGTGAACCACTACACCTGGCCATATTTAATATTTTGATGTCAAAGCATATTTTCACTGATGAAGTCTTTGTCAAAATAAAGTATGTAACTCAGGATTAGAAGGTAGGGAAGGAAAGAGTGAGAGGGAGAGAAAGACAGAACAAGGAAATTGTCAATTTTGTTATGAGCCAATGTTAAGAAATTGTTAAGTTCTTATGAAACAAAAGAAATATTACAGAGCCACAATTTAATTTCTAAAGGCATATCAAAGATATCACATCTGAAATGTACATGATAGTGGAGCAGCAAGGACAAAACTATGGATTATATCATACCTGGCGCTCTACATCAGCCACAAGAGTAGTCACATGAGATACCAAGCATTTCTATTCTACTCAGTCACACCTTGATAAGACAGAGTAGCAAACTGAACAATGTTAAAAATAAATGATTTCCAGGATACCAGTCCTAGACTTTTTTTTGAGAAAGACTTAGGAAGTAGAGAAATTATTGTAGTGTACCTGATTGGTTAAGAACAAACATTTAGCTATGCATAAAATATTCCTGTAAAATATATACAATGTGAACTCCATCAATCTTTGAAGAACTATGTTGCAAGTCATTTTACACAATGAGGGGATTGGAGAAGAATGTGAAGAGAGAGAGAGAGAGAGAGAGAGAGACTGTTTTTGACCCTGAGGACAAGTAGATAGATCATGTAAGTTTAATATCTCTATATTCAGGCAGAACTCTATGTGTGATTATGTGTTGAACTTTATAGAAAGGTATCTCTAATAGGCCCAGCAATACTATACCAGGGCTGGAAAAGATATCAGCAAACATTTAACTTCCCCTTCTTTTTGTAGGCAAGTCTGCTCGTAAATTAACAAAAGAAGAAAGCTCTGCAATCCTTTTTAAAAGTTATTGGGAAAAAATATTCTTTGGCCATTCTTTGCCATTTCAAATTAAATAAAATAAATGTAGGCATGTACTCACTATGAAAAGTTAACAAGGTCATTGAGAAGAGGGCAGGGATCTGAAGAAATGTATATTTTATGTATGCAACACCTGGAAGTCAAGTATGTGCTGAATGCTTTCAGTATGATTAAATAGTACAGTGAGAGTTAAGTAAAAATAGTTTGAGTTCACCTATTTCCTATGCAAAAGTAACCTTATCAACTTAATTGTAGAGTAGTTTGTTCTGCATTGTAAGAATTTGAGACATATTTTTAAATAAATGGATAAGTGAGTGATAAACAGCATCAAAGATGGAAATGCATCTCTCATCTTTATACAACTTACCCTATTTCTTTATGAAATCAATACTATATGTGTTAGGGTAGGTGTATGTGTGGTTAGACCCTAAGTTGTCTTTTTTTAATAAAATGCAAAGATTTATGAAACATTCTAGATATTCAAAGGCTGTTATAGGCCAGGAGTGGTGGCTCACGCCTGTAATCCCAGCACTTTGGGAGTCTGAGGTGGACAGATCACTTGAGGTCAGGAGTTCAAGACCCATCTGGCCAACATGGTGAAACCCCACCTCTACTAAAAATAAAAAAATTAGCTGGCCACAGTGGCATGTTCCTGTAATCCCAGTTACTCAGGATGCTGAGGCACAAGAATCGCTTGAACCCAGCAGGTGAAGGTTGCAGTGAGCTGAGATTGTGCCACTGCAAAAAAGCTGGTGTAAATTTGAGGACTCTAAAAGCAGATATGTCATAATTATTAGTCCTATGACAAGCTGATATATTATATCACTTTGCAACACAGACTATGGAATTGCTAAGATCTGGGTTCCAGTACAAGACCAACAATTATTAGCCATGAGTCAACAGACAAATAACATTCTCTGACAATCAACTTGCTCTGCTATAATATCGTTACTGTAACTAATGTATAGTCTTTTATTGTAAGTATAAAATACAGTGTTCTTAAATATTATAGCTATTAATTTGTAGTATTAATCCATAATCTGTATTGCATGTTTGAGACACTTCCATCTATGATGTACATGCATCACCTCCTCAATTCTTTCCTCCACACATTTGTGAGATGCCCTAATTGAGTACCTGACAGGTAGTGGACCTTTAAGTAATGATAGCAGTTACTGTGTGGAGGAATAGACATGAGCCTACAAAGACATTTTGATTACACAATGAACAACTTAGAAATATTTTGGGAAAAAAAGTTGAAAGCAGATATGAAACAACTGAGCTGAAGTCAATACACTAACACTGCTCTCATTGTTTAGCTGTGTAATGACAATTAACATGCTTAAAATATGATTATAAATATGCATATTGGATCTAATTATCAGCCATGTAATCATCTGTAGCATATGGAACAGGTCATGAAGAAAACCAAAAAGATGATTACAGGGCTAAGGAATAGTTCACATAAAAAGGTTCAGTAGAGCTGTTTTTGTTTTGTTTTCTTTTGTGTTTGGTAACAGAGAAACTAGGATGCAGAATGACTTGATTGACACAAAAGCTATATGTCTAATTTGTCACTCTTCATACAGACTAAGGAAGTTTTATTCAGGATGACAGAATGAAAATTCTTCCTGAAGTTGATAATGCATAGTTTTTAAAAGGCTATAATCTTTTTGAGGGTAGGAAGAGGATCTTATTAGTTTTGCATTCTTGTACCTGGTGTACACTAAGTGTTTAAAATGTATTTATGGAGGGGAAAAGGAGAGAGTTAGGGACAGAGAGAAAAGAGAGAGAAATCCCTTCCTGATGCTTGGCTAGAGAATAGGGATAAAATTGTCCAAATTCAGGCTATTAATTGAAAATGTAACTATTCATGTGAATTGTCTGATATGCTTCTTAAAAGTACAGATTACCAGAATAAAATCCACAGAATTAGAAATCTGAGTAGTTTTTAAAAGAAAGATTCACAGGTGTTTCTAATATTCCAGATTTGTACCCATTAGATTAGGTAATAATGTTACTGGGTCAGAGTTCCAAATTCCAAATTCATCTGGAGGATGACATTGGTCCTCACCTCAGATCTTTGGTAAGGAGCACAAAAGTTGGAGTTTTGACAGACATAGTGACTAAGACACTTCTACAATATATTTCTGTTAAACTGGAGTTAAACTAATTTCAAAATCTTTATGAAGAAATCATGTTCAGTAAAATGTATAGCTTGACTGGCCTCATCCCTTGTTCTTAATAGAAGAAGAAAGCTATGAGAAACAGAAATGAAGCTTTCTCCCTCTATGCATCTGTGAGTCTTCCAAGTTAAGAGCTCATATTGAGCTCTTACTGAGCTCTTAACTTGCAACTTAACTGGGCTTACAACGTCAGAGGTACCTGTACTAAGCAGAACAATCAAACGTTTTTAAAAATCTTCAGCACTTTCCACATGTTGAGAAGCAACCTCTTGTTTCTCTATAGCAATGTGAGGTTCCTTTTGGATTATCAAATATAAATATGCATCAGGGTCAGGCCAAGTTGCTAACACTGGATATGCATTAGCAATTTCAATACAGTGTATCAAAATGTATGTATATAAACGTTAAATAAGACCAGGCATTTATATTATACCCCCATAGGCTACTCCAAATGAAGAGTGTTGCATCATGAGAAGGGGGAAAAGCAACGTTGCCAAGATTGCTTTTGTTTTTTTACCAACATGTGATTAGTGACATTTCTGCAGAGACATCTCAGGGGTGTAGAGTACACTTGGCCTAGCAGATAGGATGCCTTTTTACCATTTTTCTCTCTCCAATAGACAGAAGGTTTAGATTAGTGAAGGTGCAGTCTTCTTAGATAAAATACTTTCTGTACTTAGTCCAATGGCATTCATAATTCTGAATTTAGTCTGTTCTCTAAAGTTCTTCAGAGAAGATCAAAATTAGGTAGACCACTGTCAAGCACTTTGTGATTCAGCACAACACTAACCAATCTTACTTTTATAATGTTTGATGCGGAATGTTTCAGTAAACAGAAATTGTATTTAAACTACTACACTCTGCTATATAAGCATCACTTTCTTCTAAAATATTTACCATCAGATACACCACCATTACTAACAACATTTTAATTACCTAAGCCAGAGTTATCTCAAAAAGGTCAGGAAAAATGAACCACGTCCCTAAATTGATGGCATATATATATATGTATATATATTTGATTCTAAGTAGCTTCTACCTAAAGATCTTTGACATGTTTAGTGTGCTTCCCCCAGAGGATTTAGTAAAAATGAAATTAACTGCAGATACTAATTTATGAGATATCAAATTCATATGTATGTTGTATTTGATTCATTTATATAAGTTTCACATTTTTTTCATGGCAGCAATACCTAATGAAATATTTGATACCATAGTTTGAATCTAGACTCTGCTACTGACTTACATAAATGTCTTGGGCAAGTTGCTTAATTGCTCTGAACTTCAGTTTGTTTGTGTATAAAATGTCAATAATGTCATTCTACATCATGAGGTTGTTTTGAAAAGCAAACAAAATAAGGTTTCTAAAATTCACTCAAGTAACACATGGCATATAGTATGCAATACATTTTTCCATACTTTGTTTTATATGCCAATAGTTTAAAGTAGGTACTTGACAAGCAGTGCTTGTACTTGTATGTCCTGGGCTAGCATAAAATTATTTTCCATTTCTGACCATTTATTTAACTGAGTGTCTTATCTAAATCTCAGGTTCTGAAGAGATACAGTCTGCATCTTGAGATATAATTGTTGCATCTGTCTTCTTATCAATTAAAAACGCCAAATTAGTTTAACAACTATCAGAATCCTGAAACAACATTCATGAAGGATAAGCTTTAAAATGCCTATGAGAATATAGAGAGGACTTGCAAAATACCTTATTAGGGTGGCAGTTGTCCATAGAATAATACAGTAGATGATAGAGAGAAATGGAGATGGGCAATCTAGTTGTTTTCAAAACTGGAAAATAAGTATATTCTGCTTGAAATATTTTCTGGAAAATACTGCAGGGAAATTAATAAAAGGAATACTTAGATTAAAGAATACATGAGTCCTAATAATCTAGGTACCTAAGAAGCAAACAATAACAGTCTGTATTCACTTATAAATCCTCACTGCCTACTGAAAACTCTCAGAATAACTACGTGAGCAAAATGGAGAAAAAAAAAATATCTGGATATCTGGATATCAGTGCAATTACTATTTGAAAAAATGCCCAGATGAGTTGTTATTAAACTGATCCACACCAATAGGAAAACTATCAAGCCATATATGTTAAGAGTGTCTGGCCTTGTGTCACCCCTAATAAACATTTTGGCCATCAATTTGAATATAGGTTAAGAAGTAATAATGGCAATAATAATGGCATTTATTAACTCTCAGCTATGTGCTACAGCATTTTGCAAAGTATTTTTTCTGTATTATCTCTGTGTTACTGATAACCACTCTATGAAATACATACTATTATCCTTATTTCTTACAGATAAGGAATTTATGCTCAGAGAGGTTTAGTAACAAATCCCAAATCTTAACAATTAGTAATGCTATTGTTGGGCTTGGAATCCAGGTTCATCTTACAATAATGTCACTTGAGTAATAGTCTATACTCTCTCTCTCTCTCTCTCTCTCTCTCTCTCTCTCTCTCTCTCTCTCTCTATATATATATATATATATATATATATATATATATATATGCTTAATTAAACTTGCAGATGTCAAATCCGGCAGGTGAATGAATACCTCGATAGCTTGGTATGGAAGATGGTGTTGGACCTCACCAAGAATCAATAATTGCCCTATCCTACCTACATCTATGCTCCAAACTTCAACTACATGACTCAAGAAAAGGACAGAGGTGATTTAGTGGCAAGGGCTCAGTCTGTGTGTATGAATGTGTATGTTAAAATATGTGTACACGTGCTTGTGTGCTGGACAGAATTACTTGCTTTGGAAGAACATGAGTCTCCTCTTTCTGAAAGGATTCAAATCTAGGCTGGATGAAAGTCAGGAACTGTGGCTAGAATTTAAGCACCAGATGGATGTATCGACTGAACATTTAAGTGTATTTCCAACCCTAATGTACTGCTGTCATGCTGCATGCAACTGTTCAAATAAAAACAATTCAATGTGGTTAGGAGAAGAGATATAGGGAAGTATATATTTCTAGTATCTTTAACTTGTAGTGAATAGTTGGAAAATCCATCAGAAGTGCAAAATCATATCTTGACTGACAAGCCTCACCCAGTGCACACCCCAGGCAATGTTTTCGTGTCACTGAGAAACAAACTGGCCCACCCAGAAGACAGCCTTACTAATCTTGATGCCTAGAAGCTTGAAGCCTCACTGGAGAAGTGAGCAGTCAAAGGGAGCTTGTCGCCACTGATTAGCTGAAAACAAAGAAAAAAAGATAAATAAAGGAAGATTTTTTTTGCCAAGATAGATAAGATCCATTGGCTGAGCTCTACAGCTGGAGGGTAAAGGTAAGTTACCATAATCGGCAATAGTCACTTCTAGCTGGAGTTGGAAACAGTCTGTAGTATAAAAGCAGGCAAAGGGGAGCACCTTTCTCTTCCCTGAAGGGATTTCTGGCTAAAGGAATACTGTCAGCCGCCTTCTGGGGTCCCTCCCCCGAACATATGTGGACTCTGATTGTAGGCAGCCAACCTGGGCTTCTCTCCAGTCAGGGGCATATGGTGAGGTCACAATGGCTGAAGGGGATGAGACAGAAGACGATTGATTTCAGAGCCAGAGAGAGTAATCCTATCAAATGCAGGTGCACAGAAATTAGGAGATCAGAACAGCTCCTTGCATTTCTTGCTACATTTCCAGTATTTTCCCATTCCCTTGCTCAGTGCCTTGTCAGCACACCTAGAATTGAGGGTGTGATAAGAGAGGAGCAGAAAAGTAAGACTGAAATATTGTCCAATACGACTAAGAATTTTGCAGAATGCAATAATTGTTTTAAACACAACAGCAGTTTATGGTTATCAAGGCACCAAGGAATAGCACTGCCAAGAATTTACTGAGCAGTAGGGCTTCTCTGACAGGAACTGCGCAGCAATGTTCTCCCAGCAGCTTGACGTCATTCTGCATTGGTTGGAGTGAGATTGGACAGAGCGTGGCTGAAGCTGACAGGAAAGAGATTATGCAGGTATGTGAAAGTAAGGGTACATAATTTGCACACAGTTCCTCATGAAGTCAGGAATTATGGTTCAGATCAAAGTTGCAGCTTTCTTGTGGCACAGAATTCAGCATATAAAATACATTTTATACCAGGAAGTAATATGTTGCAACTTTGATCCAATTCATCACCCACCTAAATCCATTAGGAAACAAATGAAACAGTCTAAATAAAGAGACTAGACTAATTGAGGTTAGGATTTCCAGAACAGAAAGAGTTGAGACTCTAATTAAAGAAGCTTCCTAACCCCACACGTGGAGCAAAGGAGCTGAAACAGAAAGGACATGAATTCCTTCTGTTGTGCACGACAATAGCACCATCTGACAAGTCAAACATCTGTCCAAATGACCAAACATATGCACATCCCAGTTTAAAATGACAAGACATGCACACTTAATTTAGAGGTATCTGAAGTATTATGTGAGCCTAAGGGAAATCCAGAGAGACTGGGATAGAGGGAAACTAGTGCCAAAGCTTTGGCATTCACCTTAAATAACAAACAAAAATATCTTGGATTTTTGCATTCCTGAAGTAAAAAAATAAATATCAATATTAGAAAAACAACAAACATGAAACTCGTCCCCTGATACTTATCAGGAGAGTTTGCCTCAATATTATTCCTCTCCATGATCTAGTGTTCAAAAAAGAAGTACTGGTTGTTTTTATATTTGTTTACTTTGCAACGCAATGCATTTGTTCAAATCCAAGCAGAATCTACATTTTCTCTTTTGTTTCAGTGGCTAACCAGCCAGGTAAACTAATTGTTCTCTGCTATTAAATCAAAATTAGAGTTAGGAATAAAAGCCAAAGTAGCATAGTTAACAAAAACCCACCGACGTTTACAGTCATTACATGGCACAGAAGAACCTATGGTTTATTAGGAAATGTCACCTGCCAGAAGCTAACATTTAGACCAAGTCTTATATCACTGTCCTGGCCAAACTATAACAAAGCGAAGAAATTGCTTAAGCAAAAACAAGGACAATAAAACAAAGGTTTTCTAAATTACTGTTGCCCGTGTCATTAAATTTCATATTGTGCATGGAATATAAATACATCACTTTGTTCTGCATGACAAGCAGAAGTGAGCATTCATACATTACTCAGCCACTTAATTAAGTGCCTGGGATATTTGCAGTTAGCAGAAACTAATAAGGGAATCACATTTAAATTCAAATCACTCCTCAGGGTAGCTGTCTGCAACATAAGCAAGGCTTACTGGGTAGATGTTCCACTAAATGCTCAGCTGAAAGCTTAGATTCACTGTATTTGTGAATAAAGAATAATTCTACTTGTGATTAAAGGTGAGAGTAAAATAAACAATTCTGTTAGGGATATTTGAGTGACGTTTTATTTCCCCTGTTTTAAATAACCATTTCGTCTATTACTTTGTCTCCCAGAACAAGGGTATGATTTAGGGCTTTGCTAGCTTAGAGCAGGAGGTTCCATAAAAAAACAAATGACGAGGCTGACCCTTTCCATGGCAGCCTTTCAACAGACCTGACAGTAACATTCCCTGCACCACAGACAGTAAACAACAAAATTATAAAGTCCCCATTGAGAAAAAAAGCAAACAGGAAACAAAGTGATGGAGGGTCACAGGAGACAAAGAATGGGGAGGAGAGAGGAGGGATTCACATATTTATAGCAAGAAGCCAAGAACCCAGTATTCCCAACTCCGAGGAATTGCTCGTCCTCTAGCCATTGCCCAAGACTGGATTTATTTTTAGCCATTCTTCTTTATAAATTTTAACTTTTCTGGACTAAAACAATCCCATATGGTTTCAAATCTGCCCTTGATTCCAAACAGCCCCCACACCGAGCTTCTTCAAAATTTCAAAGCCATCTGGTCACCGTTGGTACAAATGACCTCTCAATATCCCTCCTCATACAAAGTGTGTTTTTTTTCAGCTTCAGGAAACTGGACTCTCAGGGCCCCACACAATTACAATTACTGAGGGCCGAGGTAAAGGTACACAAAAGACCCCATCACTTCAAGAAAAAAGCATGCTCTAATCCAAGGTATACAGAAAAGTGAGCAGAATAGCTTAGATGCAGATTGTACACCTTTGTTCCTTTACTGAAAGAAATTACATAATTTCACCTGACACCATGCACCATTTTGCTACCGAAAAAAATTAACTCCTAATTCCAGATTGCAATCCCAAGTTGAAATAAATTTAACTCTAATATTTTAACACTGCATTTAGACTGAACATAATATTTTTGGTTAGATAGAAATTTGGCATCTTCTGCAAGTCATAAAATCTTTGAAGCATAAATTCTGATCATCACAATAGGTACTGTCACACAGCATCACCTCAGATATTGTCAAGGTACCATCTGGCATTAGTTATACAGCAGTGGATAGAAAAGGTGTAGGCCTAGCACCCAGTTCTTAAACGGGTGGGAGTCAGTACTCATACCAGCATCAAGAACCAGCACAAAACAGCTCCTATGTAGAGTATATATGCAGAAAAAAATGCTTGAGGATTTACATAGGGAACCATTACCTTAGTTATAGCTGGAGAGAAGACAGGGAGATTTAGTTTTTAATTATATATCCTTTTATACAATTTGAATTTATTGCCATATGCATTTATTAGCTTTGTTAGAAGTAGTAATTAAACAATAAAAATTAAGTTTGCCCACAGCTTTTCAATTTTTCCCCAATAATTTCTCTCAAATACCTCAATCTGAAAGTAAATTTCACTATTCAAACACATCCACTGAAATCCATCCTACCATTTTAAATAACAGCCTTCTCAGTTCAGAAGTGCAATCTCCCCCTCAGTATTCCAAATGAAGTGCCTTGATAGGTATGCCCTACTTACATTCATCTGAGTCCTGATGGAAGTGTTGAGGATGATCTCTTCTCCAGAACACGTATTTGATTCTTTGGTGGAATTATTTTAGACACTTGAATATTTAGGATAGATGTTAAGAAGTTGAAGAGTCTAGTATCACAGGCTAGCTACTATAACAAATAATGCCAAAGATCTGAGAAGATTAATACGCAACAAAAGTTTATTTAGCTCTAATGTCACACATCAATGTGAGACTACTTAGAGGCTCTCCTGTATAAAATTAGAGTCCAGTTTCCTTCCATTGTGACTGTGTAGCTTGGACATATTATTCCAGGTCCAAGAGTCCTCCACACTCAGCCAGCAAATTAATAAGGAGAGAGCAAGAAGCATAGTGTGAGAGGTTTTACGAACCAAGCATGGAATTGGCATTTGTCACTTCTAACTACCTTTCATTGGCATCACCCCTTCCCATGTGACACCCTATCGGCAAGAGAAACATAATTTAAGTATTTTCTCAGGAAGGAAAGTTTGGTGAACACCATAGTAGATCAAATCCTTCTAATTTCTTCATTCTCTCCATGCACCCATACCTTTGCCATGTGACTTTGCAGTACTTCTCAGGAGAGTGAGCAATATCTATTTCCCCATCTCATTGATATTGGCTTTGGCCATAAAATTTGCTTTGTCAGTGGAAAATTAGCAGAATTGACAATAGCAAATGTTTTAAATGTCCTGAGCAAGTTTCACCTTCCCTTGCAATTTGTTCCCTTAATCTTGAAAACAACAAGCCTCAGGAAGGATGAAAGGTGTGAAGTAGACCAAAACTTGTGCAGATATGAGTTTGAAGCCACATCCAGTGAACCCACATTCTGAGACAGAGCCACTCAGTGTAGACCATCCTAGATCAGCTAAACTACAAGTGGCTTGCTGGCCTGGTAGGTGAGAATCAGTTTGCTGCTGTAAGATGCAGAATAGAGGGAGAGAGACACAGTTCGTTAAATATCATTACTGTAGTAGTAGCTAACTAATTCAGACACATATCAGTCTCTGCTTCAGCTGGTGTCTGTGAGCAATTATAATTTTAAAGGACCTCACTGTATATCGTTTTTAAAAGAACATTTTACCCGCATAGGAATACTTTTGGATAAATATTGAGAAAATTGTGAAATCTCTTAAAATCAGGTATAACAATATGAGTTAACACCATGAACTGTAACCTGGATAACATGTTGTTGTTTTACCACATTTTTCAAGTATTCTCTTAAATAATTATTTAATGTTCTTAAATGCCATAAAGTGCTCATTTTAAAACTGAATATATTTTTGAGAGGTTAACAATTCTCCAAAAGTCATTTGCAAAAGACTGAGAAACACAGCATCTATTCAACTACTACAACTGTAGATGATCACCCAAAGACTCATTTCTTTGTGTCTATAAATTATTTAGATTTCTTCCCTTGATGCCTGCATTACAACATTTATTTCACAGCTGGTTTGAAATTTTAACAAAGGATGATCAGAAGCAGAGATGTTTCTCACACCAATCATGAACTAAATAATATTAGGCATTTAAATTATACTGCCCCATAAAACCCTGAAAATATTTCCATTCATTATTTATACTTGTCCCCATTTACAGATGAAGAATCTGATCCTTTTAATTTTTCCTAAATTTTTAATGTTATATTCTGCTAATGTGTTATAAAGTTGAAGGGCTCAGCTTAAAACTGAAGGAATCTTTCTCTAAAGTTCACATTTCATCCACTACACCAGCCTGTCTCCACAATTAATATAAATGCAGAAAATTTGGTTAATAAAACAGAGGCTAAAAGTAAGTTTAGGAATGGTTAAGAAAAATACATTACCGACAATACAGACATTTGTAATTTGGCTTCATTTTCTAGATCTTGCAATAAAATTTAACAGTAATGTTTAGCCTACCTAAGATAAAATAATTAATAAATGTAGTTTAACAGAAGAAGGAAGAGATTCATTTGTAGAACAAAAATCAACTGATTTCAAGCCCTGAATTCACTACAACTTGTTATAAACAAATATAAGAAAATATATTTTAAAAAATCCCCTCATCTTTTTCTAAAACATTTGGGACAAAAGAGAAACATATACGATACAATTTTGAAGAAAACAGTTTCCAATTTTAGAAACTATTAAGTTTAGTAAGTGCAAAGTACCTATCTAGCCAATGTAACACAGCATAAATTGCAAGAGACCTTCTGTATCTGAAGTTTGGTCAGAAAGAGCCAACATCTCTCTTAACCTCCCACGTATTTACCTTAGTAATCAGAAAAAGTCAAAATAAACCAAGTAAAGACGAGTTTTGTTTTAATTCTTCTGTAAGTCAAATACATTAAAGTAAGTAAACACAGAGGAACGAGCTCCCACAGGGATTGAGGAATAATAGCATAGTAAGTGACTTGCAACGGGAACACATTCAACACTTCATGAGCTCACTGGAATTCGTGACACCTGCTCCACCTATTGAGTCAGCCTTGTGGTGGGTGGGTGCTGGAAAGGGAAAAGTGGGTGACAAATGCAATTTCCATGGACCAAAATAGGTTCTGGCACATTTAGCTCCTAAGATTTTTTCTATTTAACTTTCTGAGGAAATTTTGGAAGAAAAAATGTTTACCATACAAAGTTTTCTTTCAATAAGAAATAACTTTTACAAAGATTGAGATATAATCCTAGTTTCTATTGCAACATAACTTGAAAATACAAACGTATTCTGATTTTCAGTTAAGCCAGTACATCAGATTAACTTTTCCCCCAAGATGAGCTTTCTACTTTTTAGTAAAAAATCATCATCCAGGTGACAAATCAGCTTTAAACAGGCCTTAAATCAGCCCAGAATTTGAAATAAGCTCTTTCCTGCCAAAAGTGCAAAGACATCTGTTATCTCTTCTCTAATTCTTCACATTAAAATTGCAACAGCAGAGCAAATTTTTAGCATCATATCTCACTCAATCATTGATCTATGGATGAAAATTATTAAAATTTAAAAAAACCAGATATGCTTATTCCCAAAAGTTTCATTCCTTGAGGTTTTTGTTTAAGATAAAGTTGAACACATGCATTTCTATCATGGCACTTATTTTAAGGCTCACCTTGGCTATTATTTCTCTCACTTGCCAGGTTAACCACTCTCAATTTCCACTTTTTTGTTAATTTAAATGTATAATAAATATACAACTAAATCTCCCCTTAATAAATGCCACTTTTATTATACATATATATAAAATAATTGACTTAAGTCATTCAAATATAATCAGGTTTAATTTATCTCTTCAAGTTTGTCACTGAAAATACTCTATTAGCTAAAAATCTCTAGATAATGTCATTGTATGTATATGAAAATATTTTAAATTTTATGTTAATACAAAATCATTATTTTATTATTTGTTATGTAGTTGATAGTCATTGTTGAAAACATGTAAAATAAAAACACATGAGGGAATTTAATAATCTTTCATTCAACATCTAAATATCTCTTTCACTGGAATATATTGAAAATATATACAATATAATTTATATTTATATTTGCATAAAATGTTTCTGTAAAATTGAGGTGACTCCTTATATCATTTTATAACTTTTTCCAATTGTGTTTTCTTTTATTTCCCTAGTAATAATCTGTTAAATCTCCAAGTAGAGCACCTAATATTTAGGATACTCATCCTTATAGACGCCTCTCACTCCCTTTTTTTTAAACGTGAAATATTAGCATCTTATAATTTATTTTATAGAATGATCTGTTTTCAAGTTCAGGGATTTCTTTGAAAATTGCATTAATTCAAAGGCAGTTCTCCATTTAATTGGATTAATGTGCTTCACCTGCACAACTTATTTCTCATCGAGTTGTGATTTTTATACCTTTATTTACAGAAGATGTGAGTAATCACGGAATGTGCTTCTTTGGTCCTCAAACACAGATATAGAGTTCTGAGATCTGAGGAAACTCTTTGGATGTTAATCCAATATCTCTGATATGAGAAATCTGAAATCAGCATGATTATCTTTTACTTTTTATGTTAACCTATTTTTTAATCTGATCTAGACGGTTGAAAAACATTTTAAACCTATTTTTAAATGTAAAATAAAAATCTAGCACAGGTATAAATATGTTTCCTCAGGTAGATTTTCATTTATGTTCAGTAAACTTTCTCAATCTAAAGTTTTAAGTCTTCTGAAGTTTAGCATTGATCACTACTCCATCAGTTCTGTGTTTTCACTCAAAACTTTTTTAAACATATATTTAAATCATATATGTTGTGTCTGTCCTCCACATCACATATTTTCCCTTTCAGTTAGAAGAAAGTTTCTCCAGTTTTTCATCTTCTTCACGGATTTAATTTTTCAGCATTGTCATGGTTGTTACTCATTGTTCCATTTTTTATTTTTATTTTATTTTACTTTTTTGTGAGGCGGAGTCTCGCTCTGTCGCCCAGGCTGGAGTGCAGTGGTGCAATCTCAGCTCACTGCAAGCTCTGCCTCCCGGGTTCACGCCATTCTCCTGCCTCAGCTTCCTGAGTAGCTGGGACTACAGGCGCCCACCACTACGCCCAGCTAATTTTTTGTATTTTTTTTTTTTAATTTTAGTAGAGACAGGGTTTCACCGTGTTAGCCAGGATGGTCTCGATCTCCTGACCTCGTGATCCACCCACCTCGGCCTCCCAAAGTGCTAGGATTACAGGTGTGAGCCACTGTGCCCGGCCTCATTGCTCCATTGTTTTAATGTAATAACTTTGATTCCGTTTTATGCATTGTGCACTCTTATCTCATGTTGTTTCCTTCTTTTTTAACTCCTTACAAAATTTTTTTAAAAAAATTGTAAATGTTTATTCTGTTTCTTGAGTAAGTTTATTTTGTAGAAAAAAAAATTGCCATGATTTTTTATTTGTTGGTTTGTTTGTTTGGAAAGGAGTCCCTTTGCCGCCCAGGCTGGATGGAGTTCAGTGGCCCAATCCCCGCACACTGCAGCCTCTGCCTTCCAGGCTCAAGCAATTCTCCCACCTCAGATTCTGGAGTAGCTGGGACTACAGGAGTGCGCCACCACGCCTGGTTAATTTTTGTATTTTTAGTAGAGACAGGGTTTCGCCATGGTGCCCAGGCTGGTCTCGAACTCCTGACCTTAAGTGACTCACCTCGGCCCGCCAAACTGCTGGGATTACAGGCATGAGCCACTGCTCCGGGTGATTGCCATGATTTTTAAGAGTTGTTCCCAGAGTATGCACACGTATGTTTATTGTGGCACTACTCACAATAGCAAAGACTTGGAACCAACCCAAATGTCAAACAATGATAGACTGGATTAAGAAAATGTGGCACATATACACCATGGAATACTATGCAGCCATAAAAAAGGATGAGTTCATGTCCTTTGTAGGGACATGGATGAAGCTGGAAACCATCATTCTCAGCAAACTATCGTCAGCAAGCTATCGCAAGGGCAAAAAACCAAACACCGCATGTTCTCACTCATAGGTGGGAATGGAACAATGAGAACACCTGGACAGAGGAAGGGGAACATCACACACCGGCGCCTGTCGTGGGGTGGGGAGAGGGGGGAGGGAAAGCATTAGGAGATATACCTAATGTAAATGACGAGTTAATGGGTGCAGCACACCAACATGGCACATGTATACATATGTAACAAACCTGCACGTTGTGCACATGTACCCTAGAACTTAAAGTATAATAATAAATAAATAAAATAAAATAAAGAGTTGTTCCCATTATAGTGATAAACTGAGAAAGCAGAAAGTAAAAATGCGTGTTCACGTGCCCACAGACCTCAAAGGCCCCAAAGAGGAAAGTGAATCATTAAGACTGACCACAGTATCAACCACTGTGCTATTACTCATCTCTTCCTGGGATGATTTTTTTCTATCACTTATCTACCTAATTTGTGATTATATAAACTCTGGTTTCACATACATAGATATAGCCGTGAAGATAGATTGACAGCTTGTTACATTAGAAGCACTTAATAAATATGAATGATTATGATGATGACGTGCTGCAGAAATCATGATTTCAGAACACTATTGTACAACTCTCAACCTCACATAGAAGCTTAAGAATACTAAATGATACTTAGCTTGCTTACTTTACTTGAAGGGAAAACCAACAATTTTCTTTTCAAATATCCAGTAAAAGAAAACAATTGAGTTCACCTGATAGCTGCTATCAAACACAAAATAATGAAAACTTACAATCTAGAATAGTAAATCTGAGCTTTCAGGAGATAAGAATCATTTGACCTATTTACAAATTAGAACATGCAGTCAGTATGTATTTATAAAATTAATTTATATAAGTGATTTCAAAACATGTGATCTTAGATCATAAGCCCTCTTTATTTAGCTGAAATAATCATAATAAAAAGTTGTTGGCAGCAAAACTTGTAATAAATATTTCTGAATGGAGATTTAATTAATTATAACAGCAATGCTTGAACAATCATTGCCAAAATAAATAAATGCCACCAAGAACACAGGCCTTCCATGCAATTTGCATTGCATTAACAGATCTCATTTTTATCATCAGCAACTTTTTACTAAGAAACCATTGTGAACAAAATATTGGCAGTGCTCTCCTTGATACAGATATGATCAACTGTATTTTCTCAGGTGAGTGGGAACAAGGAGGTGGACCATGGGGAAGAGGAAACAAGATATGAGTCTTTTGGCCTCTCTTTCCGCTTCATTTATAACAATTGCAAATATTAGGATTCCAACAACAATTTTATTTGTTCGAGCTTACTGATTTGCCCATCCTTCAAACTTAGAAAAAAAAAACCACATTTTTTCCCAGTATTATGAGAATCTTAGAGAGTTCTACTATAGAAACATACATGTCCCTGTCAAGATACAGCTACTCAGCCTCTTGTATTATTGACTAACTAAATTATTGCCTAATAAAATAATATAAAGCCAGATATCCTGACTCTAGTTATATATTCATTTAACTCATGTGTTATATTTTAAGTTTATCATCTTAATGGTTTTTCTCTTGTGCTTTACAAGAGCCTGGTATCACTTCATCTGTGACACTCCACACTGAGTACAGAAATCTTACAAGATACAAACACATGCTTCCCTACTGAGACTACCAACAAATTCCAGTCTGTTTCTGCTATACTCTTTTTGATATGTCTCATTATCATGCTTCATTTAGTAACTCCAGTTGTTATATTATACAATTCATATTAATACTCCTTAATATACTTTTGGCATCAAATGGCACATAGGTAAGTCATTAGTAAATATTTATAATTAAGCTTAAATAAAATAGTTCTGTAATAAAAGCCAAATAAGACACCACTGGGCTGTAAAAAGAGCATTTTTAACCCTAGCCCTTATTGTTTAAATGATAGCTTAAACTAGAAGGCAAGGAATCATGGATATACAATATAATGTATATCTGAATAAATGAGAACCTTTAGAGCTATACAACAACTAGAGGCTATTTTCTGCCATGAAAATTCAGGTAGAGACACTAAAGAAAGGTCCGTTGTGTCTGCAAAACTCATCTGGGAAGCTTCTTAGGAAACACGAGGGGGATTTCATGTGAACGAGAAATAAACTTCCACTGTGTTTTTTAAAAAAAAATCAGGAAAGTCTCTTAAAACTCCTACTTCAGACTACAACCACAAGCACTGAATATTTTTAGAAGAATGTTTTACAGTAAGCATTAGCCTATTTTCTGGTAAGGAGAGACAGTCCTCCATACTTCCAGCATTTCTTGCACTGTATGAATTTATGAAATAGCAAACGGCATTGGTAAACATTAAACTATATTAATAGAATTTATGAAACCTCTGTTGATAAGTAAATGCCTATACAGATGACACTTAAAGGTGTTAGGCTCTCTCTGATAGATAATTTGGCATCATATTGAGGAGTGACAAAAACAAGCTTAAAATAGTATGGGATGCTAAGAGACAATTTTTATCAGAGGCTAACCAAATATGGAACCAGGTTCCCATATACTAATGTCTCAGCTACACTTGGACAGGGACTTCAGCAATATTCTTGTAATGAAAGCCTAGTAATCAACATTAGCATCAACATGTAGACTATTTCATATAATGTGCTCAGCTATATCCACCCAATTTTTTGTTTTATTTATAAATATCATGTTTAATAGAACTTTTTCAAGTATTTATGGTTTAAATTTGATTCTGCTTCCTAACTACTGAGACTGAGTTCTTTGGAGGAATTCCTATTCTAAGCGAAATTAGTAATGGCTAGAGGTTCTGCCTCACCAACCCAACATACATTTTTGTCATATACCTTTGTGACTATGTCCTCGGCCTTAGCTGCACAAAGGCTATTCTTGCTGAATGATGTAGAGTTTACAAAAGTATGTAGAATGCCCACTGGGAATTAGTCCAAGACCTAGATCTAGAATACTAGATACTAAAATAAAATGAGTATTATTAGATTACAAAATGACCTAATTTTTTTTTCTATCTTCGTTTCTCAGTGGGATTTAATGGAATCATTGTAAGCCACCATAACAAAGCAGAAGAGCCCAGGGAACCACACATATCTGTTCATTTCTCTCTGAAATTCCCATTTCTTTTGAGTCCCATTGCTTTACTTAATTAATGTTCTATGATTCATCATTCTCAAATATCTGTCCATAGCAAATACAAAATTTGTTCTCATTTGCATCCATCCTATAACTCTGTCAGTAAAATAGCCTCCTTGTTATCTCTTCTCCCACAACAAAACCATTCCACAAATCATTTTGACTTTTTTTCTTTCTGATCATATTGACCTTCATATTCCCATTCCTGAGATTACCATTGTTACACACCAAAAGCTACAGAGACACTGAAGTTATAGGAATGCAATTTTACCAAAATCATTTATAACGGTCAATTATTTTTATTTTGTTCAACAGACAATAACTATAAATAATCTGAAAAGAATGAAGTAGAATAAATTAATGTTTTCCTATGAAGAATATGTGTGTATATTCTAGTACCTGACCCTCACAAATCCACGAAGCAACATTTAACTAACATGCAAATCTCCATATATATTTAATGCACTAGTAACAAAACGAGATCAACAATAGTACCAAGAGTTTCTATAAAACAACAACTAATGAAAATGTCTACAGAGGAATATTTTCACTTTTTAAACATAAAATGATCAATCTAAAGAATATATTTTGGCAAATTAGGTAAGAGCACAATTGGTTCCATTATCTTTTGGTTAGAATACACTTCTCTAAATGTAGAAAGGATTTTGATTGAAAATATATCCTTGATTTTATGTAAAAAATTATTTCTATGTCATATATTGTAGTTAATTGTGTTAGTAAAATAATTGCACAAAAGTGGATGTTCTCGAGTCATTTATGTAAAATGTAAGAGACACAGTATTATATTCAATAGCAATAATCGAAGGTATATTATAGAATCTTTTAAAAATGAGCCATCAGCAAATTAGCAGGTATATTCTGGCAATAATACTCACATAGTGACAAAATTGCTGTATTTTCTACGGGAAGAACTGGGTAGTAAATTTCATATTATACCAAAGTTCATTTAACAAGGGGACTTTTCACAAGAATCTACCATTGTGAGAAAAATAAAAATAAAAGCAAATACAAGTAAAATACCTGAAACTACACAGAAGCCCTCCACTATGTTACCATGACACTAGTTACAGAAATCCAAGAGTGTTTAAATCCTGCCTCTGGCAATGTTATATATAACATGTGTAAATTGTATTCTCAAGCCTTAAATTGAAAAATTTGCTTCTCTTCAGCTCTTCTTGTGGGCTGAGAAAATAAAAGTCTGCAGGAAAAAAAAGTATGACATGAACAATAAACATAATAGATTTTTGGACTTTCCATCCCTACATTTTATACTCTGAGCTTCCTTTGTGTTGCCAAAGAGAATAGAATTTTCCCAAAGCAATACTGGTAGTTGAGGCAATATTCCACAAATAAAGTTCATTAGAATTAGGAAGGAGCTATTTCCAGTTGACAGTTCACTCAGCTCTATAGCTGTGTTTGCACCCAGTTTAGCCATCATCCGTCACATTTCTGTTCCCTAGAGGTACAACACAGGGAGTTCTTTGTTTCTTAGCAGAGACTTTCCAGATAGCCAACAGAGGAGGTCTCTCAGGGCTTTTCCAAAAGAGACTGGGTAAGGAAGCACAGGCAATTGCAGACCAGAAAAAGGAACAGCAAAAGAGAAAAAGCGCTCTTAGCATAGCACTGGGCTCTTAACAGATATTCAAAAAATATTTAATTAATTTTTAAAAATTCCATATCTCATACATTCTATAATCAGAATCACTGAATTAGGAGTTTTTCATCTCCCTTTGTCCTTAACAATCTGCAAGAAGACATTCAAATTTAGAAACTAGACATACCCACACCCATCTACATGCAAATCAGCATTTGTGTGCAACCCCGGGCATTTGGAAAATGTTAATATTTACAACTACCTGTTTCAATTTAATAGTATAAAGTATTATATTGCAAAGTGTTTTAAAATAAGGGAGCGTGCATATTCATAAATACTCTTTCTTGAATTTTGGACCTGATTTTTGAAAGTAGTATCAGGAGTCCCCTTTCCTTCACACTCCCACAATCTACTTCAAATTTTTCAGGGAAGTCCCTAGAAAACAACAAGGGCATAAAATATAACCATCTTAGAACACAATCCCCCCACTAGGGCAATGAACTTTTTCATCAAAAGAGTGCAGAATCCCAGCACTTTGGGAGGCCGAGGCAGGCGATTCATGAGATCAGGAGATCGAGACCATCCTGGCCAGCATGGTAAAACCCCGTCTCTACTAAAAATACAAACATTAGCCGGGCGTGGTTGCACGTGCTTGTAATCCCAGCTACTTGGGAGGCTGAGGCAGGAGAATTGCTTGAACCCGGAAAGTGGAGGTTGCAGTGAGCTGAGATCACACCACAGCACTCTAGCCTGGTGAAAGTGTGAGACTCCGTCTCAAAAAAACAAACAAACAAACAAACAAAAAAAAAGTGCAGAAGATAAGATTTCCTGTAATGTCCCCACTAGTAACAGAAAAGAAGACAAACTCTGGAATTACATAGCCTTCCCCTTGAGATTTGTCTTGAGGCTAAAGAACCTAGGGGAATGAAAAGGAGATGACATTTACTGAGTGTACATTACAAACAAAACACACTTCATGGCTTATATATTATATATTTAATCTTTGCACTAGTCCTGTGAGGTAGGTGGTAGTTATCCCATCTTACCAATGATGAAACTGACACTCAGAAAGGTTAGGCAACATTTCAAGATTACACCGTTAGTAAAAAGAGGGCTCTGTGTGACTCAGTGGCAGCCTTCGCTGAACTGTGTACTGAAGTAGACTGGCTCTTGAGCAAGAGCCATCTGCTTGGGCTTATTCTGGTTTCTGGGACTTACAAAAAGAGAAACCGAGGTTCTTCTTCAGAACTCTGTCTTGAAAAATCATTTTTTAAATCCATTTCAAAACTATCAATTAAAAAGACAGAACAGAAGGAGGACTTTGAAAGAGAGAAGCCAGAGAAAGGGAAGGGAAAGGAGTCTTTAATTCTCAGGATGCCCGCCCTGGTAAATATAAAGAAAGAAAGAAAAAAAGAAAAAAGAAAAAGGAGCATGAAAACCCCCTTTCTCTCTGAAGGACTCCAGCAGTCAAAACAAAAATGTGGCCTAAAGCTCTAGGACTTCAACAAGGGAAAATTCAAGATGAGCCAGTTTTCTCACTATATTTCTCACTCATATTCACCAGCTGATTGATAATTTAGTGATTATGATATCTAGATTGCTAGAATAAAATAGGACTTAAATGGCTTTAGAAATCAAAGCTATTAGGTTGAGCCATGTGAAAATGTCATCTTTGTCTATCAAAACCGGTTGAATAATGACAATTTAGTGTGGTTCAACCTAACATATTAGGTTGTTAACATCAATCCAAACATAGGAGGAGACCAAAATAATGAGAATTCAAACATAGCAACAACTCTGGATCATGTAAAATACAAGTTTTGACCCACACAATTTCTCTGACCAAAGTTGATAAGCCAGTTTGCAGGTAGAACATTCCCAAAAGACAGTAGTCCAGAGCTCTGAAATATTACTCAGGAAACAGTCTTTTGCCGTTAACAGCAGTTTCACATATGGCAAAGCAAAACACATGTGAACAAAAGTTCTACTTCTCCCATGCCAGGGGCAGTTTTTCAGACTAAAATAGCTGGTCTGTGCTTAACTATTCTCACAGCTATGGCGAAGCTTTAGTTAGGACCTCAGTGTAAATTATATTCAGCCAATAATTGTGTGGAAGTACCAATTTAATTTTCAAAGAACAAGCCTTGAGGTTTAGCATAACTAAGCTTGAATTAACATGTTTGCTACAAGGGCTAGGCAAGCTGCTGGGTACGCTGGCCAATTCCAGTGTACAACCAACCCCCTTAGGTTTTCTACCACATGTTTGAAAGGCCTGTTCTCTATGGCAAAGGCAGAATATATCCTGTAGGCTCCCTATGCAGCAAGAGGCTAAAATAGCATTTAAATTTGATCCTTGGAACCAAGGGGGAAATACAAAGCTGTCCAATTTCAGAAGAGCTGGAATGAAATTCAGCTGATATCACTGTCATGCTTAGGAGAAGGAAAAGGCAGACAAGCCCAAGAGGAGATAGTCACAACAAACAAGAACTCTGGATCTCTGAAATGAGAATCGACTGCCAAGTCCTCTCAGCTAGCAGTGCACAGTGTTGTGAACTCCTGGGGAAACTCAGACTCTCCACAGATGGGCACTTGTGGCATATGTTTTCCCTTCACAGTACACTGTAAACGGATACTTTCCTTTCTGCTTTGCTTCTTTGTCTAAAATTTAAAGAGCACATTTAATTGTGCTAGGCACTTTCCTAGACATTAGGTCTAGATTCCAGATATTGGTGGACTAAGAGGAGAAGACCCCTAAGAAATTGTTTTAGGAAGAACCCATCACTTTGGAAATGGTGAGTGAACAAGAAGTCCAATAGGGAACAATTCTAACAAGGGTAACACACCTCAAGTATACAGAAGTTAGGCAATTAAAGCACCGTTTAGTGAACTAACACGGGTTTAATTTATAAGCATGTAAGTGAATTTAGATGAATATACATTTGTAAGAATGTAAGATTTTTGCTTTCTCGTTAAAGAGGTATACTCTTTAGTGCTAGTCTTCACATTTCTGACTTGTTCATCCCTCCCCACCTAAACTCTTAGATTATTTCCCTTCGCCTTACTTAATTGAAATACTTCCCTTAAGGGAAAAGTATCTACGTATTATCTTAAATGTAACCTGCCATTTTTCACAAGCAGTTTCTTTAGAATGGCCCCATGATTTTTCTGTATGTTATTATGAATTAGAAAACTAAAGCAGAATGGAGAATTGGTTGATAAAGTTAGTGAGTGAAGAAACTTCAAGATTGTATATCAGAGATTCCTAAAATAAATAACATCCCTTTTCCCCATTATGACTGAAATCATACACATTGTAATCTGATTTTTTCAGTATAAATGTTTTCAAAATAAAGGAAGTCACGTGGATAAAACAAAGGCGAAAGTATTCTGATGCCTTCTAGGTTCAGCTCTATCTGTGCCAAGTTGTTCTTTGATAATTCTATTACCAGATTCTCCTACTCAAAGAGGCTTAACTGGAACCTGTATGTGTTATACAATTAAATTATGTGTGACTAAAAAGAAATAAAATGTTTTCCTTTTCTAAAATATAGTTAATAAAAATTGATTTTCCCAATTTTGTCCATACTCACTTTGTAACCAAATGTACTTATTAAGACATGTCTTAGACACTGCAGTGTACATATGAGGTTTTTTATTTTCCAGTAATATACCTTTTTGTCCATCTTTTGTTAAAGCACACAGGTTTCCCTTCAGGAAACTGGACTACATTATGTTTTTACTCCCAATCTTCCCCCTCTCTACATTTAAATCTTTTGCAGTTCTTTCAACAGTAGCAGATTATACTTCCCTACCTCGTTGATTGGCTGTGTTATTTGCTTTGATCAATGAGAGTGTGAGCAGACATGACACGGAAGCTTCACATGTACTTGAACCCGTGCTTCCAGGGTTCTTTAGCCATTGCTATGAACAGAAGATACCCCTGGTGGCACACAGGCCCTAGAATAATGAGAGACATGTGGAGATGAGCTAAAACAACACCTCGCCTGTAGCCAAGCCAGAGTGAGTTCAGCTAAGATCAGCCAAACCCCAGCAAACCCACGGAAATATGAGCAAGCAATAATTGCTTATGGTTCTATGAGGATAATAGTTTGTAGTTCTAGTATTCAATATCATTGGCAGCATATCTGAGTGATAACAGACACAAATTCGTACCCTTATGAATTCTAGTGAGACTTTCAGTAAAGTTTATCTTCTTCCACTAAAAAGAGATGGGCATATGACCAAAGTTAGGTCAGTCTGACTCTCTCTCCTAAGAATTTCAATCAACCTGAGTAACAAAGACAGAAAACAGTTGAAGCTGTTTCATCCCGGAAATTCTGCAGAGATTATGCAATACTTCTTAAAATCCAAATTCCTAAAACAGCCAAGGATCTTGAATTTTCCAAGACTTCAGATTTTTCTTTATTCTATTGAGCTAACACACATTAGTTAAATTCATTCATTTGTTCTTAAGTTAGTGACTAATTTTCTGTTGCTGGTAACTCAAAAACCTTAATGATATAAGGACTTCATTTTTCAATCTCTAAATAAATTCATTGAATAGCAAAATATCTTATCATTATTTGTTTTTTTTTGTTGTTGTTGTTTTTGAGACGGAGTCTCGCTCTGTCGCCCAGGCTGGAGTGCAGTGGCACAATCTCGGCTCACTGCAAGCTCCGCCTCCCAGGTTCACGCCATTCTCCTGCCTCAGCCTCCCGAGTAGCTGGGACCACAGGCGCCCGACACCACGCCCGGCTAATTTTTTGTATTTTTAATAGAGACGGGGTTTCACCGTGTTAGCCAGGATGGTCTCGATCTCCTGACCTCGTGATCAGCCCGCCTCTGCCTCCCAAAGTGCCGGGATTACAGGCGTGAGCCACCGCGCCCGGCCGACATCATTTGTATTTTTCAGGACTGACCAAAATTCACAACGAGAAGGGGGTTGCCTACTACAATGGGAATTTCTCCAGACAAGTTAAAAAAACAAAGGCTTCAACATCAGGTAACTTACATGTATATTTAATTTGACATAAGAAAACGAATAGGGCCTGATGATGACTCTTTTTGTTTTAGAACATTAATAAAAATATTTCCACCAACAAACATTTCATAGGTGTTATTTTATTACAGAAGCTATACATTATAAAATCAAAGAACCCTCTTGAAATGGCATGTAACATGCCAAATATAAATTGAGTCAGAATTATTATAAATGTACTTTAAATAACTCATGAAAATGCAAATATTTATTTTAAATGATGATATAATTCCAGCAATATGATGATCAAAATAATCTGAAAACTCAGCTGCTACCAAACAGCTACAAATGTGGAATAAAATTTTATTGCATATTTTAACTGCATAGCCAATATTTAAATTACACTTGTGAGATATCCTCAGAAACCAAAATTGGAAAAGGAACGAAAAGCAGGGGAGAACTACATGAGCTGATAATTTTGCTGGGGTGGAGTGGGCTACGGTTAATTCCTCTCCTTAACAACTGATCTTGGATTTTAATGCCCAGATGTAGCTAATACTCTGTGTCTGAGAAAGGAACGGATTATTAGTGATAGTCTCCCACAAAGCTGAGACACTCGCCCTCAGTAAAAGGGTAGACACGTGTAGGTAAAGAGGGACTATAAGTAAGCTTATGCTTTTCCCTGAAATTTAGGTGAATAAAGAACTGATCTGAGAATCCAAAATAGTGGTGAACCTAACATGGATTTGAAATTCAAATCAAAATATCAAACTCTATGGTGCTTAAAGTACAAAATTAATATTAAAACAGCACCAGTTTGATTACAATACCTTTAGCACATGGCATTAGCCAATGCAGACACCTAAAATGAACAATACTAACAATAAATAGCAACAGTGATACAATTATAGCAGAGATTTAAAATGCTAAGAAAAAACTAATAACAAAGTTAGCCAATGAATATAAACTTTTAATTAAAAGACTTACTAGAAGAGGACAACTTGCAAATATATTTCATAAAAGACCTATAACCATTAGAGAAATTGAATTGGTCTACACCAGTATTTCTCAACTTTGTTACCATTGATGATTTGGACTAATAATTGTTTGTTTTCAGAAGCTGCCCTATACATTGTGGGATATTGAGCAGTGTATCTGGTCCCTATTCACTAGATGCCTGTAGCAGCCTCACAGTTGTGATAATTTTGTCTCCAATTCTCACGGATGACTGAGGGGTTCAAGACTTCAGTGGAGGAAGTAACAGCAGATGTGGTGGAGATAGCAAGAGAACTGAATTACAAGTGGAGCCTGAAGATGGGACTGAATTGCTGCAATCTAATGGTCAAACATGAATGGATGAAGAGTTGCTTCTTTTGGATGAGCAGTGAAAGTTGCTCCTTGAGAAGGAATCTACTCTTGGTGAAGATGCTGTGAACATTGTTGAAATGACAAGAAAGGATTTAGAGTATTCCATAAACTTAGTTGGTAAATCACCAGCAGGGTTTGAGAGGATTGACTCCAGTTTTGAAAAAAGTTCTACTGTGAGTAAAATGCTTTCAAACAGCATCACATGCTACAGAGAAATCTTTTGTAAAAGGTAGAGTCCATTTACGTGGCAAAATTCATTGTTGTGTTATTTTAAGAAATGACCACAGCCACTCCATCCTTCAGCAATCACTACCCTGATTTGTCAGCAACCATTAACACTGACGTAGGATCCTCCACCAGCAAAAAGATTACAACTTGCCTAAGGCTCAGATGATTATTAGCAATTTTTCGTATGTGCATTGTTTTTTCAGATATGTTATTTCACACTTAGACTATAGTATAGTGTAATCATAACTTTTATATGCACTGGGAATCCAAAAAACTCTTGTAACTCACTTTACTGTGATATTTGGTCTACTGTGGTGGTCTGACCAAACTTGCAGTATCTCTGAGGTGTGCCTGTACAGGTTCTCCAAAACCACAAATTAACAAATAATCTCCTCCTTTAAAAATTTGTCCCTGAGACTCAAGAGAGAATTTATTTTATGCGATGGGCCTTACATTAATGTGAAAATTACATAAGGGCAGAATGAGAAGTAGGTGTGATTTCTTAAAATGGAAGAAAAATTCTTAATATTAGAAAACTGATTCTTTAAACACTTATACACTGCTAGTGGGAATGTAAATTAGTTCAGGCACTACAGAAAGTAGTACGGAGATTTCTCAAAGAACTTAGAACAAAGGTACCATTCAACCAGCAATCCCATTACTGGGTATATACCAAAAGAATATAAGTCGTTCTACCATAAAGACACATGCGCACATATGTTCACTGCAGCACATTCACAATAGCAGAGATATAGACTCAACCAAGATGCCCATCAATGGTGGACTGCATAAAGAAAATATCGTACATATTCACTATGCCATACTATGTACTCTTTTGTAACGTACTCTTTTGTACACTGAAAGAATTAGGTATTTTTTCAAATGTTATTTTAGTTTTGGGGTTACAGGTTGTCAATTGCATGTCATGTAGATGCTATACTATGCAGCCACACAAAAAATGAAATCGTGTCATTTGCAGCAACATAGATGCAGCTGGTGACATCATCCTAAGCAAATTAACGTGAGAACAGAAACCAGATCCCTCAAGTTCTCACTTATAAGTGGTAGCTAAACATTCAGTACATGTGAGACAAAGAAGGGAAAAATAAACAATGGGGGCTACTTGAGGATGGAGGATGGGAGGAAGGCGAGGGTCAAAAAACTACCTATCGGGTACTATGCTCACTACCTGAGTGATGAAATCACCAGACCCCAGTGACATGTTATTTACACTAATGACATGCAATTTGACAACCTGTACCCCCAAAACTAAAATAACATTTGAAAAAATACCTGATTCTTTCAGTGTACAAAAGAGTACATTACAACTGAACTGAGAGCATCCTAGGAATTCAAGAATGAGCATTAGAAAAGAATATGATTTTAATTTATCATATTGATACTGCTACAGATGCATTACAGAAGCATGGATGAATCTAATGAACATAATATTGAGCAAAGAAGTCATAAGCACATAGTTTATGGTATCCCATTTGCTATAAATTTCAAAAACAGACAAAACTAGCATATAATGTTAGAAGAGTAGTGATTCTTGGCAGATGCAGGTAGTGGATAGTGAAACAGAAAGGGCATGAGATATTTTATTGTCCTCTGCTCTTATGTTTATTAGGTCTTTCCTTACCTTTGAAGTGCTATTGCTTGCCTAGGTGTAAGGCTATCAATTTACCTCTGAGTTCTGTTTTATCTACATCTCATAAGTTTTATGATGCTATGTCATCATTCATATTCAGTTCAAAATACTTTACATTTCTGAATTTAAGTTCTCTTTGACTCATGAATTATTTACAAGTATATTGTATGATTTCCAGGGAGTTTTTCTAGTTGTGTTCTTGTTATTTATTCTAGTAATATGATCATGGTCATATAACATCATCTGTGTTATCTTAATCTTTTCAAATTCATTGAGGTTTTGTTTGTGGCAGCAAATGGACAATTTTGGTAAATGTTTCATGTGTGTTTGAAAAAAATGTGAATTCTGTCATTATTCATTGCAGCTTTCTATATATGTCTGTCAATCAGGATAAATTTGTTAATTGTGTTGCTCAGCATGCTATATGCTTAATATTTTTTGCCTTATTAGCCATTGAGAGAGGTATGTTAACATCTCCCAACATAATAGTAGATTTGCTAATTTATCCTCTTAGTTTTGTCGACTTTTGTTTTGTAAATTTTGAAAATATGTTTTTGGTAATGTACAGATTTAAGACTGTGATATTTTCTTGTTGGATTAGCCCCTATATTGTTATGAATATCTCTCCTCGGCTCTACCAACTCTTGCTTTTTTTTTTTTTTTTTTTTTTTTTTTTTGAGACGGAGTCTCGCTCTGTCGCCCAGGCTGGACTGCGGACTGCAGTGGCGCAATCTCGGCTCACTGCAAGCTCCGCTTCCCGGGTTCACGCCATTCTCCCGCCTCAGCCTCCCGAGTAGCTGGGACTACAGGCGCCCGCCACCGCGCCCGGCTAATTTTTTGTATTTTTAGTAGAGACGGGGTTTCACCTTGTTAGCCAGGATGGTCTCGATCTCCTGACCTCATGATCCACCCGCCTCGGCCTCCCAAAGTGCTGGGATTACAGGCGTGAGCCACCGCGCCCGGCCCCAACTCTTGCTTTTAAAGACTGTCTGATAGTATTGCTAGGCCTACTTAATTTTGTTTAGGATTTTTATGATACTTTTTTTTTGCATTTGGTTATTTTAACTTCTCTGTGTTCTTAAATTAAGGATGTTTATCTTAATGCAAATCAAAACCACAATGAGATACCATCTCATGCCAGTCAGAATGGTGACTATTAAAAAATCAAGAAATAACAGATGCTGGCAAAGTTGCAGAGAAAAACGAATGCTTTTACACTGTCAGTAGGAATGTAAAATAGTTTAACCATTATGGAAGACAGTGTGTTGACTCCTCAAAGATCAAAGTTCTAGAAACAGAAATACTATTTGACCTAGCAATCCCATTACTATGTATATAATCAAGGGAATGTAAATCATTCTATTATAAAGATACATGCACATGTTATATTCATTGCAGCACTATTTCCAACAGCAAAGACATGGAATCAACCCAAATACCCATCAATGGTAGACTGGATAAAGAAAATGTGGTACACATACAATACGGAATACTACACAGTCATAAAACGTATGAGACCATGTCCTTTGCAGGGACATGGGTGGAGCTGGAAGCAGTTATCCTCAGCAAACTAATGCAGGAACTGAAAAGCAAACACCACATGTTCTCACTTATAAGTGGGAGCTGAACGATAAGAACACATGGACACATGTTGGGAAACAACACAAACTGGGGCCTGTCTGGGCAGAAAGTGGGGAGGAAGAGCATCAGGAAGAATAGCTAACTGAAGCTGGGCTTAATACCTAGGCAATGGGTGGATCTGTGCAACAAATCACCATGGCACACGTTTACCTATGTAACAAACCTGCACATCCTGCACATGTACCCAGGAACTTAAAAGTTGATTAAAAAAAAAAGAATGTTTCTCTTATAAGAATACTAAAGTCATTTTTTTTAATCCAACCTGAACAGTCTTTAATATTTAGACTATGTCATCCATCTACATAAAATATAATTACATGTTGGTCTATATCTATACACTTAATTATTTGTTTTGTGTTTAGTTCAACTACTTTATGTTTCCTTTTGCTTTCTTAACTTCTTTTGGATAAGATCAAATATTTCTATTTGTTCTTTTGTTTCTTTCAAGTAGTGTGATTATTTGGGTTTTGTTTTTTACTATTCATATAGTGTATATGCTAGATACTACAACATAAATCATTGACTTATTATAATCTAATAAAATTTGTATTCCTACTACTTTCTTGATACTACCTGGAAACACAGTACTTGTAAATTATATTGACCTTTCTTACCTTTTATATTATTAGAATCATGCTTTTTAGTTCTACATATAATTTAACCCACAAGATATTACTATTATTTTTCAGTAGTCTGTAGAATTTAATATTTGCCTGTATGTTTCTCTTGCCTTGTGTTCTTTATTCTCTTATACAGCACTTCCACATTTCCATCTAGATCATTTCTCCCTTGAAAAGTGTGTCTATTAGTGTTGGTCTGCTAATAATAAATTGCCTGTCTTATTTGTTTCAAAATTTATTTTATCGTGTTTATTGAGGAACATATTTTGGGATAGAAACCTTAGCTGAGAGTTTTTTCTAGAAATATCATTTAAATTTTTTCTGATTTGAATAATTTATGTTAAGACATCAGCTATCAGTCTAGTGTTCCTTTGAAAGCCACGTGTCCTTTTTTGTTTGTTTTTCTGAATGTTTCTTTCTTCTGTGCCTTTGATTCTCAACAATTTTACTATGATGGCTCTTGGTATGGTTTTCTTTCTATTTGTCCTGCCTGGGATTTGCTAAGTTTTTGGAATAGGTTAATATATTTCACCAAATCTGGAAAATTCTTTATTGTTTGTTCTCTGAATATTGCCTCTGACACAGAAAGACACTAATCTCTCTTTCCGGAATTCCAATTATAATTATATTAAGGCTTTTAATATGCCCATGTGTCTCTTATGCTATTATTTTTTTTATTTTGCTTTCTATTCTGTTTTCTCTGCATTCAGTATTTTCTATTGACTCATCTTTGAATTAATTCATCCTGCCTTTTGCTTTGCGCAGTTGACTATTAAACTCATCTCTTGAGTTATTCAGTTCTATATAATATTTTTTAAATTATGAGTTAATTTGTACATCTTATTGATTGCTATTTTTATTTATCTTTTACACTGATTTTTGTTCATATATGTCTCAATTTTTAATATTTCCATCACAATTAGCTTAAAAGTCTTTGGCAACTTTTATATCTAGGTCATATGTAGGTCTGCTTCTGGCATCTGAATTTTATTTTTATTATTAATATAATGCAAATCTTTCTCCTATTTCTCCCATTTCTCAGGAAAGAAGCTCAACTCCACAGAGAATTACATAGCATTGGTCATTCACAGAAAAGTAATTTGAAAGCACTTACGGCCATTAATAAGCAAATTTTCATTCGTCTCATCATAGCTAGATAAAATGTACTATTTTGTATCTTTAAAAGAGTGGTTAAGATATACGATGAAATCTATTAAATGCCTTTCAGACATACACAATAATCCCATTAACTTTGAACTTAGAAATTCTATTAGAGTTGTCAAATCATTGATACTTACTACAAGGATTCAAATGGAACCCCAGTGATGTTGCATCAATAGTATATTTTCCTACATGATTGAGAGCAAATTCTTGTCAATAAAGATGCTCTAGTTTAGGTATTGTTAGAGCTCCATGTGTACTGTAAAACCTACACACTATTTATCACTTTGAAAGGTATAGATTTTATATAGTTCATGGAATGCACAGGTGACAAAGATAACAGTAAATTTCACAAAATTTAAGTAAAATGACTGTGTATGACTCAGATATGTCTCCCTTTTGAGACAAATGGCATATTTGTAAAAGGGAAGAATTTCTAGTGCACAAATAGATGTTTAAGAATTTTGATCAGTATTGCCTAATTAATTGCTCCATTTGTCATTTAAAAAAAATAGTAGTAGGCTCCAACTTACCCAAAACAAGTACCTGGTTTACAAGGTGACACCAATTCACTTCAAAGCAATTCTGATCATATACAATTTGTCCATGTAGAATGATATTTTAAATATCCAATTCTACATATATTGTAGTAAAAGCCACAAACTTGGTGAACAAAACTATCTGTAAGAAGATCTTGGTGTATAGCCATTTAGAATCACAAAGTACTTTGTTTTAATGATATTCTAAATATCCAGTTCTACATATATTGTAGTAAAAGCCACAAACTTGGTGAACGAAACGATCTGTAAGAAGATCTTGGTGTACAGCCATTTAGAATCACAAAGTACTTTGAGATAGATGGAGAAATTAAAATATAGACTAAAAATGGCAAATGATACAGAAAATATCTACATGCTAATAAAATGTCTACGTTTATTCAGACTCAAATAAAGCAAATATTGGTCACCTTATTTTCAAATATATAATCCACAATTGTGGGAGAACCTGGAGAAGTAAAGACTGGATATGGGAGACAGAGGTTCACAGAGAGTCACTAACAAAACAGTCTGCTAAGCCAAGTACTTCTAAGCATGAGTGGGTCCACCAAGGGGAAGGTTATGGGGAAATCTATGAGAACTTGTGTATTTTGTATAGTTATCACCTCCATGAGTCCACAGCTATACATGTGGTAGTAGCCATGGACCCACCCTGTTAGTTAATGGGGACAATAATTGAAAAGACCTGCTCAGTTAGCAGGAGAAAGAAAAGACAAGCTACAACTTAGCCGGCCCCCCTGTGTCTGTCTGCAAGGACATTTAACCACAGAATGACCTTTGGAGAGTTTCACACCCACGTTCAGAGCATTTAACCTCCACCTTCCCAACTTTGCATAAGTTCCTTTTTTTGCCAATTCTTAACCAGACTCATAAGCAGAAGGGGATTCTGGAAATGTAGTTCCCAGATTAATCAAGAGGCAAAATATGCCAAAGTACCTAACAAAGTTAAGTGCCTCTGTCTTACATAAAATTATAAACATATTCTCATTTATAACTTATTGCTTCAAATAAAATTAAGCAATAATTTCTTACAGTTTTATTTTTAAAAAAGAAACAAGGGATAGGATATAGCCTTTCCATTGACATAAATTTCAAAACTTACAAATTTTAGACCCTCTTCCAAAATAAAAATACTGCCACTTACCATATGATAGAAAAGCAAAATTTGTATCTATATTTATGTTACCCTGAGAAAATCAAAGTTAATTTTAGTTCGATTATTAGTTTTGTAACTTCTTTCCTACTCTAAAAATTTGTTATATATCATTAATCAATAATATATAAGTAGGAGAGTATGTATTTCATAATGTTTAGCACATAAGTAAAAGATATTAACTTAGCCTCTTGGAGAAAATCTTGTTGAATTTTAGAACTACCTTATGACTTTGATTGACCTTAACTCTTTTTTACTTCTTCGACAAAACACATCTAACTGAATTGTTTGTATTGAAATTCACAGAAAGTAATAAGCTAAAATACTTCATTTTGAGTCCAGAAAATGTGTCAATTTAAAAGATCTCATCAGGCACATTTGACACACTGTTGCTGCACACACTTGCACCCTTTTTGTTCACATTTTGTTTGAGTTCAAGGAAAGGAAAAGAGGAAAACCCATACACCTTGTTGCTCTGTGAATTCTCCAGCCTGCAAGTGTCTGAGAAGCTGCCAGAACCTTTTATTTGTTTTGTAATCTTTAAGCTCTTTAAAAGGACCTTGACATTCTGCTTACCTTCTTCATTTCAGCTACCTATTAAACATCAGCGTTTAATGATTTTCTAACTATAACTGTAAAATTGCTTTGCTCATCCTTCTGATGTCACAGCCTTTATAACACAATTCTTCCCCTTCTTTATTTGCTCTAGGGTGACATTCAGAGTACGAACATCAAAATCCTTTTTTGTTTTCTATTCCATTCCCTGGACACATAGCACTCCTTCCAGAATCCTTATGTTCCCTCAGATTCACAAAACTGCCCCCTGACTGTAAGTCATTACCCACAAAAAAAAGTCATTTGGTGAGCTGATTTTCTCTCTCATGCACAGCGCATACAAAGCACCTCATTATATCTCGGTATGGCCTAGTAAACTGCAGAGACGTGGTGGCCACTGAGGAGCCTCTGCACTTCACAGTCCCTGATGAAGAAAGAGCCTCTGCACTTTCTTCATCCTTTCACGTGCACTTCCTTAAGGAAAATAATCTCTAAGATGAAGAAGTCTTGCAGGCAACTGAAATTGAACTCCCTTTCTCCCCATATTCTCACTCCTATAACCCGCCTTCTCAGTCCCTTTCTGCATTCATCCAACACCCCCTTCCTGAAATTATTCTCACACAGATTTCTTACTCATTCATTGAACCTCTAAAGGAAATTGTTAGTATTTAGTAAGCTCTTTTCATATATTTCTCATTCTCCCTGGGAAAAGATTTTATTGATCCATGAATGTCATGACATTTCCAAGATGATGACAGTTATAGAATTTTTAACATGAGCAAGGCTTGGTTTGGGAAGAGACAGAAGACAGATGGGGAACTGGTGTTGTCACATATTATGTACCACAGAATATGGGGGTATCAGAGAGCACATGTGAATATGTCAGCAAGGTTCAGTAATAGATTAACACCTGAAAATAAAACTGAGCTAAGAATGAAGCAGTGAGGAGACAGGGTATTTATTCTTAAGAGAAAACTAAAACAACCATTAAAATTGCAGGTGAAACTTTGGATTTGGAACTGACATTTTATGTCAATAAGCAATAATTATGGTGGAATGTGTTTCCATACTGCATGTAAGTAATTTGTACATGGATAAATATTTTGTATTATTACTCAATGAGAGACCTATTATTATTTTTCCATGTAATAAGAAAAAATGGTATTTGTAAGTAAGGCCAGTGGAATTGTCTATTAAATTATGAGAAAGAGATATTCATTTAGGATAGTTTGGTGTCTATGATAAATGAGGAAAGAGAGAGGAAAGAAGAGTGAGGTTCTGGGAGATTGGAAGTTAACTCAAGATATTGGAAGGGGATTGAAAAATTGGGGACTATAAAACCAGTAAAACATAAGAAGGGAAACTTGCTTTTATAAAGAATGAGTATTTTTTTTGTTTTGATTTCCATGAAGTACATGAAAATAAAATTTTTCTTGACTGTAGTTCACCCAAAGGTTTATTGACCTTAGCTTTATAGCATTTGGATAAAGAGCTTATAAAACGCCTATCATTCACAGGCCTGAGGAGCAAGAATTCTTCCTAGGATAATAACTCAGGTGTCTGCCATTGACAAAAGTTGGCTGCTAGATTTCTTTGCAATGCAGTTTAGTTAAGTGATTCTGCAAATTATCTGTTCCTGCTATGTCTATCAGTAAGGCATTCTCAAACAAGTGTAATTTTCAGTGAACAAGCAGTCTTGGCAATCAAGTAACAAAGAAAAAAGCAGGAGGAGAGGGGAGGGCAGAAGCAAAGAATGCCACTCTAATCAATTCTGCCTTGGAGCGGAGACTCCTACCTAAATAACATGAGAGTTAATCAGCATTTTGTATGTGGTATGTAGAAAAAAATTGTCAATTTTTTATTGCAGTATAGATATCAAAGTAATGTTTCCATTACTGATTGGCTTCAGACAGTGAATATGTTCCATCGCAATGTAGTCACCACAGCTATTTATTTCATTTAATACTATTTTTTATTTTGAAGTAAAAGAACATACCTTATGAGGGGCCGGGCGCGGTGGCTCACGCCTGTAATCCCAGCACTTTGGGAGGCCGAGGCGGGCGGATCACGAGGTCAGGAGATCCAGACCATCCTGGCTAACACGGTGAAACCCCCGTCTCTACTAAAAACACAAAAAATTAGCTGGGCGTCGTGTCGGGCGCCTGCAGTCCCAGCTACTCGGGAGGCTGACGCAGGAGAATGGCGTCAACCCAGGAGGCGGAGCTTGCAGTGAGCCGAGATCGCGCCACTGCACTCCAGCCTGGGCGACAGAGCGAGACTCCGTCTCAAAAAAAAAAAAAAAAAAACTAACATACCTTATGAGATACCATAACAAAATATCATTTTAATATTCATCCTTCTCAGTTTTTTTCCTTTCAAGTTATAGGTCTAAGGAGAACTTCCTTGGGAAGCAACCAAGAATTGTCTTGAGACAATAACATTCCAGAATTAGGTTTTGGGAGAGAGTGTCAAAATCTCATTCTAATGGTAGGTAGTTATGAGAGAATTGTTTATGTCATCCTACAAATATACAGTGAGCATAGATTATATTCTAGACAATATTATATTGTTTTGTCATATGCACAGATGACTAAGGCTGGCTTCTAGACTTCAAGAGATGATAATATAGTTGGCTTTGTCCTAGAACCATTAGAATTGCCCTGCCTTCTTTTTAGTCCATCGTTATATGTACAGATAATATATCTGGCAAATTATGAGACACAGGAGCAGATATTTTCCATTGAATTTCCCTGATGTAAGTATCAAAGTATTAATATGAGCTTGAAAAAGTCATATTGCAAAATTGCAAGTGAATTATTTCTAGGAAATTCACACCTGCAAAAAGGATACTTACTGTCCAAGTGGTAGCTCTTTAGTAAACTCTACACATTTGATTTCTTAGAGTTATTTATTAATCCAAATCCACTTTCTTACCAACCCCCAGGCTGAACAATTTTATCTGGGAAGAGATGTGGCCAACTTTCTAGGGCTGACTTTGATCCAGTAGAACATGTCTTTTACAAGCATTTACTTTACCAACTGGGAGCTCAGTACCCTCCCCTGTGAAAAACACCCAGGCAAGTCCAAGGTAAAATTTCAGCTCTCACCTGCTAGGACAAAAAAGGTAGAGATGGTCAACATAATCAGGCCAATCCAGCAATTTCTAGAGCAAGATATCCACTCTTTGAACTTCTATGTGTTTCAACATCCCCAGGACTCCCATTGTTCAGACTGCCTGTGTGTGGGGTGGTAGGGGTGGAGGGACTGCCTGGCTCATTTAAGCACATGTTGACCAGACATCTATACAGAGCAGAATTGTTCTTACATCAGAAACAAAAACTTTAGTAATTCTAGTTTAAACGCGATTGAGCCGAATCAGAGATGCAGTTTATTCTCTCCTAATTTTTCTCTATTTATAGCCTCACTTAGTGACAGGTCTGTTGCACAGGAGTGGCCTCTTACTCAACACATCTGCTCCCCATGTGCTGCTGAGTCACACATACTTTTTTCATTACCAAAAGTAACAAATATTTATTTTCTCCTTGGCAGTCCCACAGAGTTGTTGCAACAGAGGGAAAAACAAGTGGGATTCCATTCAGCTTGGCTCCTAAAAAGATCCTTATTGGTGCTTGTGCCTGTACTACTAAGAGAGTTGTGGAAACCTTGGAATGTGCCCAGAGTAGAGCAATGGAAATGATTGGGAAAGAGGATCTATGAGAAAAGGCTCAAAGAATTGATATGGGTGTAGAAATAAAATTGTGTGGAATTACAGATAAACTATTTCAGGTAAAAAAACAAAAAAATTAGAGAATAGCCTACAGCTGAGTTTCCTCTAAAGCAAATTTTATAAACCTGAGACAGGCTTCAAGGAACTTTTGAACCCCTCTTTCAAATATTATATCTACATCAATCTTTAATTTTTGTATGAGCCTCAGATGTAATCATGCAATATTATCTTAAGGTAATGGCATAAATTATGTTTTTCTCACGATGATGTCAGAGGGCAGAGGTGAAAAACTGGGATTTTCCACTCTTTGTGATTTTCTATTAGTAATTCTTTAAATTGCAAATTGCAGCTTTGGACTTACACATCAAACCACGTCTGACCTAGAGGACAAGGAGTGAAAATGAATAGGCTAGCCCACATCGTTTCTCTGAATCAATTTTATAATTGAACTGCACTTTAAACCTTATCTTTAGTCTTCTCACAAGTCTTATAAATGAATGTCACCCTGATTTGATTGACTGATCTTCGTTTCACACCCTTCATAAAGTAGCCCAAAATAGCTGCTGGAAAACATTACAAACCTGCTGAGTTTTAGCAGTCGTCAACTTTATATTGTCAGAATTTCTTGTGGGTGAGTTATAATTAGGTTTATTTATTAACTATAAAAGCTCCTGAAAGAAAATATCACAAATCATGCCATAGCCATCTCATCTTGTCACTGCTTCTCTCTTAGGAAAGACAACATCTTATCCACTGTCATTAAGGATCATTGCTTAGAAAGAAATTTTAGGAACTAAAAAGATTGACTTCATACTGTGACAGTGAATTTGCCTTTTCTTTAAACTGGCTTATTTGCTATCTTAATTGCATATGTGTGAAATCACAAACATTCACAGGATAGGCTCTACAAAGGCATATTTGCTAGTATAATGATCGCTTTCCTTATATAATCTGGTAATGGACTTAGCATCATTACACACATTTTGAAAGAAAAAAAAAAATCCTTCTATCAAGGTGGCCTAAATCAAAAAGAATGTTAGCTGACTTGAACATCAGCTGCTGCTTCGTGACCTTGATTGCGTTTAGATCACCTACATTCCCCCTGCTTCAGAAGAACCCACATTATGCTAATGACCCTACTTCCCAAAATATCTAACCCTCTCACATCTAGTTAAGCTAGTGCTGTTCCAAAAACATAGATCACCCAAATGCTCAGGTGCTTACAGAAAATTCACCCTTTCTAATAAGTCATTTTGGCTTGCCACTGCAAGTGTTCATGCATAAAACATACAAGCTGAACTCAAGAATTTCTGTAAAAATATGTGCCCCAGAATATTTTTCATGACTTAAAAATCATGTATTTTAAATTGTACACCCAATGTAATGTGGGAGTATAGCATTTTTAAGATATATTTAAATACTTTAAAGAATTATTTTTCTACCTGTGGCTTAGCTAATGCAATCTGTGTTACTTACCTTTCCAAAAGCTATTAAATAAAAACGTAAAATTTATTTCACTTTTACATATAAAACTCAACTTTCTGCTCAACTGTAAACTCTCTGTGGGGATAGGAAATACAATCCCAAAATCTAATCTGTTTTTTAGTCTTAAAAATCATCTGACAGCTCTCCAAATGCAAAGTACACACACATTTTGAAAGTTAACCTTCAGGAAGTATAAATAGAACAGAGAAGCATCTTCCTGTCTCATTGTGTGTTCAAATGACATAAATTGATTCAAAATCTATTAAGATTAATCTTTCAAAACTAATACTCTGTGGTTCGAAGGTTACTGAGATAGTTTCCCTTCATACCTTGACATGTTTTATCATATCTCAAAAGTGTCTTAAGGGCTCACATATTATCTGATGTTTATCTAGGTTATTGGCCCATTCCATTCATAGGCAACCCAAGCTATTTCTTGTCAGACAGAAACTGATAAAACTTCAATAGTATTCAAGAACCTTTTCCAGCAAAGTAAATATCCCATTGACATGCAGTAGCATTAAAAAAAGAAAGAAAAAAAAACTGGTGGTCCAATGTATTATGAATGCCTATTTTCATAAATGGGCTTTTAGGTGAATGTGTAAGCACATAGTACTACGTCTGAAAGCTAGCTACTAAGAAAGAAACATTTATCTGCCATAAGAGTGTCTTTAAGTATACATCAATTCAAGAAAAATGATATGGCAGAAAAGTAGTTGTGAAATGAATGTGAGCAATAAAGGCAACCAATAGGGATAACTCAGGTCCCAAATATTTGTCTCAAGAATAGGATTTTGGCAGAATTCCCAGATTATAATTTCAGCTCTCTATTCAATTTTGCAATCATAAAGAAATCCAAAAATGATAATATATTGCCTTTTTTTCCCTAATGAAACAGCCATATATTTGAGACATATTTTTGTCTCAAATGAAATAAGATTCTGATAGACCTGGAAAAACATGTGGACAAAAAAATTTGACAATTTTAAACATTGTTATATTTCATGAAATTAAGTTGATAATAAAACCCGTGGGCTGTGCCTTTATGGAGGGGGTAGAGAGCATTTATTGGGAAGACAATTCTCACTAGGAAGTGGCTGTGCCACTAATATTTCTGAAATGCCTTAGAAACTTAGAAACAAAAACATTATTAAAATCTCTTCTCCAGGAAGTTTTGTTTTCATTCATTAAAGTAATCCACTGTTAATCATGATTCCATTATTCTTGTCCTTAAACATTATCCACTCCTTCTTCTGGAGAAAGTCAAATGCTGCTCAGACAGGAATTCTTGAAGCCTGGTGTTCACATGGATAGGGGAATGTGTCTAGCCAACCCTGTAAGTAAGGACCCTGCAGTGAGCCACAGCATAGACTGATGAGATCAATTTCTTGTCTTCAAAAAACACATATTCTTGATGTTCACTGCAGGTGCCAGAAGCAAACTTCAGGGAGAGTGAGACTAAAACTATCTTCTAAGGAATAATAAGAAATATTTTGTTAACAGCCATTTGAGATCGGAAAGTAGCACTCCTAGAAAAAGAATTTCATGCTATCATATACCATCTGTTTAAAATAATGAAACAATATTAGAAATAAGAAATGTCTTTTATTTGGCTATTGTAAGTATTCCAAAAATTGTTTATGTCCAATTACTAAGCAATATTGTATACATCTGGAGTCAAAGTATTATACACTATACCAGGTCTATAGGTAATGAATTTATATATTACATGCCTATCCAGTTAATGGTTTACAATTTCTTTTATGTAGTATTATTTTGAAATGTATTTAGGGATCGAAATGAAATGTTTTCAAAAGAAAGATCCAATAAGCAAAAGAGAAAACTCCTGTAGCAGGAGCTCCATTTGAGCTCCTTTCCTACTTGTCAGGGAAAACTAACAAAAAATATATAAGTAAATAAACATTTAGCAAAAAATAATAAAATCAACTGACCTGCTGGTAATCTCTTATTTAGGAGTATGAAGTTAAACAAACAAGAGAAGATGAAGGAGGAAAAGAAGAAGATGGAGGAGGACAAAGTTTTCAGAAGTGCTTATTAGAGCTATTACATGCCAAATATCTACTCTGTGGGAAAAGCAAATTTCACATTTTTATCAACTCTGTATTCACACATCTGATCAAGGTAACATCTTAAAATGGGTAGATGAAATAATGACATGAAAAAAACAAAAAGAGATCCCAAAGATAAGTTGATATAAATGTCAATGTAATTCATCTGAAAAACTCATTCATGTTGAGACTCTAATTCAGCAAGAAGTGTTAACTCTAGTTAAAAATAAATTAATCAAGTCTAGTATCATAGATTAGTAAGTCAAGGCCCACCCAAGGTCATATAGTTAATATGTGACAGAATTGCGATTTTATTATACAGTACTAGAATTAGAAATCAGTTAGAGTCCCCTGATGAAGATTGAGTCTTTGTAAGCATCTTCCAGTTTGGTATAGAAATGGGTTAAACATTAAATGTTGATTGAGAAAAACACCTAGACACCCCAGAAATACTACTTAAACTTCAAGGAAGATGAGTGTTGATTTATCCCACAATCTCTAACCAGGTATCTCCCTCTAATTTCTATAATCTAAGGTTTCATTTTTTCTTTCCATGAGACGCTGCTTCCAGGGGAGTTTAAAAAGAAGCAAAGTACCTTTCAGATTACTAGTTCTAAGCATGTAATATGCCCTCATGATAATTACACTTCTTTCTGCTTTCCCCACTGCATTTCACCTGAATAGAGCTGGAACTAGATCTATAAGCATTCATAGTGTATCCAATGAGAGACTCTTTATTGTTATTTTAATTAATTTTGTCATCCAGGCTGGAGTGCAGAGGTGTGATCATAGCTTATTATAACCTCAGACTCCTGGGCTCAAGCCATCCTCCCACCTGGGCCTCCCAAAGAGAGACTCTGTTTTTAAATCTAGGATAAGGCATATCTACCCCCGGGTAGCTTTATGGTGAGTTGACCAGAAAAGTAAATTTCCTTTTTTTTTAAGGTTCTACCACTTTTGAAAGTAAATATATATAACATAACAATTGAAGGAACAGTGAGGTAGGGGAAAATATAGTGGCATTCTTTATTTTTATTTGTTAAATGAGACAATCTGATTCACAAGAGGAAAATGTAAGCTCTTTATGAAATGTAGCAGTAGTATTCAAGGTAATTTGGATTTTATATTAGATATCACAGATGTTAAGTGCATGCCCAATAGGTAATAATCTATTTAGGGAATAAACAACTTCAGTCTGTTTTAAAAGTATTTATATGTTTTATTTTATGACTAAATATTGTCATTGAGCTAAAATAATTTATACAGCTACAAACATGAAAACATTAACTGTGGATGTAATTCAAGCAAGTGCAAGTATCACCTGTCAGTTGGCTGTTATGAAAACAAATTATAATTAAAACAAACAAATTAATTCAATTTCTCTAAAATTCTTTGCAAATACAGTACAGCTATTCAAGAAATGAAAACTAATTTGACTTCCATTACTCATAATTAGCATTCGTTAATAAGGCAAGAACTTTTAAACAAGCTATAGCATCTCTGCCTCCAAGAGTAGAAGGATTGGCTTTTATTACATTTAAAACATAATTGGTAGCTTAGATAACTTACCTAAAGCAATCCAGCATTTTGAAATTTTGAAAAGAACTTAGCTGCTCTGGGCTGTAATCGTCCTGAAGAAAAACTGTCTACTTTCTGTTCCCAAATATCCCACCCAAGGACTATCAAAATCTACTAACTGAAATGTTGTGATAATTTGAAGGCTTTCTTTTCTTATTTTTGTGTAAAAATCAACATGTAATAGATAAGGAAAGTATAGTCGGCTCTTTCAGTTTTGCAGGTACCTGAAACATTCTTGTATACCTTCAGAGAATGAGGCTAGATAAGAAAAGAGGGTCATTTTATGCCTAAGACGTGGTTAGAATTTAATTTCCTTTTAAAATTTATTTTGAGCAAAGGGAGCTTTACTTAAACACACTGCGTGATTCCACTGGATTGTCACAGACTTCCCTCATCTGTCCAATTGTTCTGCTCACAGCATTCAGGAAACTCTGCTCGCCATCTCTCTTGTTCAGTTATGTCATTCTTCCTCTCTCTTCTTGTTCAAAGGCTCCTGAAATCTGTTTTCTTAATACAGGTTTCTATGACTAAGAAATACAAAAGAAAGCAAGCTAATCTTTCTGCCCCTAATTTTTTTCTCACTAGCACATTTCTACTATGCAGCAAAACCACTCCTGGATTAGTGCTTGTACTTTAGCACTTTCCTATCAGTGCTTGCATAAAATGAGCTATAAATGCCTCATCCAAAATAGATGGTGGCTTTTTCGGCTTTATATAACCACATTCTTTTATATGTTAATCCATAAAAGTTCTCTTCATTTGAGATACCTTGAGATCAAGGACATCATCATTTTGAAATAAGTCTGAGGATCCCATAGAAAATGTTCATATGACATAAAAAACAGCACGCTATAGAATTTGCACTAAATCTGCTCAGCACAATATCCAAAAGTTTGCAGAGACTTGGAGCTAAATTGGGTGTGCTGGTGATTATACTTGGTTTAAACCAACAGCAGAGATTCACTAGCCAAACGAAATGAATGTCTCATGTTGTTTATGCATAGTTTTAAAAAACAAAACTACAACAAATACACTTATCAAATTCTATGTCAGTAAATTATAAAACCTAGAAGTTGAGAAGGAAGTCAAATATATTGACTCTCACACTGACCAGAAAATAAAATATAGAATGAGAGGGTTTAAAAAAGAGGGGAAAAAAAGGAAAGAAGAATGAATTTTAGGCCTATCAGGGGCCATCCCACAATATCCTGTTAGATTTCAAAAAGAGAATATAATTAATTGCCCACAGACATTCATTTCATCGGGTGTTTTTAATCAAATGTCTCCCTAGAATTTAAAGCTGATTGCTGTCCTAAAATGCTATGACATGTACACAGGCTCTGAAAGATCCATCTGGTATATGTAAGTCAATATGCATTTTGGGAGGCTCAAGGCATCTTCAAAAGTCAAAACTAGCAATCTACTCTCTGCAATTTACAAACTAAATAGTACTAGTATTTTTGCATGCATTAGCCAATTTAACCTTCATGATAACACAAACTAATAACTAGAGCCAATCATTACTTATTTTCCATTTTACAAATATAAATTGGGTCCAGAAAGGATAAATAATTTGTCCAAAATTATATTTCCTAAGAATAGCAGGGCTGGGATAAGAATTCAGAACCAGAGTATTTAGTCATTTTGACCATCTGAATCCCACAAAGCCTTTGAACAAAACCTTATCCAACATGATTGGCACTAGAAGTTGATCATTTACTCTAAGAAATCAGTTAAGGTAAGAAATTGTCTTAAACAATTTACAGGACAGACAGACATGGAGAAAGAAATGAATACATTAACAGATTTATCTGTAGATATTTTCATATATGGCCAAACTTTTTCTTTGGTGGGTATCCTATTTTGTGCTCCCCACAAAGCACACACTGAAATAAGGATAAAGTACAAGTGGCTTATTTGAAAGTGCTCCAAGAAAGCACAATGAATAAAGTAGGGAAGAAGATTTAGAGAAGGGGAGAAAAGTCATCAAGGTGTAGGTTTAGCTATGGAAACTGAAATTCAATCACATTTGAAATTCTCTGAGGAACTGTGTGGTATTTCAAAACTACCCTTAAAAAAAAATAGAAAGCTGGCTATATATTTATTCATTGATGTCCATGCCTCATTGAATCAGAGTTTTACCTGGGAGCATTAAACCCCTAGCGCTTTAGGTGGCCTTGGCACTGGACTGAGCAAGCTTCTGTATCTCTAAGAGAAATCCTCAGGCAGAGTCAAAGGAATGCATGTGTGTGGCATGGCAAGCTATAAAGCTGCTGGGCACTGTCTACTGAAAGTGCAGGTGATCACAGAAAAGCTGTGGATGGAGCATGAAGCGTCAACAGTGTCTGCTACTACTATGGGCAGTAGAGGAGAGCTCCTGGTTGGAATTTCTCATCATTTTTCTGCTTAACCCACAACTCTTCCCTATTTTTGATAAATATAATTTTATGTTCCCTTAAAATGAAGTAAGAAATTAAAAATACTTAGAAAGAAAAGTGTAGAATCCTTTAGGTGATTTATTTTTTCATACTTTTATATACTTTCCCAAACCTTTACAATCATTTTATCCTCAACAAATTCTACAGAATGCTTTTTGGAAATGTTCTATAATAAACCTTCCCAACAACTCAAACAACAACTTTATTTCATTCTGCAATATTTCAACTGTATACAAAATAATTTCTTAAAAATAGATATGACTCTTGGAAAATATACAATTTAGCTGGTTGGGTGGCTAAGGCAGATGAATCATCAAGCTTTCTGCTTGCCTTGGACATTAGGTGCTATGTTTACCAATGAAGTTAAGACCATGGGCTAACCTTGTGGGGTTTTTTTAAGTGGAAATTGCCACTGTTGCTGGTATTTACTGCTGCTGGGAATCTTAGTCTCAGTCCCAGAAGAGGCTCATCATTATTTACATTTTACAAAATAAAATGCAAAGAAAAAATGATTCACTGTGTGGTCTAAAAAGGCCACACTATTGCCATGTGCACTTACACCCAGGTCACCAGAAGGCACACCCATGGCTAACTGATGAGGCAAATCACCCATTCATCTAAACAGTGAGGCAATGTGATTATAAAAACATTAGCAAATTAAATAAATAATTAAATTAAATGTATTGATGTCACTAATCCATGTAATCACAGCCTTAAATAATGACTAAAATATATTACTTTTGTAAGAATCAATCACAAATCCTAGCCAAAAATATAAAGTGGGCAAGCCTGTCAGCCTTGCTGTCTTCTCCTTTCCTGAAACTTCACTCATGTTTAGGCACTTTTGGCCCTTTGTCTGTCCCTCCTCAAATACTCCTCCTTCCATCATATGGAATAATTGCTAGGAAGCAGGCACTCATTTCAGGACTTCATTTCTAGGTTCCATTTGCATCAAAATGGGGCTGTATGACTAGTTTTTAATGGGATAAAATGGCTGGAAGCAAAGTATATTATTTAATGGTCCAGATATTTGAAAAATGAGCATGCCTTCTCCCTTCTCTTTTACTATCTGTTGGCTGAATATCAAAGCCTAGGGTGTCCTGGAAGATAACATGGCTGCTGGCAGCCTGGTCTCTGAATGTCTGAATGAATTGATCATGACTCTTTTCTAGCCCCAGTCTCTGAACTGGAACTACCTTAGACTGTTTAGCTACAGAGAAAAAGAAAAGGGATTTCTGGAGCCTAGGTTTGAAACAATGTTATGTGCTTCCCCAAACCATGCCATTTTCCTGGGCATACAAGAAGACTATAATGCCTAGCCTATCCTGTTTTCACATTTCATATCTCTGCATTCTGGCTAATAGAATTTGGGTATAATTGATGTATACTATTCCCAGACTCAGCCAGAAGGCTTCTTCCACAATCCTGCATTCTCACTACTACTCTCCTGCATTCTCCTGGAGCTACATGCTGAAGACGGGAGAAGGCTAGGTCTTGAATTGATTAGGTGGGGCAACTTACATTGACTGTGACATGACTCATGACAGGCATCAGAGTGTTCATTGAACACATTTGGTAAACTATCACCTATAGCCTGTGCCTGCTGAACTTGATCTAAGGGAAGAGGTTAGAAAACAAAGCCATCAATGTATAGGTTGGTTGCTTCTGTTGTGTTTGGTAATATGTTGTAAGAAAGAGATAGACTAAGAAAAAAGTGGCTAAATTTACAAGCATAAATAAATGAGGATGAGAATCCAGAATTTTTGAGCCTTGCTAACCCCTTCTAGATCCCAAAGAGTAAGAAATAAAATTGAGGAAAGTCTCTGACCCAGTGAAACTTTTCAGTTGAACAAGGTGACTCAGCTTTGTGCCCAAATTCAGATCAGGGATCCATCCTTCCTAAAATTCCTGATAGCCTCAAAAGAGCTGGCATTAAGCATAGAGTCAGAGACGTGAATGAGGAATTAAAAGAAAGAGTATATTTGTGAACGATATCTGAGAAAGAACCTTAGGTATGGCTACTAGGCCATGTAAATGACAAGAAAGATAGATTAGAAGATACTGTTTGTGACAAAACTATTTTTTTAAAAAAGGAAATCATAAGCTTAGTCTAAAACACTGGAGGATTTGGGGGTAATGTTAACCATTAGCAGACTAAGAGGCTGGCTGCAAAACCTGTGCAGTCCTCAGAGAAGGCAGAGCCAGGCACCCCCTAGGAGAGTTTCTTGCAGAGAGCGGAATTAGCATCTAATCAATAAACTTCTCCCTCTTCCAAAATACATAGTGCTTAAAATGTTCACCAAGCAAGTTTTAGAATTTTTCCATACCAGTGTCTGTTACATGGAGCCCATTCTTTACCTTTTCACATGACAATGTTGTCATGCTATTGGGTTTTGGGGATAGAACCAGATAAAAAGACTTTTCAGGTTATAGGATGCTGACCCAATGAAAAAGACAACACATTGTCGGAAGATTCTAGACTTTGAGTTGGAGGCAGTGACTGAATGAATTTTTTCCACCTCATTGGAAAGGTCATTAGTGTTTTCTGTGTGTAGAAGTAAGAGTGAAGTAGATATTTCATATTGGAAGTACAGACTTTGGCAGAGAAAATGCTATGTGTTCACCAAAAGCACCTTTCTTGGCTTTCAAGAAGAGTACATTTTTTCATACATCAGTTTGATTAGTTTGAGTTTCTATGATTGAATCCTAGCCATCTGAGTATGCCTGTGAGTAAAAGTGATGTATGCCACTTTCTCACATGATCAAAAAAACATCTGTATGATCATCTATTCTCTTTTTTCCCTTTTGCAGAGATGTTAGAAGCCAGTTCTTGAGAATGGCAGGACCACCTTGTGGACATAACCTGGGTCGGTGAATGACTGCACGGAGCAGAGTCCTACCTGTCAAGACGTCAGATTATGATGTGAATAAGCAATAAACATATATTTTGTTAACTCATTAGATTTGGGAATCTATTGGTACAACAGTGTATTAGTTTCCTAGGATTGACATGATAAATGACCACAAACTCGGTGGCTTAAAAAAACAGAAATTTATCCTATCACAGATCTGGAGGCCAGAAATCTAAAACCAAGGGGCTTGGCAGGGTCATGGTCCCTCCAAAGAGGGACACTCTAGGGAAGTGTCCTTGTCTCTTTCAGTTTCTGGTGGCTGCTAGCAATTCTTGGCATTTGTTGGCTTGAGGATGCATCAGTCCAATCTCTTCCTCCTTTTTCACATTGACTTCTCCCCTGTTTCTGCGTGTGCATCTCAAATATTCCTCTGCTTTTCTAGATGACACTTGTCCTTGGACATTTTTTCCAATGACACTTGTCATTGGATTTAGCCCCCCCGCCCCAATTCAACTCACTAGGAGCATTTAGCTTATTCAGTCCATTGAGCTCTCAAGCTATTCTACGCAACTTTTTTTCTCGGAAAAATAACTCTCCAAAACAGAAGTCAATGTTTCACAAATTGTAGTAACCAAAATGATTTTAGATGCTATACATGTGAATATTAATAATTACATTTGTCATTTTAAGGTTCATTCCTAATTATATAAAGTTTCACATTTAAATAGAAGTATTATAAAAGACAAAATGTCAAATAATTGAAAGAAAAAAAACTTCTATCTATTGGTAAGCAGTAGAGAATCTTCCTGAAAGTAAGGTGGCTTTCCTGTATCCTTAAAATCATGATGTTGGGAGGCTGATGGCACTGAAGAAGATGAAAGGTGGTCTCTGATACTAGGAATTAGATATTGAGGAACACAGTTGCCCAGGCAGCCTCCAAGTTTGGAGAAATTATATCAAGTAGTGACTGGCTTTGTGAAAAGCTGCCAAATTTCCAAATACATGCTCATTTTGGAAAGATCAGTAGGTCACACTCTTCCTTCAGAGTGTGTCCATAAAGGATAACTTCTTCAGTCACTGAATATCAATGATCATAGAAATTAAAACACAGAAAAAAGTACATATCAGAAGTCACAATACTGACGAACAACACTGAGCATGATGTTGGATCAAATGCAAAGCTTTGTGCGCGCACACACACACACATTTAGAATAACATGACTCATGTCCCTTATACTGGCCCATCAAAATAAGAGAAAAAAAGACAACAACATAAATTAAGAAGTTATTTGACAGAGGATTCTTTGACTCAATAGTAATTAATTTAGTAATTAATTACTGAATTGTAATTAATTATATTTAATTAAACAATAAATTAAAAGCTATTTGAACACAGACATGACAACTAGTTTCATAAAAATCCTCTCCAAAAGAAAATGTTCAAGGACTTCATCATAGCCTCTATTATACTTAGCATTTTTGGCAGCATATTCACCATAGATATCTCACCAGACATGAATCCTATCAAAATTTATGTAAATTAATATCAATTTTAAATTGAATGTTATTTGAACAAATATATTTTTGGCTTATTGTAAAGATATGAAATGAAGGCATCAAATAGCAGCACTAAGTCTCATTCTTATAAATAGATTACGGTCCAAATCTTCCTAAAGTCAACAGAAAGGAAAGACAATTAGCACGTTATTGATATTAATGTTCATTCTGTTCTTATTTCCAAAGCTATTGTATTTGCTAATTACGCTTTGATTAAAGGTTCTAGTCTAAGTTTGTAATATTTCCCTTTTTAATGCATTAAATTCCAAAAATATGCTCATTTCAGAATAGGATTATCAACTGAAAAATAGTAGTGGGCTTACTACATCTTCTCATCTATTTTGACCATTAAAAATAAATCTTTCTTCACACTGCTCTGGACATTAACTGCAAGTCAGATATATATTAAATGATAAAATAGCTGGTATCTGGGTTCCCTCTCATCTTATTTTCCATTTTATTTTAGTAAATAATCTATTTCCTTATGACTGTATTTAAAAAAATCAACCTGGTTAATAATAAGATTGCAATTTGGTGGCTTCTAGACAATAACTTTACATTTTCTCTGTTATTCTCTCTCGTTAAAATTTAAAACCTTGTTAAAACAAATATTTTAATTCAGTCGGGCTTGGGTGGGGCCAGTCATTATACATTTCTAATAGTCTCCTTGTTGATGCCAATGCTGCTGGTCTTTGGACCAGACTTTGAATAGCAAATTGCGGTCGCATCAGGTAAATGTTCAATTTTCATTTTATTAAATTTTTACTGGCTTCAATGACTATAAAACCATACTATTAACCTAAAATGACAATATTCAAAAAGAAAAAAAGTCACACAAAGGGAAGCACACACAGAAATAGGATAATTTTAGATGTGTTAAACCCGTTTTATACTCTTTGAATATGTTTTGCATATTGTAACTGTGCAACAAGCTAGTTCAATAGTCAACACTTCTCAACTATACTAGCACTTCACAAACTATGCTAACACTCTCTCAACCACAAGGTTTCCTCGTATCTTGCTCATTTATTGATTTTTCATATTTTCAGTGTCCACACGTACTCCTGGCAGCCTAGCAAGATCCGATCTCTGATTTCACAGCCATATGCCACTTAAGTAATAGCAAAGCTTGCTTATACACATGGAAACATGAGCATTCTTAAAAGTATCTCTCTTGGGGTCTCACTAAAAGAAGCCAATTTTTTTGGTATCATTGTTCAAACCTAACTTGGATGAATACCCACCTGATCTTCTGTAGTGTATTCATTTACGATTGCCACAATGTTGTCCATAAAGATCACCTATTGAAGAAACGACTTACCTAAAAAAGGAACTTATTGGAAAGTAGTCTAACAATTCACCTGAACAAATTATCTAATTAATTAATTAATTTATTGAGACAAAGTCTTGCTCTTGTCGCCCAGGCTGGAGTGCAATGGTGTGATCTCAGCTCACTGCAACCTCCATCTCCTGCGTTCAAGCAATTCTCCTACCTCAGCCTCCCAAGTAGCTGGTATTACAAGCACCCACCACCACGCCCAGCTAATTTTTGTATTTTTCGTAGAGACAGGGTTTTGCCATGTTGATCAGGCTGGTCTCGAACTCCTGACCTCAGGTGACCCACCCACCTCGGCCTCCCAAAGTGCTGAGATTACAGATTACAGACGTGAGCCACTGTGCCCGGCCGAAATTATGTTCTTTATAAAATTTCAAAATTTTATTCGTTGTTACTTGCATGTACATGTACAGACACACACATATAAAACAGGTTTATAGATAGGGAGCTTAAAGAGCACAGTGAGAAAATTAAACTATTAATAACAGAAATGTTGAAAAGAAGCACTGAACAACCCTGGCATTTTCTACATAATATGTTCTTGTACCTGATAATAATATTAATAATATGCTTACTTGGAGACAGCATGGCATAACAGTTAAAAACATGTGTATTGAAATCAGAGGGCCTTAGTTTGAGTCCCAGTTCTTTTGTTCTATAATCATGTGAATTAGGATGCTTTACTTAACCATTCTTGGTCTCAGTTTCTTTACAATAGCTTCTGCTTTAAAAAATTACATTAACTTTTGTTGCATAGCAGAATCACTAAATCACATAGGCACAGAAGAAGAAGCATTATTTTCTCACTCATCACTCTGTGAGTTTGCAGGTTAGCTGGGGGTATCTATCTTGTAGATTAAGTCCAGGTCAGTTCCATATGCAGCCTTCTGGGACCTGGGTTAGAAAGACAGTGATTACCTGGAGACACGTTTTTCTCATAGTAGAGTTCTCAAGCTTCCAGGGGATTGAAGAGTGAAATGTACTGTTTCTTAATGATTCAAGTTTGATACAACAATGTCATTTCAGCTCACATTTTATTGGCCAAACCAAGTCATATGCCAAGCCCAACATCAAGGAGATGTGGAAGAAAACTCCCCCTCATGAGGTGGTAAGGGGAAAGACAGTAATCATTATCTAAACAATAATCTAACCTTTATCAATGTCTTGTGAGGGATTTAAACTGCACTTCAAATGCTTAGAGAGGGATATATAGTAAGTATTCAGTGAATGCTTGAAGAAGAGAGATATTTAGTGTAACTATGAGACAGAACCTGGTTGGTTGTTCACCAGCCATTTCCCTTTTGCTCTTGTGCACATAGCTTGATTGCATTTCCCAGTTTCTCTTTTATTTAGATGCAGCCATTTATTTGCATTCTGGCCAATGGAGAGTGAACAGACGTGATATACTGGACTCAGCCTGGCTCACAAAAATCCCCCTACCAATCTCACATGCTCTCTCTTTCTCATCTGCAGGCTTGAAACAGAGTTCCTAGTGGAAGACCCAGAGGCTCTACAGAGTGTCCAGCTAGATTTTTGTGATGATGGAAATGTTTTACATCTTTACACACCAATAAAATAGTTAGTAGGCAAATGAGGCTACTGAACACTTCAAATGTGGCTTCTGCAGCTGAGGAGCTGAATTTTTCATTTCAATTAATATCTACGTATGGCTAATGGCTACCATGTTGAACTGTGCAGTTCTAGGGGAAGGCAAAGACACTAGATAGATGGAGCCTGAAATGTTGCATGCCGGTCATTTAATTGAACTGTGATATGAGCTAGAAATGAAATTTTACTTTGCTAAATAACTGAGATTTGGAGGTTGTTTCGTGGAACTCTTAGACTACTCCAACTAATAAGGGGCTGTACTTAATAGAGTTAGGCATTCAGGCTTTAGCATGAGACAGAAAAAGGTTTCAATCCTGGCTCCACATTTACTAACTGCATAACATTGGGCCAGTTACTTAGCTATCTCCTTTGCCTATTAAAAGAAAATATTACCAGAACCTACCTAGTATGGTTATGTGAGGATTAAATAATATGCTGCTTTTACAATAACATATGAAGCATAGTAAAAGCCTAAAAATAGCAATTACAATTGTTGCTAAATAGTTGAATAGCTGAAAATATACAATTCATAAGGGTCACCCCCAAATCTTTCCTTACCTTAATGAAATATTTATGATAATTTTGTATGTGAGAGCAAGGATTGAGGCAAGCCATGACTTTAGTCAAATAGATTTGGACAGGATGCATTATAGCAGTATAAAACTGCATTTTAGTATTATGCCAGGGACTTTAATATAAACTACATGGAAATAAAGAAATAAAAAGAATCCAATCTATGTTATAAAAATGATTAAAGGGAGGGAATGCCTTAAAGAGGCATACTAATTAATAATAATAAAATTTAAAACCATAGTTGAAAACATACTCAAGAGGAAATAATGTAGCATGAAAATTCTAAAGAGATGTGTTTGGTTCAAGAACAGTTTTCTACTAACCCCACCAACCTACCTTGACTATGATTTGTTTGGGACCCTCATGATTAGGGAAAACACAAGTATGTGTGTGAGAGAAGAAAGAGTGGATGTGGAGAGTGAATGGGGAGTTTATGACAGAACTCTTATCCTAAATAAAAAGCAAATTACTGTAGAAGTATAAAATTTTCATAATAATTTAACAAATTACCACCAGTGCAATGTCATATGCACTTTAAAGAAACATTTATCATCAAATTAGAAATGCCTTATTTCATCTAATTAAAAGAGAGCTTCATACATTTTATGACAGAAATTTATACCAGGAAACGATACAATTTAAAATCATATTTATTATGTTTTAAAGCAAGTGACATATTTTAGGATGGGATAGATCAACTCATTCCAAGTGATAACTTTCTCCAATTTCAGCTACCTTGTTAAAACTTGAAAAATTATCAGAAATTTCTCTCTCATGGTGATATTTAATCTGAGTAAGGCCTTCACATTTTGTCTGATTGGCATATAAATCAAGAACAAATATTTCTTAAATGCTTATTTAAAGTACTCATTTGCCAGTTTCTGAAATATAACTCAAATGTTATGGAAATGAAAATTAATGTTCTTTTACCCATATATTTCCTAGAACTTCTTAATTTAGGGCAATTTTTGTTTGCTGATTTGTTTTGTTTTTTTGAGCTCATTTGTCCACATTAAAAAAAAAAAAATTTTAGATTATCATCTCCCTTAGATCATCTCATCTAGTCCAATGGCTTTAAACACAACCAATAAGCCAATGACTTTCAAACCTCCATCTGCCTCGTTGACAGTGTAAGTCCGCTTTTCTAGGATAACAAATAAATGGAACATAGTGGATTTCAGCAACATGGATTTCTTGTGCACAGCACTCCAGTGCTTCAACTCCAGTGGCCTTAACTCAAACAGCTCGGTGTCATGTGTCTTCTCATCTCAGATGCCAGGCTTAAGGATCATAGAATCACTGGAACATATCACTTTCTTGGTGAATGGGCCAGAAAAAGGGGCCAAACTAAAACATGCAAGCCAATTTAAAGCTTTTTATTACACATAGCAAATGTCAGGTTTGCTCATATTCTATTACCCAGAGCCATTCGTGTGGGATAGGAAGTATGTTCTGCATATAAACATGGCAAGGGAAGGAAGGGGACGAATACTCATGAACAAATAATCCCAGCTACAGCACTACCCTTTTTCTGAACTCAAGGTTCATATGGACATTAGAGCTGCTTAATAACTCCACCTGGATGTTTAACAAACATTTTGCCCTTACCATGTCCAAAATTGAAATTTTGATTTCCAGTGTCCCCTCCAAGCTGCAATTCACTGACCTGTCTTTCCTAGCTCAGTAAATGGCACTATTATCCAGTCTATGTTCCCAAGCACTATTCCCCAGCAGTGTATCCTATCACTAAAGGCTAGTACTTACAGAGTCAAATCTGGGCACTGGATTGCTTATTATACTGGAGGAAAGTTGTGTTTTTATATAATTTTAAACCTTTGTGTTATGAAAACTTTCAATTATATATAAAGTAGAGGGAATAGTATAATGAATTCTATGTGCCCAACTTTAATGACTATCCAATTCACAGCTAATCTTGTTTCACTAAACCTCATTCACTTTACTTCCCAACAGTTTTTTAAAGGAATTCCAGATATCACAACATTTCATCATTGGTATTATACTATAAGAAGAATAATATTTTAAAATCATCAAACAAATCACCATATGCTCTTGGTACCCTACGATAGGCTCCCTTTGCTGCCGGAATAAAGTCTAATTTCTCTGATATCCATAGTATCAGCCCACACCTACCTCTCTAAATGCTTTTCTCTCATGCTGCTGTCACCTGCATCCAATAGACCCTGAAACACTGAAATTTCTGGTCATCTAGTGTTCCCTTTGCCACCAAAGCTCTCCCACGCAATCTTCACATGGCTATATTCACCTTATTATTTAGGAATAAGCTTAAATGCTGACCTCTCAGAAGGACATTCATTGACCATCAGTCTTAATGATCAATATGATTTGTGGCTATTTTTTAGCTTATTATCTGCGGTCTGTTCATCTACTAGAATCTGAACATCTTGAGAGAGAGTTGGTGTTTTTTACTATCCCATCTTTACGTCTAGAACAGTGTTCTTTTGATAGCATGTGTTTAATAGATATTTATTATATGAATATTTGTGGTTGTATAGGTTGGTGAACTTTCTACTACTTGGACCATAATCCTCAGTATTTTCATTTAAAGAGTTAAATCCATTTCACTAAGTTACGTGGTTTCCAAACCTTACTATATATCCTTGCCTAAGATTTGGAATTACAGAAGACAAGCACAGAAATAGGGGAATGCTGTCTTGCCATGTTAAGATTAAATGCATTGATATGCTTGCGTTTCATTCAAGTGAAGAATGAGGGATGTGAACTGGATTCAGGAATGCACAAGGCACTGAAGAGCAGCGAAAGGTAGATCCAAAATTCCTCTTGGGACATAATTTAAGACAGCTTGACAGTAAAAATGAAAGATCAAAAAGGTTTAAATTCTTATTTCTGCTATTGTGGCTTCTAGATATAAACTCAGTTCTAACACATCCAATAATTTTGTATGAATTTTTTTTTGTTAGCCTATTACTCAACATAAAACCACTGAGAATCATCATCTCTGTCTAATTTTTGACCACATTTAAAGCAAATGGACAAGCAATAAAATAAAATATGCAAGCAATAAGCAGAAGGCAGCATACAAGGAGGGCTCGTCAGTAAAGATTGTATCACCGAGATCAGATCTGTGGGTGCTGTTGCGGGGATGATTAGTAAACCTTGTTAACTTTCCCATTATCTATCTCCAAATAATGCATAATGTGCCAGTGTGCCGCCTACAAATGCAGCCACCATCACCACTTCCAGCCGGATTACTGCCCCTAAGCTCCTTGTTGAGAGAAATTTAGGAGTTGCCAATAGTTAAAGGTATTTTAAACCAAAAATTTATTACCTAGGGAGATTTTATTTATGAATAAAGTTTCTTTCTACCACTTCAAGTGGATAAGAAGACAGAAAGAAAATAAATTGCTCTTGACATTAAAACTAGAGAAGCTAGAAAGAACCAGGACATCCCCTGCAGTTAACTTCAGCATAAGTCAAAGGAAAACATGGAGGAAACTTGTTAGGCTGATGGAATTTACCAGTTTCCTTATCTTTCTGTTTTGTGTTTTACATATTAACAGTGAGTTACTAAGGTGAATGCCATGTTAGGAAGAGAACACAATCATCATGATAGGAAGACCAGTGTATCTGCTACAATAATTTCAAACTTAATTATGAAAAATTGTAGTTTTTATTTTCTATAACTCAGTCTAATTTAACCCTAACTCCATTCTGCTCAGGAGAACAGAAACATAATTTGCCACTTCAAAGCAGTCTAGAGGATTCCTCTTCCTGTTCCCTTTCTTCTTGGTATTGTGTATAAACGCCAAGGTCACTGAGGTGAAATGTGACATGAGGTGAAAGGTGGCATCTCATCCTTCATCACTACCTGCCTATCGTGACATCCACTAAAATATATCCTCCATCTGCTTTCTGGAATTAATACCTTCATGATGATATCAATTGAGGTATACAGTTCTCATGTGGTCTCTTATCATATGATTCATGCCATGTATGCTACTGCAACTCTCCTCCAATTTGACTGGCAAAGCTATGCCAACCTTATCCAGAAAAACTATCTGTCTGTACTGTAAGTCTTGTTGGTGCATGGAGAACTGATTTAGCCGTTTCATTGTATCCTCTACTGCCAAGAAGGAACATAGAATGTTGGCAGCACAGATTTTATCTAATTGCAGATCCCTCAAATTATTAAGGGATTCCACTTTGTCCCCATCAGTTTAGAATTAACTCAAGTAAGAGAGGAGAGGGCAAGAAACACATACCAGCCTCTGGATTGCTAAACTCCTTCCTTCAGATTTAATGATCTTTCTCTAGTCTCTGGTCTAGTATAGTTTGGGAAAGAACTCCTTGTGTGTGATCATGTTTGTTTGCTTGTTTTTCTCAAATCTTGTTGTCTTATACCTGAGAACCACTTCGAATCTAAAAGGTAAGAATTTTAGGTCTATGCCTTTGTTCTGCTGTTTTCCTGAGACTGTCCTCCCTTAAAATAATGAATGCTTTCTTGTGTTGCTGCCTGGAATGAGGAAGGAAAGTACCTAGTGACACAAGGAGATGTAATGTTTAATACTTTAACACTTTGCAATACTAGTCATCAATAATAATTTTTCCAAACTTAATCATTTAACTAATGACAGCTTAGTATTAGCCTTTATGTTACATGGCTATAAAACGTCTTATAAAGATGTAGTTTGAATTTGCTTCATGTTAGATTCTCCTTTTGTTTATTTGGGAAAATAACATCTACTAATTTAAAATTTGTCACATCCAAAATTTGTGCTATAATAGTGGTAAACGATGGTGTATCAGAATTCTCTCTTAGCTATTACTGATGTGTTTAATTTACAGCATGGAAAGAGTTTAAGAGCTTAAAGAAGGAATCTTGTTATTTCTTTCAAGATATCAGTAATATTTATTCATGAATAGCCACTTGTTCTAATATTTTAAGCTAAACTGAAAATTATTCAGAATATTGTAGCTGAGGTAATTATCAAAGCTGTTTCATACCAATTACAATTTTATAGACAAGCTAACACAAGCCATTGTGCTCCTTGCCATACAGAATTCAAAAACTGAAGACAAAATTATTTTGCAAATTTATAATAAGAGTAATCCAGAACATAGTAATGAGTATTCAGAATTTTGTTGATTTATAATTTTTAAGGTAGCTTTCAGTCTCAAGCTCCTTATGTTCACTAGCAACTCCATGAAATGTGCACAATGACGTATTTTTATTTAAATGATAAGCAATTAGATTCAGAAGAGGTAAAATATTTACTTGAAGTCATGAGTCACAGATATTCAAAAGTAGAGCTAGAAATATATGATCTGAAAAATAACCCCGTAGTTTTTCTACTTATTATCCCCCTTGAAATTATGTTTGAAAATCTGGATAATGTTTTAACTGTATTTAGAGATGGGTTCTTTATATCAGCAGCACAATGTAATTAAGCATTCTTATGAAAGTTATGACAGGCCTCACAGATTGTAATTTGTAAGGCTTCGATAGATTGTCTTATTTTCTGAGTTATGTGTTATGCCGGAATAGTTTAAACAAAATATAGTTTGCTCTAATAATTCTTCCGCAGTCTTATTTACATTACTAAAAGGCTTACTAATGCATTTTTTGATATTTTGCACAGATAAACATATACCTAGTTCCTTCCTGAAATACCAGAAATTGCAAGCTTGTCAAATTGTGATTAATGAGGATTTACTGGATATCAACATATGAGTCTTCGGTAAATAATGTTTATTCTTTTTAACTCAATTGCATTATTCAACAATGAAGAACAGAGCAATGATAAATAACATGCTAACATGATAGAGATTTGAGTGAATGTTTTGTCTTCACACATCTTCAATGATTTGAACAAATTCAGAATTCATTACTGCAGTTCTTCACATAAAACTAAAGAAAAAAAAGATCAGTTCAATTTCTAAGAGCCAGATATTGGAATTACTTGAAACAGGCTTGCGGTAGCTGTTCTCTGGGGAGAATAGTTGTTAACTCAATAGAATCAAGTCCTGAGATGGAGGGGGAGAAAAACAAACCAATCAAGGCTAATGGTTCCTGATGAACCCAGATTAAACACAGAGATTGGTCTGGTTTAAATATACTCAAGGGAACAGTCCTTCAGCTAAGAGTATCAATTTTCACTCTGGGTCAATAGGATGAAGAGTGTGTGGTTAAAAATCAGATATTGCAAATGTATACAGCTTGAGTCAGGATGCCTGTTGGGGGTAAAAAGAACACTTGGCAATCAGAAGAAAACCTGAAAGTACATGAAGAATTATAATGAATATAGTCAAATAAAAAAATATTAAATTTAACAAGATAATTTCTAAAATACTTAAAAATAAATATGCAGAAGCCAGTAACTTGCATATATATATATATCAATATCTTCAAAGATTAAAAAGAACTATATGAACAACATAAAAATACTTATGCATAATATTTAGGATTAAAGTGAAGAAAACCTCAGAAGTATTGAATAATATAAGCACTTGAATAGAGACATTACCATACATAAGTTTAAATGTTGTAAAGATTTAAGACATTTCTACAAATTAATGTTTAGATTTAAAGCAAATCTAATCAAAATCCCAATTTTTTACTTATAAAATAATACTAAAATTTAATTTATCAAAACATGTATTGAAAAAAGGCAAATAAATTAAGAGATTTTACTATAAGGATGTTCAATGCAGCACTGTTTAAAATAGAGAAAGATGTAATTGTTTAAATAAATAAATTACACTGCATCTGAACTTTATGATTTTGTAGGCAAGTTATTTTCTTACAATAATTTGTTAGATAAGTTACAAAATGGTATGTATGTTATAATAATGATTTTTATTTTGAAAACACTCTGGAAATATATATATATATATATAATACATATATATTTACATATAGGAAAAAAAAAGTTTGAAACTCTCACTGCTCCTACCTAGGGGCAGATAAATCTCCCAAGACGGGAATGAAGAGGGCAATTTCATGATCTTATTTGAGGAACACTCCTTGAGCAACCTCCACCTTTCATAACTGGCCCCATCCATGCATTGCTATGTTTTCTCTTCAATCTGATTCTTGATAATTTTTTTCAAGGGAATAATTATAATTTTTCCCCACTGCTTTTACCAACATGTTTATGTATATGTATGCATTTATTCATTTTATAATATCTTCCATTGCTAAGTTTTTGAAGCTGGAAAGGAAAGCTACAGTATGCATTTATTCTGTAATCTTGACACAAAATTGGAGAAATTTTGGCAATGGCAGTCAAGACTGCCTTATCTCTGTGTTTGCAGTGTTCATGATTGGGTGGTGGAATTATGAATGCTTTTTATTTTCTTTGTTTGAGTAAATCCATGCTATCCAAATTATTCACTCTTGGCATATATTGTTTTACAATCATAAAATCTATACTATTTGTTTCTGTTTTTAATATCTCTAATAATATCTGGTAAAATGAAGAAAAATTAAAAGTATTTTTGAAATAAAAATGAAGAAAAATTAAAAGTAGTTTTGAAATACTTTCACTTTTATTGTCTTAGACCACTTATAGAAAGAAAGTGGACATTTTCTAGTAAGAAATACACTTAAACAAGTTTGAATTAAACTCAAGTATTTAAGACTAACTTACTGTTCACTTGAATTCCATTTTATCAACCCTCTTATGCATCCTAGTTTAATATAAGTAGAGGATATGTTTTCAACTCTCTAAAAAAAAAATTCCACAGAGATTGTGTTAACTGCACACAGTATTAGAGGATAATCTCTTTGAGGATAAACACTGTGTCAAATGCATTTTTATACCCTTCATTGCGGCTAGCATAGGGCCTTACACAAGCACACAATGAAACACACAAGTAGTTAAGACTGACTTAAGATCCACTTCAACCCCATTTTATCAATCACATCCTAGTTTGATATATTTAGAGGATATGTTTTCAATTCTCTAAAAATATTTTAAAGATGTCTGAAAATAATATATATCATGTTGAAAATAATAAATTCGGGATATATGTTGCTCTTATTTATTATAAGGTCTCTGGTTTATTATCTTAAAAAAAAACTCTGTGACAATATACATATGCTTCCATGAATCATTATATGCTTGAGATCTAACTGATTCCAGTATTCGACTTTTTACTTTTAGGAACATTCTCCTATCATTATTTCAGAAAGGAGAATGACCTTGACCTTATAAGCATAGAGAATCAAGTAGAACTGACTAGCATATAGTGCTATTGTCTTTTTATGTATTGAAAAGATACGCATTTTTTTTAGTCCCCAAAAGGGGTCAAAATAAATGTGGAAAGCTGGTTATTGGTCTCAGATTAGAGTCATGTCTTCCCAAAGGGCATTCAAACTAGACCATTAAGAAAAATGGGTTACTGGGACAAAAATTATCATAAGATGATATACACCTACATAGGATTCCAAGGGACTTCTGTGTTCTATCAGGGCTCTGAAAATATGCAATATGAATGAACTAGAACCTGTAACCTATCCTCTATTTATTTTGTTGAACTGGGTTTACTAAAAAAATTAAAAGTTTGTATCTGCTGAAAATATGTACATTCTACATAGGGTTCCAGCAAGTATGAGGAAAAAAAAAATCTAATTTGACTGGACTGCTGATTGATTTCCTAAAGTCCCATTGCTTTCGATTTCTCAGTGATGACATACTTCCCTGCAGTCAATATGCATCTCTTAATTTGTTTGCAGGAAAGTTGGCCTCTTTTGCCTTCTCAAATCACACTTTGTAATCAATGGCTATGTTCTAAATAGAATTCAGAAATGTCTTTAGAAATTGAGGGCAGTTTCAATAAATTATTTTTAGCCTGCTCTCCCTCTAGGAACTTATTATTACCATAGCATAGCAGTGAATTATGTTTTTTTCCTTACATCTGCAAACCAACACACATTCTACTACAATCGTCCAGGATTTATAGAGCAGCCACATGCTATGAATAGATTTTGTTCAATAAAATCTATTCCCAATTCACTTCTTAGAAACATGCCATATTTACATGATTCTTGTAATATTTCAAAACAGAAATTAACACTTCAGTCACTTGGCCTATTAAATAAATTTCCAATATCTGCATGTGGAACAAAGTCTTAATTTTTAGGAAACCAAGAGACTTCTAATACTATTAAAACATCCAGGATGAGTAAGATACTCAGGCTTGGGGATTTGAAGTCAAAACTAAATTACAGTAATAAGTAATAATTACACCTTAGAGTAAGCTATTTCATTTATATTTGAGTGATTGCTGTTCCACAAGACAGGTTATCTTTCTCAGAGACTGGTTAGTTTATTACACTATCATTTATTTGAAGTACTATATATTCATACCATTTCACTTACCACTGGTGAGATAAACCTCAGAAGCAGATGACCTACATAAGGTCATCTGAGTATAGATTTCTGAACTTGAATACTGCATCTTAAGAAGTCATCATTCTTGATTTGTCTATTCTACAAAAATTTCGACCTATAAACAACAACAAATGCCACAACCTTAAAATCCTACAATAACAGTGGAAGGAGATTCTACATTAATGTTTAGCAACAATACATTCAAATAGTTAATCCATTTGGGCAAAAGACACAAGTAAAGAAACAATCAAAGCCAAAAGCAGAATAAAGATACTACCAGAACTGTTATTAAAGTTGTGGTTCAAGGCTTTCAATAAGGTCACTTAAGGTAGGTCATAGAGTTCACTAAGACTGAGGCTAAGCTATAGAGCCGGTGCTGATGACATACATTTATGGTTCATTCACTCACTGACAAACCCAATGCTATCTATGCACCATTACTGACTGAGGGACTGTTCTTAAAGGTGGGATACAGTAGTGAAAAACATAGACAAAGTCCTTCTTCTCAGGCTGTCATGGCTTTTCCATTATAGATGAAGCCAAGGAGGAGGAGGAGCTCCTCAACTGATAGATAGATAGATAGATAGATAGATAGATAGATAGATAGATAGACCTAAGGTAGTGATAAGTGCTATGAGGAAAAAGCAATATATCACATTCTCAAACGACCATATTGTACCACATCTCTTGAAAATATACATTAAAACAGCTTCAGTACAACATTGTTAGAATTAAAAAACAAGAAAACAACTTTTCAGGGGATAATTCATATACATACTTATACAAGTAACTTCTCTGAACTTACTAGTAGCAGGATTAGTGTAAGACCTAGCATTTTCTTAATTCTAGGCTTGTGCTTAGATGTATGCCTTAGCTTTCAGCTTTCATTAGCCATAGGTTACATTTAACTTTAAGGATTATAGTATTACCTTAAGAAGAGTATTAGAATAAAATTCAGTAAATGAGGATTCTAGAGATTCAAGAGATCATGGGCAAATCTTAATCTCTTTGTGTTGGTTTCCTCCAACTAACAAATGTGGATAAGCTTTTTCAAATACATATAGAGGAGTATTTGTGAATTTCTATCCGATTCAATTCCTAATATACCAGCTACTGTGACAAGCATGGGGGTTCATCAAGGAAGACAAACACTAAATAATTCATTATACATGTTAGAAAAGTGGAGACCTACCCATTTTTTGGAGAAGATAAGCCACAATAAAATTTGAGCTTATGCTCAAAGGGTGAGCAAACATTAGTGTGTATACTAAGTAGCATATTTGAATTCTTTGAGGTTCCCTGGAAGAAAGACAATCAGTATTTGTCTAACAGTAGTGAAAGTCACATTATTATAATTTCATATCAGAAGATATAGAATAATCCCCAAATCTCAAATAAATATTATATATGAAAAGAAATGAAGTCTTGGTGGTTAATAGGCTCCTCACTAAATTTCTGAATAAAATGTGGCCCAACCGATTAAAACTTTAGGGCATGGCTAAATCTTACAGGTATTTTCAGAATGAGTTATTAACCTTCTCCCTGTTTCCTCCTTAGTTTCTCATTTTTTACGTTCTTCAGTCTCTCTTTTCATTTCATTACAAACAATCACACTAGTTACTAAACAGCATAGTCAAGATAAAGTGGCCCCTGAAATTATTCATCTTGCACTGAAGTCATTGAGAAGCCAGTGAATAAGCTGTAAGCAGTTTTCCCTCCAGAAGCCATCTGGTTATAAGGGAAAAGGTGAAACATTAATTTCTCTATGAACTTTGTTTTTAAAAACAAATCTTCATAAATTGTATAAGGTTGATCACTACAGTAAAAATGCCCTTTAATTTGACTTAAATATCAAGTTTTGGTGATGAATCCTTATACACATATTATAGTGATAGAACAAAGAAATAAGATTTCCAGAGCTCACAATAGCTACATCAATTTTCCATTAAAAGCTTCAGAATTTAGCTGATCTCATTTAGTAATAACCTAATTAGTGAAGGTAAGGAAATAATAACATGCATCAATCTATTATCTTTTTTATATAAATTATATAATGAAATTAATTTACAGCCATAAGAATGCAGGTTATAAATGACTCTGATAATGTATTAACACACTAGAAACCCAATTGAACCTGTAAGTACATATTTCTTCACTGAAATTGCTCAAAATCCATTCATCAAATTGTTTCATCTAAATTCGTTTCCCACTGGTAAGGAGAAAAGGGGGCAGAAGAAGAAAGACGAGAGAGAGGTGGGAATGAAGGGATTCCTGATGTTACAGTCCTGTGCCAAATTTTAAGCTTTTCAAATACCTAACAGAAAAAAAAAAACCTTCTAGTATGTTGTCATACTAAACACAACGAATGATGGCTCTTGTCCCCAGTTTCAGTTAAGTGCTAAGAAATACAATTCATGACCTTATTTTTGTGTATTTGTTTTTCTACAAGAGCTCCAAAGAGCCAAAGCTTGGCGTTGTTCCTCTTATCAACCTTATTTGCATTTATGTTTTGGAATAAGAATTTTATGATACAAAATTCTCAATATGCACCTGATGGCCTTTTGAATTCTCCCAACTAAAAACTGACGTATCTCCGAAAAAAAAAAAAAAAATCCAGTTCATCAGACCATATGCCGCAATTATTTTATCTTCTCAAAACTAATCTTTTTTTTTGTCATAAAGTCACTGGACAGTTTCTATATATTCTGAAATAACATCTACTGCATGCCTCCTTAAATATTTCACTTTCTGTAGAAGTAGAGAGCAGAAGAGAAGGAATATTAGAAGCACTGTGAAACTCTAAGTCAAAGACGGGTGTTTTGTTGTTGTTGTTTTGGTTGGTATGACATTTAACAAGTCCAGAAAAACGAAAGATCTCTCCTTCAAGAGAACATCCTACATAAGTAGCCACAGTGAACCTCTCCCTGATGACCCCTCAAGAAAGAACAATTGCCAAGTGTCTGTATGTAGGCCAAAAGGTCTATCTCAACATTCAAATTATTTGAAATATGCATTATTTTAATATTCATGTGAAATTTTCATTTTACTTCCTTAAATAAATATCAACTTATTTTCATTTATTAAAAATTCCTGGCCAGGCACTGTGGCTCATGTCTGTAATCCCAGCACTTTGGAAGGCCGAGGCAGGTGGATCACCTAAGGTCAGGAGTTTGAGACCAGCCTGGCTAACATGGTGAAACCCCATCTCTACTAAAAATACAAAAATTAGCCAGGCATGGTGGTGGATAACTGTAATCCCAGGTACTTGGGAGGCTGAGGCAGGAGAATCACTTGAACCCAGGAGGTGGAGGTTGCAGCGAGCCAAGATCACGCCATTGCACCCCAGCCTGGGCGACAAGAGCAAAACTCCTTCTCAAAAAAAAAAAAAAAAAAAAAAAAAAAACATCCCAGGTAATATTTCAGCCCCACACCACCACATGCTCCCAGGGGGATCTATAACCAAGTATGAGATGCATAAATAAAGCTGACCTTCTGGATGAGGTATACTAGCTTATAGAAAACTATTAAATGCATGCTCTAATTGACCTTAAGAGGTTATATAGTCAAACCACTGTTTCTAGGTAAGATTATATTTCGTCTAAACGCAACGATCTACTTTCTATTTGAAAATCTCCAGAAGGGGAGGTAACATATCTTAGTATGTTTTAAATTATAGTACTCAAAAACTATTCAAATCTAAAAATTCCCTTTCTCAGTGATAAGTCATCTATTCATTTCCACCCTAGGTTGCAATGAAGGACAGCTATTAACTATTACTACCTCATCATTATTATCTTTTAATATTAGAAGCTCAAGAAAGTTACATTTTGTTAAGAAAAAGCTGATTTTTACTCAGAACTGTGCAAGACCTATGAAATGATAATAGCAGTAAAAATAGCAATAGATTTGAAACTCCATCTACAATACCTCTGCAAGCTCAGGGGGACAGAGAAACTAAGGCATTGTCCCATCCAAGGTCATGCAGAATTAAAAAAAAAAAAAAAGAGTCAATGGGAAGCCAATCCAGGACTTTCAGTCTCCTGTTCTTACTGCTTCAATAGCCTCACCATCATTAAGTTCTTTTTCATTCAGGTTAGACAGAGTCCTATGGGATTCATTCCCCCTTGTGTGTGTTGCTTGGCTGAGCCATACATTTCTATTGGCCCTATTGATTAGGCATCTGCTTCCTCTGTGAGGATAGTTTGCTCTTGTGGAACTGTGTTTAGCAGCTGTTACAGTTCAGATGAGTGTTGACAGGATGAAAATTAAATTAACACCCAATAACATTTTAACACCTGGTCCAACAACTGCAATATCATTGAATTTCACCTTTTCAAAATTGCTTCGGGAGTTAATTCATCCTTACTTTGACTTTGACCTGAGGAGACATTCCTGTAATTTTGCCACAAAAGACTCTCTCCTGACTGTTCATTTATAATTTCCATGAACCTCTCTCTGATCCATGTTTAGTGACTGCATGGCCAGTTTTTGGAAAATACACAGGATAAATATCCTATTGGAAGATGTGCCACCCTCTTGATTACAGCTAAAGAATGAGCACAGACAAAAACGTTAACCATAAAGAAGTTGTGTTTCACTGTAGCATAAGCCAGATTGGTGGGCAAGTAACCATCTTACCAGGGAAAATGAAGTCAGAAAGAATACAGGTTTCACACACTTGTGACTCTCTCAGTCTTGATCGGCTTGTGAATAATGTTGGAAGGAGGATGTAAAGCACTGTTTTGAAGCCAGTGGACTCTGAAGTTGGTCGGCCTGGTTGAAAACTTCACCTTGGCTGCTCCCTAAACACATGACATTGTGTAAAATACTTCAATGGTTAAGCCTCACTTTCTTCATAAAATGCAACTAACAATGGTGTCTATTATGCAGGATTATTTTGATGATTATACAATCCACGTAAAACTCTTAAAGTGCTAGTGCCCGAGAAGGTCCTAAGTAAGCCTATTTACCATATTATTTCACAGTCCCTGAACTGAAAGGGAGCTTTGAGATCATTTAATCTTGCCCTCTCATTTTACATTAAGCAAGAACAAGGAGGTTCAGCAATTTCTCAAGGATGTTTATTTTTGTAGTTAGAGCTGAGAAACAACCCAGGTTTCCTCATCAGAACTTTTATTTTCTTTTTATAAGACTGCCAACTTCTATTTTAATAGGTTATTTATTTAGAAAAGATTCTGTGTCCATGCTATGTGATTTATCCACTTAAGCTCCTTTTGTGTTTATCTTTCTCCTCTGGGAGGTGGAAATGGTGTTACTTGCTATTGGCCAGAGTTTTAAGAGGCATAGATAATAAAAATATCATACTACCATTTGCTGTTTAGAATTTCTATCAGATGCTAGGTGCCCTGTCAAAGATAAATATAGCACAGTACCTAACTTACAAGAAAGCAAGAAAAAAATGTTATCACACCACCACATAAAAAACACAGTGTATTAACAATTGTTAGAAAATGATAATCCATTTTGTAGATTTTCCAGGATCATTATGTCTTTTCTTATTTTTGTTGCCTTCAATTTTATTGCTAATTATATTGGTACAGAAGGAGGACTAGCAGAAGGGAGAATTGCATTTTTTAATTTGGGTAGTGTTGCACATATTAACAATTATTTTGGCAAATGTTTTGTATTTCTAGAGATTGATATTTTAAGCTGTAATGAGATTTTAGGATTAACTCTAACTTGTATTTATCTATTTTTCCCACCTGCCTTTTCCCCAATGAAAAGTAACACTGACTCAAGAGTTTTTCTTTTTGTATTATGATAGATTATCCACCCCCAACTTTTTTTCTTTTCGTCCTAAATGTATAGTAGTGATAAAATAGGCACAATTTGCAAAATACAATTTGGGGGTGATAATTACTTTCACACGTGATACTTTTAAAAAATAATCTTAATTATTTTAAATAAAACATTCCAATCCTTAATTATTAAACTTGCAAAATTCAATGTAAGCATTAGTTTCTCAGAAAAATGCATTTTGTAAAATGAGGTATAATTTCATGACCAAAAAAAATGACAGATGGGAGGGGAGGGTGTGAGGATTTTTACTATTCTAACCAGCTAGTATGAGAAAAGCAGTTCTCCAGAAGTACAAATCAAATGGTGGGAAGTATTGAATGTTTTCAAAATGTTATATAATTGCTTAATTGCCTCACTCTCCTAAATGGTTCCCTGTGTCCCCTCAGGCAAATAAAGCCTTCATTACCCTAACTGTAGAAGGGATCTAATCACTCTGGAGAGAATATGCATATAATTTGAAATATATAAGCATTAATGATATAATAATGTGCTCAGCAACAGGTATATCACTGATTCCATCTATATTTCCCAGATAAAGGAATATGTATCTGGAGAAAGGTGTATTTTTCACTAAAAATAATGAGACTGATAACAGTTTAAAATTATTTTTAGTTATCTAAGCATGCATTTAAAACAGGAAGACAAGTTATGATTCTCGAATTCTCATAGATATGATAGTGTCTTTTATCAATCTTTTGCAGAACTAATTACTAAGCATCTAAAAGTACTCATACTAATACTAATATAGTCACACTATGGTCAGGATTAATATTTTAGTGTTGTATGAAGAATGAGAAAAGATAATCTTTACAGACCTAAAATATGTTTGAGCATTTTTAAGAGCCTTGGCAGCCAGTGACGCTTTGCTTTTGAATATTTTAATTATTCTTTACTACAGTAAGATATGGTAATCTGGGGAAAAAAATATTGTTTTCCTAGGAGAAAGAGAAGCAAAAAAAAAAAAGAAGTGGAATAGAAATCAGGAAAACTTCTCATCTATGTCATTGCCAATATATAGAGTTATCAAGTAATAATTCATAAAATCATAGAACTGGAAGAAATCTTAGTGTTCCATTCAGTCCACACTCATGCCTCCTGGAAGTTAAGTAGAAAATAAGAAAAAAAGGAAAAACAACTATAGACTCTTGAATAAAAATCAGCAGCTCGGCCAGGCACAGTGTCTCATGTCTGTAATCCTAGCACTTTGGGAGGCCAAGGTGGGCAGATCACCTGAGGTAGGGAGTTTGAGAGCAGCCTGGCCAACACAGTAAAATCTCGTCTCTACTAAAAATACAAAAATTAGCCCAGCGTGGTGGTGGGTGCCTGTAATCCCAGCTACTCGGGAGGCTGAGGCAGGAGAATCACTGGAACCCAGGAGGTGGAGGTTGCAGTGAGCCGAGATCATGCCACTGCACTCCAGCCTGGGTGACAGAGTGAGACTCTGTCTCATACAAAACAAAACAAAACAAAAAACAAAACAAAAAAACCCAGCCGCTCATCAACCTCTGATACTATTTAAAAATATTCATGATAGTTTTGGCAACCAAAGCAGGTAGAGCTCCTTTTTTGCCACTTCATCAGACATAAAATTAACAGTAATAATAATAATAATAAATTAATTAAAATACCAGAGAAACACAACTCAGCATACTGGGGATCATCTGACGGGAACACTTTATTTTACAGATAAGATGACCATCCCCTGTAAATTGTGGCACGTGTTCTCCATGGCTACATAGATAGAAAAAACAAGATGCAAATGGAGGGACATTACCTGGCAGGCCAACATCCGTTTTAGGACACCAAGGTAGTAATCAAGCTTGCTCTATTATTAGCTATTAACACTTAAGTGGTAGCAGAAACTAACAGGAGTCTGAAAATTCTAGAACTTTTAGTTTATTTGACAAAGGGAATCATGATCTCGGCCTCTAGGGCATCTCAGATGTGGCACGGAAGTCATTTATTTTGATGTCTACCAGCCTCTCTTCCAGCACTCTGACCTGCTACAGATGACTGCTAATAACTATACCCAAATAAAAAAACGTTTGGAAGGGAAAGTTCAAATGTACAGATTTGGTACAAATATATATTAGCAGGAAAATTACATATGTATATATCTGGTGGAAAATTAATCAAAATATTATTTATTACAGATATATATATATATATATATATAGCTAATGTACTATTTGACATAACCTATGGTCATTATTGAAATTCTTTAGATCTGTTCTTTGGGTATTCTATAAGAAGGTTAAGATTCGTAATGTTCGCCACCATCTCAATAGATTTTTTAGATATTTTTCTGATTTTACTTTTAATACAAACCACTATTAAGACAAGAAACAAGCCAACAAACAAATACATTTCCCATGGTAACTGGAACTCATTCTCTATACCACAGATCACCAAGAAAGCAAAGTGTATTCCATCTGCATGACAGTTTAGGCTGTGAATACCAAGAATATAATGTTATGACCTAAGAAATCTGAGGTGAGAATGTTCTTTAAAACAGTCTTGACAGATACACATAATCAAGATGTCATATTGCTGTGGCATACCATACCCACATCCATGTGAAACACAACCTGTAGAAGAAAACAACAGGAAAAGACAGAGTCATTCCTTGGCCGATACCTTATACATTGCATCACCACCAAATGTTAAGTAAACAAGAAAGCAGATTTTAACCAGGGGGGTAAAAGTCCTTTATCTAGAGATCTTTATTTAAAGTTTTATTACAAACTGGGAAAAACAAATGTAATTATATTTGCTCTCAGAGAGGGATCAGGCTTAATACATTTATATAAATGTAGCCTTCCTAAGAAAATAGATATTTAAGCTTTGGTTCCTGGGAGTTCCTAAAACTGAGGATGAAGGGAAATTGCCTTTGGAATCAGTTACACACCCAGAATGAGCTTCAAGATGAACTAAGGGAATAGGAAGAAAAAACAAATATAACCTATCACTGAAACTATATTAAGTTTATATAACATTGTCATCTAATGAAAAATGTTATGAATTGAAATTTATTTGATTTATTGACTATACTTAAAACATACAATTATTCAAAATATTTCCCATCTGAGCTATTAGTATTTTGTAGAAAGAATGTTTCCAAATATTTAAAAAACAATCACATTCTTAATAAGCTCACAAATTATACTACAATTATTGCAAAAAGTTAATAGATAAATGTGGGCTGGTAACTTACTTTTACAGAAATAACAAAAGTAAGCTCAGATAGTCTCCATATTACAGTAAAGACTCTTCCATAATTGAAACGCAAATGCTTTTACTTACAAACACATGCAGTGAATGTTGATTAGGGACTTTGGGTGTATTTAACCTGTAATGAGGGCTGATGCAGTTAAGACTTGCCCTAGACAGGACACAAAAAGTTCAACAGCGCAATTCCATGACTGAAACAAAGATGGAGTTTCATCATTCAAGGAGAATGCTCATAGATTTAGCCATTATTGATATGTACCTAGATGTTAACTCTTTCTTAAAGCTAAGTAGTCCATTTCTAACTTGTCTTCTAATATGATCTCATCTCAGAATCTACATGACTTTAAATTTAAAAATTCTTATTGAAATAACTTCACTTCTCTATATTTATTCAATTTCTCTCACTCCTATTCTCAGGTGAGGTGATAATCCCATATTCACCATCTTCAAAACAATTTATTTTTTTTTTTTTTTGAGACAAAGTCTCACTCTATTGCCTAGGCTGGAGTGAAGTGGCGTGATCTCGGCTCACTGCAACCTCCACCTCCCAGGTTCAAGCGATTCTCCTGCCTCGGCCTCCCTAGTAGCTGGGGTTACAGGCACCCACCACCACGTCCAGCTAATTTTTGTATTTTTAGTAGAGACGGGGTTTCACCAATTATATTTTTTAAAGTATTTATTTAGGTCATCTGAAAAGCAGACAGCAAGATGGGAGTAGACTTACTTTTTTTTTTTTTTTTTTTTTTTTGATGGAGTCTCGCTCTGTCACCCAGGCTGGAGTGCAGTGGCGTGATCTCGGCTCACTGCAAGCTCGGCCTCCCGGGTTCACGCCATTCTCCTGCCTCAGCCTCCCAGGTAGCTGGGACTACAGGTGCCCGCCACCACGCCCGGCTAATTTTTTTTTTTTTTGTATTTTTTTTTTTAGTAGAGACGGGGATTCACTGTGTTAGCCAGGATCGTCTCTATCTCCTGACCTCGTGATCTGCCCGCCTCGGCCTCCCATAGTGCGAGGATTACAGGCATGAGCCACCACGCCCGGCCAGATGGGAGTAGACTTTCAAGAGATTCTGCAGTTAGAAACAACTGCAAAGAATAAAGAGGAGAAAGCAGGATCAGGCAGAGAAATCCTTCAGACTGCAATGCAGAACTGATGTTGTTGACAAGAAAGGGAAAGAAAGAGAGTGGGGCAGGTAGAGTCTCAGACTGCAGTGCAGCTCTAAGAAAATCTGAGCCAGAAAGACAGGAGTCCCCAAACCAAACTTTCCTACTAGGGAAGTCCAATGTCTCATCAGAATGGGCCACCATCAGATGCTTTCAACAGCAGAGCTCAATGGTGCATTTCTGTCTGCCTTGGTAGTTTTGGACTCTTCCTGCATCTCTATGAGGATTGTAACCTGGAATATGAAGACACTTTTACTTTGTAAATGCCCAAAAGTGAGGCAAGGTCAACTTACCTTCCAATTGGAGATAGGAATTCTATCAGTGTCACAGCGACTAAGGACTCAAACCAACACAATTGCCTTATGACAAACACTATATTTAGAATAACACAGCTCTTCATTCACATGGGGAATTAGAAAAAAACCCTGAGGACTTTATTCTCCATTCATAAGGATGTCTCTTTATTTTTCTCATGATTGATTAAACATATCTTGGAATAAGTTTTTCAGTAAGGGTAACATCCTTCTTCAGAATATGCATATGTAAGAACTCCTTTCCATCGCCTTTGCAGATACACACCAACTTGACTGAGAGGAAATAAAAGAAATAAATAGTCAACGATACTGTTCCATAGGCGAGGCACATTTCCCCCCAATTCCCCCACCACCACCCGCATAATTCTTAACAGACCAAGGTAGAACTGCAGCTATTGCCAAGTGTGAAGGGATGTGGGGTTTGAGGATGAGACACTCCAAAGTCACTGAGGAACAACCAGAGAAATGAACTCAACTACATATAAACTGGTAGTTACTTGAACTTGTTTTATCATACATCATTTTACTCTCTTATTTGGAGAGGTTAGGAGGATAAAAATCATACAACATAGACTCCTTTGGAAACCGGGTTTCTAGATGTGAATTAGCTGCATTCACATGGCATTTAGGGGCAGTGGTGGCTGGCAAGCAAGTTTTGACAGGAAGGTTTTTGCTTCAGACAGGCTGAACGTTCTGCTCCCTTGTCATCAACCATCAGCATATATGATGGCAGTGGAAGTAGCCCTGGGAATAGCAGGGATTTGCGATCTTATAGCAAAAAGTCTAATGATAATCTGCTTGCAATGCTTTTCTAAAAAAGTAATTCCCTGTAGAAAGCCTCTTTCTGCATGGTTTTGTTTTTTCTGAACAGAAACCTTAACTAACACAATGATCATGCTATAGAACTGTGTGTGTGATAGGGAGGTAAATGGATGGAGATCATAAGGTGGAAAGCTATGGAATAACTGCACTTGCATCAGGATGGAAGAGCATCATGGAAAAGTCATGATGCTGCTTATTGAAGACTAAGAATCTTCCAAAGAAAGGAAACCTAGTTAGTAAATTCTGGGGTAAGAACATCCTGGAATGAAATACAGAGATGATGGGCATGTAAAATGGTGAATTTTCTATGAAGTCAGGTAGTTCCTGAATGGATTAAACAGAATTCAGATATTATCTAGAAATTTCACTCCTAGGGTATATCCAATAGAAATGAAAACATATGTTCATACACAAACTTGTACACAAATGTTTATAGCAGTTATTTATAATAGCCAAAAGATAGAAACAACCCAAATGTTCATCAATGTACAAATAGATAAATAAATGTGGTATATCTATACAATGGCATATTACTTGGCCATAAAAAATGAAGTGTTGATACATGCTACAAGATTGATATGACTGAAAACATTATGCTAAGTGAAATAAGCCAGTTTTAAAAGTCCATATATGATATGAATCTATTCATAGGAAGTCCACAATAGAAAGATCTATGGAGACAGTGGTTGTTTTCAGCCAAGGAAGGAAAAAGGGGTAAGGGTTTGATAGTTAAAGGTTTATGGGATTTCTTTTTGAGGTGGTGGAATAGTGGAAAAGTCTTTCCAGACACAAGAAACAGAGTAAGTCCACAAAAAGGAGTTGGTAATTTTATTTGTTCTTGCCTTGCTTTATTGCTGCTACTTTTTATAGGGTGTTGTTTTTAAAACATAGTGTATGTAAAACAATGCTACCCCTTCACAAACTGACATTTTTGCTTTCTTGTACCAGTAAGGCATAACCAAACTTGAAAACAACATGAAATCCTCTCTTACATCTTTCTTTTCATGTTGAAATTGCACTTACTCTTTTATTGTTGGCGTATTTTGATTTAGAGTTGTGTTCTGGTGTATTAATTCTCTATTACTGTGTACCAAATTACCACAAATTTATTAGTTGAAGGTGACATCTCTTTATTATCCCACAGTTCATTAGTTCAAAAGTCTGGGCGCAAATGCCTGGATTCTCTGCTCAGGGCCTCACAAATCCAAAATCAAAGTATCAGCCAATCTGTAGGCTGTAGGGAAGAATCTACTGTTAAACTCACTCAGGTTGTTGGTAGAATTCAGTTCCTTGCTGGCTATTGGATGGCAGTTACCCTAGGCTCCTAAAGGCAATTGTTTGGTCCTTGCATGTGGCCCCTTCCATTTTTAAAGCCATGAACACAACAGCATGCAACATCTTTCTTACACTTTGAATCTCTCTGATTTTCTTTCTGCTGCCAACTAGAGAAAACTAACTCTGCTATCAAAAGGCTCATGTGATCAGGTTAGGCCCACCAGAATAGTCTCCCTTTTGATTAGCTGAAAGTCAACTGTTCAGTGACTTTAGTTACATCCGAAAAATCACTTTTTCAATGTAAGGTAACACAACCAGGGCATACTCTTTTGTTACATTCACAAATCAAAAGGTTAAGGCAGGAAATCTTGTGGGGAGTCCATCTTAGAATTTGATCTGCTAAACCTGGTTTAGATGAAAAGATTTCTATGAACAAGTAAACTTTAGAAGTGCTGTCTAAGAAATGATAAGTAGGGTTTTCTTTTCTCTGCAGGACATCTCCACATTTTTAAATGGTTTCTGTACATTATGATTTTCCAAGAAGATAACAATCTGTGTTAATTTTTTAAAATTGTATATCATGAGTCATTATATCAATGTAGTACATATGACCATCACTGTTCATAGGAAAATTAAACTGAGTAAAAAAATATTAGAATCAACCACAATAGGTTAAAGGTATTTTTGTGAATGATTTTATACTCATCATCCATATATGTATGGTTTATAATGTATCAGGTAATGTCCTAAGAATTTTACCAAAAGCAACATATTTTAATTTAGTAATAATCTTTAGTGATAAAGAAACAGAGGCAGAGAACTTTGCCAAATGTGACACAGGTAGCAAATGTTAGAGCTAAGATATGAAATAAGGTTCCACCTGGGTTTGCAGAATCTAACTACTATAGGGCAATGTTCTTAAGCATCACTCTAGTGCTAAAAGCTTTGTTCTTTTTTCAGAGCTTTTATGTCTAATATATTTAATAAGTAACCTCCTATGTTTCCTAAACATAGATTACAGTAAAATCCTTTGTTGATTCCATCCTGTAGTTCACTGTGTATCTTGAGAAACATCATTTAGAGATGCTTTTGTTTATATGTATAATATAAAAACAAGGTGAATGGAATACTGCATGGCCATAAAAATTAACAAAATCTTGTCCTTTGCAAAAACATGGATGCAGCTGGAGGCTACTATCCTAAGTGAATTAATGCAGGAACAGAAAACCAAATACCACATGTTCTCACTTAAAAGTGGGCACTAAACATTGAGTACACTTGGACACAAAGAAAGCAGCAAGAGACACACCAGCACCTACTTGAGGGTTGAGAATGGGAGGAGGCTGAGGATCAGAAAACTACCATCATGTACTATGCTCATAACCTGGGTAATGAAATAAACTGTACACCAAACCTCTGGAACACACATTTGTCTATGTAACAAACCTGCACATGTATCCCCTAAATCTGAAATAAAAGTTGGAAAAAAGACCAACAAGATAGATCTTATGCAGATGGTTCTAAATCAATTTCAGTAAATTAAAAACTTGGTTTGTAACTTCAAGGATTGCAAAATATTTTAAAACTCTATCTAAATAGTCCCTATTTTAAAATGCTTCTTGACTTATGATGGGGTTACATCCTGAGAAACCCATCATAAATTGAAAATATCATGAGTAGAAAATGCATTTAATATACCTAACCTACTGAACATCATAGCTTAGCTTAGCCTACATTACTATGCTTAGAACACTACATTAGCCCACAGATGGGCAAAATCATCTGGCAACACAGTACACCATAGGGTACTGGCATTTACCCTCATGATTGCCTGGCTGACTGGGAACTGCGGCTTACTGTCTCTGCCCAACATCAAGAGACAGTATCATACCACATATTCATAGCCCAATAATCAAAATTCAAAATTCAAAGTCCAATTTCTACTGAATATATATAGCTTTCACACCATTGTAAAGTAAAAGAATTGTAAACCGAACCATCATAAGTTAGGGACTGCCTGTATTTCAATATTTTTTAGTAGAATTAAGAGTAATACAATTTTCAATTATTATTTAGGTTTATAAGACAGTCCAGGAATTCACTGAAGTAAAAAAAAAAACAACTCAATTTCCAGAGCTTGATTATACCATGGAGGCAAGAGTAAATGGCATTAAATCAATATCCTAATATATCAAGCAGCTTGTAGAAGCAATGAACTGGATTGCTGAGAGCATTGTGGAAGAATCTTAAAAACATACCGTTGAGTTAAAAAAAAAATGGAAATGGAAAAATACCTAACTAAAGCACAATGTCATTTAGGTAAAGAGAAGGGGATCATCACACATACAGACAAATAAAGATGTCACTGTATTTTTTCGAAAACACATGCGTATCTACCACATAATGGGTACATCTAAGATTTAAAAATATCTACAATATTAAAGGCACCACCAGCAGTGATTTGTGAACGGTCTCATGCCATCTGCCCACAAGCTTCTTCCATGAAGCCTTGCCAAGTCCTGGCTCCATCTTGGAAACTGTCTGGCCTTCACTCCCAGGGGAACTTTGGCTGTTTTCTCTTGTCCCCACCTTCTGTCCTTGACCTGCACATTCACTTCTATTGATCATTTCATTCATTAATTAGAAGTAAGATTAGCTATTGCACCACTCTGTTTAGCTGATGTGTATATCTTTGGAAAGTCTTCCAAGTAAAAGACAGTTCATATTACTTTTAATTTGTTATCTATGATACCAGTAATCATTTCTTCTAGAAGTTAGGCATCATGTCTTTGGTCAGGAAAGTGACTTTCTATGGTAACATGGTTTCTATAGGAACATCCATTTAAACTATACCTTTCAAAGCATCTTTTCCTGAATACAAATTCTCAGAAAAACAATGCATATCCATAGATTTTTGATGGCTAAAAAATAAAGTTTATGTATATGTTATGTAAAGTTTATGTATTTGTTAATCTTTCTCTGCTTATTTTATCAGGATACAGACTGAGGATATTTATGAGGTTTCACATCATATGTCTCTATTTTGCAAAGCATTTTTTATTAATAATGACTTAAGAATTCCCTGAATGTATTTTAGGAGTCAGTTGTATAAACAATTACATGCAAATAGTTTAACTAAAATAACCTAATTATAAAAGAAAATTTTCCTATCTCAAAAGCAAAGAAATAATAGTCATGACAACATATATTATTTCTGTCATTCATTTACTATAATAGTCAAAAAATAACACTTCAAATTCTTGCTATGCCAAGTTTTGATGAGATTACTCTATTTTTCTTGACAGAAGATGTACGAAAAATTCTTATTGAACTTATAGCTAAGTGAAAAATCCAGAAAAAAAGCTGGATATGTCAGCCAATGAGAGTGACATTGCTCATTGTGAATGTTCAAGTTTAGTAATAAATCCTCCCTTCAGCGCACAAAATATTACTTACTGCAATAGGACTCAGTTCCTCAGCTTACAGTTTAGGTCATACATGTGTAAGCTTCTTGCTAATATTTTAATTTAACATTAAGAAATGTCTTCCAGATGTTATTAAGAAAATGTAATGGTACAGAAAAATGAAAGTTTGAACAATAAATATTTGCTTTGATGAACAAATGGAAAACATAAATTTAAGAATACTTAAAATCTACAAAAAGATTGACTTCTCCGTGCAGACAGATGCACAATAGGTTACCTTGCAAAACTGAGTTGCTTACTGGTAGCCCCAGCCTCTATCATGCTACGATAACCCACTGTAAGTCTATATCATTGCCTAGATATCAGTATAGTCTCTCACATAACAAAAAAGTGTGTGGATGATATCATCAAGACAGTTACATTTATCAAGTTCAAGTAAAGTCTTATGAATAATATTTCAAAAATAAATATAATTTGTTTCCCCAGGAAATAGATGTGTCAAGTCTGCTATTGTGCAGGACCTTGGATTAATATCCATTTCAGTTGATAAGCTTCAGAAACAAATTATGCTTTCATCAATACTTTCCTTAATTAACTCTCATACATATTGTCTGTGTATTCAGATGGACTCTGCAGTGCTATCCTGTAAATTGACCAAAGAGGACAATTGATTGAGACTCTCAAAAACAAGCTTCCTTGAGACAAAAGAACTTATAGACCAAAAAGTCAAAAAGGCCTAAAGTATTCCAGGTATTTTAGCACAGATTCAAATCAAAAGTTGGTAATCATTCCAAAAGAATTACTGGGATTCATCAAGGAGTGTATTTTTGTACATACCTCCAGTGTTATTTACAGCTGTTACAGCTAAATTTCAGTAAAGATTCATTTACCCCAGCTTTCTCTCTCTCTTTTTTTTTTTCTTATTTGCTCTTTGTCCCTTTGTAATTCCTGCCACAAAATTTAACCTGTTCTCTTAAAGTTTAACAATAACATAGTCGGCCGGGCGCGGTGGCTCACGTTTGTAATCCCAGCACTTTGGGAGGCCGAGGCGGGCGGATCACAAGATCAGGAGATCGAGACCATCCTGGCTAACATGGTGAAACTCCGTCTCTACTAAAAATACAAAAAAAAATTAGCCAGGCGTGGTGGCGGGCACCTGTAGACCCAGCTACTCGGAGAGGCTGAGGCAGGAGAATGACGTGAACCCGGGAGGCGGAGGTTGCCGTGAGCCGAGATCGTGCCACTGAACTCCAGCCTGGGCGACAGAGCGGGACTCCGTCTCAAAAAAAACAAACAAACAATAACATAGTCATCAACTCAAATATATATATCTTTTTAAATTTTATATATAATTATATAAAAATATATATTATAATTATATATAAATATATTATTCTATATTCTATATTATATTATATATTATACATATTTTTATATACTTTTTATATACTTTAAAAATATACTTTTGTATACTTTTTTATATACTTTTTAAAATTTTTAAAAATTTTTCTCCTCTATGACCTGAGAGCTATTATGGAAGATTCTCCTTCCAATTATGATTGCCTGACCCTGTCCCTTTCTGTTTTCCTCTGACTTCTACAGCCATTTTTTCTCTGTCTTTTCTCTTGGCTTCTTTTCCTCAATATATGTGTCTTCACCCCATTCCCTTATCTCCTCCTTTTTCGTTATTGTTCTTCTCGAGCTCTCTCTCACTAAATATTAAATATTTAGTGGCTTTAAATATTATTTATCACCAGGTACGGTGGCTCACACCTGTGATCCCAGCACTTTGGGAGACTGAGGCAGGCGGATCACCTGAGTTCAGGAGTTCAAGACCAGCCTGGCCAACATGGCGAAACCCCATCTCTACTAAAAATACAAAAAATTAGCCGGGCATGGTGGCAGGTGCCTGTAATCCCAGCTACTCGGGAGGCTGAGGCAGGAGAATCTCTTGAACCCAGGAAGTGGAGGTTGCAGTGAGCTGAGATAGCAACACTGCACTCCAGCCTGGGCAACAAGAGCGAAACTCCATCTCCAAAAAAAAAAAGTGATTTCTCTATGGCCCACCAGCAAGTCTACATCCACCATCACTTTACTCCTTCATTCTCATTTCAAATTACTTATTTGTTTAATCTATTTTGAGACCATAACAGAATCTCAAAGGCCATATTCATAAAGTTGAATTTCCCAAATTCCTAGTTAAAATGAATTATCCGGTTTAATTCCCTACTTCAGTTAATGGCTTGGGCGTTTTCTCTACTCATCCAAGCTTTCAACTTAAGAGTTTTTAGAGTTTGATTTTCTTTTTCTTTTTCTTTTTCTTTTTTTTTTTTGTCTCACTGTTACCCAGGCTGGAGTGTGATGGTGCAATTATAGCTCACTGCAGCCTCAAACTCCTGGGCTCAAGGGATACTACTGCCTCAGCCTCCCAAATAGCTGGGACCACAGGTGCACACCACAGTGTCTGGCTAAGTTTTTTATTTTGGGTAGAGATGGGGTTTCACTATGGTGCCCAGCTGGTCTCAAACTCCTGGGTTCAAGTTATCCTCCCATCTAAGCCTCCCAAAGTGTTGGGATTACAGGCTTGAGCCACCATATCCAGCCTTTTCTTCTTCTTTTTTTTTTTGAACTTCATAGACCTTGCCTCCATCAAAATAGTCAGTTGGGAGGCCATATTGATTTTCCCACTGCAGTATTTAACATCTACACCATGTACCCCCATTTCACTGTTACTGCCATCATTATCTCCTTCCCATTATACTATATTAGGTTTTGTCAACATTGGTATAAATAGTTCACTGTATTAGAGTATTCTCTGTAAAACCTTTTCAAGTCTCTTCTTGATCCTGGCTTTTTCCTTTTGAACACATAACCTAAACAGGTTAATCTTCTCTTAATTTACAATATCTTAAAGATGATACAAAAACATTTAAATGGGCTGGGCATGGTGACTCACACTTGTAATCCCAGCAACTGTGGAGGCTGAGGTTGGAGGATCAGGAGTTGAAGGCTGCAGTGTGCTACATACACACCACTGTACTCCAGCCTGGGCAAAAGGATGAGACCCTCATCTCTAAAAAGAAAAAAAAAAGAACTTTAAAATGGAACTATGATTGTCCTCTCTAGGAGCAATACTTAATCATACAAAACTAGGAGTAGTTTAGGGTTAAAAATAGCTTCATAGTATAAAAGCTTTCAACATGCTGCATCTAACTTGAAAGCCTTATCCCCCCACATTCAGTCTTTCATTCAGCCATTTAATCATCAAATATTTGTTGAGTACTTCCTATGTGTCAGACACTGTTTTAGGCACTGGGAATATACTACTAAGCAAAACAGACAACCTGCTTAAACGAATTATCCTTATACTCTAGGGGTACTGAGGGAGTACACAAAAAATAAGTAACGTAAAGATTACCTACAACACTCTGTGTGCCACCATAGTCCAATATAGATAGGAGAGAGATAGGGTCCAAAATGATAAATGCCACAGGGCCTAGAGAGAAACTGATTTCCTGTTAATAGCAGGAATCATATAGGCCACACACTGAATGAGAAAAACACTTTTTCAGTTTCAGCATTACACAGCATAACACAGTAGAACGCAAGTTAAAGCAATAGCTACAGCTATAGAACAGAGCCTGTACTTCAGGTGCAAGCTAGTGCAATTACAAAGTGAAAGACTGGTAGTCTTCACCTGCTAGTATGAAAGTTACCATTCCAGCAATGGCATTAAGAAATTATCACCTAGTACAAGGCCACACTCTACTAGAATAACTTTTCCTTTGATCACACCTATTTGATAATTTCTCCAATTTTTTAGTGAGTATACTAGTCAGGTTTCTCCAGAGAGACAGAACCAATAGAAAATGTATAGATGTATAGATGTATAGATATACGACTTAATTATAAGGAATTTGCTGATGCAGTTATGAAGGTTGACAAGTCCCAAGATCTGCAATCAGCAAGCTGGAGATCCAGGAGAGCCAATGGTGTAGTCCCAGGTTCAAGACCTAAACAAAACTGAGGTCCCAGCTCAAAGGCTGTTAGAAGGAGTTCCCCCTTAATCATAGAAGGGCCAACAATTTGTTCTAGTCACACCTTCAACTGATTAGATAATGCTGACTGACATTAGGGAGTGCAATCTGCTTTACTCAGTCCACCTATTCCAATGTTAATCGCATCCAGAAACATCCTCACAGACACACCCAGAATAATGTTTGACCAAATATATGAGCACCCAGTGGCCTCCTTCTTTCTCTTTCTTCTTTCTCTATGTATACATGTATGTATGTATGTATCTACCTAATATCTATGATTCTGACCAAAACCGTGGATTCAGACATTATCAATTAATGCTATCTTTGTAAACCATGTATTAATAGAACACCTTATCCTACTATTAATATTCAATAATGAGGCAAAGTAGACCACAGCCTGCAATTGTCCAGGATGAGTAGCAGAGGTAAACTGTGCCTCCTGTATTGACTTTCAAGGCTGCTTTTCTTGCTAATTGATACATTTTCTTATATATCATTTTGTTAGCATTGGCAGAGATCAGAGTTACCCGGAGTTACCGGCAGGTCCACAGCAACTTCAATTCTTGCCTCCTCAGAAGAAAGAATTCGACTGAGTGGCATAAAGCAGAAAAAAAGACTGAGGCAAGTTTCAGAGCAGAAGTGAAAGTATATTAAAAAGTTTTAGAATAGTAAGGAAAGGAAAGAAAAGAAGGAAAGTACAACCTGGAAGAGGGCCAAGCGGGCAACTTGAGAAACCAAGTGACTTGGGGTTTTATACGTTGGCCTGCTTCTGGGACCTTGCCTTACTTCTCCCGACTCCTGAGACCTTATTGGGAAGCTGCTGATCAGTTTCAGGTGTTTTCTGTCTATCAGGAGACTGCCTTTCCCTGGTGCTGGCTACAATCAATTATTACTTCAGAGAAACAGTTAACAACTGCCTGACCATCACGTGATGGTCAACACTCCTGGTGTGTGTTGGTGGGGAGCCCTCTCCTGCCCTGCTCATACCTGACTAGCTACCTACTCTAACAATTTTATTTATTCTTTAAACCACTTTTTGTAAACAAAACTCAACCCCTTTTAAACTAACCCATACCATGCTGCTTGCTAGATTAGTCTTTCTAAAGCACCATCCCACCTTATCATTCTGTGTGCAAAGGCCTTTCATTTTTCTCAACTGGTTTCAGCATAGTCTACTTTATATAAATTATATAACCTACTGCAAAACCTTGATGCATACTATTAACTAGTCAGGGTGACATACTTGTTGTCCTCATTCATATATGGCTCATTCTATTCCTTTTTTCTATGACATAACTCTCAATCCCCAAATTTTACTCACTCAAAATCCTTCCTACTCTTAGGACTTAATTAAAATGTTATTTCTTCCATGAAATAACATGAACTGTTCCCTATTCAAAACAATCTTACTTTACATAAAAGAATTTTTCTATACTCTGCACATGCAGCATTCTCTCTTTGAATCAACCTCCTAATGTTGGAAACCCTAGTGTTGAATCCCTGATAAATCCTCTTCTTTATCTGCACTCACTTCTTTGGTGAGTTCATCCAACCTAATGGCCTTAAACATCTATTTGCAATGTCTCATAAAGTTGATTTATGCTACCCAGTCTTCTCTTCTTTGTTCCAGACCTATGGTACCAACTGCATACTTGATATCTCCTCCAGAATGTTTAATATACCTTTCAAACATAACCTGTCCAAAACTGAACTCCTGATCTTCCATCCACAAATACTCTTTCCTCTCTCAAGTGATAATATCATCCTTGCAGTTACTCAGGCCAAAAACTTGCAGTAACATTTTATCTGCCTTTCTTTCCCTCACAAACCCTGTCCAATCCCCCAGGAAATCTTTTTGACTCTATCTTCAAACTTTATCCAGAATCAAACTGCTTCTCAGAAATTCCCCTACTATCACTTGGTTTTGTCCACCATTATCCACTTGTGTGGGTTTTTGCAACATCCTTCTAGCTACTTGCCAAGATTCTATTCTTACCATTCGTCATACAGCAGCCAATAGTCTGCAAAGGCCTACGTGATCTGTCATTCCCATTGCCTCTTTCACCTTGTGGTTTTCCCTTTCTGTCTGATTCACTCTACTCAAGCTGCACTTGTCTCCTTGATATTCCTCCCATACACCAAGCTAACTTCCATTATGGGCATTTCCAGTGACTAGTTTGTCTGCCTGGAATGTCCTTCAAAATATCCTCATAGCTAATTTCCTCACCTCTAGTATTTTCATAAATGCCACCTTCTCTGTGAGGTCTATTCTGACCATCTATTTAAAAATGTATCTTTTTCTATCCTATACTGTTGATCAGCTGTATCTGTTTTATTCATTAACCATGGTATTAATGGCCTTCTAATATGCTATATAATTTACTTTTGTGTATTTTTTGCGTCTCTCTCTACTAGAATATAAGATCTACAAGAACAGGTATTTTGATGCATTTTGATCACAAATGTATTTCAAATTCCAACCTTGGTGTTAACTGAATTTTCCTTTTTTTAAGTGATTTTATGCAATACACACTGCAGTACTGTTATTTGTGTACAGCTTATTTCCTTTCTCAGTTTTTGGACTCCATGAGGAGACTATCAGTGTCTGATTCATTTTTGTTAACCACATCTGCATTCACAGTATTCAGTATCTTGCTTTGCACATGAGAGGTAAGTCATAGTACAATTTTGGTACAAAAAAAATACAAATTCAAACAAATTAACTGTTTTTAAATGGTGTAAATTAATTTTGGGTACATAACTATTTCACTGAAATGAAATAAAATTTTTCTATATACTTTCCATATTTAATAAGCAACTAAAACCAGGAAACTGGAATGATGTTGGGAAGTGAGACAGGGTCTCCTTCTACATCTTTGTGGAGCCAGATATTTCATCTCTGGTTGTCTGCACATTTTTTTTTTTCATTTATGTCTGTCTCTCCACCCCTTCCCTTCGATCTCTAATCCATCTCCATATAGTATTTTACTGCTTCTTCATATTTATATAACAAAAGATGGCTATCCATAGCTTCCTAGTTTAACTCTCCCTCAAATAACACTTGACCCATTTCAGTTTTAGGGGCTTGGGCCTAGCTATAATGACAGCCATAAAAATTTAACCCGCCAAATTTTATTCAAGTCTTTTCCTAACCATTTAAATGGCCCTCACTATAGGCCTAAATCTCCTACTTCGAAAAAACCTGCCTAGTTCAGCAGACTGCCAATGGACATCCAAACTCATTCAAGCAATAAAAGGAATCTTGACTAGGTTGAAGGATTCATTCTAATTAAATCAATTCCTTTGTCCCATTCATCACTCATTCTCTTTAAATAGCTATGCCAATTTATTTTGCCTTACTATAAGATTTATAACCTTGTGTTTATAGTGGAAAAGAAATGGAAAGGTAAGGTGAAAAGAAAGTTTCAAGCTCAACAAAGAAAAAGTATTTTGCCCAGTTTTCGCTTATAGCAATGTAAAATCTTTAGGCAAGATATCCTGAGTTATAATTTTTTTAATCACTATGATCTAAATATTCTCCTTTTTTTCTCCCCGAAATGTTCATCTTCTTGTTATTACCGCTGGTTGTCAAGAAGACACTAGATCCCGGCTTTCTACAAAAAAAGCTGGGGAAAAAATACCCCACGACATTATTTAACAAAAATGACAACAGAATTTTAAGAAACAGATTTTGTCTTTTTGATATTCTTTTTCCTTTTCACTTACTTCTAAATGAAAAATAACAACCAGAGATACTAGCTGAGAAAGCATACGATGAATGTCACTGCTCATCGGGCTTTCACCTGGACCACTGTTGTCTTTCTCCAGTCTATCCCACACTGACAGAGTTTAAAAACACAAATGCTTTGACACTCTTCCCATTGTGATATGAGGTCCACAGCACCTCTCCTTTAATCTGGGCAAGTTTATAACTGCTTTTACCGCTAGAATATACTATGTGGCTTCCACAACTAGGTCATAAAAATATCTATCCAGGCTTTCACCTTCCTTACTGGTACACTTGCTCTTGGAGCCCTAAACAACAGTGTAAAACTGCTGACTTGGGGTGGAGTCATGTAGATTCCCCCATCAACATTCCTAACTATGTCCATTCTTTTGCCATCCACTCTACCTGCTAGAGATGTGAATAAAGAGATCATTTTTAAAGGGTGTCCTCCAGCCCAAACTGTTTCAGCCTTCACCCCTTCAAATTGCCTCCAGTAATTGAGTCATACCATGAGCATAATAAAATGATTATAGCTTTGGAGACCTGACTTGTGCAGTAGTTTGTTACACAGAAATAGATAACTGGCCCACATTTCAAAGCTTTAGTTGTTGCTTTTGATTCCTGAACAACGTCTTCATTAACAAAACATTGACAGCCAGTTATCATGTGTAAAGGATGTGATAAACTTTACAGTAAGGTGTTAATAGGTGATAACCCAATATAAGCCTCTGAGCCTCCAGCTTCCTCATTATTAAATCAGGAGTATGTGCTATATAGTCTCCTGGATTCTTTTCACTTTGGATCTTTGCAGGACTCATGAGATGTGCCTTAATTTAGAGAATAAAGCACCAGTGGTAGCACTCATGGATGCATAATTTAATTTTCAAATATTTAGCTTAGAATCTCTCAAATATATCATTAGGTTGTCATTCTCATCAGTTTGCTCTGACATTAACTCTAGTCAAGAGACTGTCAATTCAACATTTTCTTAACGGGAGCAGTATACCTCTACATCTCTTCCCTAATTATTCCTTAAATAAGATGTGTGATTTTTGATGAACCATCCAGGTACTTTCCTTCTTCACAATAATTCAGAGAAGCAGTTCTCTCAGGACCATACTAATGCCATTAGTGTCTGTAATGTTGGGCCAGAAGTATTTCTAGTTATTTCCTCTGGAAGGCAAATAAAAATGCTTGGGAAGTTTCCTAAGGATCAGATTTACTCAAGCAGTATTTTGTCCCAATGCATTCATTTGTTCATCACTAGAAATGGCATTATATCGTCATTAATTCCTATATTAATTTTTATATTAAAGAAGATGCATTTCTGAATACTTCTAAAAATTCTACTTTAAAATAGATTTTGCTTTAAATAAAGGTGCTTCTTTTCCCCTCTTAAAAGTTAGTGCAGTGAAGAAATTACTCTAGTTTGCTAGGACATTTTTTTCTTTCTTAAACAAGTATTCCTAGTTATTTGTTCATTTAATTATTGTTATTACATAGCTAAAGATTTCTTTTTTTTTCTTCAGATTTTAAAATCTCTCTTTCCTAGTGGTAGACCACTGACCCTTAGTGAAAGGAACGAAACCAGTGAATTTAGGTCATTAGCATCTGAATGGAAACAGATTGTGACAGTTAACCAAGTTACACTACCCATTAAAGTTTAAAATCTGCTTTTCTGAAAATCCTGAGGTAACCCTCACACCACAGATTGCATGTGTTGTTCTTTTAAAAGCGGAGAATGACATTAAAATAACTATGAAATTATTTTTGAATGGGAACATATTGAAACTTATCATTATCCAACTCTGGTGCTTTGACTAAAATATAAAACACTTTTGCTGAAGCATTGAAGTTCTCATTAAGTAGCCCTGGCTTAGTCAAAGCGCAATTGTTGACCTTCTGTGCTTAAGGCATGTGCTGTTCCATACAGATAGAGGCTTTTCTACCACACTCTTCTTGATGGTTCATAATGGAGTGGCATGTGCATGTCAGGAAAAGAACAGACCTTAATTTGAAATATTAAGTAGTATACGCACATAAAAAGCCTTCATTAAAATATTAAAAGTTTGTTAAACCCATAAGAGCTAAGAGATGTGTTCCTATGAGAGGAAAATTCCAACCTCGAGCTCTCTCCATATCTTAATTTCTGACATTTGTTAATAAGAAAGTACATTAACTTAGAAAGTCATTTTATCCAGTAGCTACTAAAGTGCTACTAGACTACCAGAGGATTAGTTCACACTTTACTTTTTGCGGAACACAACAGAGGAGTACAATATACAGTCATTGTATCCCTGAAAGTGCCAAACTTACAAACTTAAGGCTCATTTTGTCATCATGAGCTAAATGGAGGATTGGCGGGGGAGTGTCCTCACTATAACAATTTTCACCAAGGCATTGATAGCCTCATCAAGATTTTGATATTATAACGATGTCAATGGACAGTTAGATGCTCATATTTTCAACCTAAATTTGGGAAGCACTTACCATCAGAAAGTGCCTAAAACAGAGGGCTTTGAGTCTCCAGTTTTGACTTTTTTTTTTTTTTTTTTTTTTGAGATGGAGTCTCACTCTGTCACCCAGGCTGGAGTGCAGTGGTGTGATCTCGGTTCACTGCAACCTCCACCTCCTGGGTTCCAGGGATTCTCCTGACTCAGTCTCCTGAGTAGCTGGGACAACAGGTATGCGCCACCCCGTCTGCCTAATTTTTCAGTAGAGATGGGATTTCACCATATTGGCCAGGCTGGTCTTGAACTCCTGACCTTGTGATTTGCCCACCTCGGCCTCCCATAGTCCTGGGATTACAGGTGTGAGCCACCGCAACTGGCTGACTTTTTAAAATATAAAACAACATATCTAAAGACTAATTTTTATATTAGTCATTAAATGAACTTAGTAATTTCTATATTTAAAAAGATGCATTTCTGAATACTTATAAAATTTTAACTTTAAAGTAAATATAGCTTTAAACACAGGGTTTTTCCCCCTCTTAAAAGTTAGCATCATGAAGAAATTACTCTCATTTGTTAAGTAACAGGTATCAAAAAAGTGGTAATATTTATATATACCTAATCTTTAGATATTGTTATCTTAACAATTTAAAAATCATATTACATCCTGAAATCCACCATAGTGCTTGAAAGGCACCTGAGACATAATTCAAGGGCTATTTGTTTAATATATAAATTTGTAAAATGCTTTACTTCTGCTGAGTACACTTTAATAGTATCATGAGGATAAACATTGAGGGAATAGCAAGTATTGCTCCAGTAACAACTAGGCTAGGGAGGACTTCGTGGATTTACAAAAAGGAAGAAAAAGTTCACAAATTGGTAACAAAGTAATATGTGAAAATTAATGTATTCGTTTTGCTAGAGCTGTCACAAAAATTACCACAGATGGGTGGCTTAAGGAACAGAAATTTATTTGGTTACAGTTCTGGAGAAGTGTAAGATCAAGGTATTATTCTGATGCCCCTCTCCTTGGCTTCCAGATGGACACTCTCTCCCTGTGTCCTCACACATTCTTTCCTCTGTTCCTGCACAGGGTTTTGGTGTTTCCCTGAGTGTCTAATTTTCTTCTTTTTGTGAAGACAACAGTCAGATTGGATTAGGTCCCCCCTAAAGATCTCATTTTAATGCAATCACATCTCTAAAAACCTTATCTCCAATACAATCACATCCTGAGATACTAGGAGTTAGAATTTCAACGTATAAACTGGGGAGACACATTTCAGCCCATAACAACTAGTTTCTCAACTTCAAGGCCGCAGAAACCCACAATGTTAAAAATGGAATTTTGAAAAAACTGAGGTTTTATTTCTTTGGAAATATATTAGGAAGAGACATTGAGGTCTTTAGATATTCAGAAACTATAATAAATTTGCAAACAGTACAAGAAAATTGTGTAATCAATAAAAGTAGGCCTTGTATCAACTGCAAAAGCAACAAATTAATGTCATCGTATTATACTATCAAAATAAAGCATCACTCTGCTGGAACAAAAAGTTGTTTCACAACCTATTTGAGAGAAGAGAAGGGGAAGGTATGAACTGAGCAATAATCAATTGCTATATATGGCTACATATGAAATCTCACTTCCAGAAGATAGATGTGGGAGCTTGGGAGGAAAGGCAAAGTCAAATGCTAATTACTAGCCTAAGGCTTACCAACCCTTACAAACCAACAGGGCTTTCTTGCTGGACCCTACTTTCTACTCCCTAGAATGACCATATGTTCCAATTTGCCAAGGACTATCCCAAGTTATATCTGTTGTTTCTCAGTCTTATGACTGGTTAGCATCCCCTCTGACAATCAAAATTATCCTTGTTTGTATGATGTGATCATCTATCATTATGGCCCCTTCTCCCACAACATGCATATAAACCCACACAAATAGCAAGTATTTGAGGTTTGGAAGACCTGGTCTCCCATCCTCAATAGATACCACCCCCTCCCCATACTTGCTTATCCAACCTCTTTCCCTTTTGACCAGTGAAGAGAAGCTGAAAGATCTCAAGTTCTGTTTTATCTATCTTTGATGTATTAGTCTGTTCTCTGAGACTGGGTAATTTATAAGAAAAGAGATTTAATTGGTTCATGGTTCTATAAGCTGTACAGAAAGCATAACACTGGCATCTGCTTCTGGAGAGGCCTCTGGAAGCTTACAATCATGGCGGAATGCAAAGAGGGAGCAGGCACATCACATGGCAAAAGCAGAAGCAAAAGAGAGAGAGATGGGAGAGGCACCACACACTTTTAAAGGACAAGATCCCTCCTCACTCACTATTTCCAGGACAGCACCAAGGGGATGGTACTAAACCATTCATGAGAAATCCACCCTCATGATCCAATTGCCTCTCACCAGGCTCCCAACTCCAACATTGGGGATTACCTTTCACCATGAAATTTGGGTGCGGACACAGATCCTAGTCATAGCACTTGATAATACAACCTAGGTTCTGAAGAGAAAGAAGAAGAGTTCCTGTAATATTTTGCAAATTCTCAGATTTAATCTCAACAGTCATCAAGGTATAATAGAAAGAGGACTGGACCAGAAATAATATCAGAATTCTGGTCCCTACTTTTTTAGTTGTTAGTCCTGAGACTTTTTACACATTATTTAAACTGTTTAAGCCTTACTTTCCTCATTCATATCAAAGGAATAGGGTGGATAGGGGAGCATGATATCCATCCTGCCTATTTCAGTGTCCTAAAGAATCAAATGAAATACTGGCTAAACACTTTAAACATCCTTTAAGCATCATATGAATGGTAGTTGTTATTATTCTTATAATCAGAGAGAGAAATAGACAGCATAATAATTAGATGGGTTTATTTAAAGGCCTTATCCACGACATTAGAAGTGCCCTCTAGGAGCCATATCTTCTCACTTCCAGACCACCATTTTCTCATTACTGTACTTTCACCGTGAGGATTCATATGAGTAAGGTGAAAGGACAGAAGCTGAATTAAGGATTGCGTGTCTGAATATACTGCAGAATTAAGGATGAATGATTGAAAAACCTACAAGTTCAGAGAGGAGGAAAGGTGAAGTGAGATAAAACTGTAAAAGTACTTGATAAGCTTCCCAGTCAGGTCTTCAAGGGCATTGGGACATTTAAGTGGTGATACGTTAGTATCCTATGCTTTTTATACTTTGATTCCGGGGAAAGGGAAGTTGGGGAATGAGAAGAGGGAGAATAATAAAAGAGAAAGGAGACTGTAAAAACAGCAATGGAAAGACATTTAGCCTTTGCTTCGCCCGTTTTGACTTTTTTTAAAAGAGGACACAGCAAAATGAGAATCAAGATGTGGGACTATATTCATCAACATAGGCCTGGATGTATGAGAGATTACCTTGACTTATTTGTTTTTAATGTGTTTATATGTTTCTTCAAGAAAAAAAATATATAAAAATATACAGTTTTGTCCCTAGAAAGACTGTTGCCTAATACTCAATCGGGTGAAAAAATAAAATAATACATGGTGAATCTGGAAAAAAAAAAGGACTTACCAACATATATTCTAGCACAATATTCCCCACTTTTCACTAGCCATCCCATTGGCTTCTTTTTTATCTGTCGTAAAATTCTCACCATTCCTATATCCACAATTTAGTTTAACCTGGAGATATATCTAACTATGGATATAATGTATGTGCTCCAGTTTCCAAAAAGTAATTCTATGAAGTTGCCAGCTGGCCAGCAGAGTAAATGGTGTCTTCACTTGTGTATTCTGAACTTAAAAGGTCATGTTTAAATTGATAGTGACTATCCAAACCAATTAGAGAAGGATTAGATAGTGGAAGGATTTAAAAGATTTGCAGAAATAAATAAATAAGAGCCATGAGAAAGTGCATATCATGAATAAGAAGAAGCCAGGAGGTAAAAATAGAAAAGCAAAAAGTAGCCACAAGTAAAAGCAGAGAAACAAGTGGAACAATAGAGTGATTAGTAAAGGGAGCAATGGGCATTTGCCTACAATGGGACAACTAAAAATCTACGGAGACACGAAGAACTCCTTGAGGGCTTGGGATTTGATTACTGAAGCAGCTTCTTGTACTTTCCCTCTTCTCCTGTAAACCTACAATGAACTCCCATCATAACGGGAAATCTAAGCATGTTTATTTCTTATCACTTGGAAGTAACATAATAATGCAATGGGAAAGTGTAAAGAAAATGCATGTGTTTGTGCTGGGCAGCATTTACAAGTCAATTTTTCTTTAGAATTTAACCAGGATAAGAACTCAGAACTTTTAACCTTCAGAACCATATTAATCTGTTCCAAGTCTTTCATCTTACTGTTAATACACTGTTAAGTATAACTTTTCCCCCATCATGAGTCAATATTTTAAAACAGTACTTAGCTTAAGAGAAAAATGTCACTTAATAAGATAATATCATCTCTCTCAGGTACGCTGAAGTGCCCTCTTAGTTCATTAATGTAAATCAAAGTAAGTACATTAAGCTACTAGTCATAAAAAAGTTCAAACCAAAACACAAATGAAATAAGATAATTCTCTAACATACTTTTCCCAACCAGTATTTGATCTATAACTCTCAAGACTTCAACTGATTAATATCGTCTGCCATAAAAACACCCATGATGGAAGCCAAACGGTTTTAAGAAATTCTTATTTCACTTCTCCTAGATTAACTCTTACACAGGGTTGAAAAGATATCCCTTGACCACTAGCTATGTTCAGAACCACTTCTGCCATATATGGTTGGTCAAGTAGTCACAAAGCCTGCTCAGAGTCAAGGAATAGAGAAATAAACTCTACGTCTTGGTGAGAGAGTGGAACATCACATTGCAGAAGAGCACACAGGATGGGAGGTCTCTGGTCATCTTTGGATAATACAATCTGTCAGCCTCCAAAGTTAAAATGTGAGCACAGATATATTTTACAAAATATCTTCTGCATTTTTTTGTATTTTTATAGTATTTTCACAATACTTGGCATGCAACAAATATTTTTGCAACAAGTTTTATTTTTCAAGCAAGCTTTGAAATATTTCTAGTATGGCCACACAGTGTACAAAAAGTAGAGGTGCTATTTTTTGGGGGTGGGGTTAGATATAGACAAGAGGATGTTATCTATAAAATGTGGTTTAAATTTCCAACTGCAGTAAGGTTATTGTTTGCCTTATGTTTTCCTTGATGAAAGTGGCCAGGAAGACTTCCATTCTGAAAACTTCACCTTCTAAAAGCCTCAAGTGGTGAATACTATTTCCACGATTACATAACTAGATTTGATCTCTGGGTGTGGACCATGCATGTTCTTAACCTGAGGTTGATTTTTCTCTCCTCTAAGGATGCATAAAAATTAGTTTCTAAAGGTTCCTATAAACTTTCATCAGACAAGTAGTATTAAAGGAAAAAAGCAAAAAACAAACAAAAACAGCCTTCAGTATTCCAGATGAAGAACCTCCTTTCGATTGTTACCAAGGAGACCTCATCTGAAGCCTCCCTCTGTGCTTGACATGCATTGGCTCATATTCATCACTCTTGACAGTCTCATATGTGTCACTGTCCAGTAAAAATCCTATCTGTTACTATTAATAAGCTACCCTTTGCCATATTGATTAGGTGCTTATCTGAGGTTTACAGACAACAACCTCTCTGCTTGTCTCAGAAGCCTCATATTAGTCAGAATGGTACCCCTAACTCTTTACTCCCTATCTTCCTGACTTTAGGTACACACAGCTTTGACCTTAGATATTTTCTTTGTACCTCTGTCTTAGCACTCAAATCCAGACATTTTCTTGAACCTTGTTACAGTGTTAACTCTCAGACAACCACACTCTGCTCCATGCATTCCATATCCGGCACTTTCCAGAAGTCGTTTGGGTATGGCTACTCTGCCTAAACTACAGATGGTAGAAATGTCCGAGCCAACACGTGGGGCTTCTAAATAACACGCACACAATAAATTTTAAAAAGATGCACACAAATATCCCATTTTCGACATGACCTAACTCCATTTCTTGATAACAATAACATAGTTAAGTGAAACTGGCACAAAACTATTAGATCTAGTCCAGTAAATCAGTGGTATGACACACAAAGTAGATATTAGGAGGGAAAGGAGAAGCTTGTTCCCAGCTTAGCTGTAAACTGTGCTCAAAGATTCAGATGCTGCAGTAACTCCCTAGAGAGCCGATGGGTGGAGCCCGCTAGGAATTTATTTCATTGACATGTCCACCTCGAAAGCAGTTTATCCAAAGAATGAGGCATGCAAGCTCAATTTGAGAACGACATCAATTTAGAAAGAGGAGGCAGTTATCAATAGGTGCTTTATGTGAGTTTCATGGCCTCACATTTGTATTCTAGGAAAATTGACTTCCAGAGAAAATAAAAGCTGTTTTCACCAAAATCTCCATGAGATATTGGGACCATGAAGTCCAACATGAAGTGGCTACTCTGGTTGCTTATATCTGGGACATATGTATCCAAGCATACCACAAAGGTGGGAGAAAGGGCTTCTCTTCCCCTAAGCATAGAACAGAATGGCCACATGGTGATTCCTCAGCTTCAACAATAACTTCAGTTTTGGCGCAGCAAAGCAGCTTCAGTTCAATAGAATATTGACATTGCTCAGTTCCAGTGATTTTTATCCAGAGACTATGACAATATCAGCAGCCTTAGAGTTCCTTTGAAGGATTGTGTGGACTTTGATTATTTTAGCAGCATACAATGCCTTAGAAGTATGGACCAACAATGAGGGCAAAAATGAAAATTTTAAAAGTTACACAGAGGTCCCAAAATAATTGGTGGAACTTTGAGATGGGCTACAGTTTCCACAGTAGAAATTAAGGAAGATACGGAAAACTATTGTTTGTCATTTTTAAGCTTAGTCCATATTGGTTTCTTCATATAAATATTTTTTAAAAAACAAGATATGATTTAAGATGTAGAATTGAGAAAAGCCCCAGCAGAACATGGCGATGAATGTTAAACATTGGCTTCTCTAACCCTATAACTTTGCAATCTCTTCCTTGCCTACCTTTTCATCTTTCCTTATTTTGTTTATACACATGAAGGATATTGGATGATGGAGCCACTGACCTATGCCTCTGCACAAAATAGATCCATTATATGCATATAAAAAAGAGAATGCATAAAAACAAACACCATGCGTAAAATTAGAAGAAAACATTTCAGTAGTACATTCAGTTAAAGTTGCTGTTCTTATTTAGGATGCTATTATAGCTTCTTTGCTAGAATGTTGATTTCTAGAATTGTTCGCTGCTAGCAACTCACCATAAAATTCAAGAAGTGTGTCATATAAGATCTCATCAAATACAACAATTAATCAGATTCTTTTAATTCTCTGCATACATTTTCTCAAAATAACACGTAGTATCCTTAAGAAAATGAGTTCTAAAATATGATCAAAGCAAAAATAACCTGTTTCTGATGGAAGCATAAAGTCTCTAGCAAGTACCTTTCTAACTCATATAAACAGAGACAAATAGGTTAATTTTGTTTATTGTTTTATTTTTAACAGCTCTCAGCAGGATCTCATTTACACATTTTTTTTTTTACTATAACTCTCTTTTAAAAGGGTATTTCCTCAAGACAAAGAAACTTCCTGGCATAATTGGCATGAGCATGTTATGTGAAATTGAATTATGTTAGCCAGCATTTCTCTAATTACCATTTTTTCATGGGCATCCATTTTTCAACAATAATATTAGAAAAATAATTAATACCTCAGGACAAGGACCTGAACTTTATGCAAATATAGATTAGAAAAGTCCAAATTATTTTTTAATGAGCTATATGTATTATGTCTCCCTATCTAGAGTTCATCTGGACCATGGCATTAAATAAGCTTAGAGTTAATTAAGCGTATTATAACTATTCCTGGCTTCTGCCATTATTAGTATGAATCTGCCAGCTCAGAGGCACGCAGCAAACATGAAAATACTTTATCAACACCCCTCTCCAAAACACCTTGAAATATTTCAGTCCTGTCTATACTCTTGGGATAATTCTAGAAGCTCAAACCTATTGGACCCATTTTGAAATCCATTACTTTTCTATTTATATAAATATGAATTTCAGGAATAGAGGAGGCTTTCTTTGTAGATGTTGATTTATATTAATAAGAGCTATTGCCAAACAACTGCTCTCAAGCACATGCACACACGAAGGTAGGATATCTCTTGCTGCAGAGATATTGGCTCAGGCAGCAGATTAAATGAATAGATTTGCTTCATATTTGAGTGTGCTAAATTGAATACAAGTCATAATAGAAAATCTCAACATGCAAATGAAATCAGAAGAGCTTTTCTAATTTTCAGGAAGTGAATGACAGAATCACCCTTTCAGTTTAAAAAAAAAAAATCTTCAGACCACTCATTAATAGCTGATCACATTTTGGCACTAGCCAAACTAATTGAATTTAAACCTACTCAGAGGTTGTGTTAGTTAGAAGAGTGAACCCTGTTGGAGCAAGTCATTTTAAAATCCACCCAAAATTTGAAAGAACTATTACTTACATAAGATAATCCTATGGATGGAGAGGAGCAGTGCCATGAATATCAAGAGAAAAGCAATAGACATCCATCTTCTATTAGGAGCTCAGCAGGGAAAGGAATAAAAGCAGAGTCAAGATGCATTTTCCATGGGGCTGGTTCAAATTCTGTCATAAACCCTAAGGCCATATTTCAACAGCTGTGGCAAAATTTTTTATAGGGGAATGATTTGACATTTGAAGAGTTATCTTTCCAGTCTCTTCCGTGTAATTCTGTGATGAAACAACAAACTCAGGCACCCTGGAGAGGGCCTGGAATATCAAAAAACCAATAGATTGTGGATTCAGACAAACCAGACTTTAAGTACAAGCATAGCCATTCACTACATGAGTTACCTTGGAAAATCAGTTAACTTTTCTCAGCCTTAGTTCTTCCTACAGAAAGAGAATTCACTAAACAAACAGAGGCATCAAAGGTCATGTACCCAGCAAATATTTTGAAACATAATAGGCATTCAATAATTATTTGTTCACTCATCTCCTTTTCTTCAGATATTATCTTCACCCTAATTTTTATGCTATTAGCTACTGTTCAAAAACTTCAGTTGCTTCATGCGATTTTGCCTTCAGTCTCGTATATTCTACTTTTATCTCAAGGTGCTCATCAGTTTGACCATATAATATATCTTTCGAAATACCTCAAGACCTTCTCTCCCCACAACCTCACTCCATTCTTCCTCTAGGGCTGGGGGAAGAACAGAACAATAGACAAATGGAATTAATAAGAATAGGCTATTGTACCAGAAGGTGGAATTTCTGTTGGGAAGAATAAAGGAATCATAATGGCAGCTAGACCCATGCAAACACACTCCTGTCTCTCATTAAATACTCTCCCCCTTAGAATTCCATGTGGCTGATAGGTTTCTTTTCTTATTGGAAGAGAAACACCCACAACTCTGGAGGAAGAGTTCAGGAAAAAGGAACTAAGAGACAGGATAGTGAGGCCCATACATTATTTAGGGCAAGGTAGTCCTCATGATACATATGAAGTACCGGTTTGTTCTCTGGAGGGCTGGATACATAAGCATTTCAGAGCCAAATCAGTAATTATTCTTTTTCTTTTTGTGAAATGATATCTGTGCACATGGGACTCAAGTTGAGATGGTCAAGGGGGGCTGCAACTGCTGTATGAGACAGGTAGAAATCTCAAAGTTTTGATCCTGTCCACATGCTATCACTGCCCTTCTAATAGTTACGTGAATGTAGCCTAGCTTTCTTGAGTTACATACAAAAGTTCACAATATTATAAAATATGATTTTATACCTTTACTAAACCATAAAGGTTTAGTACCTTATAAAGAAATTTTGAACTTCTTTCCCAAAAATGAGTATAAAATATTTGTTCATATCATTTACAAAAACTCTCTTAGGTTACACATTCAGGTAACTATTTATAGACACTAATTTTCGATGGACCAGTACGGTCAGCTACACAATAGCCCCTCAAAATATTTATATCCTAATCTCTGGAATGTTTGGATGTTTTCTTACATGGCTAAAGGAATGTTGCAGATGTGATTTAATTAAGGATCTTGAGGAGGGGCAATTATCTTACCTTATATCATGGACCCTAAATGTAACCATCAGTGACCTTATATGGAGGAGACAGAGAGAGTTTGTTACAGGAGATGATGTGAGGGTGCTGCTGATTTTGCAGATGAAAGAAGGGGTCCGGAGTCGAGGCATGCATCTCTAGAAATGAAAAAGATAAGGGATCACATTTTCCCAGAGAACCTCCCTAAGGAATATGGCTTTGGCGATACCTTCGTTTTGTCCCAAAGAAACCCACTTTGAGATTCAGGCCTCCAAATCTATAAAAGAATACATTTCTGTTTCAAGTTGACTAAATCTGTGGTAATTTGTTACAGCTACAATGGGAAGCCAATAAAGTCAGAAATGTTCTAACCAAATAGCAACTGAAGATTAAACAATTTATAATTTGAGTAGGTGAACAGAAACTAAAGCTTTTCCCAAAACCTCCAAACTTGATTAGCTGCTTTCACAGCATAGCATAATCCTCTTTCACTGCATCTCTCACATACAGTGAAACTTAATTATTTAGTTGTCTCTCTTCTCCAAAAACCAGAAAGTCCATGAGAGCCTGGTTTCATACCTGCCTTGCTCATCTCTGTATCCCTAAAGTCGAGCACAGGAGCTGACACATAGCAGCATCAATAAACATTTGTTGAAACAATGAATATGTGAATGAGAAAATGAATGAATAAATAAATTGCTTAAGAATGGTGCCAAGCAAGGAGAAGCAAAATGAGGCAACACAGGCAAAAGAGAATTACCTTACACAAGTAAACTGTTGTCAGTATAGGGAAGAAAGCCAATGGATTCAGGGGATTTTTTCATGCTCCTCTTGATCATCTTTTGCTAAGTTTCAAGAAGCAAAGCACAAAAAGACAGCCAAATGAAATCAAAGTTTTGTATTATTTATAAACTTTTAAACAGACCTTAAATTATAAAATGTAAGCATTTATAGATGAGCGTAGGATCAAACATTTAAATATTTGAAAGCAATCTAATTCAAATTGTATTTTAAATACATTTCATTGTAGTATATAATAGAAATACTATTATTATACTGTTATATTGTGTTATTATATGGTCTAAACGATGATTCTTAGTAACAAATTACAAATACAGTACTTTTACCATTTTACACAAGCCAATAATCAATAGCCGAATTCAACATGGAATTTGTATCTTTATACTCCGAATGTTTCATGTACCACAAATGGTTGTGTTTCCTGTCTCCTCACAGGAAAGACAAACAACATTCACTAAAGTTTTATTCTCCTTGACAATCAGCACTTCTCTAAAACACACTCAAAGACATAGAAATGGGTGATTCTGCTTTGACAGCACCTAAACCATCTGCGTGGTAGGGTTGTTTGTCCAGTGACTTGCTCCTTGCAATTACTAATATTGCTCAGTAAAGAGGGCTAAGTTTTTCACTCTTTCTAATATATGTAAAAACCTTGTTTGTAAAATATTTTACTATCAATATATGCATTTCAATCATAGCCAGTCTATGTATCCCAAGCTAAATTCTTTCTTCAAACAGAAGTTCATATCCTGGAATATTTTGCGCCTGTTAATTTGAAAGCAAAATTTGGATCTGAAACTTTTTTTAAATTTTTATCTAAGCACTTCTTTGCAGCTGTTCAAACTAGTATGATAATATGAAAATCACATATCATTTATTCAGGAGGGAAATTAACTTTTATAATAATATACATTTCAGAAATTTTCCATGTAGATAAACATTGTTTTTGTCCCCAAATTTAGATTCTCTTTACAAAGATTTGTTCTGTCACTGAATTCTTCTTTCTGTAGTTTGAGAGCTATATATGAATACACAAATAAACTGGAGCAGTAGTCATTCATTGGAAAGCAATACTAATACTAATATTAATGCCATTTGTATCTTACAAAGAACTTCTCAGAGTTAATTATAATATATAGTATTATATGCAAGTAATTATCACTTGCATATAATATAGAAAAGTATGCCTGCTTCAGTATAACCAAAGCTGAATTTGAAAATATTTCCAGCACAAAATCCATTTTTAAGTATTGGTGATCATTAAAAAGTCAGGAAACAACAGATGCTGGAGAGGATGTGGAGAAATAGGAACGCTTTTACACTGTTGGTGAGACTGTAAACTAGTTCAACCATTGTGGAAGACAGTGTGGCGATTCCTCAAGGATCTTGAACCAGAAATACCATTTGACCCAGCAATCCCATAACTGGGTATATACCCAAAGGATTATAAATCATTCTACTATAAAGATACATCCACACGTATGTTTATTGCAGCACTGTTCACAATAGCAAAGACTTCGAACCAACCCAAATGCCCATCAATGATAGACTGGATAAAGAAAATGTGGCATATATACACCATGGAATACTGTGTAGCCACAAAAAAGGATGAGTTCATGTCCTTTGAAGGGATATGGATGAAGCTGGAAACCATCGTTCTCAGCAAACTAACACAGGAACAGAAAACTAAACACTGCATGTTCTCACTCATAAGTGGGAGTTGAACAATGAGAACACATGCACACAGTGAGGGGAACATCACACACTGGGGCCTGTTGAGGGGTGGGGGGTTATTGGAGGAATAGCATTAGGATAAATACCTAATGTAGATGATGGGTTGATGGGTGCAGCAAACCACCATGGCACATGTATATCTATGTAACAAACCTGCACATTCTGCATATGTATCTCAGAACTTAAAGTATAATTAAAAATAATAGAATAAAATAAGATAAATAAAGATTGTTAGCCATTAACAAATGACTCTTTAAGAAACAACACACATTTTGATTAGGAGCAAGGAAATGTGGCGAAGATTGTAAAAATTCCCATCAGATTTTAACATTAATACATTGGTCAGGCTAAGAGTTAAATCAATGAAGGATGAGTGATGAGAAAACTTCAAGTATACCAAGAGAATCTGGGCTAAAGTACAGAACCATAACAAAGAAGATCTGCCAAAGAAAAGGAAAGAAAAAAAATCACAGAATGGTACCCTCAATTTCACTGGTCATCTGCTAGAATATTTGTTTTAAGATCTTGATTTCTGGGTTTAAAAGATCACCAAGGCTGGGCATGGTGGCTCACACCTGTAATCCCAGAACACTGAGAGTCCAAGGTGAGCAGGTCACTTGAGCTCAGGAGTTCAAGACCAGCTTGGGAAATAGGGCAAAACCCCATCTCTACAACAAATACAAAAATTAGCGAGGTGTGGTGGTGCGTGCCTGCAGTCCCAGCTACTTGAGAGGCTGAGGCAGGAGAATTGCTGGAGCCCAGGAGGTCGAGGTTACAGTGAGCCATGTTCGTGCCACTGCACTCCAGCCTGGGCAACAGAGTGAGACCTCCATGTCTAAGGAAAAAAAAATCATCAATTTTCTTCTCACTCTAATACATCATGGTAATAATGACCTGAATTATGTTTCTGTTAAGGCCATCTTTTAACAGGAAGATAAACGAGAAAAGAATAACTTCACATTAACACAACGGTACTTATAAAATTTAAAAAGTGATTATTATCAAGCTTCCTATTTCCTTTATAGATACAAGAAGAAATACAATTCAATTTGGAGTTGACAAGAAATTGTAAAAAAGCAATCGCTTATTTTGAACATGGACTCTGTAAACATATTTGAGCTGCTGAATACTTCACATGTATAGCTCTGCCAGATTTTAGTGGTCTTTAGTCTCAGTTTGGCACCTCTAAAGTTCACACAAACTGTTTCAAAAGGGAATTTGCAAAACAAAGAAAGATCAAAGTACATTTAAATATGTGGATGAGGCTGAAGTATCTGTCAGTGGAAAAGATCTCCAAGATAGAAACTGTGATCTTTAAAAGACAGTTTCTGTTCATCAGCAGAACCCCAAAAAAAATCGTTTTGTTCCAGAAGATGAAACCAAGGCATTTTACAGTTAGATTTGGACGATGGGCTTCCTAATTAATTCATGACTTCTAGCTCTGTATGGTAACATTTCTAATCCATTTCTTGAAGAAGAATAACACCACACAATGAAAAGTTGAATTTATTAAGAGGCCAACATTAGGAATGGGCAGAGACTTAGAATTCATGTAATAAAACTATCTCATGTTACAGGCATGGAAAGGAAGGCGTAGGGAGGGAAAGTGACTTGCCAAAAAGATGACACAACCTTTCCTCTAAAAGGAGGAAAGAGACTCCTCATCTCCATACCCCCTGCCAAGTCCCCCTTCCCCTAATATTAAAGCACAACAAAGAGCAATTGAATGTGAGTGAATGATCTACCATACGTCATACTTGAGTTTTGGCAGCATTTCACTACTTTTTGAAACCATAGTGATCTGAGTTACTAAAGATTGACACTACTATTTCGGTGAAGTTTATTGTTCACATGAAACCATTACAAAGTATAGTAAGAGACAGAACAAATTTGATTTTGAAGTTGACTTTTTGTGCTTAGAGCATGTGATGAGGGAAAATGTTCTGACAGTTCAAGCTTACTCAAGCTTAATGACAGATCTAAATTGGAGCTTGGAGATAAAAGAAATTCTTTAGTGATGCCTCAGTTGTCATTGATTGCTATGAGCAATTTTAAAGCTATTCAAGATGAGAATTGCCAGCTTGGTTCTGAAAGGGGAGAAAGTGGTACATAAGATTAGAGGCTGGTACAAATGCTATCTTGGTTTAAAAAGAGAGAGGACAGTTTAGTATCACACGCATAGGTGATAATCGTGACTACATATAGACATTTATCAGCAGGAAATGACTCAATGAATGTTTAGGGTAGTGTAAGCACCAGCTGTTCTGAGGAAGATGAAAATGAAAAGCAGCTTCACTTATAAGGATCACCAGCAGCAACATGGCTGGGGAGGGAGGGGGAAGAAAGTGGTTGCTAAAGCTGAGAGCTAATAAAAAATAATAATAAACTATCTTCATAAATTACAGGATATCGTCCTTCTGCCTGCTGAAAATCATGGAATTAAAAAGATATAGAGTCCATTCTGAGAAATTCAATTTCATCAAATGGAAAGTGAAAGCATCTCCAATTCTATATATACACTGAAGCCTTCATGCCCCATTTACACTACTTGTATCGAATCCCGTAATAGGTTTCTGCCTATTGAGTCCAAATAAATGGTGGTTATCAAAATGTTCTATTTTTAACTGATCTTTTAAGTTGCTTTCTCTTTAGTATTTTTCCTGATAAAATATCCTAATTCCTTAAGGCTGTTAATTAATTGATGTGCTTTCCCCTAAATAATAGTATAGTTCATTTAAAGGTAGGAGCCAGAAACAGAAACATTCAGCAATCTTTAAGATGTTTTTTTTTTTTTTTTTTTTTTTTTGACAAAAAGAGTTCTATCTACAGGTAAGATAGAGGGCCCCGGAAAATAATATAGCCCCAGCGGAGATTTTTCCACTGGAGCACACATCTCTTACCTGTTTGTTATCCTCTAAATATACTGTGCATATTCACACTCAGTGCCTTTTTAAAAAATGAAGCTGTTCGTCTACATAAAAATGGCTTTTCCAAGACTATTCACCTAGTGTATATAACTCATTCTCTAATTCTTAACTCCAACGTCACTTTAGTGACCGGAAATCACATGTCAGAGAGAAATAAATATTCTGCCTTTGTATTTCCATAGCACACACCTCCAACATAGCAGTATCACATACAATTAATTTGTATGTCCATTTCCTTCACTACAAGAAGTGCCCTATAGAATATTATTTGTCCTGTATCTGTCACAGGAGTTAATGTATTTTCTAGGACATAGCAAGTACTACAGAATGTTTGTTGAATAAATGAATAAAAGTGGACTTTATCAATAGGATTGTATATTTCTTTGCTTTCAATGGGAATTACAATAAAAAGTAAAATCCATCTACAGACAACCTTGCTGGTGAATTTTTATTTCACATATATCACAGGAATGTATATTTTACCTTAATATGTCCTATGCAAATATTTCATTATGTCTATTTTCCGCCTATTTATTGTTAACAAAGAAATTGCACAGGAATTTATGAGTGTGTTTGTATTATGAGATAAATAACATTTCTTCCTTTGTTTTGCAGCAAAATAGAAGAACTCACCAAAAATGGTATTTTCTGTTGACCTAGACTAGGACTGATAAACATAGAAATGGAAAAATGATTTTATGGAAATGACAGAATCCACCTCCTTTCAGAATCATACGTGGGTTAGGGAGGAGAGGAAGTGAATCACAGGAATTCCTGTGTTGTCTCTCGCTGACGTTTCACCTGCAATATCATAGCTTTCAGTTACTGTGGTGAGATTCAGCCATGTTACCTGTACTACACCATACTGTCTGCCAAAGTATTTCCTTACACAATTTTTTTTATAGGAAACAAAAACTACTCTTATCTATTTATTTTTATCATATGGGTGGACCTGGGCAGAAAAATGCAGATGGTTTTGGTAAAGTGAGCTGGCAAAACCCAGTGTAAATTTCCTAATAAACAAAAGCAAGTATTTTACAGTGTAAATTGTGCCACATCAGGGAAATCTCAGAGTCCACAGATGTTGCAAATTACTAATAAGATATCCAATCCCAGCAGTCTGGGTATATCCAGTTGTTACTTGTTTGTTTGTTTTTCACTAGAAATGATCCTACCAGCAAAATGCTGCTGTTTTCTAAATTCTTGTTCATTTTGGCAACGTGCTCTAATAAGAGAGGAAAAAAACATTCATTGAAATAAGTTGCCACGAGGGTGTTTGTTATCTGTGAAGGTATATATAATGTCATTGTCTTTATCAGAGCAGAAATAGTTCTGACCTTCTCAAGAATGTATACAATCGCTGGGCACGGTGGCTCACGCCTGTAATCCCGGCACTTTGGGAGACCGAGGCAGGTGGATCACGAGGTCAGAGTTCAAGACCAGCCTGGCCAACACGGTGAAACGCCGTCTCTACTAAAAATACAAAAAATTAGCCAGGTGTGGTGGCGTGTGCCTGTGGTCCCAGCTACTCGGGAGGCTGAGGCAGGAGAGTAGCTTGAACCCAGAAGGCAGAGGTTGCGATGAGCTGAGATCGCACCACTGCACAGAGACAGAGGGAGACTCCATCTCATTAAAAAAAAAAAAAAAAAAAAAGAATGTATACAATGTATATCAATCTAAAAATGAGATGGTTAAACCTACTTAACATGCCTTATTTTTATCCAAATAAAAGTGAAAGGATCCAACATAATATTTGAAATTCTACCATAGGATATTTTATTAGAAAAAAATAGTTTTTTAAATAATGTTTATTCTCATCACAAAATTACTGAGAAGTAAAGCATTTCTAAAGTTACATTAGAACATTGTAATTAATGTTTGTGTTAGAATGATGGTTACCAGAATCTGGGAAGGGTAACGGAGGAGTAGAAGCAGGGATGGTCATTGGGTACAAAAATATAGTTAGATAGAATGAAAAAACCTAGTATTTGATAGCACATCAGGGTGACTACGGCCAGCAATAATTTATTGTACATTTTTAAATAAATGTGACTATAATTAGATTGTAACACAAAGAAAGGATAAGCGCTTGAGGTGATGGATACACCATTTATTCTGATGTGATTATTGCGCATCGTATGCTTGTATCAAAATATCTCATGTGGCCGGGTGCAGTGGCTCACACCTGTAATCCCAGCACTTTGGGAGGCCAAGGTGGGTGGATCACGAGGTCAGGAGTTTGAGACCAGCCTGGCCAACAGGTGAAACCCTGTCTCTACTAAAAATACAAAAATTAGCCTGGCACGGTGGTAGATGCATGTAATCCCAGCTACTCAGGAGGCTGATGAGGCAGAGAATTGCTTGAACCCGGGAGGCAGAGGTTGCAATGAGCAGAAATCACACCACTGCACTCCAGCCTGGGCAACAGAGTAAGACTCTGTCTCAAAAAAAAAAAAAAAAATGTGCCCCACAAATATATACCCCTACTATGTACTCATAAAAAAAAATTATAAAAATTATAAAAAATAAAAAACAAATGCTTCTCTTTTCTAGTAGTCCTCTAAAATTATTTCCAGAATGATATTTATGCTGTAACAAAATTAGGCAAAAATTGATAAAGTAGAACTGCAATTTGGGTCTTGTAATAATAAATTTGCCCTGTGGTTTTTCTTATATAATGAAGTGGAATCTTCTAGTACCCAAGCCACTCCAGAAGAGCAAGTTACCTAGCTTTTGGGAAAAACAAAACAATAAACCTTACAAACCACAGGTAACTTAGTAAATTAAAAGAGAAATTATGAATATTATTGAGAAGCATGAAAGAGACAATGCAATCATTAATTTATGTTCAGAAACAAATACCAGCTCTATACATAACTAATTATTGATAATAATAATAATTTTTCAAAATTTTCCTTTTCTGATAAATTTCTGGCCATTAATTACCATTCCAGTTTGTGTCCTTGCCTACTTTACCATACAACAGACTCTTAATTTTGTATTGATTGAACAATTTAATTATTGATTTAGTCTGTTTTTCTTCCATTGGTCTGAACATTCTGGAACTGATGCTGTATTTTCACTTACCCTGAAATTAACTAATAAGAAAGTCTGAATTATAACATTTTAATGCATCAAAATTGTTCTTTTAACAAATATTCTCTTAACTTTGAAGAAATAGCAATTATATTCTCAAAGTCTTTGTTTCATTAATGCTGTGGAAATGAGGCTTTATTTGTTTTTAACAGGAATATATTGTTGATTTATGGGGGCATATTTTTGGTTCTTTTTTTTTTTTGCCCTTGTTAATTAAAAAATAGGAAAAGGGATGGGAACGGTGGTTCACAACTGTAATCTCAGCACTTTGGGAGGCTGAGGCAGGCGGATCACCTGAAGTCAAGAATTCGAGACCAGCCTAGCTAACATGGTGAAATCCCATCTCTACTAAAAAAAAAAAAAAAAAAAAAAAAATTAGCCAGGCATGGTGGTTCACACCTGTAATCCAAGCTACTCAGGAGGCTGAGGCAGGAGAATTGTTTGAACCAGGGAGGTGGAGGTTGCAAGTGAGTCGAGATCACGCCACTGCACTCCAGTCTGGGCAACACAGTGAGACTCCATCTCAAAAAAAAAAAGAAAAAAATGAGGAAACATGTATATATTGAAGTAGTGTATTTGCTCTTGCAATAGGTATATTACTTGTTTTTTAAAATCTGATTCATCATTCAGGCAAATTATTATGTAATCTTATGTTTCCCTCTAAATTATATTAATACGTGCATTCTAATATATATAAAAAAAGAAAATCTGATTATTATACTTTCAATGGCCAGGCCTATATACCCCTCAACTTTTTCAACAGTAATGTTTGTTTGTTTAATCTAAAACAATGAAATAGCTAAGGTTTATAAACAGAGAAAGCCCTTATCAAACCTAGAAAAATTGGATTGATAACTGTAACCAAATGATAATTTGATATGAAATTGAATTTTTAATTTCGATAACATTTAATCTTTAGTTTACATAACAAGTAGTATTCAAGATTCAAGAATATATGAAGGTATGGTGGAAGAGATTGTTCTGGGTGGAAGAAGGCACTGTAAATAACAATTACCAAGATACTGCTGTGAATGCCTTTCTACTGTTCATTATAGCAAACTGCTGTAGAATTTTCACTATATTCTGGGGAGCATCATGAAAGAGATTCTGGAGTCTGTGATCTTTTGCTGGGTCACTAGTGATCCATCAGATATGTACCCCTGGGGAGACACATATTCCTTGATGTGAAAGTTAGAAAATACTTCAACTGTATTACTTGCTGTATTTTTTTTTACATTTTAAAAATGGAGCTTGACTTTTCATTCCTAGCACACTACAGGACATGCCTGAAACTAATGGACTTCAGACTCATCTAGCCAAAATAATGCAGTCATTTATTTTAATCTGTAGTGTTTGTGGGGTCATGTCCTTCTTCACATTCCTAATATTTTTATTTATAATATCTCTTTTTTCCCCTTTGATCAGTTTTTCAAATGTTTACCTATTTTATTAGTATTTTTAGCAGATGTATTTTAATTGTACTAACAATTTTCTTTGTTTGCTTGCTTCTTTGTATATTTTTATTTCCTCAATGTCTAACATTATATTTGCTCTTCATTTCTTTTATATTATTTGGATTTATTCTGTGTTTCTTTCCCTTAATTTTGGAGTTGAAGGCCCAGCTCATTTATCTCAGTCCCTCTGGTGTAATGACATCACATCAGGTAATTTTTAGGCCAATATCTTTCTCTCTATGTAACACTTGGTTATATGTTGTAAATATTGAGGTGTGGTAAATTCAATTCCAAATATTCAGCAATTTTTATTATTATCTTTTTAATTCATCTTTTCTTTTTAAAAATAATTTTAATATTTATTGTAGATTCAAAGGTTATGTATGCAGGTTTGTTACCTCAGTATTTGCATGATGCTGAGGGTTGGGATGTGATCGATCCTGTCGCCCAGGTAGTGAGCATAGCACCCAATAGTTACTTTTTCAACCATGCCCTCCTCCTTCCCTTCCCACTCTGGTAGTCTCCAGTGTCTATTGTTGCCTTCTGTATGTTCATGATTACTCAATTTTTAGCTCCTACTTATAAGTGAAAACACGCGGTATTTGGTTTTCTGCTCCTACATTAATTTGTTTAGGATAATGGCCTCCAGCTGTATCCATAGTTGTTCAGATGTATAGTTTGTGAATATTTTCTCGCATTCTGTATGTTGTTCATTTACTCTGTTGATAGTTTCATTTGTTGTGCAGTAGCTCTTTAGTTTAATTAGATTTCCATTTGTCAATTTTTGTTTTTGTTGCAATTGCTTTTGAGGACTTTGTCATGAATTTTTTTCCTAAGGCCCACATCCAGAGGTGTTTCCTAGGTTTTCCTCTAGGATTCTTATAGTTTGAGGTCTTATATTTAAATCTTTAATTCATCTTGAGTTAGTTTTTGTATGTAGTGAAAAATAGGTGTCCAGTTTTATTTTTCTCCATATGGCCAGCCAGTTATCCCAGTACCTTTTATTGAATAGGGAGTCCTTTCCCCATTTGACTTTGTCAAAGATCAGATGTCTGTAGGTATGCAGCTTTATATTGGGGGTTCTCTATTGTTTTCCATTGTCTATGTGTCTGTTTTTGTACCAGTATCATGCTGTTTTGGTTGTGGTAGCCTTTTAATACAGTTTGAAGTCAGGTAGATGATAATCTAGCAATTATCCCGTCCTGTACTCACCCTTCAACCCACATAAGTTGCTGACAGATATATGTTTCTGGTCCCACAGTTACTTACTCATTTTCTTGTCCAAGCCAGTTATGTATTTTCCACATTTCTGAGCACAGGCCTCTTGAGTTGTGCTTTGTCTTAGCTATGTCTACATCTTTCTTGGACACAGAAAACATTTGAAATTCTGGCTTCCTCAGACACGCCCCTCTAGTTATACCAAGTGTCCATCTGTATTATCTCCTCATCAAAGGAAAAATGAGAAGACCACATCTATTGTGGCAATTTGCTGGTGTATAGGAGAGGATCAAGGCAAAACTGTGTTGGTGCACACATGCACGCACATACACACACACACACACACCTCAATATATAAGTAAGTCCCTCCTCATTAAGTCTTCTTACCATATCTACTCCCACTCTGTTTTTTCTCAGAGCAACGGAAGTCTTATTTAATCTGGAAAGAAAGGAGGCAGGAAGGAAACTTTTTCTGCCTTATTTTGTATTTCTTAAAAAAATGTATTGTTTATGAGGGTGGGTGTGGTGGCTCAAACCCATAATCCCAACACTTTGGCAGGGCGAGGCGGGTGGATCCCTTGAGCCCAGAAGTTCGAGACCAGCCTGGGCAAAATGGTGAAACCCCATCTCTACTAAAAATACAAAAAACTAGCTGGGTGTGCTGGTGTGTAACTATAGTCCCAGCTACTCAGGAGGCTGAAGTGGGAGGATCACCTGAGCCCAGGAGGTGGAGGCGGAGGTTGCAGTGAGCGGTGACTGCACCACAGCACTCCTGCTTGGGCAACAGTGAGACCCTGTCTTCTCCAAATATATATATTTCATGGGATGAACTTTATGCCCAGCGTTCTTCAGGGCTTAAGCTTTTGAAAGTAAGTATCATTTTCTTTTTTTTTTTTTTGAGACGGAGTTTCACCCTTGTTGCCCAGACTGGAGTGCAATGGTGCAATCTCGGCTCACCGCAACCTCCGCCTCACAGGTTCAAGTGATTCTCCTGCCTAAGCCTCCCGAGTAGCTGGGATTACAGCCATGTGCCAGGACACCCAGCTAATTTTGTATTTTTACTAGAGACAGGGTTTCTCTATGTTGGCCAGGCTGGTCTCAAACTCCCAACCTCAGCTGATCCGCCTGCCTTGGCCTCCCAAAGTGCTGGGATTACAGGCGTGAGCCATCGTGCCCGGCCATTTTCTTTTTTCTTAAAAGAGGCTTCAGGTGTCCAAAATCTGTAGACTCTCCTTGAGGAAGTAATTGTCTCATCAACCTCAAGGTATGAGAGGGAGAGTAGTTCTGAGTAATAGAAAATCCTAGAAGTAATGTAGAAGCTAATATATTAAAAATATGGTTCTGACAGCATACAGTAAGAGAGCAGCACTAATGCTTTTTATTTGTGTTAAAGAAAATTTGTAAGAATTAAGACATACTTTATCCCAATTCTAATCTCCATTTCAGGATATCTCTGATGAGTGAATGATTTTCAGAACTAGGTAAGCTTTAAGGAGGTTATATACTGTTATGTAAAGGGCCTTCAAAGCTCTGAAGGTTGTAAATATTTTTTTTTTAATTCAATAAGAATAAAAATAAATTTTCATTCCCAAACACAAAATTTTGCTTTTACAAGGGAAACATACAAGATCCATATGTTAGAGATTGTATGTTATACTTTCCAGACAACCAAGTAGAAAATAAAAACAATCATTTATTTGTGGCTCTTCTTTGATAAGAATTTTTCCAGGATTTTAAGTAGAAATCAATCAAGTTTGGCAATATTAGGCCTCCACATCCACAAGACTGACATAATCAATGTTACCCTAAAACTCTGTAAAATACAATCCATTTTAAGCATATTAGCATATCTTCTGGAAGGGATATGAGACTGAGAAAGAGACAATATTTTTAGTAAATAGTGGCAATCAAACATTAAGAATAATTGCAAAACAAAGCGAAAGAATATCTACCTCTAGGGTGAAATGAAAACTTGAACATAAGTTGTTTTTTCCTTCTGTGTAGGAAAAAAAAACTATAAGTAATTTTTAAAATTTGCATTAAATGTATTAGAACCTAGTTTTAAAACTGGGACTGTTTAAAAATATGTACCACAAAGAAACAACATCAATTTAAAAATCAAAGATTCAGAACCATTTAAAAGTACCTTGTATTTCGAGGCTCTTAAAACTGTTTGATTTTAAATTTTGTTATAAAATATAAGCTCTATGAGGACATGGGCCTTTTCTAGGCTTTTCCTCACTGAATTTTCACTGCTCAGAACATTAAATAAAATATGAAAATCACTGCATAAATCCCCATAGAATGAATTAAAATATACGATTTTACCCTGACTACATGTTTGTGACACAATGAAGGTATTTTGTTCTTACTATTTCATAAGCAGAGATGCTAAGTGATATTTTTCAAATAGCACACAGTTATTTAGCATCAGACAAAAATGTTATTAAGTTTTACATCAATGCAACATTCTTTCTCAAGAGCAGAACAAGATTTATGAGGCTACTAAAGGGTTACATATGTACAACATTGAATGAGTCAAAACTGCTATTTTAATTCCATACAGAACCTGAAATTTTGTCAGATTCAGAGAAAAAGTTTTGGTTTGTTTTCCTTTAAATCTGTATCTATTGAAATATAACTAACATTTGTTCCTGAGCAGTTTGTCCATCAATTCACTCATCCATCCATTCGTTCATCCTTTTTATCTTAATGATATCACTCAGCACTAAAATAAAGGAACCATACAAATAAAATAAAGTTGATGGAGTCTGAACTATCACAATAAATAACCTAACTTGCTTTGTGCTTAAGAGTACTATGACTTTGTTATGCCTTTGAGCTTTTTACAGCAAGAAATTATTTTGTCACATTTGCTTAGTTGTAAGGAGGGCCAATAAAATCTCAACAATTTGATGATTCCCTAAATTTTCACCATTCTCTATCATGTTTCAAGCAACTCCCTTTTACTTTACCAGGACAGTTTGATTAGGTCATTCCCTCCATTTACACTGCAGGATTTCATTCATTCCTGGGATAAGAGGAGAATGAACACTTTAAGAAGAATCAAGCCAAGCCATATGGGTTTCTCTATGAGCTCAGGATTGTGAAGGAAATTAAAGGCATATTGAATGAGAAAAAGTTGAAGAAAACTGGAGGTATTTAGCAGTGAGAAAACTCTAAGACCAGGCAACGTCATGGTCTTCAAATATTTGAAAGGTTGTAAGGTTCCAAAAAGGAATATTTGTACTGGGGATAGAAGTAGTACTGGTGGCAGGAAGGTTAAGAATACAGATTGCAGTTCAATATAAGGAAGTAAGAGCTATTCAAATACAGAACGGGTTATGCAATTCAGGCCATGTGGAAATCTTCACTATTTATTTGTCACTGGACTTATCCAAATGTAGGTTAGAAAACCTCTTGATGGGGTTGATGTAAGCCAATTCAATCATTACATTAAGGTTTAGCTTTCATGACCTTTAAAGTCCATTCCAACCCTGAGATTCACCAAGCCTCAGAAACCCACTCCACTGGGAGTGCTGCCTGCCAAATTAGTCTTTGCATGAAAGGCACAAAATGATGTCAATTGTTGCAGCTGCAGTGAGTCAGCTGGAAACTGCCTGACAAAGGCAAAGTTCAACCTAGTTACTAAACCCCAACTAATTTTAAATGATTTTAGCTTTCTTAGATGGTTCCAGAATTACACACTCAATTAATGCTGTTGATTTCAGCCAAGTCTCCACAAAAATAAGTGAAAGCAAGGCAATTATTTGGATAAGTTAAACCAAATAAACTAAATCTTTCTATTTTTAACTCTATTTTCAATGGTCCTGAAAACTCAGACCAGAAGTATATCATGATTCATGATATAGAGGAATTGAATTGGAAAGTAGAAGCTCTCAGGCCAAGTTCCTGCCATATTTCACTGTATTTATAAGAGAGGAAGCTTCAGAGTGAGGCTGATCTAAGTTTGAATACTGGTTTAACCATCATTAGTTATGAGACCTTGCAGGAGCTATGATATCTCTGAATCAGTAATGTCATCTACACTAACAACTGCAACTACCATTATTGGAAGCCTGCTATGTGCCTGTCACTGGACTAGAGTTTCAAATACACACTTATTATCTTTACAGTATTTCTATGAGATGAGCATGTTAATTACATTTTAGAAATGAAGAAAATGACTTTCAAGGAGATAAAGTCACTTCCCCAAGCCATACATTTAGTAGGAATCTTATGAGGGTGAACAGCACTTTTTAACATTTCATTGTCAATTTTAGCCAGTGAAATGTAAAAATGTCCTGTAAATCTTACAGGAGGATTTATTTGAGAGAGGGGACATGTTCATCTTATGCCCTGCCTCTGTCCTGCTGTCCAGAAGTTGTCTGTGTTGGCTAGAGCTCAAGTCACTGGCTAGCTCTGGTAACACACCTAGGGATGAGGAAGAAGCACACCGAAAATAATCTGGGTCCCTATGATTTTGAGCAACCACCATGTGTGTCTACACCAGCTCATAATAAAGTTCAACACGATAGGGAAATGCACTTCTTTCATTTTAAGCATTGTAAAACATTATTCATATGAGTTTTAGTATAAGGATGCTGACCTTAGTTATCCTAAGTGATAAACCACATATCCAAATAAATCATGTTTCTGGAGCAGAGGCTCATGCTGGGGCATAATATGAGAGATGTTTGATTAAACAATATGCAGATAAAAACTACAGAAATCAAAACGCTATCTAGCAGCCTAAAATTGCTGTAAGTTATTAAGTAGCCAACTGTGGTAAGTTTTGGGGCAGATATAACTAAGCAGCAGCATATATACAAAATAAGTTGGAGTTGAGGACAAAAGCTTGTCTTAATAAGCTGTAACATTGGCTAATCAATTCTTCCTATGATATTCCTCTAGAATCTGGTAATAATAAAAACCAGTCACCAATTAATACTAGAAGCCAGTAATCTCATCCTTTGATTCATTTACTTAGATAATTGTGCCATATTCTCCAACGCGCCATGCCTGCTATATGTGCTCAAGTCCTCAGGACTGATTTAGAGACACAGAAATTGAAAAGCATAATTCCTGTCCTCTAGTGAAAGAGACATAAAATTAAACAAATAAACAAACAAATACACAGAAATGAGTGATGTGATAGAAATATGCACAAGATGCCTTGGAAGCCCAGAGGAGAAACATTCCCTTCCCAGATTATGGGGAGGGATGGGGATTAAAGACTCCTCAAAAGAGGTGACAATTGACCTGAGTCCTCAGCAATACATAGAATTTAACCAGGCATATAAACAGCAGAAGGGTACTCTAGACAGAGTAAAAAGTCCGTACAAATGCAAAGAACTGACAGCTTGACATATTTGGGCTGGTGTACACACATTAATATGGAATAGAGGAAAAGAGGATATGAAGAAAGGGCTGGATAACGAAGGCTCATTATACTAGCCAGAGGAGCTTAAATTTTATCCTTGAAACATTTAAGGTATTTCATGAGCACTTAAATGATCAAACGTGTTTGCTAAGATTACTCTGGGAAGAGTTTGGAGGACAAAATTGCATTGTAGATGTAAATTGAAGGTACTTTAGAGATATTTAAAAGAACTAAGAAGAGTCTACCAAATTTAGCAGTCTAAAGGCCATTTGGTTTGAAAAGTGAGAGAATTTCAGGGGTGTGTGAAAGCCAACCCAAGGCTGACAAGAGTAGAGGATTGAATGAGCAATGAAGTGGAGAGGAGTGGAGACTAACTTTTACAATCATGTGCTGTATAAAGATGTTTCGGTCAATGCTGGACTACATATATGATGGTGGTTCCATAAGATTCAACGGAGCTGAAAAAGTTATATCACCTAGTATTTACTGTACTATAATTTTTATCATTATTTTACAGTGTACTTCATATATATACATATACATATATATACAATATATACACACATATATACATGTGTATATATATAAAATATATAATATATATTAATATTATATAATATATATATATATATATATATATATATAAAATGTTAACTGTAACACAGCCTCAGGCAGATCCTTCAGGAGGTATTCCAGAAGGAGGCATTGTTATCATAGGAGATGACAGCTCCATGGATGTTATTGCCCCTGAACACCTTCCAGTGGGACAAAATGTAGAGGGAAAGACAGTGATATCGATGAGCCAGACACCGTGTAAGCCTAGGCTAATATGTGTGTGTGTGTTTAACAAAAACATTAAAAAGCTTATAGAATAAGGATGTAAAGAAAGAATATTTTTGTACAGCTGTACGATGTGTTTGTGTTTTAAGCTGTTATTACAAATGTTTTAAAAAATTAAAAAGTTTTTGAAGTAAAAAAGTTACATCAGCTAAGGTTAATTTATTATTAGAAAATAAAAATAGCTTTAATAAATTTAGTATAGCCTAAGTATACCATGTTTATAAAACCTACAGTAGTGTACAGTAATGTCCTAGGCCTCCACATTCACTCAGCACTCTCTAATTCACCCAGAGCAACTTCCATTCCTGCAAGCTCCATTCATGGTAAGTGTCTTATACATTTTTTAATGGTAAAGTGATATACATTTTTTAATGGTAAAATGGTAAATGGTAAGTGTGCCATTTTTAAAATCTTTTTTTAATTTTAATTTTTTTTTTTAATTTGTATTTTTTGAGACAGGGTCTCACTGTGTCACTCAGGCTGGAGTGCAGCGGTGCAATCACAGTTCACTTCAGCTGCTGCCTCCCAGGCTCAGGTGATCCTCATCAGCCTCCTGAGTAGCTGGGACTCCAGGTGCATGCAACCACACCCAGCTACTTTCTTTGTTTTTTATTTATTTATTTATTTTTATTTTATTTTATTTTTTTTTTGTAGAGACAGGGTTTTGTATGTTGCCCAGGCCAGTCTCTGACTCCCTGGGCTCAAGCGACATGCCCACCTTGGCCTCCCAAAGTGCTGGGATTACAGGCTTGAGCCACCATGCCTGGGATAAATCTTTTGTACTGCATTTTTCTACACATTTTCTATGTTTAGACATGTTTAGATACGTAAATATGTACATTGTGCCACAGTTGCCTACAGTATTCAGTACAGCAACATCCTGTATAGGTTTGTAGTCTAGGAGCAATAGGCTATATCATATAGTCTAGGTGTGCAGTAGGCTATATTGTCTAGGTCAGCTGCTTCCAACCTTTTCAGCACTAGGGACTGGTTTCATGGAAGACAGTTTTTCCACGGACTCAGTGGGGGCGGAGGGGAGGGTAGTGATGGTGTCGGGATGATTCAAGCACATTACATTTATCGTGCACTTTATTTTCTGTTCTTATCACTTTGTAATATACAATGAAATAATTATACAACTCACTATAATGTAGAATCAGTGGGAGCCCAAAGTTTGTTTTCCTGCAATTAGATGGTCCCATTTGGGAGTGATGGGAGACAGTGACAGATCATCAGGCACTAGGTTCTCATAAGGAGCACACAACCTAATCTCTCACATGCACGGTTCACAATAGGGCTCGCGCTCCTAGGAGAATCTAATGCCACCATTGATCTGACAGGAGGCAGAGCACAGGCAGTAATGCGAGCAATGAGAAGTGACTGCAAATACAGACTAAGCTTGGCTCACTGCCCACTGCTCACCTCCTGCTCTGCGGCCTGGTTCCTAACAGGCCACGGAAGTGGCCCAGGGCTTGGGGACCGCTGGTCTAGGTTTTTGTAAGTACACTGTGTGATGTTGACACAATGACAAAATCGCCTAATGTTGCATTTCTCAGAAAGTTACCAGTGCAACGCATGATTGTAGTTTTCCATCAAAGCAAAGCTGCTTGAATTGAGACCATATTCAAAAATATGTTTCAGGAAGAAAAGTAAAAGGAGTGTGTCTTTTTCCAAAACTAGAGAGAACTGAAAATGTTTATATTGTGGTGGGGGCAGGAAAGTCTGTAGAAAGATGAGAATAATCACTGAAGGCAAGACCATGAGCACTTAAGGGAAACGGATCCTACACAAAATATGCAGTACATAATATAGTCAGGCAATAGAATTGTTCATGAAAAGGGACCCCAGGCATGAGTGGAGTATTTAGGTTTAAGGAAATTGAGAACTTTATCATTTGCTTCCCTATCCCAGATGTAAGCCAATTGGGAGAGTCAACAAGAAAAAAAAATCACAGTCAGCAGAAGGTTTGAACAGCCATATTACCTGTGAGATGTTTTATATTTGATCCAAGAACTAGAACAAAGAAATGTATTCTTTTCTTCCCTATTCTTATCATCTTATTTGTCCTTTTCTATGCAAATAGAGGTTGGGATAGAAATAAAAAACACTTAAAGACATTTTTATTCATCGTTAGGTAGACTTAGGCAAAACAACTTCCTGAATGGAATTATAGACAGTGTTTTAAACATTAAAATCCAACACAGGAGAAAGAAGGGGGGAGGAAATTCAGAAAGAAACTGTTAGTATTATTCATAAATGCAAAGACAATATTGTCAGATCAACAGTAGGAAAATTAGAAATGATTTTGAGAGATTAACACCTGGGGGGAAAGGTCTCAGGATTAAATCCCAGAGATTAGAAACAGGATTCTCAAAATGCAGTTTTGACAATGGCGAAGACTAGAGTGGTTTTCATCATTATATCCCCCATATGTGATGCTGTAACAGCACATAGCACTCACAAATGACTACTATTTTTATATTATTATGAAGCGTACAACATAAGCCTCATACCTTCAGTATGTTTAACCACATTCTTAGTATGGCTAAGTATGGGCTATCAGTTCTGTAACGCTTTTTTTTAAAATTTATTTTGTAATTGACAAATTAAAATTATATATGTTTATGGTATACAACATGATGTTTTAGAGTATATGTACATTAGGGAATAGCTAAATCCAGTTAATTAATATATGCATTACCTCTTATACATATTCTTGGTGATAAGAACACTTAAAATCTATGTTCAGCTATTTCCAAGAATACAATATATCATTACTAACAATAGTCACCAGGTTGTACAATAGATCTCTTGAGTTTATTCTTCCTATCTGCACTATTGTATGTTTTGACCAACATCTCCTCAACCTCCCACCGTCACCCCAGCTCCTGGTACCACCAATCTACTCTCTACATCTAGGAATTCAATTTTTTAGATACCACATATGTGATATTCTGTGTTATTGGTCTTACTTGGCCTGGCTTATTTCACTCAATATAATGTATTCCACGTTCGTCCATGTTGTTACAAATGATGTGATTTCCTTCTTTTTAAAGGCTGAATCATATTTTATTATGTATAAGTCCCAGATTGTCTTCATTCATCCAATGATGTACACTAGGATTGAGTCTATATCTTGGCTATTGTGAATAATGCTACAATGAATATGAGAGTACGGGTATCTCTACAACATACTGATTTTAATTCCTTTGGATTCCCAGTAGTGGGATTGCTGGATAATATAGTAGTTCCGTTTTTAATTTTTTTGAGGAACTCTCATACTATTTTCCATAATGGCTGTACTAATTTACATTCCCACCAACAGGGAGCCAGGGTTCCCTTTCCTCCACATCCTCACCAATGCCTATTATCGCCCATATTTTTGATAATGGCCATCCTAACAGGTTTGAGGTAATATCTCATTGCAGTTTTAATTTGCATTTCTCTAATGATTGGTGATGTTGAGCATTTTTCATACATCTATTGACCATTTGAGTGCCTTCTTTTGAGAGATTTTTCAGCTTCTTTGCCCATTTTTCAATCAGGTTATTTGCTTTCTTGCTATTGAGTTTGATATGGTTTGGCTCTGTGTCCCCATCCAAGTTTCATCTCGAATTGTAATCCCCACGTGTCTAGGGAGAAACCTGTAATCCCCAAGTGTTGAGGGAGAAAGGTAATTGGATCATTGGGGCAGTTCCCCTGTGCTGTACTCCTGAAAGTAAATGAGTTCTCACGAGATCTGATTGTTTTATAGGTGTTTGGAAGCTCTTCCTTTGCTCATTTCTCTCCTTCTGCCTTTTGAAGAAGGTGCTTGCTTCCTCTTCGCCTTCCACCATGATTGTAAACTTCCTGAGGCCTCCCCAGCCTTGTGTAACTGTGAGTCAATTAAAGCTCTTTCCTTTATAAACTACCCAGTCCTGAGTATTTCTTTATAATAGCAGTGTGAGAACGGACTAATGTAAAGTTCTTTCAGTTCCTTATATACTTTCGATATTAACCTCCTATCATATGCACCATTTGCAAATATTTCCTCCAACTCCATAGGTTGTTTCTCCATTCTGTTGATTGTCTGCTGTGCAGAAGCTTTTTAGTTTGAAATAATCCTATTTGTCTATTTTTGCCTTTGTTGCCAGTACTTTTAGGGTTATTTCAAAAAATTCTTGCCCAGGCCAATGTCATTTATGGTTTTGTATGGGTTTTAGGATTGTCTCTTCTGTGAAAAATGTCATAGGAATTTTTATAGGGATTGCATCGAATCTGTAGATCACTTTGGGTAGTATGGACTACTTTAACAGTATTAATTCTTCCAACCCGTGAATATGGGATATCTTTTCAATTATTGTGTCTTCAATTTCTTTCCTCAATATTTTGTTGCTTTCAGTGTACAAGTCTTTCACCTCCTTGGTTAAACTTACTTATAATTTTTTTTTGTAGATATTGTAAATAAGATTGTTTTCTTGATTTCTTTTTGGATAGTTCTTTGTTGTTGCGAAGAAACATTAGTGATTTTTGTATCCTGCAACTTTGCTGAATTCTTTTATTTGTTCTAACAGTTTTTTACTGGAGTCTTTTGGATTTTCTATACATAAATAACGTCATCTGCAAACAGTGACCATTTAACTTCATCCTTTCCAATTTGGAAGTCTTTTATTTCTTTCTCTTGCCTAATTGCTCTGGCTAGGACTTCCAGTACTAGAATATTAATTAGTATGTTGAATAGAAGTGATGACAGTGGGCATCTTTGTCTTGTTCCTGATCTTAGAGGAAAAACTTTCAACTTTTCACCTCGAGTATAATGTCAGCTGTGGGTTTGTCATATGTGACTTTGATTGTGTTGCAGTACAATCCTTCTATATCAAATATATTGGGTTATTACTATGAAAGAATGTTGAATTTTGTCAAATGCTTTTTCTGCATCTATTGTGATGGTCATATAGTTTTTGTCTTTCAAATGTGGTATATTATGTTTATAGATCTGTGTATTTTAAGCTATCCTTTCATTCCTGGAATAAATCCCATTTGATCTTGGTGAATGGTCCTTTTAATGTGCTGTTTGATTTGGTTTGCTACTATTTTGTTGAGGATTTTTGTATTTGTGTTCATTGAGAATATTGGCCCCCAAAATTCTTGTCTTGAAGTGCTCTTGCCTGGCTTTGGTATCAAAATAACACTGGCTTTGTAAGATGAGTTTGGGCATTATTTCCTCTTCTTCAGTTGTTTTGAAGAGTTTGAAAGGGTTGGGAGTAGTTTTCCTTTAAATGTGTGATAGAATTCAGCTGTGAAGCTATAAGATCCTGGACTTTTCTTTAATGAGAGACTATTACTCATTCAATCTCCTTACTCGTTATTTTTATGTTTAGATTTTCCATTTCTTTATAATTCAGTCTTGGTAGGTTGTCTGTGTCTAGGAATTTATCTATTTCTCCTAGGTCATCCAGTTTGTTGGCATATAATTGCTTTTAGTATTTGCTTATGATCCTTTATATTTCTGCATTGTGACACTTTCTAGAGTCTACAGCTTCTGAAGGTGCTGGAGATACAACGGACGGTTAGATTCTCCAAGGGAGTGCTCATTTATTTATTTATTCATTTGAAAATTATTTAGTAAGCTCTACTACAAATCAGACATGGTATTAGAACTAGAAATTCAGAACTCAATCAAGTTGCACTGTTTGTTTTCTATCATACCATCATATAGTTGTACCACAATTTCTAGCTATGAAGTGAAAGCCTGAAACAGCTTCTCTAAGATGGCAGAAATTGAGTGAGATTTTACAATAATATAAATTGTTTACAGCAGTATTTCTTAAATCTAAATGTGCATGCACTTGGGGATAATGTTAAAATGTGGACTCTGATTCAATAGGTCCAGGGTGTTTCATGGACCATACTTTGAGTATCAAAAATTCATAGTAATTTAATATAGGTGGTATTAATTCGAAAACACATTTGAAATTTTGTTTCTATAGTTTTTCTCTTCATAATATTTTGTCTTTTTGCTACCTTTTCTTAGTGTTTTTGTTTGTTTTCTAGTGCAATGGATAATTGCTGTCTCAATTGGAAAGAGTATACTTTGAATATATTCTTCAAACAAAAATATGCCATAGGTCACTGGTTACTATGGATATTAAAGTGTGTTTTAATATTGTTGGGCTCTAAACACTGCATAGCTTAGTTCCTTCAGGAAAACAAAATGCTCAATGATGTATTTTCTCTTTTTATTAAAGCATTATATTTTTAACATTGGAGGGAGCACATAAATGCTATCTTATTTTCTCTTGATAACCAAATTGTTCTACTTTTTTCAGTACTTAATTAGAATAATCTCAATCTTCACTGGAATAATAAATTTGTCACTAATATTGTGTGTGAACTTGACCAGAAAGCTAGAGAAAAACTCTTTTTCTTATTTGAGTTATATATATATATATATATATATATTTTTTTTTTTTTTTTTTTTTTTTTTTTTTTGAGATGGAGTTTTGCTCTTGTCACCCAGGCTGGAGTGCAATGGCACGATCTTGGCTCACTGCAACTTCCGCCTCCCAGGTTTAAGCAATTCTCCTGTCTCAGCCTCCTGAGTAGCTGGGATTACAGGCACCCATGACTGTGCCCGGCTAATTTTTGGTATTTTTTAGTAGAGACTGGGTTTCACCATGTTGGTCAGGCTGGTCTCGAACTCCTGACCTCAGGTGATCCACCCGCTTCAGCCTCCCAAAGTGCTAGGACTACAGGCGTGAGCCACCATGCCCGGCCTAATTTTTAAAATTTACCAAAAGACTACATACAATTGTCACCCTAAGATTTTGCATATTGAAAACAAAGCAAAAACTCAGGAACTATTATTGCCCAACCAACCATTGATAGTCTGAATATAACAATCCTCATTGTTAAAATGAGGGTATAATAGTCTGCTTAATTCCCTGAACCTATAGCTCTCTAAGTCTAAACTAGAATTACTAACATTCCCATGAATATTTAGTGGCCTCACCCCCATTTATTAGCGCAAGATGTAGTGTCAGAAGCTTTGGGTCATTATTTATCATTAAACCCTCCTGAGTGTTGGCCTCTCTTAATTTTAATAGCTGAATCACTGATTGTGAGGTGACTTAGTCTGTATTTGGTACTTCAAGATACTAAGAAACTGGATTTCCTAATCTTTAGCTTGACTGTCCCTTGGAAAAATATGCAATATCTTCTCCTAGATAAATATCAAAAAGCAGATGCTAGATCATCAAAGTTATAATCTATTCTCTTTCCTACTGCACTGACACCCTTGATTTGAACTTAAATCAGAGTATTGGCTAATCCTCAAAATCTGCCTATATATTCCTCCGTAAACGAAATTTATCAATTTAGATTTAATTTTAATACCTGTGTTCAAATTTCCCATATTCCTGGTATAAATTCTTTATCTAATACTGCAGACATACCTAGATTTCTAATCTTAGACATTCCAACATATTCCCTTCCCCTTGCTGCCACATCTATCTTATCCCTCTGTCACTCCAGTTCTGATTTTGATACTAAGGCCATTTCTTTTTATCCTTAAAAAAAAAAGTAGAGTACCTACTGTGTTCTAGGAACTATCTTACATATAGTAAGATATATCTATATCTTATATACATATATAAGTATATAAACTATATACATACAGTAAGATACACAAGATATTACTCATCTGCACAAAGCTTATTTTTCAAATGCTATGATTCTAACATGTATCTATATAAATTTAAACAACTGTGAACTGTATTCCAACTGTATTTCATTCATTATTTCTGATATATATTTTTATGTTTTTACAAAATGCATGTTTCTAAAAATGTTACAAGTTTAACCATCTATTTCACTTACATAAAATATTCCATAATCATTCTTTTAGAATTCTAGATTGCAGTTATTTTTTAAAAAATTAGAAAATACCTAATTCAACACACCCAAATTCAGAATACATTTTCCAGGGTCTGTGTACATTGCTAGTTTCTGCTCAGATATCCAAGAACTGGGAGTTTCTTTTTTTTTTTTTTTTTTCCTGAGACAGGGTCTTGCTCTGTCGCCCAGGCTGGAGTGCAGTGATGCAATCTTGGCTCACTGCAACCTCCGCCTCCCAGGTTCAAGTGATTCTCCTGCCTCAGCCTCCCTAGTAGCAGGGATTAGAGGGACCCGCCACCATGCCTGGCTAATGAGTTTCTTCTTTCATAAGGTGAGCTCACATTGTTGTTTCTCTAATTGGTATAATTTCTGGTCTTTCCTCAAAAAGAAAAATATTATCATAAGGCAACCTCCAAATATTAGAATTCCACTGTCCTGTGTCACCTTAATTCTTTCTTTTCTAAGTTAAAGAACTCAAATTTGTGGCACAGTTTTATAGATCCTTCACCACTTTGATCCCTGTTCTCTGTATATGCTCTAATTTTGCAATGTTTCTCTAAAGATATGACACTCTGAATAGAACAAGATCACCCTGGTGGACAAGCACAAAGCACCACAAACACTCCTGAGACCTGGATAGCCTAAAATTGTAAGCGTGTCAATCTTCAGTTTGTAGTGAGCTGAGGGAAACTAAATCTCCTTCCACACGAAATACAAGCCAGATATTTCTATATCTTAAACTAAATCAACCAATTATTTATGCCTAAATGGAGTAAATTATATTTATCCCTGTTAATTTTTTGTTAGTTTCAACACAACATTCTAGTTCTGGTTATGATAACACTTGACTCAATCAACTATGCTATTAACTATCCCTTCCAATTTTTTTTCCATCTGAAAGTATGATAAGCTTGTCATATATGACTTCACCCAAATAATTGATAACATTTTTCAACAGTATGAAGGCAGAAGACAGAGCCTTGTGGCATTCCCAGATGGCAGCAAGCCATTAATCTTTCTTTTTTTTTTTCCATTTTTCTCCTTTGTAAGTATTTTCTTATGAAACTAACACATGCTTGCTATAAAAATTTAAACAATACAGGAATGGATATATTAGAAACAGAATAGTCCTATTACAATCCTACTTTCCAAAAGTAACATTTTTTAATATTTTGTTACATATGTATCTATATAGATGTATTTGCCTATTTCTCTTATGATTGTACATATTCATATTTTTCAAAAGTGGGCTTACATGGTAAATATTGTTCTACAAATGCTTTTATTTAAATTATCAGCAGCCTATTTGCCTCTGTGTTCAAACATTTCAAGCTATCTTATTCTTTTCTCATTACATTGTATACCATCATATAGTTGTACCACAATTTATTTAATCTTTTTCTGATGAACCTACTTTACTTACAATTTTTGCCATTATAAAATATACTACAATATATATTTACTGCCATGTACAAATTTATTAGGCAATATTGGCAGTATTTCTGTAGGATTAATTCCTTAAAGTAGAATTGTTGAATCAAAAATTAGGCATATTTTCAGGTTTAATACATAGTGCCAAATTGCCCTCCAAAAATAATATGGAATTATACCTCAACCAGTGTTAATGACTATGTCCATTTGTTTATATCGTTGTCAAAAAAATTATCAATCTTTTAATTTGTGCCACTATGACAGATAAAAGCTTTTCTTAATTTATTTACCTTTTGTGTTTTTTAGTGAATTTCTGTTTTAATGTTTTCTGTTTTAACCTAGCAAACTATAGCTAGGTTTCATAGCTAGGTATGAAAGCTTTAGGGACCCTAGAAATAATAAATTCTTTGAACTGAGATGGATGGCACCAACCCAGTCTCAACCCTTCTGTGACTATATATATCCCAAGTGAAGACTGAGAAGATTCCAATATTAAAGGCTTAAATACATGAAGAAAACTGATGTTCCTTCACTCTCTTCCTTTTTAAGTTAGAGCTCCATCATTTTGTATGTAAAATGGATGAAGTGAAGGCATATATTTTTGCAAAATGGAAAACAAAATATATTCTCCTGGCTACAATTTGGTTTTATTATAATGTGTGAATATGGAATGCTTTCTATTTGAACAAAAAAATGGTAAGTTGTTTTTTTTATTTTCACATAATAAAGTGTCATTTTCTTATTATATATTTAATGTATTAATTTCCCCATTTAATTAAATACCCAAAATATCTATTACTCCCCAGTGATCTCAAGCAGTTTTTTTTTAATTATATAGCTCCTAAATGAAATCAGTAATTTTTAAGAAGATAATATAAAGCAGTTATTCTCAAATCTAGATAATCACAGTATCCTTTGAGGACCTTGAAAACAACAGCAACAGCAATGACAGATCTCTGGAGCACATCACTAAAAAGTCTAATGTACTAGAAGTAGTAGGAGGCATTAAGTCTATACTTGTAAAAAAATATTTTCAGGTGATTCTGATAATGTTTTTAAATATTATACACGTTTTTACCCATTTCTGTAGAATTTACACTGTAGCATCTTAGACCACCAAGTTTAGATTATCTGGGAAGATTATTTTAAATGCATATAATAACTAGGCTATAGTCCAGATACACTGACTCAAACATTTAGAAGGAGCTGGAAATTTCAGTCTTAATTCCCATCCCACTAAGTTTCAGTAATATTTACTTCAATACTGAGTCTCTACAATAGCATCATTGAAGTAGAAATGCAGGAAGATTGATTATGAAACTACCTTCGCAAAAATTATATCAGAGAGAAAATATGGCAGTGGGGGAGATTTGATTCAACCAACCCCCACTCTTGCCTTTAGGTTTCAAGCTGCCTTAATTATTCTTAGACTTAGGCCAAGCTAACTTTGGAAGACATTTAAGTTATAGTTTAAGTGATAATAGCCGGCCGGGCGCGGTGGCTCACGCCTGTAATCCCAGCACTTTGGGAGGCCGAGGCAGGCGGATCATGAGGTCAGGAGATCGAGGCCATCCTAGCTAACACAGTGAAACCCCGTCTCTACCAAAAACGCAAAAAGTTAGCCGGGTGTGGTGGCGGGCGCCTGTAGTCCCAGCTACTTGGGACGCTGAGGCAGGAGAATGGCGTGAACCTGGGAGGCGGAGCTTGCAGTGAGCCGAGATCGCGCCACTGCACTCCAGACTGGGCGACGGAGCAAGACTCCGTCTCAAAAAAAAAAATAAAATAAAAAAGATAATAGCCTTTGCCCAAAACTAAGCTGCCTTTGTAAAGCTAATGAAAGACCACCAGGCTACGGGGAAGAGAGGAGCCTGAACTCTGCTAAGGTGTAGACTGGTCACAAGATAGGCAACTTCTCCAATTACTCCTGCAGATAACATCACTATTGTACATTGGCCTTTTGAGATATCTTTTTAAGTTTTTTGCATGTCTGACACTGATGGCTCCACCTCGACCCACCAAACCCCCCCTGTGGCCCCACCAATGAGCTATTCAGCTCAAGAGGACAGCTTTGACCTGCTATGATTTAATCTCTGCTGCGGCCTATCGGCAGCAAGCACCCATTGCCTAGGCAGCCCCACTCCTTTTCCCAAAATGCTTCTGAAAAATCCCTCACCTACAAGCCTTCAATGATATTGACTTGAGCAGGAACTACTGGCACAGCATTTTTAAAGTGTTGAAAGCAAAGAACTGGTAATCCAGGTCATTATCCAGCAAAAATATCCCTCAGGAATGAAGGTGAAATAAAGACATTCTCAATTTATGAAGACATAGTATGTAAGCATAACTATAGTGTAAATGGGAGGGCTAAATGTTCCCATTGAAATAATAAAATATTAATTCTAAGTAAACAATGAAAAGTTAAATAAGTACTTTATAATCCGTGGAGCATCCACTGAAACAAAAAAGAAAAAATTCAAAGAGATATAGTCAAAATCACAAAACATAAATAAAACTAAACGCTAAAAAAAGTTCAACTAGCTCAAAAGAAGGCCAGAAACGTAAAATAGAAGGATGAAAAACAGAGGGGAGAAACATGAAACAAATAATAATGTGATATATCTAAATTCAATCATATCAAATATCATATACTGTTAAATCAATAAACTTATAATTTAAGACACAGATTATCAGAATGTAAAAACAAACATGACCCCAACTACATATTGTTTATTTAAAAAAAAACTTCAAATATAATGTAGGTAGGTTAAAATTAAAAGAATGGAAAAAGACATACTATTAAACACTAATCAAAAGTAGCTGGAAAAAATAATTAAAGAATATATTTGGCTTTATTAAAATATAATCATCTTTGGAGCAAAGAAATTATCAAGGATAAAGAAGGGCACTATATTGTTACCAGTGGTGAATTCATATGGGTCTGGTCTGTAGCAACTTTATACTTCCCTCCTCAGAGGAAATAATTTGGCTGAGGCACAGAAGTAGGTTTAAAGCAAAAGGAGAGACCAGGGCAAGTTTCAGAGCAAAAGTGAATGTTTACTAAAAAGTTTTAGAGCAGGAATGAAAGGAAGTAAAGTACACTTGGAAGAGGGCCAAGCAGGTGACTTGAGAGATCCAAGCGCCTCGTCTGGCCTTTGACTTGGGGTTTTACACATTGGCATCGTCCCAGGTTTGCATTTCTTCTCCCTTGATTCTTCCCTTGGAGCAGGCTGTCCACATGAGCAGTGGCCACATGCTCGGTATGTTTATTGAAATTGTGCACATGCTCGCTTAAGGTATTTTTCCCTTACCAGTCAAGTGTTCCCTGAGGAAGGTCGTATACTGGTTAAACTCAGCCATTTTGCCTCTTGGTGCACATGCTTGAGCCCACTTGCCCAATTCCTGAGATCTTATTGGGAAGCTACTGATCACCAGTTTCAGGTGTTTTCTAGCTCTTGGGAGACTGTCTTTACCTGGCATTGGCTGCAACCAATTATTATTTTAGAGAGGCAGTTTTACAACCACTTGACCATCACCTGATGGTTGCCTGACATTCCTGGTCAGGGATGAGCATGGGCCGGGGGGGCCTTCTCCCGCGCTGCTCATGTCTGCCTGACTACCTACTCTAACAATATAATGACAAAAGTTTTAGCTCACCAAAAGATATACCAATCCTAAATGTGTATATACCTAACCAAAGAGCTACAAAACAGATGCAGGAAAAACTGACAGAATCAATAGAAGAAATAGACAAATCCACAATTATAGTTGGAGACAGAAATTCAGCAAAGTTATAAAAGAACTAGACAATGTCATTAACGTATTGGACCTAGCATACTGGATTTATAGAACGCTCCATCTCACAATAGTAGAATTCACATCCTTCTCAATTTATTTTCTTGATTTTTATTTTTCCTAGGTATTGCAGCTTCAATCTTGCTGTATGCCTCTTACATGTGTTCTCTGATGCTGCAAAATTAGGACTTTATCTACACATTTCTCAACTGAGATGTGGCACCTGCTCAGAGTGTTTTAGCTATACCATTCTCCTATAACTTTAACCACTTACTCTCACCCTAACCTACAACTCTTGTGTATCTACTAAAGACGACCAGTATCGGAAAAAGAAAACATAAGAGAAGCATGTAGAAGTAATTATCATATTTTTTCTCCATAGGTCTATTTTAAATATGTGTGTGTGTTTGTGTTTGTTTATTTTTAAATACAGGGTCTTCCTATTTTACCCAGGCTGGTCTCAAATTCCTGGGCTCAAGTAGTCCTCCCACCTCAGCCTCTCAAGTAGCTGGGATTACATGCACAGCCACCATGCCTAGCTAAAGGTTTTTAATTTTAAAATATATGATAAAAATCAGAAATGTATACATAAGTAAATTACAAAAGCAATTTTAACCAACCCAGGTTTTAGAAATAGATTGTTGTCAGCATTTTAAAGCCTCCTGTTTGACCTTTCTTGTTACATTTATCTCTCTTCCCACAAGAGATAATCATTATTATGATTTCTATGAATAATTTATTATTGTTTTCCTTTGTATGAATCTCTAAACAATAAAGTTTATTTTTTCTGTCTTCTCAGTAATATAAAATTTAAATCATACTGCACATATTCTGTTGACTTTCTTCTTTTCCTCAGTACTTTGTATATGTCCATTCATGTTAGGGATTGTATCATATAGTGTTCTATTTTATGAATATACCAGAATGTTAAATTTTACTACTAATGCAAATTTGAGTTGTTTCTAGTTTGGACTATTATTTTAAAAGATTGCTATAAACGTGTTGTAGACAAACAAGTTTTCCTCTAGAGTATGCAACTTGAAGTGGGTTTGCTAAGTCATAGGAGATATATATATATATCTTTAATTTTTCTAGGTAATGACTAACCTGTTTTCCAGAGTCATTGGACCAGCTTACAATACACCAACAGAGTATGCATGTTCCCATTGCCTTATATTTGTACCAACACTTGGTATTTCTGGTTATTTAATTTTGGTCAATCTAATACATGTGTTAGGGTAGCTCATTGTAATTTAAAGTTACATGTGTTTTATTACTAATGAGGCTGAGAATGTTTTGAGTTTTGTTTGTGTGTTCCAATAAAATTTTATTTACAAAAATAGAGGTAGGCCTAAATTTGGGTGATAAAAGTCATGTCAGAAGTGGCTAAATTCGAGAATGTTTTTATATGTTTATCGGCTCTTTAGATTTCATCTCTTGTCAGTTAATGTCTTTTGAAAATTCTCTGGTAATCTTGAGTTCCACCTCAACTTCTTCCCCAGCAGTTTATCTGAGAATAAAAAATGTTATTGATGTTGGCTTTCAGACTTCTGCAGCCATTTAACATCAACTCCAAAGTTTTACAGAAGAACTGCATTTCTAAGAGGTACCTCGTGTTCCCCACCCTTACTAACGTGTCTGATTTCACATCACATACAAGATCTTCTAGAAATAATCAGGAGTCACCTTCCAAGTGAACATCCTCTTTCAATCCTACCACATTTTATTACATTTCTCCTTCTGAAGAAGACATACTAGGGTTCGAAACAGTGTGTAGAGTAAACATGTTGGAGACTGATGGGGCCATGAAAACAATTCATCATATATCCTCAAATTCTCACTTTAGAGACAAATAAAGACTCAGAAACATAAAGAGAACCAAATTTACAATATAATTTAATGATCTTTTCCATAATTCTAGATAAAATTGAAAGATTATTTTTCTAATTATGAAAAGAATACATATTCACATAGGAAATTTAAGCAATAAGATACAAAGAAGAAAATAAAATTCACTCGCCACCCCATTAACTGAAAGTAACCAGTGTATATTTTCTTTGAACCAACTTGTAAACATGTCTTTCTCTCTCGCTCTCTTTCTCTCTCTTCAATATATTTCTTTAAAAATTATTTTTAATTTTTGTGGGTACATAGTTGATATATATATTCATGGAGTACATGAGATATTTTGATGCAGGCATACAATATATAATAACCACAACAGGGTAAACGGAGTATCCATCCCCTCAAGCATTTATCTTCTCTTTGAGTTACAAACTATCCAATTATACTCTTTTAGTTATTATTGTTGACTGTAGTCACTCCATTGTGCTATCAAACACTAGATCTCATTCATTCTACTTTTTTGTACCTATTAACCATCCCTGCTTTACCCTCTCCCCACAACTACCCTTCACAGCCTCTGGTAATCATCATACTATTCTCTATCTTCATGAGTGCAATTGTTTTAACTTTTAGCTCCCCCTAAATAAGGGAGTACACGCAAAGTTTGTCTTTCTGTGCCTTGCTTATTTTACTTAACATAATGACTTCCACTTCCATCCACGTTGTTGCTAATGACAGGCTCTTATTTTTTTATGGCCAAATAATACTCCATTGTATGTATGTTCCACATTTTCTTTATCTGTTTGTCTGTTGATGGACACTTAGGTTGTTTCCAAATTTTGATTATTGTGAATAGTGCTGTAATAAACATTGGAAGTGAAAATATCTCTTCGGTATACTGATTTCCTTCCTTTTGGATATATACCTAGCAGTGGGATTGCTGGATCATGTAGTAGTTTTATTTTTAGTTTTTTGAGGAACCTCCAAACTGTCCTCCATAGTGGTTGGACTAGTTTATATTCCCACCAACAGTGTACAGTGTTCCTTTTTCTCTACATCCTCACCGGCATTTGTTATTGCCTGTCTTTTGGATAAAAGCCATTTTAACTGGAATGAAATGATGTCTCATTGTAGTTTTCGTTTGCATTTCTCTGATGATCAGTGATGTTGAGCAGCTTTTCTTGTATCTCTTTGCCATTTGCATGTCTTCTTTTGAGAAATGTCTATTCAGATCTTTTTCCCATTCTTTAATTGGATTATCAGATTTTTCCTTTAGAGTTGTTTGAGTTCTTTATATATTCTGATTATTAATTCCTTGTCAGACAGATAGCTGGCAAATATTTTCTCCCATTCTGTGTGTTGTCTCTTCACTTTGTTGATTGTTTCCTTTGCTGTGCAGAAGCTTTTTACTTTTTGTGACTTCATTTGTCCTTTTTTGCTTTGATTGCCTATGCTTGTAGGGTATTACCCAAGAAATCTTTGCTCAGTCCAATGTCCTAGTGAGTGACCCCAATGTTTTCTTTAAGTAGTTTCAGAATTTGAGGTCTTAGATGTAAGTCTTTAATCTATTTTGATTTGATTTTTGTATATGACAGGAAATAGAGGTTTAGTTTCATTCTTCTGCATACAAATATCTAGTTTTCCCAGCACTATTTATTGAAGAGACTGTCCTTCCCTCAATGTATATTCTTGGCACCCTTGTTGAAAATGAGTTCACAATAGATGTATGGATTTGTTTCTTGGTTCTCTATTCTATTTTATTGGTCTAGGTGCTTATTTTTATGGCAATACTGTGCTGTTTTGGTTACCATAGATTTCTAGTATAATTTGAAGTTAGGTGATTTGTTTCTCCAGTTTTGTTCTTTTTGCTCAGGAAAGCTTTGGCCATTATCTGTCTTTTTTGGTTTCATATAAATTTTAGGATTGTTTTTATATTACTGGGAAGACGGTTATTTGGCATTTTGATAAGGACTGCATTGCATCTGCAGATTGCTTTGGGTAGTATGGACATTTTAACAATATTGATTCTTCCAACCCATGAACGTGGAATATCTTTCCATTTTTCTGTGTCTTCCTACAATTATTTCATCAATGATCTATAGTTTTCATTGTAGACATCTTTTCCTTCTCTTTTTCAGATTTTTCACTGCCGGCATGCAGAAATGTTACTGATTTTCATATGTTGATTTTATGCACTTTTACTGAATTTGTTTATCAGTTCTAATAATTTTTTGGTAGAGTCTTTAGGTTTTTTCAAATGTAAGATCATATCATCAGCAAACAAGGATAATTTGACTTCTTTCTTTCCAATTTGGATGCTCTTTATTTCTCTTTCTTGTCTGATTGCTTTAGCTAGGACTTCTCCCCTAAATTTTTTATTTGTCATTTAGCTTAATTCTTTATTATAAACAATATTATAATGAATATTTTTTGGCATGTATTATCCCATATTTATTTGATGTTTTTCTTATTATAAATTCCTGGAAAATAGGATATCACATTTATGTTTTACTAGTTTACATTTGTTAACAAACTTTTTCCTTGAAAGTATCAATTTAGTCTGAATGCTGGTTTCCTCATGTCTTTACTGACATTGAATATTGTCAATCTTTTTAATATTTCATAGATTGACAAAAAATGTGAAAAATCATTGCTTTGTGTATGTGTGTGTTTTTGAATGCCAGTTATGTTGACATGTTGTCACATGTTTAATAGCTTTTTACATTTCCCTTTAGAATTGCTTGTCCATGTCCTTTGTCAATTTGTAATTGGAATGTTTGTTTTATCTTATTGATTTTGAAATTTTTGTATGTATTAAGATCATTAATATTTTTATCATATATGGTGCAGATAACCTCCAGTTTTTAATCTCTTAACTTTGTTTTGTTTTATTAAACTAAGATTTTAAGAAAATGTTTTGTTTGATGTACTAATTATAATACAAATGATTAGAAATATATAAACAAAAATGCTAATGATCCCATATTTGTGTGATAATACCAAAAGTGACAGTGGTAGACAGTGTATTATTGTCTTGTCTGCCCAGCATGCAAATATTCAGTATGGCAAGCAATTTCCTCCCACCTCTACAGTATGTGAAAATATGTCTCTCTCAACATGATTTAGCAGCTAGAGTTAGGCATGTGAGTCAACACAGCAACTTAGTAGCTGCTACGGAAGAAAAAGAAAACTGGGGGAGTGACACAAAGATAAAGGGCCAAACAGGGGCTCTGTGAAGCAGCTACCAAGAGTTGACAGCCTAGTGACATGATGTAAATCAAATATTCAAAGATGTAGGCAAGCAGCATATCAGCTAATTGTCCAGTGGCATCAGGGCCAGAAATGTCACATGAGCAGGGACAATTATGCCAAAAGTGATGCCCTAAGCAAACAAACACTTCTTATAACAAAATCTTATCTGTGCAGAGTTTTTTGCACAACCAAGATCCTGCTCAGTCTTGGTTCTCATCCTTTCTGTTGATTATGTAAGCCACCTGATACCCCTGTCTGTCTGCACTTCCACTTCTGGCTTAGTTCCATGACTTTCTTCCCTTTTACTTATTTCTAAGCCTTCTATAATCACATGATAGATGATATAACAGACCATACAATTGTTAGTTTTTAAATTAATACATAAAGCAATACAAAATATGTTATTTTATTACCTCTATCTTTAATTTATATGGCAGAATTTCAGGTATAATTTTCAGACACGTATTTGCCAAATTTGCTTCAGGAAGTTATATTTAAACAAGCAAACAAATCTGGACTCACATATGCCTTAAGAATTTTGTAATATACATAGCAATGTTCTTTTCATTTTAAAATAAAATATGTGGTTAACTGAATAATTTTTAATTTACATAATCTGTTGATAAAGCAACATGGAAACTTTATTTAAAATAGGTGTCATTCACCATCACATGTACATGTTGAAATCTGCAAGGGCATGCTTTGATTATACTGGAAAAAAAAGTATTTCTTGATTATACTGGAAACATAAATTTATTGAAAGGAAATTTTCCTGTGTAATACTATCAACTACCAAATGTCACAGATTTTGAAGAAAGAAGAAAATGAGTGATTCTTCAATTAAAAACCCCACGTGAAGCAAAATAATTTGCAAGTTCAATTTGACACTTAATAGACATCTGGAGAAACATTTGGTAAATTTAGAGAAGTTCCACTGGATGTTTCAGAACTCCTTACTGCAAATTTATCTCATTAAAACCAAAGTCAAATCATTATTTAAAGTGACATCATTTTTCTCCGAGTAATTAAAACTAAAATCCAACTTTTAATAACATTTAACTGTACTTTACTTTTTAATAACCATTATCTCGTGGTAGGTCCAAAATTTCGGAAAGTTATAGCAGCTATACATAAAGGCAAACTGACTTTACTTATTAACATCTTAATTACCCTGCCCAGTTAATCTTGGAGTTCACTGTGTGATTTGCTTTGGCTAATGGAAGGTGAATGGATGTGAAGTACACCATGACTGAACAGAAACTTTGAGCACTCAAGTGGTTGGGCTCACTTAGCAGCTATTTTATTTATTCCATGAGAACTGCATGGCCCAAATAGAGACTGCTCCTTCCACCTGAATTCTCAAATGAAAAAAGACTCATAGAAAAAGAGTAGACTTGGGTTATCTCTGTTTAGCAGTGGCCTACGGATTACAAGTAATGAGAGAAACCAAATAACTTTGTTGTCATAAGCAATTCAGATTTAAGAGATACTTGCTATGCATCATAACCTAATGCAAGCTGACTAATACAAGTGGTATTGGTCCTCATCGTGGCCCAGTCTACATCTTCAGATCAAAAAATTCTGCATATTCTATGTTACTTATTTAAAAAATAATAATAATGAGAGATAAAGTATATGCATCTTAACCCCAATATACCCAGCAGAATTTCTGTTATTTACCTTAATTAGAACAGGTTAAATCACACATTACTCTGACTTGGGGTAGGAATATGGAATGAGATACTGTAGTCTACATATTCCACTACCGTAGCCCAGGGTGGAAGCAGTTTCTCTAACACTGCAAGTATCACTCAGTGGAAATTAAGGACTTTTGGAAATTGAGAAAAGAGAAATAAATGATTAGAAGACAGTTTACAATTATTTGTTACACCATGAAACAAGACACTTTTTAGTGCTCCCTTATAAATACTATTGTAACCTTTGAAGAAAATGGGTGCATAGTTTATATTTGCAAATATTTAAAATGTGGATAGAAATATAACTTAGGGATCAAGTCATATTAGTGGTTAAGATCTATTAGATTAGTGGTTAAAAATTTAACCACTAAAAGATTACATGGTTAGTTTGATACAGAAGTCACTAAAATATTTTGTAACCAGTGAGGAAGGTTATGGAATAAATCTAGATATTTGTACACATATTTGAATCTGTGGTACATTTCAGATTAACTAATGTAGGTAGTTAACAGAGACCATTTCATGACTTTCATCTTCAAAATATGTTGTCCTATCTGAAAATTAAATAGATGCATACATTGTACAATATGTCCATTTCACTTTGTTTACCAATGGTAGTCAGAACAAGCGTGTGTATGTTTTCTCTGTCTTTAAATTCAGTAGCAGTTGTGTGAGATTTTTAACCATATTTAACTGTTCAAATGAAAATGAGTACATATAGAATCAGAAGAGGTGGGTGACAAAATGTATTACATAAAACAGTAAGGAATCAAAGGTGCCTCAGGAATGGACAAATGATAAATAAGATGCAGTATCATTAAGGATGGAGGGATAGAAATGCAGGCAGCAACAGTGAAAGCTGGCAGAAAAGTAAGTGCCTCAGTCCCCTAAAAGGATTAAAAGCTCAGAATAATAACTTTGATTGGAAGATTTCGAAAGTTACTTTTCCTTATAATAAATCACATCAAATTATTTCTTTTCTTTCTATAGAGAGATAATCAAAAATTTTAAAAGAAAAAATGGAGTCAACCCAATGACATAGTTGTCTTATTTATTCCTGAGAGCCCACACTTCTGAAGAAATCTATGGGTAGACAAATGGAAAAAAAAGGATGTCATTTACATAGTTTTTCAGGATATCTGTTATTCTAACTTTACTACATAGGAAAAAATTGAAACAGGATTTGATTGATTGTGAAAATGCCTTTTCTTCCTTCAAAAAATACCCCTTCAGTGGATGCATGTATTATTAGTGAAAATAGCTCAGTTGCATCACCTACTGTGAACATACAGCTGTATCAATCAATGCTGGTTTTTTTTTTTTCCTTCAGCAAAGCAAAAGAAAAATTTTTAGACAGGAAATGGAAAGGAAAGTCAAGTAATTGTGTTGTATTTTTTTCCCATTTGGGAGTGAAGTGAGCTTCCAGAAATAAAACAGCTGCAGCAGGCAATACATCCCCATTGTTATGGTTGCTGCTCTAATGATTTTAGGAGAGTACCATGCTATTAATTGAGCTTGCATCTTGTGATTTCCTAAAGTCTGCTCTCATGACTGGAACTATAACCAGGAGTCAAAACTTGACTGAGCTTGTTTGATGATGACATGCCCTTGGAGTCCCAGCTACTCAGGAGTCTGGAGTTCAAGACTAGTCTGGGAAACATAGAAAGACTCCATCTTTAAAAACAAAACGAAGCAAAAAATAAAAACAAAGCAAAACAACTTTCATTTCTCTTTCCCTGTGTCTTGTTTACCATCTTTGCTTTGTTCTTTTTGTCATTTAAAGAGAAAAAAGAATTTGTGCAGGACTTTACCTCTGGGCAGGTGGATTCTCACTCGGGACTAGGGTGCCATGTTGCACAGTGTTAAGGGTTGTTAATCAAAATGTAGCAAAAGCCTGGATATAAATGTTTTGAAGTTCCTGGAGTTCCACAGGGCACTATTCACCTAGAAAACAATATTAGTGCTGTCCCCTGGGGTTTAGGGACACAATAGTATTGCATGAAGCCTGCTATGTGAGTCCTCCAAAACCTTGGGCTCCAGTGAGAAACAGAAGCTGTAAGAAACTAGCTTCACCATCACCACTAAAAGTACCAACAGTCTGAGATAAGGAGAGAAGTCACTGGCAACATTTTACATCCATGATATGGCATTATGCTTCCTTCCCTTTTTTACCCTGTGGCTATTTATTTGGGAAGATAATAAATAAAGGAGTTATATATGAATGAAAGAAATAGAAGGTCATTCAATTTGTAGATAATGGTAAATTGATAGATCATACTGAAGAGTGAAGAGATCTTAGATAGCTGAAGAATTGAAAATTGTAGATGAGAAAAAATGGCCATTTTGTGCTGTAGCTTCAATTTACAAATGAGTAAATCAAAGCCTAAACAGGATTTTAGGTTCCTAACTCAAATCAATCAGGAAAGCTCTACTTCTTTATGTTTTATTTTAAAATGCTGCCTTGTAAGATTTCTTCTGCATAAAAGATTACCAGTGCCCAGCACAAACACTATCTTTCACCCAAGCTAAGGCATACCTTGTCTCATAAAAAGCAATTGTAAAGCAAGTACTTTAGGCAGAAGGATGGTAATCCTAGGAATGGAGAGAAAGGTAAGTGAAAAATGAAGAATGGTCATATAAAACAATAATATGTTTTATAGTTAAATATTAAGATTAAAGTATATAAATCAATAACATGTAAGTCTAGAAAGGGGCATTAAGTGGAAATAAAATGATCTACAGTTCTAATATTGTCTGAGAGAAAGACAAAAGTATTGAGTATGTTTGGACTTAGTGAATTAAGTATGCAAATTTTGATTTCTAGTGTTATCACTAAAAGAATTAAAAAGTGTATTTTTAACTGAGCAGAGAGGAAATAAATTCTTTAGCTGTTTCTTCTGCTATGTACTTTCATATTTCTAAGCAATCTGTTTATATGGCTGCTTGATCAATTTTAGACACTATTAATTATTTGCCTTTTATGTCATCTAACCACTTTTAATACCATGACCACACCATTTTCTTTTCTTGTGTCGTTCCCAATATAGTTATATCATGGCTCTGAGGTAAATCAATATTCAGCTTTAATACTGTCATGACTATATAAATAATGTTACTTGCTAAAACAAGTTTATTGAAAATGTATTTCCTTTCTTGTATAGCATTTTGCCATTTTTCTGGAATAATAATGGCCTCATTTTTCCTTTTCATCCATCATGTATCTCTAATTCTTCATAGAAGTTCCCTTGGAATGAGAACGAGGGAGGGGGATGAGTAAGGCTGAATATTAAAATATTTAACAACCAATAACTTACATATATGCCAACTAATCCAATAGTCTCTGTCCATAAACAATCAGCAAGACTGCTCCAGGATACACCCACCAAACATCAGCCCTGGGGATGGGAATTTAGGAGGAAAGAGTGAAACCTTGGAATGCTATTTGACCATTTAAACAATATGTGTAAATTATATCTGTATTAGGCCATTCTCTCATTGCTATAAAGAAACACCTGAGACTAGGTAATTTTCAAAGAAAAGAGGTTTCATTGGCTTACAGTTCTGCAGGCTATACAGGAATCATGATGCTGGTTTCTGTTAGGCTTTCTGGGAAGGCCTCAGGAAACTTACAATCATGGCAGCAGGTGAAGAAGGAACAGGCACATCACACAGTCCAAGCAGAAGCAAGAGAGAGAGGGGAGGTGCTACACACTTTTATATGACCAGATCTCATAACTCACTCACCGGTGAGGATGGCACTAAGGTGATGATACTAAACCATTCTTGAGCAATCTGTCCCCATGATCCAATCACCTCCCATCTCTAACACTGGGGATTACAAATGGACAAGAGACACAAACCATATCAATGCCAAATAAAAACTAAAATTAATTTAAAATATAAATATATTTGCTTATATTTAGTCCTTTATTCCAAGCTGATCAATTTGATGCTAAATAATTAATTATGTGAAATATCCACAAAATAAAATGCAAGTAGGTATTTGAAGAAAAAGTCTATAGCAGGGGAAAATGTGTCTGGTGTATAAGAGGATTGCTCAACAACCAAGGCACTTACTTTCTAACGAATAAATACTTTTGCCACTGTTTAGAGCCAGAAGCTGAATAATATACATGAAATTATTCAAAGCAAAATGAATTGAATTAAAGAGATAAGGCAGATTTCCTCTTGAGGAAACTGTGAAGCAATTGCACCCTATTAGGTGTTAATTTTCAACAGGTACTGCTTAAATGTAATGTAGCATCATCCTTGTATTTAATAAGGTCTCTGAGTTGTATGTCTTGGTGCCAAATTTTATACTGATTCATTTAAATTGGATGAAGTTACTACACCTCCCCCAACACAAATAGAGACAGACATGCCATTTAGTAACTGTAAGGGGCACCACATTAATTATCATTCTTAATTTCCCTCTAGAAATCATTTCTGTCAATAATTCTATCTCAACTAAGATGAATGGGAGAAAAGGGCATTAGATTTAAGCAGCAGGCTGCTGACAAACGGATTTTGGGACTACAGCCAAGATTAGATCATGAACGTATGAAACAGTGGAAACGTGTCATATATGCCATCTATTTTGTGGTGTACAAATATACAAAAAAGAGAGAAAAATAATCTTTCTTAATGTTGAATTTTTGTTAAAATACAGAGTACCTACTAATACAAAAACTTTTGTAGGCTCTCAGTATGAAAGACTTTTCTTTTGAATTGATTATCAAATGAAAGTCTTCCTCTTATATTTTGAAGTTCAAGGACAAAAGCCGGAAGCAAAATCTAGGAAGAATTCAAAAATAAAAAAGTGTAACTGAACATTGAAAACAGTATGAAATTTGCTATAGAGAAGATATTAAAACTCTGTGAATATCAAGCAATGCACAGAAATAAATTAACAATGTGTGTGTGAGAGTTACAAAGTAATACGAAACTATTAAACATTAAGTTATTTTATTCAATTCAATAAATATTTAAGAGAGGGTATGGAGATAGTAGAAAATGTCATGGTCTTGTCCTTGTGAAAAATATAATCTAAAAGTGGAAACAGAGTCATACAGAAATAATTTTATAATAACCAAACAATTAGAGATCTGTGGTTAATTTTGCCTGGGGCTGGATTGAGGATGACTATTTAAGAAAAACCTATTTGAAATATATGTAAGTGATTATTAAATAAATACAGAAAAAGATGCATTTTAGGCAGATGGAACAGCAAGAAAGCGTGAAAGTACACAATATATTGAACGAAGCATAAAGAGTGTGAGGTGGTTAGAATTTATAGCAAACTTTTTTGTCTGAAAAGAGCACTTATTGGGAGAAACTACTAGAAGTCTAACACATTTGCTGTTTCCTGCATTTATCTAATTTCTCAAACAATTAGATAAATAGCGTGTTCTATTGGAATTATGGCTCCAGCTCATGTTTATTTGTGCTCTCCATTTTGTAAGTAATTAGAATTTGTACTCCAAATAGAAATTACTTTACCTAATGTGTACAGCAATACCCTCTCCATAACCGTAACCACGCACCCACCAACAGGATCTAAAGCACTATCTCAAAACACAGGCATATCCTATCAGCAGCCTTTACAGGTTTGAGCATATATTTTCTTCCTATTTCTGTCTTGGCCACCTTATGCGATATTATCAACATAGGATATGAACCAAGAAAATCTAAACTTGAAACTTAGTTATTTTTCTACCACATCAACCAAGAAATAATGATTGTCCTAGCATATCAAAATGCTATTTCAGAGATTTTAAGAGCTACAGAAATTCAATCCATTAAAATAAGTTGTGGGAAGGCCTGGGGTGCTATTCAGCATAGATAAAATAAAGAAATATTATATTTTTACATAATTTTTATCCCCTTAGAAAAAGCATATCCTTTTTCAATGAATAATATACATAAAAGTCTTACATAACACCTGTTTGCTATTATAACTTTGTCATCTTCTTTATCCTCAAGATATTATGACTTGACACAATGCAGCTAATTTTTATAATTCACATCATAATCTCTCAATGTTTTATCTACATTGCCAATTTTAAATGTTAATAAAAATGTAAGGGAGTCTTTTGGAGTATGTATTTTAGCTATTGCTTGGATAAAGGGAATTCAGATGACTCTCAACTTTTCACAGCAGAATTTTCAATCTTTGATTTTGTGACCTTGTTCTCATAAATAAGATCTCCACAAATCTCATATTTATAATTTTATTGACTGTGATGTTAACACTCCTGATTTTGAATGATGGAAACTGTCCCTCCTTCAGCATTTACAATTATAAGGCTTTCAGAGACTTTCATGTTCTTTAAATGTTTTCAATATTAGTAGCCCCAAAGTTGAACGCCAAGTATTACTTAACAGCCCTGGTGTCAGGAGGGCCTTACAAAATAACCATGTTTGCATTTATGCTAGTTCTGAGGGGGATATTTGCCAGTCTTTACCTTCCTTGCGCTAGGAATTTCCAGCTGTTGAAGTAAAGATGAACATAACTTGACAACCCTTAAAGTCAAAGCATATAGATGTTCCTGCCTTCCAAATAAATTGCAAGCAATAATATTTGAAACAAAATTTTAAAAGGTGGAAATATTTATAATATTTAATGTGGAATGAGATCATCAACCATGCATCCCGATTGTCAAATATTTGCCAAAACTTCATAGACTTTTGAAAAACTGGTTTCATATAAGGCAAGTGATGGATATGTCAACTTCTATTAGCTTATGAGCTGAATTTTTCCAAATTATTCCTTATTATAAATATTTTCATTAAAAATTATAAGGAAAAAGAGAACATTCTTATTGGTTGTGTTGACTCATTGCCTGGGTGTTTGTTCCAGCAAAGGAATAAACAAAATAGGCTTTGGAAAATAACTTATCTATTATCATATATCTATGGAAATTAGTTTATATTTAAACAATCATGCTTTCATATGAAATCATATGAAACTTAGGAACATAAAAACTTTCATGAAAATCTCATCAAAGTCCATTAGGAAAGCTAACATCAGTCATGATGTTCAGGAACTTCATATAGAAAGAACTTATCTCACTTTAGGGAATCAACAAGACAGTTCAACTCTCACTTTCTCCTCTAAGTCATCCAAAGCTAGTGGTAAAAAGTCTTGCCTGCTTTTTCATCCATAATCATTATACAAGAAGATGTGATATTCAAATAACATTTTTAATGATATATTCTCAGGACATTTTTTAAACTTTTATGTTCAGGGGCACATGTGCAGGCTTGTTACACAGGTAAACTTGCGTCATGGGGCTTTGTTATGCAGATTATTTCGTCACCCAGGTATTAAGCCTAGTACCCATTAGTTATTTTTCCTGATCCTCTCCTTCCTCCTACCCTCAACCCTTCAATAGGCCTCAGTGAGTGTTGTTCCCCTCTATGTGTCCATGTGTAATCATAATTTAGCTCCCACTTATATGTGAGAATATGGTGCATTTGGTTTTCTTTTCCTGCATTATTTTGCTAAGAATAATGGCCTCTAGCTCCACCCATGTTCCTGCAAAAGACATAATCGTATTCATTTTTTATGGCTGCATAGTATTCCATGGTATATGTACCATATTTTCTTTATCCAGTTTATCACTGATGGGCATTTAGGTTGATTGTATGTCTTTGCTATTGCAAATAGTACTACAATGAACATACATATGCAGGTGTCTTTATAATAGAAAAATTTATATTGATTTTGGTAGATACCCAGTAATGGGATTGCTGGGTTGAATGGTATTTCTGTTTTTAGGTCTTTGAAGAATCATCACAATGTCTTCCACAGTGGTTAATTAATTTACACTCTGACCAACAGTGTATAAGCATTCCTTTTTCTTTGCAATCTCTTTGACTTTTTAATAGTAGCCATTCTGACTGGTGTGGATGGTACTCACTGTGGTTTTGATTTGCATTTCTCTAATGATCAGTAATGTAGAGCTTTTTTTCATTTGATTGTTGGCTGCATGTATGTCTTCTTTTGAAAAGTGCCTGTTCACATCCATTGTCTTAGGATAATTTAAGTGGTCTTCTGTCACAGAAAGAAATTAAACTCTACTTAAAAGTCAACTTTAATATTTTGCTTTAAAAAACGGTGGAAAATCACTTCAAAATTTTGAAATTTATTTCCAGATGCTAAGTCCAGGAAACTGCATGGTTATATTAGAAAAGACATAAAGTATTAACAGAAAACAATGAAAAATAATGGACATGATAACTAACCTGAATGATCAAGAAAAATACTATGAAATTAACTAATATTATAAAAGGAGTCAAGGAATCCTGAAATTCTAAACCTTTTTTTTTTTTTTGTATTTTTAGTTGAGACGGGGTTTCACCATGTCAGCCAGGATGGTCTTGATCTCCTGACCTCATAATCCGCCCGCCACGGCCTCCCAAAGTGCTGGGATTATAGGCGTGAGCCACCATGCCCAGCCTAAACCTTGTCTTAAGTTTAAACCAGCAATCAGAAGTGAGGTTCGGGGTTATATTTATATGGTTATTTTACTGGAATTCATAACAGAAGTGACTATTATGCTCTACTATGTTAGCACAGAGAATATAATAAATAAAAGACAGGCACCATGCCCTCAAGAAAATTATCATCCATGCTTTTCTCTTCATTTGCATATGGCAAGAGCTAAAAAACTCATATATCTAAGATAACTCTACACTACAATGTTGTAGTAGACTGACATTTTTATTTCTCAATCCAAATGGAGTTATTTCCATTAATAGGAGGAGGAGAGAAGGAAAAAGAGAAAGGAGAAAAACTTTACCTCTAATAATATAATTATGCTACCAAGTTTTATGTGAAACTTGTTTATAATAATGTTTGCTTTTATTGAATTTTCCAAACATTTCCCAAATATAAGTCACAAAAGTTGTTAGCAAAAGAAATATTCAAATTTGTTTTTTAAAGAGCTATTTTATGAATATACAATATTGTCAAGCTGTTCAAAAAAATGTTCCTGCACAATTTAAAGTACTTTGAAATATCTTTTATCATCCTTAACTTTAGCATTAGAGAAAATAGGAAACCACCAACTTATCTACCATCACTTAGCAACTTAAATACTTTAAGATTAGATCTTTAATAAAGATATTTAGCAAAAATAATTTGAATTCTTCTAAAGAAGTAGTATTGGAAAAGACAATGTTATCTAAGATTCTTAATGACTTTAGGCTAATTAAAAAAACAAAACTCTTATAATAGTAACACAAGGATTTCTCCTATTTGAAAATATTAATTTTCCACTGTGTTTTACATTATTTAAAAGTCACTTTAATATAATTGCACACAATATTTTGTCCATTTTTCTGTGTCATGGACCCACAGACAAATGATAAAAATTAAATCATAGAGGGATTATAATTACTAAAACTGAAAATGATCTCTGAAATTGGAGCTAAATATTCTCTAGCTAATGAAGCACATGGGCAGCTGTAAATTAACCAGTAATTCAAAATTTGTCAAAAGTATTTGGTAATATTAAACCTTAGCTAACACCACATATCAAATTTCTGTCATCTTATCATAGCAAGGCCACCTAAATCTTTAATTCTCCCTCTGGTTCAGCACTGTACTTAATAAAAAACACTTAAGACACACTTAACACACATATTAAAATTATGTTGAGTGAAATAAGCAAAGTACAGAGAGATAAACTGCATGATTTCCTGATATGGTTAGGCTTTGTACTCCCATCCAATTCTCATCTTGAATTGTGATAGTCATATTCCCAATGTGTCAAGGGAGACACCAGGTGGGGGTAATTGAATCATAGAAGTGGTTTCCCCCCATGCTGTTCTCATGATAGTGAGTGAGTTCTCATGAGACCTGATGGTTTTATAAGGGAAGGGGCTCTTCCCACTTCACTTGGTACTGCTCCTTCCTGCCACCCTGTGAAGAAGGTGTCTTGCTTCCCCTTTGTTTTCCACCATGATTGTAAGTTTCCCGAGGCCTCCCCAGCCATGCTGAACTGTGAGTCACTTAAACCTCTTTCCTTTACAAATTACCCAATCTTGGGCAGTTCTTTATAGCATTATGAAGACAGACTAATATATCTCCATATGTGGAATCTTGAAAAGTTGATCTCATAGAAATAGAGAGTAGAATGGTGATTATGAGGAGCTAGAGTAGTTGGGGTGGAGGAAGGGGTTCGAGAGGTATTGTTCCAAGTGTACAGATTTTAGTCAGATAGGAGGAATAAGTCCAAGAGATGCATTGTACAACATGGTGACTATAGGTAAAAGATTTCATTCTTGAAATACACTAAGAGAGTGGATGTTTAGTGTTCTCACTATAAAATGATAAGTATGTGAGGTAACACATGTTAATTTGCTAATTTAGTCATTCCACACTGTACATATATTTCAAAGCATCATGTTGTACATGATAAGTACATAAAATTTTATATTTCAATTTGGAAATTAAGTTTTAATTAATTTAATGTTTAAAAAACCCTTCAGGGTCTAATACAATTATTCCATGGGAAATATAAACTGTTTTATTTAGGTTTTTGTTTCCTATTAAGAGAAACAGATATAACTTGACATTTAGAAATATAATTTATTATTCCCAAATTCATCATACCCATTAAAATACAACTGGGGATAGAAATGATGTTGGAGCACTTTGGGAGGACGAAGTGGGTGGATCACTTGAGGCCAGGCGTTTGAGACCATCCTGGGCAACATGGAAAAACCCCATCTCTACTGAAAATACAAAAATTAGCTGGGCATGGTGGCATGTGACTATAGTCCCAGCTACACGGGAGGCTGAGGCACGAGAATTGCTTGGGCCTGGGGGCATAGGTTACAGTGAGCCAAGATTGCACCACTGCACTCCATCCTGATGACAGAGTGAGACCCTGTCTCAAGAAAGAAAGAAGTCTCAAGAAAGAAAGAGAGAGAGAGAGACAGAGAGAGGGAGGGAGGGAGGAAGGAAGGAGGGAGGGAGGGAATGAAGGAAGGAAGGAGAAAGAAAGAAAGGAAAGAAAGAAAGAAAGCAAATAAAGAAAAGAAAGAAAGAAAGAAAGAAAAGAAAGAAAGAAAGAAAGAAAGAGAAAGAAAGAAAGAGGAATGATGTTGGATACTCTACGTGTCTCCTAAAATTACTTCCATAGTTTAAGAAGTACAAACATGGCCATGATAAGGAAACATTCAGTTTTGTTTTTCCGATCAAACTTTGCTTCTAAGTAGAGAGAGACCAAATTAAATCATGGTGTTGGTGAATCATGCCAGTGTTCTTGGAAGGGGGGACTTAGTGTGACTTTCAGATCTAGACTGAACTGTGGTGGGCAAGAAATGGAAAAAGGGATCTAGATCTTAGAGCTTATTCTCTAATTTATTTTTCTTTTCCAGATTGAACTATTTTCTTTTCAACTACCATCGGCTCACACCACACACAAAACACATTTTTATTCAACCCTAAAGTTTGCAGATTCTTTTGAAACAGAGGAATTTAAAACCCATTAATGGTATTTATTTCTCATTCACTCTTCCACTGGTCACCCTGATCTTTAGTTTATTCTGCCTTATGATCTACCCTATACATGACTAATGGTATTATATGATGCTCCTCCAGTACTGTTTTTTATACTATTATTACCCTGGCTCCTTATAATATTATTAGCCAAATGTCCTTACCTTGCCAGCCTTTGAGTATGATATAAATTATATTTTTGTTTAATAATCCCCATCAGAATGTCCCAATTACTTATGTCCCTTCAGAGAGCCTTGTTTCTCTACTCAGTAACATTTCTGCGTGTTTTATTATAGTCTGGAATATTTCAATCTCTCCAGTGTCTCCACCAGGTGGCCCCACTGCCTCCATTACTGCTGCTGACCCTCCTAAGACTAGGCCTCCATTTTTCACAGCTGTCCTCAAGTGGGGGCCATTGCTAGACCACTGCTCTGGCATTGAAGGATTAGTCAGAATCATCCCTAAATGTTTATTGGTTTTCTTCTCAGCACTGGCCTGGCATAAGCTATACACCCATTTTTATTTCCTATGGCTCAGCAGAGATGAAACTATATATTTAAGATACATAGTTTTTACTAAAGATTTGCGTAAAAATGAAGGTAAAGTGCAAACGGGGAACTACTTACAACGACTGCTAGGTGTCACTACTCTCAGAGCACATAGGCTAAGAGGCTTCCTCAGTAATTTTCATCAGGCCTTCTCCCCATCCATTTCCAATGCTGTCAAAATGAGATTAAAAACCAGGTTACTCCTAACCAGTGGGAATACTTTGACTATGCACAGTTCCTAGTCCAGAATAAAACAGTCACAGAATACAACAAGAAACTTATATTTGTTTTCCCCCAACAAGGTGTAACACATATCCTTAGACCTTATTTCCTGTTTCGGGAGACCACCTTAGATAATAGGGAGACGGTGTATTCTTTTCAACCAAAGCCCTTCTACCTGTCACAGAAGTATATTTTAATTTGATTTCAAGAAGATAATTACACTGGAATATAGAACCTAACATCAACAAATTCTGTAATTATTCAGTCTTAAAAATATTGCCAGCTGTGAACATCAACAACTCAAACTGTGTATGGCTATGCCATGAGGAGATCAGTTCCATGACAGTTTTTCCATAGTAGGAGTTTTAGAAATTGCAGATGAAACTACCAGTATGGTTACAATGCATATCAAGAAAGCTATACTTAATTTCCTAGTCTACAACATCTGCACTCAGGTAACTTCAGCCATCCCTAAGACTATTGCTTTTTGTATACATAACTAAAAGGGTCTTGGTAATTGTTCTCGTATCTTTGGAATAGCTTTTACTGGCTGCTATATCCATGAAAAGCAGGTGGAGGGGGAGAATTATTAGTCTCAATGGGCAAATTTTACACTAGAGTATCCATTCCATGATATAACTTCTAAACTTAGCATCTTTAATCTAATCTTCAAGACCATATAAAAGTTTTCGATCACATAATTCATCAATATATAACTATTTCTTTACACTCTGGCTAAAAATCATCTCCATGATTTTTTTCTTACTGATTGCCACATCACTCCTTCTGCCTGGAATCTAAACTTACAAGTTAGATACAAGAATACAAGCCTGTATTCTTCACTTCCTTCAAAGCCAAGTGCAGCCAATGTTTATTGGTTGCCTTCTCAGCGCCAATTTTCCCCTTTCCCCTTCCTATTAGCATCTTGTTTTCATTTGAGATACAGAATCTTCTGAGGAATTTACTTCTCTCTCAAAGCCAGGGATGGGGCATATGCACTCCATACCCACAAGCCACAGTAATTCATTCAGAAATTCTCCCAGGATAACTCAGCCTCTGGAGAGTAAGAAGAGTGTTTGAAGTTTGGAATTCTGTAATCATTATTGTTTCCAGAAGAGAGGTGCCTGAATATGATGCCAACGTGCCGAGGGCAGCAGACACAAAAGCTTACAAACAAATGGAGCCAGATCCTTGATGACATTTTGTATCCCAGGATGAATTCTTTTCAGAAGCCAGATCTACCTTTGAACTTTCTTGTTACAGGAGCTGATGAATTCCCTTTATTTTTGTATCCGAGTGGGACTTTCTGTTTCTTGCAATGGAGGGTATATTTTCTACTACTCATAGTGTAAACTTCATCTTCTTTGGGAAGCCTTTTATCCTTGAAACCACCTGACTTTTTCTCTCCTACTTATCTTTTCCTTGGCTGTTAAGCTGCAGTATACTAGGGTAATCTGCAATAATCCACAGTAATGGCAAATTAAATTACCAAAAATCAGTTTTAGTATTTAAAATGTTCCTAATTTGATTACAAGCTTTAAAAGGCATAAAAAAAACCTTCTCTTGCATTTTTTCTGTCAAGAACCATATACAAATGTGGTTCTTGAAATTTTAATTCAGAAAATGTTGACAAATATCAATAAATGAGGCAAACAGCAAAAACAGTAGAATTTTGTTTTACAGATAATGACTTAGTAACATACATCTCATGGTTAATAGATTAACCATGTAATAGGTTAACACAATACTTCTGGAGGCTCCTGAGTGTGTTTGTAAGGGATGACAGGATAGTCTAAGATTTGATTCCAGATATCAAAGCTGATAATTTCGCTGGTGATAAAACTATTCATTAAACAGTTACAGAGCAATGAATGTTTTTCACAAGGCATCATTTAGCTTTTCTTCAGAACTGCAAATCCTCATTACAGAGAATGAGTGTAATTAATAGCTTAAAATTCATAGCAGGCTCTCAAATGCTGAGCTGAATTAATAGTTTAGATTTACACAATTCTCTTTCTAGATTTTATGTTGAATTGAATTCCAAAGTTAGCCATTTTCTTTTCCTAATTAGCCTCAATTCAAAAAATATTAATTGAATATTTATATTGTACCCTGTACTATGCACAGCTTTAGAGACACAATGGTGATCAATACAGGAGGTTTCTGTTCTCAGGGAGCTTGCTGTCTAGCACATATCAATACTTCAGATATATAAGGAAAGTAATTTGAATTCAATTTGAGAAATGGCGTGGGAAGCTCAATATGCTGTGGAAGTACATAAAAGGGGTGAACATTTTACCCGTTTGGTAGAATCACAAAAGATATCCCAGCAAAATCATGTCTAAGTGAAAACTTCAGGTTAAGTAGGATTCAGGTGGCTAGATTGAGGAGAGAGACAGTGTCGAAAGAATGCCGCAGGAAGACAGAACAGCATTTGTGAAGGACTAAAGCAAGACCATTAGGCAATAACGATTTGATATTTTGTTTAGTTTTGTGTTAAAACCAAATTGGGTGCACAGAAATACAAAAGTGAATTTTCTAACTTTTGAATTTTCAAAATTCTTCTCAATAAGCTAGAGCATTCAGGTCAGAGCTATAGGAAATCAAAATGAAATGTTGGATTTGGGCATCTCCTGATGTTGCATTTGAAATAACTCTTTGTGTGGGTTCTTTGGGTTAATTGTTGTAATAATTTAATATCAACAAAAGGAAAAAATTATGACTTCATTAACTTCCATTTGTCCCATATCAAAGATTAAAATCCCATTACTTGCATGGGTCATAGTCAGATTAACCTAATCTTACTGTGTAGTACGTGTTCACTGGCAGTGCACAGGCATTCAGGTAACAGGGAAATAGAAGAAAATTAATATTTAAGTGCCTACTACATGTCACTGTGTTTTATATATGCAATTTTATTTAATTTCAATGAGGAAGGTGTTATTATTTGTATTATACGGATGAGGCTACTGAAGCTTGTGAAGTTATCACTTGTTTAATTAACACAAAATTTGTCCTACAATATCTTAAAATATTAACACATTGGAGCAACAATGATGGATTTGAGTATTTAAGTTAATCCATTTGTTTTGCTACTTTCACAATAAATCACATATTTGAAGTTCTTATGATAGAGTCATTGATTAGGAAGGTTGTAGTTCACAAGTGTATATTTTAGATTTGGGCTTGCACATGACTTTGATATAAAATTATACAACTGTGTACAATGCCACAGCCATATGTGCCACGCTTAATAAAAGATCACAACCTGTGCATGCATTTGTATTTATTTTATACATGTTCTCTACAAATAAAACAGCCAGTTATAAAACAACTGAACACACAGTCTATGAGTTTATGACAACATCATACCTTATAATTGACTATGCTTTCTTTGAAAATAATTTAATTTGTGTAACTTTTATATTTATGACTAAGATACAAGGTGTCATAGGTACTGTTTTCCCAAATGGTTAACAAGTTGATCCAACAGTATTTATTCAACGTTTTATTCTTTCCTCTATCTGGCTTGAGAGGTCAATATTATTATATAGTTAAGTTCTCTACATACATGGTTCTATTTCATGTACTATTATTTTCACTAACCTGCTTGTTCTGTTGAATACTTTTAAACTATAAATGGTTTTGTTTTGTTTTGTTTTTTGAGATGGAGTATCACTCTGTGGTCCAGGCTGAAGTACAGTAGTGTGATCTCAGCTCACCACAACCTCCACCTCCCTGGTTCAAGTGATTCTCCTGCCTCAGCCTCTCAAGTAGCTGAGATTACAGGTGTGTGCCACCACACCTGGCTAATTTTTGCATTTTTAGTAGAGATGAGGTTTCACCATGTTGGCCAGGCTGGCCTCAAACCCCTGACCTCAAGTGATCTGCCCACTTCAGCCTCCCAAAGTGCTGGGAAAACAGGCATGAGCCACCACACCCAGCTATAAAGTATTCATGTTAATACCCTTATTTTTCAAAGCTTCTTTAGTTATTCTTCAAAATACTCTTCAGTTATTCCTTAATTATTCTTCTAAACATATAATCATTTTTTCAAGTTTTGTCTATAAAATTATATTTAAATTTTGGCTAAATTTTCAAGAAAATTTTAAGCTGTTTAACTTCGATGAAAATAAAAATAAGGCAGAAATGGCCTTATTGATTATGGATTTCCCTCTGCAATACATTATGTTTTTTCTGCTTTTGAAAAAGAAAAACAAAAAGTTATATCGCCTATGGAAATTTTAGGAAGTATAATGTTCTGGCTCAAAATATATTATAAATCAATGACAAATTTTACCAGGCAGTACAACTTAGCCAAGAAAAACATGGTTTGAATTATTGAACTGTGGTCCTTAAGTAAAATAAAAATAATTGAGTAAATACTGAGACCTGTATTAGTCCATTCTCACATACCTGAGAGTGGGTAATTTATGAAGAAAAGAGGTTTAATTGACTCACAATTCAGCAGGCTGTACAGGAATCATGGCTGGGAGGCCTCAGGAAACTTATAATCACAGCAAAAGGCAAAGGAGGAGCAAGCACATCTTACCATGACAGAGCAGGAGAGAGAGAGAGAGAGCCAAGGGGGAAGTGCCACACACTTTTAAACCAACAGATCTCAACAAAAGACAAAATTGACAAATGGGATCTAATTAAACTAAAGAGCTTCTGCACAGCAAAAGAAACTACCATCAGAGTGAACAGGCAACCTACAAAATGGGAGAAAATTTTCGCAATCTACTCATCTGACAAAGGGCTAATATCCAGAATCTACAATGAACTCAAACAAATTTACAAGAAAAAAACAAACAAGCCCATCAAAAAGTGGGAGAAGGATATGAACAGACACTTCTCAAAAGAAGACATTTATGCAGCCAAAAGACACATGAAAAAATGCTCATCATCACTGGCAATCAGAGAAATGCAAATCAAAACCACAGTGAGATACCATCTCACACCAGTTAGAATGGCAATCATTAAAAGGTCAGGAAACAACAGGTGCTGGAGAGGATGTGGAGAAATAGGAACACTTTTACACTGTTGGTGGGACTGTAAACTAGTTCAACCATTGTGGAAGTCAGTGTGGCGATTCCTCAGGGATCTAGAACTAGAAATACCATTTGACCCAGCCATCCAATTACTGGGTATATACCCAAAGGACTATAAATCATGCTGCTATAAAGACACATGCACACGTATGTTTATTGCGGCATTATTCACAACAGCAAAGACTTGGAACCAACCCAAATGTCCAACAGTGATAGACTGCATTAAGAAAATGTGGCACATATACACCATGGAATACTATGCAGCCGTAAAAGATGATGAGTTCATGTCCTTTGTAGGGACATGGATGAAATTGGAAATCATCATTCTCAGTAAACTGTCACAAGAACGAAAAACCAAACACCGCATATTCTCACTCATAGGTGGGAATTGAACAATGAGAACACATGGACACAGGAAGGGGAACGTCACACTCTGGGGACTGTTGTGGGGTGGGGGGAGGGGGGAGGGATAGCACTGGGAGATATACCTAATGCTAGATGATGAGTTAGTGGGTGCAGCACACCAGCATGGCACATGTATACATATGTAACTAACCTGCATAATGTGCACATGTACCCTAAAACTTAAAGTATAATAATAAAAGAAAAAAAAAAACAAAACCAACAGATCTCATGAGAACTCACTCATTATCATGAAAACAGCAAGGGGGAAATCTACCCCCATGATCCAGTTACCTCCCACCAGGCCTCTTTTCCAATTTGACATGAGATTTGCTGGGGAACCCAAATCCAAACCATATCAAGACCCCACTCCTCTGACTGATTGTAATGAAAGATAAATCTTCCTTTTCTGGTGGAAGAAACTTGAAGGAAGTTTACTTACTCCAATGAGTATATTTTCCTTAAATGCCTCATGTTAATTTCAGTGAACTAGGCTTGCATGGGTGAGGAAGAATTAGAATCAGATTCTAGAAATTTGTTGTTACAGTAAGATTTTGTTAATACCTGGAGTGCCTTTAAACATAGTTTTGTAAAAATTATTATTTATTTTAATATAAGGGTTCTCAAGATTTTCTTCAAAGTTGAATTCCAGTGATATCATGAATAAAACATATTGATCAGATTTTCTAATTATTTATTTTTGGTATATAAAAATGATATTGATTTTGTATATTGATTTTATAAAAAACATTTCATATAACTCACGCATTAGGTCCAGTAGAATTTCAGAAAGCAACCAGCAGAAAACAATCCTATTAAAAAAATGGACAAAGAACATGAGCAGACATTTCTCAAAAGAAGACATACATGTGGCCAACAAGCATATGAAAAAATGCTCAACATCACTAATCATCAGAGAAATGCAAATCAAAACTACAATGAGATACCGTATCACACTAGTCTGAATGGCTATTACTAATAAGTCAAAAAATAACATGTTGGCAAGGTTGCAGAGAAAAGGGAACGCTTGTACGCTGTTGGTGGGGATGTGCGTTAGTTCAGCTACTATAGATAGCAGTCAGGAGATTTCTCAAAGAACTTAAAATAGATGCAGCAGTTTCCATTACTGGGTATATACCCAAAGGAATATAAATTGTTCTACCATAAAGACAAATGCATGCATATGCTCATTGTAACACTTTTTACAATAGCAGAGACATGGAATCAACTGAGATGCCCATCAACAGTGGACTAGATAAAGAAAATGTGTACATATACACCATGGCTTTCTTTCTACACAGCCATAAAAAAGAATGAAATCGCGTTCTTTGCAGCAACACGAATGCACCTGGAGGCTATTATCCTAAGTGAATTAACGCAGGAACAGAAAACCCAATACCACGTTCTCACTTATAAATGTGAGCTAAATGTGGAGTACGCACGGACACAAAGAAGGGAACAACAGACACTTGGGCCTACTTGAGTGTGGAGTGTGGGAGGAGTGTGAGGATGGATAAACTACCTCTTGGATATTATGCTCACTACCTGGGTGATGAAATCACTTGTACACTAGGCCCCAGTGACAAGCCATTTACCCATGTTACAAACCCACACATGAACCCCTTGAACCTAAAATAAAAGTTGGAAGGACATAAAAAAGACTTTCAGTTGATTCTCTTGGGTTTCTCAGCTAGGTACATATTATCTACAAACCAAAAATGATTTTGGCAATATTTATTTCAAAATCTATGCATTTTAAAATTTTGTTTTATAGCATTACCTGTGTCTTCCAAAAAATAATGAATAATAATGACAGTAATCAGCTTTGTCTCTAGCATAGCACCTGCCAAAGCTATTTCAGCAAAATTTTAGTTCCATGTTAATACAATATTATTATGTGGAAGATTATTCTATGATCAGTTAGAAAAGCAAGTCTCACTAGTGAAAAAAGGCCCCGGAGTTTTAATATGACAAATGCTTATTGTGAATTTCCCAGAGTCTAATATTGTGTGTAGTTTATCCTCAAATTATTTGACCACTTTAGATCATTAATTCATCCTAAATTGAATTTATATTGTGAGTTGCTTGAAAACAGATATGAGTTGATTTTACTTTCAAATGATTACCTCTCACAAAATCATGTTTTTCTCCGTGGATCTGAGAAACCATTTGTAATAAAATATTTACATTTCTTATTCAGCATATTTTACTTGTATTATAGGTGCTTCATTGTCTTTAACATAGGTATTTTTTTCTATATGTGTACTATAGAGTTTCTGGTTTTGGTTTCTTTTACTTAGGTTTACACATGAATCCTTCGTCAGATGACTTTATAAGAACTTTCATTCATACTTCAGTGATCCTTTGATTTAAACTGTAGCTGAGATAAAATAGCCTTACCTACTTGATGTTATTACTGCTAATACAAATTCCCTTTTTAATAGTTTACGCTTGTTTAAAATATTTGTTTAATCAGTTTGTTTTTCAAGCATCTCTTGTAAACAGCATGTGATCATATTCTTTTATATGTTTGACTTGAACAATTATTATGTATTTTAATGAATAAATTAATCTCATTCATATTATAATTCATATATTTTATCTTATTTCAGTCAACTTTTTCTGAATAGACTACATTTTTTCTACTTTTACATTCTCCTGTGTGTTACGTATAAATCATATCTTGTTTTTAATTTTATTGATTACTTGGAATAGTAAATAACATTTTAAAAATGATTATCAGAATCAAGCCTTAATTGGCATTTATTGAAACCTGCATTTCTTATTTTTTCTTATTTTTTTCATCTAAACCCTTAGAAGGCAAGAACCTGCTTTTTCAACAATAAATTTCACATACTAAATCCTAAAATTTTTGCCTTTGCATCAAATTTTATTACCACATATGTACATATTTTAAAAATTTAATGAGTGTCTATATACCATGAACTGCAATGATTAGTTTATAATCTAAATATTTCTGGCTCAAATATAAATTACTGTAACACATTATTCAATTATAAAAAATCAAGGAGATGGAAGAAAATTAAACATTAAGAAATAAGTATATATGCTATTTTGATTTAATTGTGTTGTATTTTTAGAATTATTTTAGGTTACATTATTAATATCAACTTTATATGGACTTTGTGTTCTCTCTTTATGTTTTTCACTTTTTCCTCTTTTTTCCTTCCTTCTAATCTTCCTTTTTCCCTTCTTTTTTTTACTTCCTTCTCCTCTTCTTTTTCCTCCTGGCACATCTTTTATTTTTTCATCTTCACCTCACCTTCTTTCACTCTCACCCACAATCTGAGAATATCCACACAGCCATCTGGCTGCTTAAAGACTTTTCTTAAATAAATCTGTACTGAGAGGTAGCTATATTTCTAATTTAACCCTTTTGCTGCAACTACAAAGCTTGATATTAGACTCCATCATACAGAGCAGCTATATGAGTGATGGGAAGGGAATGAGAAGATGTTGCTTCATTCTCGTGTCATCTCAGGAGATAGTCCAATGTCCTGAGGTGAAAAGCAGCATTGCAGTAGTTGCAAGGCTTCGTGATGCTTCTGACTTTGCTAGAAATGCTCTACCAGAACAGGAACAAGAATTTTTTATACACACCATTGAATCTCTAACACCTACCCTATCCTAACACAATTATAAAGTTAAGATGTATAAGGAATAGTCTAAATTAAAGCAATGGCGAACATAACCAAAAACATTCAAATTATTCTATGTAATAATGTGTTTTTCTAAAATTAAAACAAGACAGATATGAAATGTATTATCCTGCTTTTTTAAAAAATGTGTTCCACATGATAATTCAAGTCTTCCTCCACTCTTTCTCTTCAAACTCTGTTACACCTTTATTCCTACAGAACAGCAAGGTCTTCATTTGATGGAGATGCATTATTTATATGCTGAGTTAACTTCCTCTGTTCTTTTCTCATTAGCGAGTGACAATTGAACTAGTACTGCACTGTCTTTTTCATGAGGTCAAATCGATGTTTTAATCTATTGAAAAACTTAAGGAACTAAAGTTTTTATGCTGTGGAAATGTCTTTTAATTGCAAATTTACTTTGCAAAAGGAATTATGTGTTATAAGAGGCAAAATAATTCAGCAACAATATACATGAAAATATTGTTCTCATCTTGATATTAAGACATGTCATCCCTAAAGGCAGCACAATAATATTAAATAGTGTCATTTTAGGTGATACTTGACATCTACAAAATCATAAATATGCATGCAAATCCAGGAATTGAAATAATAATCCAGACTGTATCAGCAAAATTTTTAAAACATCCACAACATTTAAAATTCTTATAGAGTACTCCTGTACCATAAAACTGCATTATCTAAAGACAGTTTGAGAAACAGTGAATTATACCATGCTCAGGATTACAGGAGGGAGAGGCATAAATGATTTTGATGTGAGAATGAACTAGAGGTAGGCAGGCTATAGCTGAAATGTCAATGAATTTTGTTGAAAATTTTGTCTCTCAGCTACTTGATGAAGCAATGAGGACAACTGTTTCTCTGGACTTAACTTTGACCAAAAGAAAAAAACTGGTTCATGAAATTCAAGTGACAGGAACCTGGGGAGAAAGTCAAGTTGTCATCTTAGTGCTTGAAATAGCCAAGAAAGGAAACACTCGGCACAGTCTGACAGATACTTAGGACTTTAGAAAAGCAGATTTCAAAACTTTCAGAGAGTAGATGTGAGTGATTCTACCACCTTAGACTTCTAAAAGAATTAGAGGCTTTTAAAAAGAAATTCTGATAAGAAAATTATAAATGACTTCAAGGAGGTAGAAACAAGAGGGAAAAGTACATAAGAGAAAATGTCATAGCTATATACACATTCCTGCGCTGTAATAGTGAGAAAGGAAAAACATTTCTACTTTTTTGTTTTTGTTTTTGTTTTGAGACAGAGTCTAGCTTGGTCACCCAGGCTGGAGTGTAGTGGCGTGATCTCGGCTCACTGCAACGTCTGCCTCCCAGGTTCAAGCCATTCTCCTGCCTCAGCCTCCTAAGCAGCTATGATTACAGGAGCGTACTACCACGTCCAGCTAATTTTTGTGTTTTTGGTAGAGATGGGTTTCACCATGTTGTCCAGGCTGGTCGCGAACTCCTGACCTCAGTTTATCTGCCCACCTCAACCTCCCAAAATGTTGGGATTATAGGTGTGAGCCAGATTCTTACATTTTGAGCATCTGTTATGTGGAAACAAGATGCTTGGTTGTTCCCATAGGTGATGTTGTGACAGGTGTTTCTATAACTATTTTATCGAAGAGAAAACTGAGGCTAGGCTCGAAGTGATTAAGAAGTCTCCAGAAATATAAAGTTCAGCATAGAACTATTAAGATAATTGAAGATAATAAAAATGTATCATCCATGTTCAAGGCACCTTTTCAAAAAGATAATTAATTATAGTGGTTGAAGCTGATCGTTTCACATTAACCAAAATAGTAGGCAAGTATAGATATTTAATCCTCAACTTATCTATGGTGAAAATTTTCTTCATACTACTAAAGATAAACCAAGTTCAAAGAAAAGATATCTAGATGGCTCTACCTATTATAAGAGGTCAATGTGTTTATGAATAGATAATTTATATTCTATTTTAGCAAAAGTATCCATCAAAATGTCCTGCCTTGGTCCCCTTCTTACCAGTGGGAATCTGACAAAAATCCCAAACCAATCAACTAACTGCTAGTAACTAAGCAGATTCATTCTCTATATAACCTTAACTCAAAACCTCAGAAAGAGTAGCTAGTCAGATGAAGGTAAGCAATAGAAGTGAAGAGTCATTTTCAGTTACGCAAGGATCAGCATTGTAAGTCTAAGCTATTTGCACAGTGAAGTCATGGAGGACTCATGACCATGAATAGCCAAAGAATCCAAGTATTCTGGGAGCATAAACACCAGAGGAATGCGTAAAAAGAAAAGTATAGATGAGAAGCCAGATCACCCTAGAAAGACACAAAGCAGTTTCAGATACCGGCTTCCAATTCCAGGCCTCAAGTGGGTAGGCTGCCATGCGTTTCTCATCCTTGGATATCTGAATGATACATTGTATGTGATGTATACCTACTGGGTTGTCTGAACATCATCTCTAGTTCTGGAAGCTCCCCTCTACATTTTACTTCTGCTTGAGAATCGGACAGTCATATTCATATAACATTATTCCATTTCCTTAACAATATTAGTTAATCCAGACATTGAAATCTCAGCCAAGTGAATCAAAAATCCTTTCTGCATAGAATATGAAATAAGAGATTTCAGCTTATAGGCCACTTTCTGAAATAGAACGGTTGTAAATTTTAGAGTTATTCATATTAGCTGTTATCTATTATTTTAACTAGAAAACATACATTTTCTCTATACAAATGAATACGGATGAGAGAAAAGGTGATGTGAAAAGGAAAAGAGAGACAACGGATTAAGAGAACTCGCTGAGTTCCCTTCAAGTGGACTGATGTGTGGTTGATTTCTAAAATACATTTCCATTCCTGCCTTTGGATTCCATGAGGCAGCTCCTATTTCTCATGTAATTACAGTATCAATGTAAGCAGCGTGAAGATAATCATGGTGAGTGGAAAGAGTGCTAGAAAATGGTATACAGATCAATGTATTTTTTCTTCTCTCATGGAAAATGTAAATGGACATACCACAATTATATATCATGGAGCAATCCATCAATTCCCAGCAAAATTCCAAGACATATAATTAAACGGATGGCTCATGAACACCTAGAAAAGGAAGAAGCAATCACTGAGAGCCACTTTGAGTTCACTAAGAATAAATTATACCAAATTAATTAAATTATTTAGACATAGTGAATCTGCATTTCAATGAGGCACTTAATGCAGTGTTTTGTTGGTGTCTTTGTGAACAAGATAGAGTACAGAGGATTTTTGTAAATTACGTGGATATGTGTTAGTTGAACAATTATTGTCAAATGATGATGATTAAATGGCTCATTTTTGAATCTGTGAATTGAATTGTGAGCTTTACTCACAATTTTAGTTTAAAAATAGATGTAGACATAGAAAGGATGTGTATGAACTTGGAGAGGTAGTCAAATATTGGATGACAGAATCATGATAAAAAAATCAATTTTTTTATTATGAAGGTTGAAACAGTAGATCAAATTGAGCAAGAAGGAATTCTGGAAGATAAATATAAAGTCTAACACCTAAATTTAAAAGTCAACCACAAATGCGGGATGGCAGAGATTGTGAATAGGAAGGAAATCCTCATGTCCTTGGAGAAATGGGACCCTACTTTGTAGCTCCATATTCACATTTCTTAATGCAATTCCTGGCACAACACAAAAGCTTACGTTAGATAATTTTTAATTAATAAGAGATTTAATATGAGCCAACAAATATATATTGCATTTTCATAGAACAGTGTTTAGCAAGGGAGTCAACAATATCCCTGTATCTTGCATTGATAAGACTATATTTGGAGCACTGTGTCTGCTTCAGATATTAATATCAATTAGGTGGAACACTGATGGGGTGTAGTGGTTCCAGAACTAACAGGAGGGTGAAAAACAGGACTCCTGTATTTTTCATGGTTCTCCAGAGCAAAAGAATCAGTAGGATATGTGTGTGTATGTCTCTGTGTGGGTGTCTGCGTGTATGTGTGACTGTGTGTATATATGGTATATATGTGCGTATATACATATATATGTGAGTCAATTCCTTCAAATTTCTCTCTACCCTAGAGAGAGAGAGAGAGGAGAGAGGGAGATTTGAAAGAACCGACTCACACAATTATGGAAACTGGAGATCCAGAGAAGAGAAGATGTTGAAATTCTAGTCCAAAGGCAGTCTGTTGGAAGAATTCCCTCTTCTTTGGGAAAGGTCAATCTTTTCCTTAAGGCCCTCAACTGATTAAATAAGACTTTCCCATCTTATGAAGGGTAACCTACTCTACTCAAAGTCTGCTGATTTAAATGTTAATCTTATCTAAAAATTACCTTCACAGAAATATCTGGACTAATGTTTGATCAAATATCTGCCCACAGTGACCCAGACAAGTTGACAAGTGAAATTAGCCATCACAACTCCATTGCTATGTGATAAATGGGTAAAGAGGGGAGAGAGATTTCACTTGGAAAAAACAAAAGTTAGGGAAATAAATGACACCTGTTTTAAAATATTTCAAATTTTGAAATAAAGAAAAGATTAGACTTTATCCCTGTAACTCTAAAGTGTTACCTTAAGATACAGGGTGAAAATTACATATGAATCCAGTGAATAACATTTTTAACATTTAAACTATACTATCTGATTGAGAAGGTATACATATAGCAAGAAATATGTGACAAGGTCTCGATCCTCAAGAAAATTTATAGCTTAGTTGCAAAGACAAAAATGCACACATAAAGTAAAACTAATTCATTCATTGAATAAACATTTTTAATGATCTACCACGTACCAGGCACTTCTCTATACGTTAGCAATGCAATAGCAAACAGCAAAATTCCCCTGCCCTCATGAAGCTAGTGAAAGGTACAGAAAACAAATGAAATGTGGATTTGTAACATACAGTATGATAAAAGTGATAACTGCTAATGAAACAGGAGAGTCTGGCTCCTGGCTAAAAACCTATGTGTGACTTCAAGTCCAACCACAGGAAATTATCAAGGCTTTATTTGCCAGGTCTCATATGGGAAAGCTGTTATAGCCACAGCCAACTTGGTGCAGCCAGTGCATTGCATCTCTGAAAGGAGTTCCAGTCAAAGTCTCAGGCCCCCTTAGCCAGCCATGCTTTATGTATAACCAAATCCCTAGCCCAGAAACCTTCATTTCAAGGCCTCTATGGAAGGCTTTCTCCAGATTCATCTGTCTAAAACTCCTTATTGAGTGCAAAGATGATGAGTCTCAAAGATCCTTTTCGCTTTGACTCAATACCAATGCTCCTCGACTTAGAATGGTGCTATGTCTTGATAAACCCATTGTAAGTAGAAAATAAAAGTCCAAAATATTATAACTGGAAAATACACTTAATGCTCCCATAAACCCACCTTAAAGTCAAAAAATCATAAGTTGTACTAACATAAGTCAAGGACCATCTGTACTCAATACATTTCCCACTCCTGGTCCTTTTCTTTCCTTCTCCCCATAGCCCCCATGTCCATTAAACTACAGGAACCTTTTCTTTTAGGCTTCCTCAGCAGTGAGCCAACCTTTACATCTGTGTTCATCCTCCTGACCTTAAACCTCTGTGCCTTTCCATGGGCAAAAATGGAAAGAAGTGGTGTGGAGGGGGCGTCTACACTTTCTCTAAGTTATTCTTTCACTTACACTCCAGCAGTAAGTGATCAAAGGTCTGATACTTTCATTTTTGGTTTGTTGTCCTGGTTGACTATTCTGAAAACTGGTACCTAGTTCAGCTGATCTGGGATGGAGACAAAATAAAGCAAGAAAGGAAGATAAATAGGGACAGAAGAGGTGGGGTTACCATAAGGTGGTCAGGGACCTAAGAAGGTGATACCCAAGTAAACACCTGAAGGAGGCTAAGGATAAAGCCTTGTGACTGTCTAGGAAAGACACTGCAAGTGGGAGAATAGCAACAACAAAGGCCCTGAGGATGCGGGGCTTTCTAGGCACTGGGAAGATGTTGAATATCCACCATGTAGGCTAGCAGAGGCCTGGCTGCCATGGTTCTTCCAGTCTAGATGGAGAAGAAAATACCTATAAGACAGTGACAAGTGCTATGACAGAAGAAATGTAAGTATGCTTTGGAGGCACAAGGTACAGGTGCCCAACGATCATGGAGTAAGCATGAGATGACTAATCAAAAACAAGAAGAATAAGAAACAAGAAAAAGTGTCACAAAGGATTCCATGAGGGAAAAAATGAGTCATCAGGTAGGGACGTTGTGCTGCACATCTCTAGGGGACCCCACTCACATCACAATGTTAGATTCATGCAGTGCACAGCTGTGAAGCCCTATATGACAGTCCTAAAGTCAGAAGCTAAAATGAATATGCTGGCGTTAGGGAACCAACAACATTCAACAGCACTGGAGTATATACAGTGAGTCAGGCAGTGTAATGCTGAAATCAAGATGTAAGTACAGAGTTGTACAAATTGTTCAAAGTCTAAAAATATTTTAAACAAGAGATTCAGATGACAAAAACTGACGGTTATGATGGATTAGAGATTGTGGGGCAGCAAGAAAAAACAGTTCTGATACTATTATGAAAGATGTATTTTCTTGGCTTATGCTAGGGTCTCAAAGGGTTAAAAAAAAGCAAATGAAGATAGGTAGAAGCAAAAAGGACTGGGAGTTAATGGAATTAGACATGGATGAGATCAGTTAAGGATGATCTCTATGTTTTGATTTGGACACCTGGTATATTGGGGTGGTCCCACTCCAAACAGAAAACAAAAGAGGACAATTGGATATTGTACACAAGATGATCCGAAGTTCCACCAACAAATTCAACTAGAAAAGTAAGGGGAAGAAATGTTAATAGATATTCCACAAAAGAAAGGTTTTCTGGTCAGATATACCTGAGAAAACTACATATTCCATCCTCTTATGAAGATCCATTCAGTTATTTATTCATTCAACCTACATTTTGTAGTTTCTGCTTTGTGCCATTTTTATCTGTGTTTTACTCTGGAATGTAGAAGTGAATGAGAAAAACATGGTCCCTGCCTTCGAGAACCTTACATTCTATGGGGAATACATGAACTAACCAAATAATTGTTTGAACTATAATTGGGAAGATGTTGCGAATAAGTAGCAGAAGGTGCTAGGAGTGTGTAAAACTGAACTAATCTAGCCTGACGAGCTCCTGTGTTATTCTCACGTTAGTGTTTTCAAATCCTGCTACTTTAGTGAACCCTACCAGAATTATTTAAATAAGAGTTTCCAAGAGTTGTCAGATGTTTTTAAGCATGGAAGTCTTTTTATTTTCCCCCACAAAATGTCTATTACTTGTAAAGAGCAAATCTTGGAATGTAGTTTGGAAAACTCTCAGAAAGGGGACAAGGGAAAGTTTAGTAAGTAGTTGAGTCTTCATCGTCAGCTTGTAGTTTTCCCCTTCTGCAGAGAAAGACCAGCAGAATCAAAGGTGTGGATGCAGGACACACAGGGAGTACAGGAAGGAGAGTGACCCGATTAGAGAAGAACCAGACTGAGTTAAAGCAACTCTGGTCAACTGGGCACTAAAAGAGAAACTATAGGAGTTACTTGGATTGAGTCACTTGACCACCCAAATTGCCTCCATTTCCTATTTCACATATTAAAAATTATGATATTCATTTTTCTCTTTTCTTCCTATCCTAGAGACACAGTGAGGCTGTCATAGCTGTGTTTAATGAATGAAAGAATGAATGAACTCTGATCTCTTTGGTATGTGTAATGAATAAAATATTTTTTGTATTAATAATGAAATACAGTTATTTAACATTTAACTGGCACAGATTGAGATTTCATTTCTGATGTCTGGAACTGTACTTTGGGTCATCAACAGACTTTAAATCAGTTGGATGTTCAGGCAGAATATATATATATTTTCTTTTTCAGTATGATTGTGAGTCAGGGATACTAGAGCTAGAAATATGCCCTGGGAGGACACAGGATTTAGTGTTCCTTCTCAAATCCTCTCCCTCTCCTTGTTTCTCTTTTCCTCCCAAATATATTCTACTAAATTCTTGGTGAAAATTTTTACAATTTATGTGCAAGCAGTTTTAGAAACTGAACATTCATGAGTTGATTAAATAAACTAGAGCAAATTGCTGCAATTAGATAATATGCAATGATTAAATATAAATATTGCATTTAATAGCATAAAAAGATGTTCCAAATATGTTGTAAACAAAAAGAAAAAATTTAGTTTAAGCTCCAATTTTCTGTTTAAAAAATATGCAACTGTGTAGTAGAGTATGCTACCTTCTGGGTAGTTTTTAAAAACAGGATTTTTTTTTTTCTGATTTTTTTTGTTCGTGTATATTTTTAAATTTTCCTGTTAATAATTTAAATAAAATTATTGAATAATTAAGTTAAACATTTCAGAGGCATTTGGTCAAACATATATTTTAAGGGGCTACATGTGAGTTTTTATTAATAATAGTTGCATTGGATTTACAAGCAAATTTGAGGGTTTTTTTCGTTTTTAGCTTTATATACGTAATAGCTTTTCTGACATTTGTCAAATATTCTGTTAAATAATCATTCCATGCTTGCCTTTCTGAACACTCTACTCTCACTACTTCTTCCACTACTCACTAGCAAAGAACATGCAGTGGTGGCAACCACTAGCTAGGTTCCAGTGGTCCTGGTAATTCAGTTTATCATGAATATTCGCTAGCAGGTTGTACATTCTGAAAGTAATGGCCTTAGTGGAGGATCTGGTGAAGAGCCCAGATGACAAAGTCCAGTTTTTTTGTGAATATCAGGCATGTTACACAGGCTGTTGAAAAGAAAGTTATTGAATTGAGCCTTTTTGGATAACTAACTTGCTTTTTTTTTTTTGGCCAAATTATACTGTATTCTATGTAAAACAATTCCTGCATGAAAAAGTGTGACCTTAAAGTGCCAAACTGATTTTCATGTGTCTATATATTCTGATATCTTTACAGTAACATTCCAAAAAATGTTTAATAAACACTGTCTATGTACCACAGACAGAGTGTGTGTGTGTGTTATGTATGTGGTGGGGGATGAAGTGAAGAATACAATTAGGAATAAAATTATTTCTGCTTTAGAAGTGTTTACAAACTAGAAAGGAAGACGATCACAATGTAAGGTGGAATAAACTAATTTAACACTTTGAGGATTGATGGGCTCTCAGTGACAGGGAAGAAAGTAAGAAAAACATATTCTAAGTTAATTAGGACCAAAAGCATAATAAGAGCATGAAAATACATGGTGTAATGAGAAAATGGCTAAAGTTAAGCTCAATGAAAGAATATGCATTTGGAAGTAATCTGAACAATCATACAGAGATCAGCTGTAGCAGCCTATGAATGTCATTTTAGGTAATTTTGACTGTATTCTGTAGGCCATAGGCTGTTGCCATTTTTTTCTTTATTAAAAAAAAGTGATATGTACTCTGACCTACATTTTAAGTAGCTAATTCTGGACCCTGTGTAAAAGGTACAGTAGTATATTGAAAGTCTGAAGACAGAAATACCAATTAGAAAACTACAAGAATATTCTGGGTATGAGGTAATGTCATTGCGTGCTCTACAGGAGGAAGAACAAAATTAAATGATAGACTGATGAAGCACCATCACGCAGGTAGAACAAATAGAACATAGTAATTTAACAGTGGCAAGGATGATGGCGATGAATGACTTAAGGATAACTACTTCTTTTCATGGGTGACCAGAAAGATGAAGTATCAACTATACTGGATTGCATTCAATTTGGCTTTAAGATATGCAAATTATTGGGAATTAGGTTTAAAATTTCAAGAAACACATGCAAAGTTGCCAGTTATTGCCCAGAAGTGAGGGCATGATATTTCTAAGGGGAAAAAAAGACATTAAACAATAAAAAGACCAAGACCAGAAAGGGAAAGATTTTATATGTAAGGATTAATCAAACCCCCCCAGAAAACTGTGATATGTAAGGGGTGAGAAGAAAGGTAATAAACTCAATGGTGAAATTGACAAGGATCCACATTAAAAGCAAGAGTAGCAAAATATAGCCTTAGTTAAAGAAATAAGATAAAGCTAACTAAAGAACAATGTCAGAGAATCAATGGCACAGAAAGGTTAAAGAATGAAGAGTGTCCAATAACGGTCGAATACAGCAGAAAATTTGGGGAAGATGAGGACTAGGAATGACTAGAAATGGCAAAAAATACATTACTGATGACCTCTGATTTGGTAGTTTCAATAAAGTGTAGGAGACAGAAGCCATAAAGAAACATATAGATGGATGGTAAAGAAATAGAGATAGCAATGTAAAATAGTCTTTCAAAATATTTAGTAAACTTAAGAAAAGACATGAGGTGAGGGAAGCAGGGCCTGGTAAAAGAGTTTGGTTTTATTTGTTTACATTTGAAATATGAGTGTTTGTTGACTTCAGAAAATCTGGTGAATATAAAGAAAGATATTAATTGAGTAATAAATTATGGGACTACAATTATGAAACTGAGAATAATAATGAATGCAATCAATAATAAGAATGAATTCAATTAAGGATAGAATGACTAGCTTTGGAAACCAGGAGCACTTTTTCTTCAAAGACAGGACAAATTGGGTGGAAGTCAAGACACAAATCAATTTATTAGAAGGGAGGGAAGTTAAGAGTAGTATGTTGACTTGTTTCTTTACTTCCAAAGCACAGACCAACACTTTGGCTTAAGGTAATATATGGATTTAATGATTCTATATCCTATTAGTGGTTCACATAAAAATTTCAAAACTTCAGAAAACTTCGGATAGAATTATATCTGACATAGCTGGACAGGTAAGGGTATAACTCACAGACTTGGAGTTACAGATAAACCCCAAGAAGAACAATTGCTGCCACTGCAATTGGGTTTTCTTAAGAAATATATTTGTATTAAAAGAATAAAGTAAATCTGTTTAGTGCCTGAAAAATTCAGCTTCTACACATGGCTTATTGAACTATACAACATTATACTACAGCTTTCATGTAAACCTAATTTTACACCGTAGCTGCCTTGGGAAAAGATGCAATGAGTGTCACAAACAGCTTGGGAAATATTTCATAGTCTTTCCATTCAGAATAGGGCACAACTGGCCAAATTGAGGTCATTATGCCTGAATTCAAGATCCAGCTCTGCCATTTGGGATGTCACCATAAGCAAGTTACTAACCTTTTATGCTAACCTTTTCTTCAGTGGAAACTATCTGATAGTTCTGTTGTGAGGATTAAATAGCTAGTGCATATACAGTTCATAAAAATTACCATGCTCTCCTCTAGCTGTCCTCCTCCTTTTCCATCTCCTCCTCTTCTTTCTCCTCCTTCCCTCCTTCCTTTCTTCCTTTTTCTCCTCCTCCTCCTTTCCCTTCCTCAATGCCACCTCCTTGCTCCTCTCCTCTCCTCCTCCTCTTCATTTCCTTCTCCTTCTCTCTTTTTTACCTCATTTCTGTTACTTCACTATCATTCTTATTTAATTCCTTTAACAAACATTTATTGTGTCAGATACTGTAATACTCTCCTATGCCCAGCATTTACATTGATGAATAAAGTCTATATGATTCCTGAGCTCTTCAAGTTTGTAAACTAGTTAAGAAGACTTTTTTTTTTTTTTTTAAATGGATCTCACTCTGTCCCAGGCTGGAGTGCAGTGGCTCAATCTTGGCTCACTGCAACCTCTGCCTCCCCGGTTCAAGCAATTCTCCTGTCTCAGCCTCCCAAGTAGCTGGGACTACAGGCAGGCACCACCACACACTGCTAATTTTTGTATTTTTAGTAGAGACGGGGTTTTGCCATGTTGGCCACGCTGGTCTCAAACCCCTGACCTCCTTGGGTTGATCTGCCCACTGCGGCCTCCCAAAGTGCTGAGATTACAAGCGTGAGCCACCGCACAGGCCCAGAAGACAATTCTTTATTGAACAAATGAAAATATAAATAAATATAGGATTACAAATTGTGATAAGTTCATTGAAGAAAATAGCATGGAACAAGAAAAGGGAATAATACAAATAAAGATTCCAATGTGAGGGCAAGGGAAGGACTCTGAAGAACTGATGGCTAAGTATAGATATAAAACTCTTAAATTTTGAAAGCATAAATATTACCTGATTTTCCAAAAACTTTAATCCAAAATTTATTTTAACCAGTTAATATTTTAAGTGTATTACCTTACATTATACTCCTATCAGAATTTCTGTAACTAAAAGCAGAAAAATCTTTGCTCAGAGCTTAAGATTATTTCTATGATAAAACAAACTAACCAACTAAAACATAGTAAGTTCCATTTAAAAAGTTAACAAAAAATTAACATAGCCCTTTAAATTAGTATTACATGTTTTAACCAGATGTAATAAAAGTAGTTTTTGTGGAAGAAACAATCTGAAGCTACATTAGGCAAATATATAAATGTAAGGGGAAAAAAAAAGACTCAATGAGAAGGAAAAGGACAATTGTAGTTAATTTGCACAATATCTGTCATGTAGATACTATTGTAATGTCTGAAGTGTCAGGAAAAGGATTTTAGCTCTCTATGCCAATATATTTTGGGAAGGTTACTTATTATATAATTAGTCCACAAGCCCAGTGAAAACATGAATATTAAATCACTCAAGTTTCAGGATTTAAGTGAACCACAGAAAATAAAAGGAAGGAAGTTTGGGCTAAGCTAGTGGTCAAAATCAGTAAGTAAGTAGGATGTGAGTCACATAGTTAAGTCAAGAGGGTTGATTTCCTTGTACTTCAATCACATTGCCAAGAGACAAGAAGTAGAAGGAGGAAAGAAATAGCCATGTTTCAGTCTTACAGATTAGAGCATAGAAGAAGAACTTTAGGATCTGAATCAACTTGGTGAATGTATTCCTGCCCTATGGCTTGAAATATGAAAGTAAATGCCAAATCCATTGGCCTCACCTGTAGGCCTAGGTAATATATATCATATTCTGTCTATATAAAATCTCTTGAGAGTGAATTTGCCTTTACAAACCTTTTTATTTTGATTGTTCCTGACAATTAATATAATTTCATAGAAAAGAGTGGGATGGAAAGTTTTGGTAGGTATGTTACAGCTAACATTTGAATTATCCACAGCAAAGAAAAGTAAGCAGGCAATTCATCAACCATGTGTGATTATTTATGTATGATTGCCATATATAGTTTAAGCAAGATATATATTAGTTGCAAGGAGAGTACATAAAAATATTCAATATATTTGGTTTGCTACTGTAAAAAGAAAAATACACATGAATTCAGTGTACTGGGAAAATAAATCAAATATATTTAAAGACAGGCATAAGTTTCTGTAATGAAGGTAGACATCAGCTGCAAAGTAGAAATGATTAGCTCAAATAACATATATGTCAAGTAGATGGACAGCAAATTTGCTGCTTTTCGTTAGCTTGTGACATTAGCTTGAATTCTGTGTTCATATGTGATGTGTGCTTTTCTACATTACCACAATTAACCAGTTGATGATTGCCATATAAAATAATTTTAGAAGTTTTTACCTCTACTCACCATAGTTCTTTGCCCTTACTTATTTTAAAATTATGACATTGTTTCTTTGGGAAATTTGTAATTACAATTCATAGCTTTAAATGATTTCTATGCATCTGATGAAAATTTCACTATAAGAAATTAAACTGGTAAGAGTTGCTTTGGACTTACTCAATTTTAAACAACATTAAGGCAATAATTTTTGCTTTTGCTAAGTGATATGAGAAACAATAGTCTAAAATATTTAATATATTTAAACTCTCTTATTTTGAACCTGATAGGACCATATAAAATCAGACAGGACAAACAAGTTTTCAGGGAAACAAAACTAAATTCAGCATTATAACATTTCTATGTTGAAATTTTGTCCACAGTGATATTACACACATACTGACTTCTCTTTGAGGTGAACGTCAATAAATTGATTGACCCAAGAGATAAATATTGATTTTAGCAAGGCCAAGGTCTACATTTATATCAGACAATTCTTCTTGATATTTCCTGGGATGCAAAGTCAATAAATAAATTGTTATATTTATATTCTGAATAATTTCCCAAGTCTGCAGGAAAGTTAGATCTTTCAGTCCATTATGGAGAGGTGCTGATCAATTTATGTCTTAGGTCTGTGAATGCTTGCTAAAAATGTACAAATGACATATCTCATATTTGTTGCACTAACATTTACTCACTTTAATAACACGGAACACTATTTTAATTCAGGCTATATTTTTATTCTCATCTTTCCATTTACTAGATTTATTTTTGTATGTCTCCACTATACTCAGGGTACAGATGTGGCCAACACATATGGTCATTGCATTTAGCCCAGAAAAAAAATAAGAATTTAGTTATTAAATGAAGTATTCTGTTCTGACTGTTTACTGGTAAGGAAAATAAGTACACAGATGTTTGCATGGTTTTTATCTTAAATGAACAAAGGCTCCTTTCACCACAAGGGATGTTGCATTGTTCTCCTTATCACCTAGGTTTCTTGGCTTCAGTCTACTCCTAAGAGGCTGACAGCAATACTTGGTACACGCTCTTGAGCCTTAAACAGGAATCAAGGCATCTGCTTAAGAATAAATACAGAATTCTGATAATGATAGTCTTAATTTCTAAACCAAAAATTTATTACTATCAATGGCGAGTTAGTATAGATAGTTAACCTAACGTGCATTTTGAATAGTGCCTCAAAATATTGTTATCTTTTTGTTTCCACACTGAGTCTTTTTTCCAAGGAAGGCAACAAGGTATGCTTATTTCTTTCTCTGTCTCCTAGGAGACTATGGTGGTATAACTGAGGATAAATGAAGGTATGATAAGTGTACCACATCCTTCTGGAGTATCATTTTTACCAAATGGTAAGCATATTTGTTTACTAGGGCTACCATAACAAAGTACCACAGACCAGGTGGTTTAAACAACAGAAATTCATTTACTCTCATTTCTAGGGCTGAAAGTCCTAGATCAAGATGTTGACAGGGTTAGTTTCTTCTGAGAGCCTCTTTCCTTGGCTTGGAGATAGTGGCCTTTTTCCAGTATCTTCACATGGTCTTTCCTCTGTATACCTATCTGTGTACTGGCTCCTTTTTTTTCTTTTTTTTTGAGACTGAGTCTCACTCTATTGCCCAGGCTAGAGTGCTAGAGTGCAGTGGCACAATCTCAGCTCACTGCAACCTCTGCCTCCCAGGTTCGAGAGATTCTCCTGCCTCAGCCTCCCGAGTAGCTGGGATTATAGGCACCTAGCACCATCCTGGCTAATTTTTGTATTTTTAGTAGAGATGGGGTTTCACTATGTTGGCCAGGCTGGCCTCAAACTCCTGACCTCAAGTGATCTGCTTGCCTCAGCCTCCCAAAGTGTGGGGATTACAGGCGTGAGCCACCACAACCGGCCCTAGCTCCTCTTCTTATAATGAGACCACTGATACTGAATTAGGGTCCACCTCAGGGACCTCATCTAAATTTAATTGCCTCCTTAAAGATCTTATATCCAAATACAGTCACATTCTGAGGTCCTGTGGGTTAGACTTTATCATATGAATGGGAGTGTGCGACGTAGTGAAGCCTCAACAATAAATAAGAAGAATAATTGGTTTTATTTAAAATTAGCATGGAAATAATATGAATAGAATGAAAATTTTACATGATTTGAAGATATACAAGTGACTCTAGAACATATTTGTCTGTAATTTACTTCTTCAGACCATGCTTCTGGAATTCCAGGGTGCAGTGTTCTCTGCTCTGAGGATATTTTGGTGAAGCACTAATAATGAAACAATAATGAGATTTAAACTTTAAAATTCTGTCTTCAAGTCCTGACTTTATCACTTGCTCATCTCATATTGTGGCAAATTATGTGTGATATCTATGCCTCAGTTTTTCCCTCTTATAAATATGATTAATAATACTTAGCTCATAGAGGTAGTATAATTCAATGAGATAATATAAAAATAATGAGTATATTTAATTACTTGTATAATCATTAGATTTCCTTTAAAGGGCAGTTCTATGTCTTGGTTTGAAAATAAAATTTTGAAATATGACCTTCGCCTAACAGACAACAAAAGAGCACTTGCTAAGATAGTAAAAACTGTAGGCATACAGGAACATGGAAAGATTCTTGTTTCAGGTCTATTTCATTATATAAATGTTAAATATTATAAAAAGATATTCAAATATGAAAATGAACACAATAGAGAACCAAAACCCATTGCATTATTTTATTTTATGTCATCCTCGTTTTTAATTTTCTACAAAGATACATGCAGATATAGATCTACACATATACATTTTATGCAAGCATATGTGTAGATAGATAGATAGATAGATAGATAGATAGATAGATAGATAGATAGATAGATGGAAGCTTGGGAGCCCCTACGATAAATTTGTTACTTCCCAATAACAAGTGTAAGGATAAAAAGGCTAACATGAATTAAACATTTACTGAGTTAATACACAGAAAGCCCTTAGAAAAGTGACTGTCACCTAGTGATTAATGAATGAATGTTTGTTATTAGTAGTATCAGTCACCATGCTAAGGACTTTACATGTGCTATTGCATTTTATTTTCACAAAAACCTTATGAGACAAGTACTGTTATTGTCTGCATTTTACAGGTTAGGATGTTGGGGCTTAGAGAGGGACACTCGACTGGTAAATGACAGAGCCATGTTTCAAAACAAGGTCTTTGCAATTTCAGGACCCAAATTCTTAAGACCATGCTATACTCCCTTTCCCGCATTTCATCATTGGTGCTGATATGCTCAGTAAACTTTCCCCCACTTAGTTTCAAATTTCTTCTGCTTTCAATGATGCTTCTCTATTCCCACTTAATTTAGTTAGGTGACTATCTATTTCAAAAGGTCGCTTCCAGAATATATTAAATTGTGCCAGCACAAAGGAAATCCTGCACCTATTCCTCCTCTCCTTTCTATTCTCTTTTGGTTTAAATTTAATAAAAATTGTGTTTTTCTGGGAGAAATATAATTATATTTGCAAATGTAACTGAGTGTGATTGTCTTCTCTTATCAAAAGGGTACAACTCTGATGAGCAAAAAACAGAAGAGACAAACAGGGGAAAGATGACTATCATAGAACTACAGATCTGGAAGCAATAATACAGATGAGAGATCAGATGAGGGATGACTTATAGTATTTTCCTAGCTCCCAATTCAGTATGTTTTCCACAATAGCAAGGTGCTTACAGAATATGAATAACTATACAGATCAAATATATCCTTGATAGGGCTCAAAATTCTGAAAAAAATAGTTTTAAAGTTGCTTAGTTATTGTTCATAAAACCAATACAGTATCATGAGTTCTGAATTCTATCAATTTTCAATATTTATTTTTTCTGATTACTTATATTGCCTGCTCATACTTCAGTATACATAGATATTTCAGAATCTTAAGTGTAAAGAGCATATAACAGATTCCCTGAATCTTTCTTGGGAAGACATTAATGAAAAATAGTATATCAGTTTAATACAGTTTGTCACTCTTCACCCCAAACCCTCTCTGGCAGAGTCCCATGAGGAAGCTGTCTTGCCACATTTTTATATTTTTTGTTTAATCTGCTCACCTAACCTTTTGAGAACTTAATTAAGTACTTCTAAAGATACTAGCATTTACTTCATAGAAATTGAATTTTCCATTAAAAGTTACAAAAACAAATGGATAAGAGCTAGCATAGTTGTAAAGAAAGACAAAGTGAAGATGTCAGCTAAAGGGAGATAAAAGATGGAAAGAAAATTACTGTGTCATCAAAAAGATAATGAAGTTTAAAAGAAATAAAAAAGATGAGACATTCTGCAGGACGTATAAAATAGTTTGACTAGAGCCAATAAAAAGGATAGAAACTTTGGTAAAGGGAATGTCACTAATTAGATATTGTTAAAGCTGAAATGAGCTTTTTTTATGCTTTTATAGGCTAACAAATAAAAAAATGTACTTAAACAAGCTATATCTGGTTTTTCCACAGATCAGGGTACAGATTGTGTGACATTATCTCTACAGGAACACAACCTGATCATGTGGTGCTATGACACCACGAGGCAATGTGAAAATGCATTTTGGAAAAGATCTTGAACTTGTATGCCATAGACAGAAGGAAGCAAATGCATTTTTGAATCCTTGGAAAGGATGAAACTGCTAGGACATATGCCTTTGAAAGGAATCCACAAAAAAAAAAAACAAAAAAAACCCACAAAAACAATTCTATCCCAACCACGACAATGTAAGCTTAATCTTGTTATCAGCAGAAATTAGAAATAACAATGTCATAAATATATTATCTTTCAAAATATTATCTTATAACATCAAATATGTGCAATAACCAGTAATGGTGAGATATGATTTCAGAATCAGTTCCACAAAGGTACAAATATTGCCAGTATTTAGTGTGGTGAAGGATGTGAGGAAACAGCTAGTTGGTGGTATGCAAAATATTAACACCATTGTGGAAAACATGACATCTTGAGTCAGAGAAGTATACTTTGACCCAGCAATTTGGTCCCTAGAAGTTTATTCAAAGTAGAGATTGGAATAAGGATGTAAAGATATATACATCCTTATTCATGCTATTGCCTGCAGCAGTGTTTGTAAATGTGTGTGTATGTGTGTGTGTGTGTGTGTGTGGTCCCTGGGTGGTAACATTTTGCTTTATTTTTCTTTCTTCATTATATCTTTTAGTATCACTTGCATTTTCTACAGTGAGCATATATTTACCTTTCTAAACAGATAAACTAAAAAAAAAAAAAAAAAGAAACCAGAGATTGTATATTCAGTGCATGGAATCAAGAAGCAGAGATATGAAATGACTCACTCTAAGTCTCACATTAGTTAGCAACAGAACTAGTAGTAAAGCAAACGTTACCGTTGCTGTCACAACCAGTATCCAAGTGATGAAAGAAAGGATTGGGTTTGTCTCCCATTTATATGCAGGATTACACTGAGCTGGTAACGCTCTTCCATTTAAAGAACAGCTAAGAAAAACCAGTTGAAAAACAGAGTAAAATAACCATGACATAAATCCCAAAGATCTTTACTAATCCAACTTTGCATTTTTGTATGATGATTAGAGAGTTCAATCTTTGTACCTATTATGTTTGCAAAACCCCATAGAGCAAAATGTCAGCAAAGGAACCTCAAATAATGTAATACGTTGTGTGTTTTCAACAAAAAGAAAAGATCATAGAACACCAGAATTTATAATTCATTCCTGGAAGAGATCTTTGTTTCATCTGGTCCATTTTAAAGATGAGGAAACTGATGCCCAAAATTAATTTGCTTAAGCTCTCAACAAAATATAGCACCTTGTTAAATTGTAATTGAAGTATTTTAGCATTAAAAGGAGTATAGAAAGCTTTATGTCTACCAGTTATGAATTTTATTCAATTATAAATATATTTGGCATCTGAAGCAGGAATTTAGCATGTCTTAGCAGGCTGCTAAGTTCCTGCTTCAGACGCCAAATAAATATTGTTTATTGGTGGCACTCTTTCCTTTTGTAGACAGTCCCTTCTTAACTTAAAACTGTCTCTACCTCCATATCTGCATTACAGAACACAAATGATCTGACTTGTTGTCTGAGTTCCAAATGCAGACACTGAATTCTAAAAGAAAGTAGTATATTAATGTCATATTCCCTCCAAGACTTTTACCTGTAAGAAGTCAGATGATCATGGCATGAAGCAAAATAATATGACAATCACCTATATTAATGAGTTGAGACTTACAATTAAATAAAACAAATTTAATTAAAACTAAAATAAAACATGAGTAATACTGCCTGATATTTAGGCATAATTGGGGCAAGAGGAGTGTTAAAAGCTGAGTGTCTTCTCAGCTTTTCTTTTTGATAGCCCAGTTACTCTAATCTTGCCCAGATGTCACAGGATTTAACTCTGATCTAGTGGGCTCAGTGACAGTGGTACCAATACCAGAGGTTCTTTTTTTTTTTTTTTTTTTTCCTGCCAGGGTTGTGCTTCAGTTGGATATTAAGCCTAGGGAAGCAGAGAATCAGGCTAATGGTGATCTCAGGAAGAAAAAGACCAAATAGGTTGAGAAAAAGAAATCATTTGTTGTTTATCCATTAAAATAGGTAAGACTTAACAGTCCTTCAAGAAATCTGGAAACTAGAGAACTCCTGCAACATGGACTCCCAATTTTTCTAGATATTCCTTGAAGTGAGTGAGCCTCTTGGATCATGTATGAATCAGCATGAGATGTTATAACAAAATACCATAGACTGAGTTGCTTAAGCAACAGATATTTATTTCTCACAGTCCTGGAGGCTGGGAAGTCCAAAATCAAGGTGACTGAAGATTCAGTTCCTGGTGAGGAAAAGCAGAGAGTAGTTACTCCCCTGGATGGGAAAGGACTAACAAGGCAACCAGTGCTTACTGTCAAAGCAAACATTATCTATGAATGAAATCACCACATAGTATAATTCATGAGAAAACAGGGAGGCTCCCACCTCCCAGCGTTTCCACCATACAAATTCAAATAATCATTAAGTTGAAATAAAATTCTAGGATAGATTAAGTGGGTGGTATATGGAGAGGTTACAAAACATGTGAGGACTAAACTCTGATTTTTATCTTGCCCAAATTCCTATTTCCTATCTGAAGGGTCTGGGGAGTCATGCCATACAAATAATAAATTCATATCAGATGGGTTTTATTTAACCCTGTGTGTCATAACTTACTTTCCAACCTGACTCTGGCATAACATTATGAGACAAGGAAGAAAATCAAAATATTTTACCCCAAAACATGTTTCTTTGCCATATTTTGAAATATTTGAAATGGCCCTGCAATGACCCCTCTGTTCTTTGTGGGGTAAAATTTGCATCTTTAAACAATCTCTATTAACATAGAAGTCTTTCTTCCAGACCCTCCCAATCCTAAAGAGATTAACTAAGATCTGTATAAGAAATACTTGTCATCTATTGTTCTCTAAGGGCAGCCACTAGAAAACTTCAAAAAACTTTGGCCTCCACAGTCTTTTATCTTAACCTGAACATTCTCCTTTTATTGATCCCAGGTCTTCAAACAAACTCAACCAATTGTCAACCAGAAAAATGTTTAAATTCACCTATAGCCTGGAAGACCCCACTTCAAGTTTTCCTGCCTTTCTAAACCAAACCAATATGTTTCTTCAATGTATTTGATTGATGTCTCATGCCTCTCTAAAATGTATAAAATCAAGCTGCGTTCTGGTCACCTTGGGACATGTTCTCTGGACCTCTTGAGGACTGTGTCATGGGCCATGGTCACTCATATTTGGCTCAGAATAAATCTCTTCAAATATTTTACAGAGTTCAACTCTTTTCGTCGACACATGTTGACATAGGTTAATAGGCAGAGATGGGCTCCAAGCTCGGCGGGACTCGCCAGCCTGCTTTTGAGCACAAACTCTGCACATTCCTTTCTGATATTTAGCTAAACTTCACTAAGAGAATTTTGATGAAAGGTACTGAGGAAAGAAAAGGTAATTTTGAATTGGAGACACTACAGAGAAAGAAGGGCATACATATAAGGCACTGAACAGCTAAAGGCTACAAGAAGGCATTTATGAGAAGAGAAAATTGCAGATGACCAGGAAGGAGTAGCAGAAGAAGAGAGAATCACGGGTGAAAGGGTTCAGATTCCACTGATGACTAGCCTGGCCCTCTTCCTATTTTAAATGAAGTGCAACACTCAAAAAACACTTGCCAGGAACTCAGGACCCAGTAACTTTGACGTGCATTATGGTGCACAAAACCAGCAATAGAGAGAGAAGGAGGAGCTGGACTGGGAATCAGGAGACATCAACATGATTTGGTGACTTGGGGAGGTAATCGTGTCTCTCTGAGGCCTAGTCCCCAAGTTGTACTCTCTCAGGCAGAATTTTTTAACCATGACACTATTTACATTTTGAACCATATCATTCTTTGCTGAAGTGGCTCCTGTGCACTGTAGGGTGTTTAGCAGTGCACAGGAGCCTCAACCCCTTCAGTAGTGATGAGCTAGAATGTCTTCAAACACTGTCAAATGTCCCATGGAGGGCAAAATCTCCCCCAGTTGAGAACCACTCTTCTGTTATCTGTAAATCTTAAATTCTGTAATTTTATCTTTTTAATATGCCAAAGTAACACACAAAGAAGCAGTAAAGGGCACAGTGTTTCAAGTCAGCGTTTTGGGGGTGAAATCTCTCTTTACCACTGGGGAATTACTTTGGGTAACTTAACTCATTTGTGAAATGAGACTGGTAATGCCTACTTCGTAGTGTTTATGAAGGGATTAATGTATGTGATGTGTCAAGAACAGCATCTTTCTCATGGCGTGCAATGTTTGGTGTACATAGAAGACCCTCTGATTTGCTTCCCCAAGTGGATCTTTGAGGATGCATAGAAGACACTTTTGATTTGTTTTCCTAAGCTAACTGTAATATTAAATCTGAGTACATATATACCATTATACATGACTATCCTGGGGAGGAAATGGAGGCTAAATTTTAAAATAGGAACTGGATTTATGCATTCATCTCTACATCTCCAAAACCTCAGCATAAGACCTGGCATACGTGTGGGCATTCAATAAGCAGGTGCTGAGGAATGGAACAACTGATGGAAGAATGATGTCACACACTGATAATTAAGTGGTCTGCTTAAGATTCCAAAATGTCTAAAAGTGGGTAAAGACTTATGCACATTTCTGATGCTATTCTTTATGCCAAAAGATAGAGAAATTATGTTAAAAATATAACCGTATGCTTGAGAATTTTACAGAATAACATTACTATGATATAAGAAGTAGTTATAAAAACAAACAACTCTATGGCCATATTTCTTGCAACACTGGGAAATCAATAGAAACAAACAACAATTTGTCTGCATCTGCAGTCTGTGTCCCACTCTCCACTGATGACACTGGATGCTTAAGCTTCAGTGGAGTTGTTCCAACTCTCTAACAGTTCTACAAAGGAAAATGGAAAAGCTGAGAAAAGAAACTTAAGGAATATAATTCTCCCAGCAATAAGGATTTTTATTGTCAATCTAAAAACAGCTGACACTGCCTGAAAGTAGGGCCATAAAAATAAAATACAGCAGACACCCTCCATTTGCCTACACTTGAAGGAAATGAGAAGTTCTCACAATTGTTATGGCAACTAACATTACTACATTTGGTAGTTTTTAACAAAGGAAAAGGGGAGACAAAATCTGCTGAGCCTTAAGATACCTCCTTGCTTTTCATGTTGAAACAGTTTAATTCAAGGACTTATACATGACAAATAGATCTTCATAATGAAAATGTAGTTCATCTTCGTATTTCTTACTTGAGTATCATTTTCAGCTACTTACAGGACTAGAAAAGCAACTCTTGCCCTAAGATGACTGGATTCATTTTATTTTCTACTTTCAAAACTAAAATTATTTAGAGTCAAAACTTTGATTTCCTCTCCTATTGGTCTCCCCATATATTCCAAATATTCACTAGTCTTCCCAAGATTTCTAGTCTTCCTCCTGCTGGAAGGAACGTTTCTTCCTACTTCCCTGAAAAATACAGTCTGCCAGGAGTTAAGTGCCTCAATTTGCTTCCTAAAAATATATGTTCATGTGTTCTCATTGTTCAACTACCACTTATGAGTGAGAACATGCAGTGTTTGGTTTTCTGAAACTGGTGATCAGCACCTTCCCACTAAAAGTCAGAAGTTGGGTGAGTGGAGGCAAAGTCATGGAGTTTAACTGGTGTATGACCTTCCTTTAGGAACACTCAACTGGTAAAGGAAAAATGCCTCAAGTGAGCATGTGCACAACTTCAGTAAGCACACTGAACATGCAGCCCCTGCAAAGTGCTGTCAGGCCACTGTGCATGTGGACAGCCCACACCAAGGGAAGAATCAGGGGAGAAGGGATGCAACCCCCAGAAGCAAGCCAACATATAAAACCCTGAGTCAAAGTTCAAACCACACATGTGAATCAAGTGGCCCACTTGTCCCTCTTTCAAGTATATTTTCTTTTGTTCCTGCTCTAAAACTTTTTGATAAACTTTCACTCCTGCTATAAAAAAAATTATCTTCCTTTCAGACCTTCTCAGATTAGCTAAATTTTATCTCATCTCCTTCTCAGGGATAATAATCCATCAAGTCTTCCCTTTCCTGCCCAAATGACCATCATCTCCTTTTCAATAGACTCTTTTCTTCAGAATGCAAATCTACTCAAATCTTTCTAAGCATAAAAACTTGTACCCTGCATGTCCCTCTAGCTTCCCTCTGGCAATTTCTCTATCCAGGAGTTCCTTAGGAGTTATCATCTGGAAAGAATAATTGTTATTCTTTTTCAATGCCTCAGTTCCAGCATGACCCTTCCCATTCTAATGAAGCCTCTAATCCCATTCACTGAAGCCATTTTTGGGAAGATCAGTAACAATAGTAACAATCTTCAATTTTCCAAAATGCAGGTTATTCATGTGACAAATGAAAAATAATTAACTTGTAGGTATTATCAGGCATTCTCCCTCCCCAACCAAAGGTTTTTGGTTTTGACCTCTTCGTTTCTCTTACTTTTCCTTTGAAGAGAGTTCTAGATTTTACGATGTAGGGTCACGGAGAAAGAGGCAGAGTGTAAGATGAAAGGCAAAGAGCTACAGATGGTGAAGGAAATTTGAGAAGATGTTTCAAAAAAGGGCAGATATACTGAGAGAAGAAGTAGACAAGAAGTTCAGAAATTTCGGTGTGGTGATAAATTCCCTCCATAATATTAGACAAATAAATAGAAAACTGGGTTGTTCTGAAAACTTTTTTTAAGATGTGTTATTTTTATTATGACATTTGTCAGATAGTAGACAACTGCTACACTTAGCTTACCTGACTTCTCATCATTCTACATGGAGAATTAAATCCTCCTGCTTGAAAGTTTTTAATTTGTATACTTCTGTAACTTTCTTGACCTCATCTTACATCTCTGGCATTCTTATTAATATCATGCATAAACTTTCTTCTTTCCTATCCAAGAAAGTCCATGATTGAAGACTTCACCAAAGCCATCCTCACCTTGCACTGAGAGGATACTTGTTATGGGCTGAATCACATCCTCCTGAAATTTATATGTTGAAGTCCTAACCCTTCAGTATCTCAAAATGTGACTATATTTGGAGATAAGGTTCTTCAAACAGGTGATTAAGTTAAAATATGGTCCTTAGAATGGGCCTTAATCCAGTCTAATTTCCTCCTTATAGAAGAAGAAATTCACACACACAGAGACACCAGGAGTGTGGATACGCAGAAAAAGAGGCCACATGAGGACACAGCAAGAAGGTGACCATCTGCAAACCATTGAGAGGGTCCTCAGAATAAAATCAAACCTTCCAAGACCTTGATCTTGGACTTCTAGCCTCCAAAACTGTGAGAAATTTCTGTTGTAGTCTGTGGTATTTTGTCATGGCAGCTCTAGCAAACTGATACAATGCTTATTTTGTGTGTGTGTGTGTGTGTGTGTGTGTGTGTGTTAGACCAAACACAGATTAAGTTCTGATTGAAGTCTGGTTTTATTTTATTTTATTTAATTTATTTTTTTCTCTTTTTTTCTTTATTATTATTATTATTATTATTATTATTATACTTTAAGTTTTAGGGTACATGTGCACAATGTGCAGGTTAGTTACATATGTATACACGTGCCATGCTGGTGTGCTGCACCCACTAACTCGTCACCTAGCATTAGGTATATGTCCCAATGCTATCCCTCCCCCCTCCCCCAACCCCACAACAGTCCCCAGAGTGTGATGTTCCCCTTCCTCTGTCCATGTGTTCTCATTGTTCAATTCTCACCTGTGAGTGAGAATATGCGGTGTCGTTTTTTGTTCTTCCGATAGTTTACTGAGAATGATGATTTCCAATTTCATCCATGTCCCTACAAAGGACATGAACTCATCATTTTTTATGGCTGCATAGTATTCCATGGTGTATATGTGCCACATTTTCTTAATCCAGTCTATCATTGTTGGACATTTGGGTTGGTTCCAAGTCTTTGCTATTGTGAATAATGCCGCAATAAACATACGTGTGCATGTGTCTTTACAGCAGCATGATTTATAGTCCTTTGGATATATACCCAGTAATGGGATGGCTGGGTCAAATGGTATTTCTAGTTCTAGATCCCTGAAGTCTGGTTTTAATTCTATATTATGAAACAGAATCATGGGATATTAAAGCTGGAAATTTTTTAGGGATCTAGTTTAGTAGAGTGGGGTTTTTTGTTTTCATTGTTGCAAAGGTCACTAGATTTGTTTGTAAAATTTATGAAAGCCAGAGCCCCTTAATCAACAATATGAATATGAGCACATATACATATATTTATGCATATATTTTATTTCATTATAAACTGACTTTTTCACTTAAGCAATTTTTTTTACTTTATGATTCAATAATTCTTCTCATTTTTCAGGCAAAAACTGATGACCACTTTCTGAAATAAAATGGAAAGAAATTGCATTGTGGAAACAAAAAGAAAAATAATTCTCCTCAATATGAAATCTCAAAGAAGCTGATTAAAAAATTTTAGTTTTCTTTGACATGGCACAGAGAATGTATCTTGGATGCTCACTGGATTTCTGATTTTGCTGTTGCTTGGCAGCAAGAAATAGTGAAAAATCTAGCTCCCTGAATAAGATGACATTGTCATATTATACAGAATTAAAATTAGCATTACCCTCTTTGCCCCTCAAAGATAGAATTGTGTGAAAAAAAAAAAAACAAACACAACGCATTCTCCAGGACCCTTCTGATAAATTCTACTCACATCATTTTCCCCAGTCAGTAAGGTCATCCTTGGCAAGTACTGCATCACTGATCCTGTCTATTTCAGCTTGAAAATAAAATAAATCCATATTTCAAAGTTAAGGTCATCAGAGCAGTGGTAACTTCCAAACACGTTTTTTCAGTACTTTGATATATCCAAATATTTCTGCCAATGGATAAAATGACAAAACTGTCACTCTCAACTCCGGATTCTAGAAGAACTTCTGAAATTGAAAAGTGTGTATGTTCCACAGCTCCTATCCTCCTCTAGCAGAATAAAAAGGGCCAAAAGAACTCCTTGTTTACAAAAGCATTTGCAGGCAAATGGCAGGACCTTAAATCAGAAGATAATGCCTTATTCATTGGACCAAAATATCTACCAAGTAAGCCAACCATTGAGTGTACTTCTCCCTGTGAGGTTCTTCTATGAATGAACTTCCTCATTCTCTCAAAAGTGAAACTTCTACTTAAAATTGAATCAAGCACTTAAAAAGGTGGCAAACCTCTTGGGACTTAAAAATTTTTTTTTTGTTATACTTGAATTTATGACAAAACTTCTTGAAAAGAAAATGATTTAAAAACCTGGCTTGGAGGAAATTGATCTCATTCATAACAGTAAACACTATTCTTTTCAAAACTGTTTGCTGGCTTGATCTGTGACACTGGTGTTTCTTCATATCAATGGCCATGAGAAGTCATATTGGTGTAACTTCACCAAAGCAAGAGACCCATTTGGAGTCAAAACTGTTTATGCCTCACTGGGGCACAATTATCTTAGGATTTTTTGTTTTGTTTTGTTTTTGTTTTTGTAGGGTTTTGGTTTGTTTGGTTTTTGTTTTTCAGACGGAGTCTCACTCTGTCACCTAGGCTGAAGTGCAGTGGCATGATCTCGGCTCACTGCAACCTCCGCCTTCCAGGTTCAAGCGATTCTCCTGCCTCAGCCTCCTGAGCAGCTGGGATTACAGGCATGTGCCACCCCATGTGGCTAATTTTTGCATTTTTAGTAGGGAGGGGATTTCACCATGTTGAGCATGCTGGTCTCAAACTTCTGGCCTCAAGTAATCCACTCACCTGGGCCTCCCAATGTGTTGGGATTACAGGCGTGAGCCCCCACACCCGACCTTGTAGGGTTTTTGTTTCTTTGGTTGGTTGGTTGGTTTGGTTTTGGTTTTGTTTTCCCTAGACAAAGAGTACTCAGTGAAAAAAACTTTCACCATTTTGAAAGTATTTATGGCCATTGACATTTCTAAAAGTGTCTCATGCATTATAACATTCTTTTGATAGTTTTGGTGTGCACAGAAATCAAGAAAACTGAGGTTTGACAGCACAGAAAAATAATAGTAGTGTCACCTAATTGTATACAGGAAGGAAAATGACATAGTTGTAAAATCCTGCTACTTCGGGATATTAGAAGAAATGTTAGCAATTCTGATATGTGTAATGTAATTTGTGAAAAGCATTGTTTCCATTTTATTCTGAGGCTACAATCACAAACTAGTGAAATACTTTCCAGAGAATAAGACTGTACGAAATGTTCACAATTTTATGTGGCCTCATGTGCTTAGCAATGTCATAGTAAAAACTTATATATATATATATATATATATATATATATATATATATATATATATATACACACACACACTCACACACATAGTATATATATATATAATATATATATACACACATACATAGTGTATATATATACACACACATACACAGTATATATATATATTCTCTCTCTATATATATGTATACACACACACACACACACACACACACACACACACACACTAAATAAAGCCACAAACCTCACCCCAATGTAAAAGAATCATCAGGAAAGCAAGCACATCACATGTGCTCATTAACCATCTTTTCTCAGTCATCATGCAGTATTGGCCATTTTTCCCTCACGGCTCAGGCTTCTTGCAGTGATGAGCAGCAATGGTGTGACACTATTGTTTATACCTATCCACATTATTTTGCCATTGCCCACACTGTGGGTGAAGGCTGCCAGCATGTGCCAAGGTGTCTCTTTCCAAGCCCAAGAGAAAAGACACCTGCATCAGTGGAGGTTTTCTGCTGCTGCCAAAGCTTCTGGAGCTACTTAATATGGAAGCTATTGGCTCAGCCAGCAAATGCCAAAAGCAATCCAGGCCAGAGCTGTTTTCTCTGCTGAGGTGTATAAATTTCTTGCATTCTTGCTCTGAGTGACACTCGTGCTGTCAGTACTCTCTAGAGTGCATAGTAGATACACTCTTTCAGTTTTTCTTAGACCTCTAGGACTCAGATATGAATAGACGTTAGGATTAAAGAACAATCTCACTAATACATTGTGATATATACAAAATTTGACCATATACATGTGCCTCACTCTCTACACATCTGTTTCTCTCTGTACAATCTCTTGATGCACCTGCCTAGTCCTATGGGTAACAGGTACACTCAAGCAAGATATCATATTATGTTATTAACCTGGTTTGGGGCTTATTTCCTGGTAGACACACACCACTCACTGCTCATTGCTTTCAGTTTAACACCATTAGGAAAATATTCCTTGAGCAGCTAAACCTTACTGAGCTTTAGACAAATGGTAATTTGTCCATAAATTGACACTAAACAACAGGAAATTATTCACTATTTTTGCCACTCACATTCACACACACACGTATACACAATTACCAAGTTATTTGTTCTCACAATACCTACAATTGATCTATTCCATGTTTTTTAATTGCCTTAACCACAATCATTACAGAAAACCACTTTACTTCCTAAAGCATTGTTTCAAGAAAAGACACCAGCATCTACTCAGTTAGGAAATTAAAATCCTAGGAGCCATCTTATTTTCTCCACCTCCCTTATTCATCATACCTAATAGATTATGTCAACACTTTCTTTGAATTATCTCTCAGCTCTATTCTCTTCAGTCTTCTACATTTTGTCTCCACCTTCATCACGACTTGTTTGGATATTTCAATGGCCAACTAGATCTCCCTGTATCTCTCACCACACTCTTTCTTTCCACTTTCCATACCGTTGCCACAAAATTTCTAAAACTGGTAACTTCAGATTTTGTTTTACCTTAGTCATCTTTGTCCCTACCTTGGACAGTACCTGGTATATAGTAGCAACATAGTAATTGTTATCCACTAGGTAAATATTCAACAAGAAATGCTCAGCTAATGCAGACACCTTCATGAACAAGTTTGAATTCACTGGTCTTTAGTAGACATCCCATTCTTTGCCCATCTACAACTTTCTGATATTAAATTGCCAGAACCAGCCATGACTGCTCTTTCCCCTGTGAGCTGGATATACTTCTAATGTAACCAGAAGCTTCCAGGTTTCAAATGTGGTATCTTAAGAGAAGTTTGAGGGTAGGGGCTGAGCTGGGATATCTGCTCTGCTCTAATCCTGCAGAGGCATGTCCTGAATAAGCACTGTGATTCACAAAAGATAGTAACTTGCCCAATAACATGATCCTCAAATTATGCAAACCAGCTGCCATTCGGGTTGGAGATAAAGCTCTGAGGCAGCAGCATCTTTTCATTCATTCATCTTTTCCAACCTAGTAGAAAGGAAGCAGGGCAGTGCCATAGAGATTCCTAGAGTAATAAGAAATATAAACTTATTGTACTCATTATTTACCTTACTCTTATGACTCTTATTGAGGTATAATCCTGCATAGAAATACAGAAACTGTATGTTCTTTCTGGCTTTCTTGTCAGGATGTTACATTCTCTCTAGGAATGACAAACTAGAGTTATTTTTAAGATTTTGTACTGCTAAATCATACTTTGAAAATATTTTGTATTGAGGGAGTTTTGTTAGCTAGTTGAGCTGGAGATGAATGGCTACTTGAGTAACTAGAAACTAGAAACCATACTAACTGCTAGGAATTACTAATGTAAAGAACACCTATGTTCTCAATGACTAGTATCCATTTGATTCCATTGACAAGCAGAAGTTTTCACTTTGTAAGTAGAAAAGGATAGGGGAACTTTGGCTGGAGTCAGGGCATCAGGAGAGGGAGGAGAAGGACACAGGGGATTCCATGGTATCTATCCTCAACCTATTATTTGGGATTGTTTTAGTACTTCTATGGATAGAGAGATTGAGGTGGGATCTGAAAATATCTTGAAGTTTGGGGCACAAGTAAAGCTGCTTTGTATCTAGGAGACAGAGTGGGGCATAAAGTAGGTAAGGAAGCCATTCGCCATATTCCACATGGAACCATGAATTGCTCAGGTGTCTTGAGAACTAGAAGTTTGAAAGCAATTAAAACAATGACTTTGACCTTTACACTGATTCTCATGATGGATATAAACAACAGTGAAGCTTCCAGAAGCAACTCGGAACAAATCAGAAGTAAACAAGTAAAAATTGAAGTAGAAAAGAACTCAAAGGATACTGTTGTGAATTCATCTGATAGCTGGCTTGGGGCCCAAGACAGACTCCCTCTGAGAGAATCTCATAAATTATCAGGAGACACTTTGAGGATGCTACTTGTAGGCAGTCGTCCAATGGGAAAGCATCCCATTACACTTTGAGTGTAAAAAGAAAGTGCTCTCTTCCTTACAGTCACAAGCTATAAGGCCTAGAATATTTGAGTTATGTATATGGGACAATGTACACTCTGGGTTTAGCATAAAAGCATCACAGAATCTTAAGCATAAACATAATTGGAGTGAGTTAGAAGACAAGGAGGACATTGTCGCCAAACTGCTTGAAAACAATTTAAACTTGGGTTGTTTTTATATAAAAGCATATGTGTTTGTGTGTGTGTATGAGTGTTTATAGGAAGAATAATAAAGTAATATGTCATGAACTAGTAATAACGAATAATACAATGTATTGCACCTAAAGTTAAAATTAAAAAATAATCAAAAGATGACTTGAGGCCTATTAGCATAATTGAAATTTCATTGTTTGCTTTCATATATTATAGAGTTATTTCATCATAAACATAAGTATTGCTTTCATGATAAGGATCAATTCCATAGAGGTATATACTAAATGAAACGTGTGACCTAGGGGACAGGGGGCAAATAAAGTAGGCAGGGAAGCCATTCCCCATACTCCACAGAAAGACATGAATTGCTCAGCTGTTTTGAAAATTAGGAGTTTGAAAGCAATGAAAACAGCAACTGATCTTTACATGATGAGTATAAACAGCAGTGAAGCCCCCATAAGCAACTCAGTACGAATCAGAAATGAACAACTAAAAATGAAGTAGATGAGAACAAGAACGATACTGTGTTGTGAATTGAACTGATAGCTGGCTTAGGGCCCACGAGAGACTCCCTCTGAGAGAATCTTATTTTAACAATGCATGGTAGAAATGTTGGAATTGGAAATGAAAATAATGTACATGTCCAAAAGTATTCAAATTAGAATTTTTAGCAGCATTTATTGTTTGGCTCTTTTTTCCTACACCTCTTTTTACATATTTTAATTAAAATGTCTTCTGTTTCTTCATAAATTTTTCATAGTTAACATTGCCCTTTGAACAATATTAGTGAAAAGTTGCTTATGTTTTTTTTGTTATAATTACCTATACTTTCTTTTTATTATTATTATTATACTTCAAGTTTTAGGGTACATGTGCACAACATGCAGGTTTGTTACATATGTATACATGTGCCTTGTTGGTGTGCTGCACCCATTAACTCATCATTTAGCATTAGGTATATCTCCTAATGCTATCCCTCCCCCCTCCCCCCACCCCACAACAGGCCCCAGAGTGTGATGTTCCCCTTCCTGTGTCCATGTGATCTCATTGTTCAATTCCCACCTGTGAGTGAGAACATGCGGTGTTTGGTTTTTTGTGCTTGCGATAGTTTGCTGAGAATGATGGTTTCCAGCTTCATCCATGTCCCTACAAAGACATGAACTCATCATTTTTTATGGCTGCATAGTATTCCTTGGTGTATATGTGCCACATTTTCTTAATCCAGTCTATCATTGTTGGACATTTGGGTTGGTTCCAAGTCTTTGCTATTGTGAATAGTGCCGCAATAAACATATGTGTGCATGTGTCTTTATAGCAGCATGATTTATAATCCTTTGGGTATATACCCAGTAATGGGATGGCTGGGTCAAATGGTATTTCTAGTTCTAGATCCCTGAGGAATCGCCACACTGACTTCCACAATGGTTGAACTAGTTTACAGTCCCACCAACAGTGTCAAAGTGTTCCTATTTCTCCACATCCTCTCCAGCACCTGTTGTTTCCTGACTTTTTAATGATTGCCATTCTAACTGGTGTGAGATGGTATCTCATTGTGGTTTTGATTTGCATTTCTTTGATGGCCAGTGATGATGAGCATTTTTTCATGTGTTTTTTGGCTGCATAAATGTCTTCTTTTGAGAAGTGTCTGTTCATATTTTTTGCCCACTTTTTGATGGGGTTGTTTTTTTCTTGTAAGTTTGTTTGAGTTCATTGTAGATTCTGAATATTAGCCCTTTGTCAGATGAGTAGGTTGCAAAAATTTTCTCCCATTTTGTAGGTTGCCTGTTCACTCTGATGGTGGTTTCTTTTGCTGTGCAGAAGCTCCTTAGTTTAATTAGATCCCATTTGTCAATTTTGGCTTTTGTTGCCATTGCTTTTGGTGTTTTAGACATGAAGTCCTTGTCCATGCCTATGTCCTGAATGGTATTGCCTGGGTTTTCTTCTAGGGTTTTTATGATTTTAGGTCTAACATGTAAGTCTTTAATCCATCTTAATTTTTGTATAAGGTATACGGAAGGGATCCAGTTTCAGCTTTCTACATATGGCTACCCAGTTTTCCCAGCACCATTTATTAAATAGAGGATCCTTTCCCCATTGCTTGTTTTTCTCAGGTTTGTCAAAGATCAGATAGTTGTAGATATGCAGCATTATTTCTGAGGGCTCTGTTCTGTTCCATTGGTCTATATCTCTGTTTTGGTACCAGTACCATGCTGTTTTGGTTTCTGTAGCCTTGTAGTATAGTTTGAAGTCAGGTAGTGTGATGCCTCCAGCTTTGTTCTTTTGGCTTAGGATAAGAAATAACTAAGATCAGAGCAGAACTGAAGGAAATAGAGACACAAAAAGCCCTTCGAAAAATCAATGAATCCAGGAGCTAGTTTTTTGAAAAGATCAACAAAATTGGTAGACCGCTAGCAAGACTAATAAAGAAGAAAAGAAAGAAGAATCAAATAGATGCAAGAAAAAATGATTTTTTTTTTATAAGTGTGGTAAGTTTCAGCACAGAAAGAGGTAAATAAATCAACAGGAAAAGACCTGAGGCTTCTGGATTCAGAGCTTCTATCTGGTAGGTACCAGCAAAGGCAGATAATTTCTCAGTTATTCTAATCAAATTATATTATTCCCCCACATAATGCCCCTGTTCACACACATACACACCATCACAGCCACTGCCATTGCCTCCACATTGTAAAATGCCACTGGGACATTTCCTGTACAGGGGAAGGTTGTGCAAATGCTCAGAATAGGGCACTATAGGGCTTCGTGTACCTTAAGGTCACTTCAGGAGAATCTTCTGGATAAGCACCAATAACCTAAAATGGCCCTTGGAGTGGCAACAAGTAGTTTTCGAGAGCTTGTTCTTCCTGCCAGTGACTTGAGTCAAGTTTTGGCAACATCTTCCAAAGGCTTAGAAACCTCTAAGAAAAGCTTCACTGGCATTTGCCAGCTTTGCTTACAATGCATCAAACAAGCACCTGGGCATCAATTCACTGTGTTTTGGGGAGATTTATGTTCCTTTCCCCCACTGGGTGGCCATTAAATGTGACTTCATTTTGGCTACAAATTTATTTTCTTCCATGTTCTGGCCCTAAATGAATTATTGACTTTATTAACCTATTATTTAAAACAAACATTTACATTTGTACAACAAAGATATATTTCTAAGACCTAGGATTAAAATTCATGCTCATTGAGAATAAATGCACATATATATTATGCTATGACATAATGACATTACAGGAAAAAAAACTTGAGAAATGACATAATTTATTATTTTTATTTATTTTTATTTTTGAGATGGAGTCTCGCTCTGTCGCCCAGGCTGGAGTGCAGTGGTGAGATCTCGGCTCACTGCAAGCTCCGCCTGCCGGGTTCACGCCATTCTCCTACCTCAGCCTCCCAAGCAGCTGGGACTACAGGCGTGCAGAGAAATGACATAATTTATGTGACAGTTCTGCATACTATCAGATCTGATACTATCAAAAAGGGTGTGGTTTTATTTTTTCAAAAAATGATAAGTTATGTGTCTTTATTTTTACTTCTTTTAATTTTGAAAAAAAAATTAAATTTGCAGAAAGGCTGCAAGAATTGTCCGTTTTGATTCACCTAGAAGCCCTATTGGAGTTTCAGTGACTGCTCCAGTAATGTCCTCTATGAAATGATCCAATACAGGGTCACATGCTGTATCTAGCTGTCATGTGTCTTTAGTCTCTCCTTCAATCCAGGACTGCTGGAGTAAACTGCTTCCCTGAGAATTTGCCTTTCTCATGAGGGTTCCAGCCTCTGTCATGCCACTATCTTTTATATACCTTCTTCCTGTGAATCAAAACTTCACACAGGGTCACTTCCTTATTCAACCCTTGACTCCTATCCCCAGCTACCATCAGCACTCAGACCTGCTTCATGGGTTTCAACTGAATTATTTGCATTATACTGTCTTCTTGTAAAGGGTGTTGAGCTGTGATCTGGCTAGCAGTTAAACTACTGGCAGATTCCCCTTGATCCTGAAGAGTTTGTTTTATGCTTTGTTAAAGAGGGTCCATTGTCACTTAGAGCTTGGTCCTAGGCTCTGGCCCTCATCTTATTTTCTAGTGATTATTTCTAAATATGACCTTTCTGAGTATCAGCTAAATGTCTCAGGTGTGTAAGGCCTTGTCATTCGGCCTGGTCCTGAATACTAAAATCTCCTGCACTGCCTAACCTCTGGTATTTCCCTTTAGCTATCAGCCCTGGAGCAGGTGCTGTCAGCTAGGCCTCACAGTCCTGCCCTGTGCAAGACACCATGAACCTGGGGTACACCTTGCATGTTTCCCTTCTTAGAAACATCTACACTGCCTATAGTCCAATCCTAGAAAACAGATGCATCATATATTTTGTCCAGTTTTGTAGTTGTTCACAGTGGGAGTGTAATTTTGCCACATGCTATTCTGTGTTGCCTAAAAGCAGAATCAAGTACATATTTAAAGGTAAAATTAATTTAATGCATGAAAATACAGTCAGATACACTGAACATAAATTAAATTGAAGTACACATGTTTGGAATTTAAAAAAGGGTCTTAGTAAATGAATGTGAAAATGCTTTTAAAAATATTAAGCACATTTGAATGACTGCAGCAATACTTTATTTAGCGCAGCTACATAGTTAGGATTCTTCATCACACTGATCAGCCAGTATGACAGAATTTACTCTCATGCAAATGAATACTTAGCCACTTTATTGCACTTTCTTCCATTTCCATTACACTTTCTAATCTCTTTATTTTGTTTACTACACAAAAGTCCCTTTTAGTGTGATTACATCCTATTATCTGAAGACACTTTCATTATTTTGCAAAGAATAAGCAATCATGGGTACTGCATGGGTTGCATTAAAATGCCAGCTTTACTGAGTGGAGTGAGTAAATTCTCAGGTTGAGGTAAATCATATGCAAGTCCTAGCAAAATCCACCATTAAAACAATTGTAAAGAATGCAGAAACATAAAGTCATCAACCAACAAACCCTAACTAGACATTGATTTGAATAAATGGCATTGTAGATACAATTCTGTAAGTACCATGTGATGTTAACTGAGACAGCACTAATTCATTTAGCACTGCCATTTCTAAGAATGTATTTACACCACTAAGTTCAGCACAACTAAATTATTTTTAATATACATCTTACTCTGGAAAATATCATCTTTAAATTCCGTTAGACTTTTGCTTTAAGTGTTCCAAAGAAAGGTAGAATAAATTATGGAAATTGATAATGACATTAAACGGTTATATACCCTATATACATGCATAATTGGTTCATTTTTAAGCATCAGTTTTATCACATATCATGGTTGAAATGGATTTGCAGGCTTACTATTGGAAGACAGTGCCAAGGATTGGAAGAATAAAGGCTGGAAGATTGCCCTAATTTAGCTAGAGGTGAGATGTGAGGTGTGTTTGCCCTTTTGCATGCATGACCCCTAAGGTTTTCATTAATGCAAGAAGAAACCCCCATCTATGGCTCTGATTATCCACACACTACAGATAACAGAACACATTATGGCAGGAAGCTCATTTTTGTCATGTAGCCACTTAAGACTCTCAATTACTTCTAAGTTTTCAGTAAGATGAAAGATAAAAACCACTGTTCCTTCAGGAGATACAGATCATACTAAATAGTTTTCACTGGAAATTAGTTTAGCACAGAAGTCTGTGTCACTCAGCAGTGTAGAATGTAAGCAACATGCAAAGGACTCTCCTCAGAAACCATGAGGACGTCTCCATGGTTAGGAATTAAATTCAGCAGTAGTTAATGAAAATCCTACAAGGACAGCTTACTCAAATGGGGAATTATTTTTTCCATGTAATCAAAGTACATAAAAAGGAAATCAAGGGGATTCAACTATTCAAGAAAGTGTTTATGGTCTTGGAGTCTCTTCTCCTATCAAAAGATGGCTACCCTACCTCCAAGGGTGTCTATCTTCTGGGCAGGAAAGTTGAAGAATAAAGGGCAAAAGACAAAGGCCAAAGAAGCAAGCAGGCCTGTTCCCTTTAAGTAGCCCTTTCTCCCTTAAACAGCTACTTCTGAGTGTATCTCATTGACCAGAATTGTGTCAAGTCATCACCCCTAATGGCAATGGAAAGGGAGGTTGAAAGATAAAGTACTTAATTACATTGTGTTCTATTATTAAACAATAGGAGAATCATTATTGGATAGGCAACTAGCAATTGCCTGTTCTGTGTCTTTTAGATTTTTTTTTTTTTTGCATTTCATTTTCTATGTTTGATTTAATCTTATTTATCTCTGCAAGATCAATTGAAATGTTTTTATTTTATTAACTCCCTAGCTACTGCAAATTCCAAACTATATATTAGTCTACTTCCTTCCTTAGATGTTAGAAAATAAACGTAAATTGAAAGCTATATGTGACACAAAACTTTACGTTTCAATAGGAGTGACAATGATTAATAATAGTAAAAACGGGAATACTAATTAATAATGACTTAATAATTATTAAAATAATACTATGGGCTTTTGAAACTGTAGACTCTGAAAATTAGATATAAAACCATCTAAGCAATATAAACCTTAGTAGAGGTAGTTCAAAAGTTAATACATACTCATATGGAACAAAGTAAAATCTTAGGCATATGGACTGGAGTAACAGTGAAAGGTGAGCTCAACATTACTATCCCAGGAATTAAACACTCCATGACAAAAAAGATTAATGAGATTGCTCGGAAGAGAACCACATATCTAAGACCTTCTCTAAGTAAGAAGCAACCAGCATTAGCTGGATTCTCTGAGGAACCTCCTCTGTGCTGCACAAAATTTTTTTGGAAAGGATTAATGAAGGTGAAACACATGAGAAATGCTGGTTCCTGAGCACATGGAAACCTATAAGTATCCATTCAAGTTGATCAATAGCTGCAGATCCTATATTATACATCATGGACACTAGGTTATTTGATTACTCCTTTCTCTTACTCCACTGAATAAAAAACACTTTTCTGGTGAAATTTAGATATTCAATAACCAGGCAATTCAAGTTAGCAATAACATGACAGTATGAGATATGATGGCACATGATAACAAAAGCCTATTTTCAAAGAATATAATTTAGCACCATAAAACTATCAATGCTTTTCAGCAAAAGAATTTGTTCAGTATAAAGATTGTTTTGGAATACTTAAAAAAAAATCCAGAAGTAGATATCCTCCTATTAAATATACTACTGGAAGTTCTGGCCAGGGCAATCAGGCCAGAGAAAGAAATAAGGGGCATTTAAACAGGAAGAAGGAAAGTCAAACTCTCCCTGTTTGCAGATGACATGATCCTATATCTAGAAAATCCCATTGTCTCAGTCCCCCAAATCTTCCTAAACTGATAAACTTCAGCAATGTCTAAGGATACCAAATCAATGTGCAAAAACCACTAGCATTCCTATACACCAACAACAGCAAGCCAAGAGCCAAATAATGAATGAATCCCATACATAACTGCCCCCAAAAGAATAAAATACCCAGCAATACAGCTAACTAGGGAGGTGAAAGATCTCTATAAGGCAAACTACAAACCACTGCTCAAAGAGATCACAGATGACACAAACAAATGGAAAAACATTCCATGCTCATGGATAGGAGGAATAAATATTAAAATGGTCCTACAGCCCAAAGCAATTTATAGATTTCATGCTATTCCCATTAAACCACAACTGACATTCTTCACACAACTAGAAAAAACTATTTTAAAATTCTATTTTAAACATCTATGAAACCAAAAAAGAGTCCAAATAGCCAAGGCAATCCTAAGCCAAAAAAAAAAAAAAGCTGGAAGCATCATACTAGTTGACTTCAAAATGTACTACAGGGTGATAGTAACCAAAACAGCATGGTGCTGGTACAAAAACAGACACATAGACCAATGGAACAGAATAGAGAACCCTGAAATAAGACTCCACACCTACAAGTATTTGATCTTGGACAAACCTGACAAAAACAAGCAATGGGGAAAGGATTCCCTATTCAATCAGTGGTGCTGGGATAACTGGCTAGCCATATGAAGATGATTAAAACTGGACCCTTTTTTTACACACTGTATACAAAAATTAACTAAAAATGGATTAAAGACTTAAATGTAAAACCCAAAACTATAAAAACCCTGGAAGACAACCTAGGCAATACCATTCAGAACACAGGCACAGGAAGATTTCATGATGAAGATGCCAAGAGCAATTGGAACAAAAGCAAAAATCCACAAATGGGATCTAATTAAACTAAAGAGCTTCTGCACAGCAAAAGAAACCATTAACAGAGTAAACAGAAAACTTACAGAATGGGAGAAAAATTTTGCAAACTATGCATCCAACAAAGGTCTAATATCAAGCAACTATAAAAAACTTAAATTTACAAGAAAAAAATCAAACGACTCCATAAAAAGTGGGCAAAGGACATGAACAGACACTTTTCAAAAGAAGACATACATGTGGCCAACAAGCATATGAAAAAAAGCTCAACATTACTGATTATTAGAGAAATGCAAATGAAAATCACAATGACAGCAAGATACCATCTCACACCAGTCAGAATGACTACTATTAAGAAGTAAAAAAATAAAATAAAATAAAAAAGATGTTGGCAAGGTTGTGGAGAAAGAGGAATGCTTATACGCTGTTGGTGGGAGTGTAAATTAGTTCAGCCATTGTGGAAGACAGTGTAGCAATTCTCAAAGATCGAAAGACAGAAATACCATTTGACCCAGCAATCCCATTACTGGGTATATATCCAAAGGAACACAAATCATTCTATGATAAAGACACATGCAAGCATATGTTCATTGTAACTCTGTTCACAATAGCAAAGGCATGGAATCAACTTAAATGCCTATAAATGATAGGCTGGATAAAGAAAATGTGGTACATATACACCATGGAATACTATGCAGCCATGAAAAAGACAGATCATGTCTTTTTTAGGGGCATGGATAGAGCTGGAGGCCATTATCCTTAGCAAACTAACAAGAACAGAAAACCAAATACCCCATGTTCTCATTTAATTGAGATCTAAATGATGAGAACACATGGACACATAGAGGGGAACAATGGGCACTGAAGCCTTTTGGAGAGTGGAGGGTGGGAGGAGGGACAAGATCAGGAAAAACAACTAATAGGTACTATGCATAATACCTGGGTAATGAAATAATCTGTACAACAAATCCATGACACAAGTTTACCTATGTAACAAACCTATACTTGTACTCCTGAGCTTAAAAGTATAAAATAAATAATTAAACACATGTTTTTAAAATACTAAAAAAAAGAAAACTATACTTGCCACATTAAAATAACATAAATCTGGACAATCTAAATTCTAAAATGCATACAAATAAATCCAGAGGAATTTCAATGGGATGAATGGCTAACAGATAATAGCCTACTCTGTCTTATGTTTTTAATTTAATTATCAAGAAAGTCTATGGTGTGGTTGATTTATTAACCACATATTAAAAGCTATTTTACATTTATTGATTTTTTTAAAGATAAAAAATATCTGCAGAAGGATGATACCAATGAGAATTAACTTTATTCTGATAGGAAATTCTCAAAAAGCTCAGGATTTTGAAGCACCAAATATATCTGAAAGCTAGCATGAAGGGTGAGGCTGAACAAAAGAGGTTTGGTGGATAATTTGCCTCAGGAGTTTGAAACAAGATCCCCTTCATCTTTCTGAGACTGTTTCTTCCCCACCTAGGAAGATCAGGTTAACCAATTAGAGAGTTTGGACATGAGAGCTATGGACCTAGGTACACCAGGCAAAATTGCAGGCCAACATGTGGCCATACTGAGAACAAGGGAATCTAAAAAATTCTGTATTGGGAGCAAAGAGAGCCTACCCTGTGATCCCAGGCTACTGATAGTAAGACAAACCCCAAGAAAAAGAAGGGAGGATTTGACTCTAAAAAATAATAATAACAACCAATCCAAAAGAAAAGACATATAAATACTAACATTTTTTGTTTCCTCAATGAGAAAGTCTATCAGTCACTCAATCACCCTATATTGCAGCCACTTAATGACAAGCCTCAGCCACACACACAATTTCCAAAAAGATTTTTAGTGTCTCATGCTTAAAACTCTCAGCCTGTATCAAAACATCTCATGTGCCATGTAAATATATACACCTACTATGTACTGACAAAAATTAAAAATAAAATTTTAAAAAGGCAAAAACTGTCAGCTTAGGATCATTACATATTCAAGGAAAGCCTCTAATAGGAAAGACAGACTAAAACCAACAAAAGGCAAAAGAAACTTTAGGAAGAAATAAACTTCAAAAATATTAGCAATTAATGACATTAGATCATACAACATTGAATCAATAAAATAATATCAAGGGGATATGAAAAAGAAAATATAAGAGGTCAAAAAACAAAACAGCTATTAGAAATTAACACTGCCATAGCAAAAAGTTTAAAAATCCAATGGAAGAGATGGAAAATAAAATCAAGCTAATCTCCTGGAAAACTGAACAAAAAGTCAAAGAAATGGAAAATAAGAAATAAATTGTAAGAAAATAAAATCAGTTTAGGAGATTCAACCTCCCTCTCATGAAAGTTCCACAAAGTGAGAAGAGACAAAACAAACAGAAAAGTTTTCAAAGAAGCAATATAAGAAAATAGTTTAGAAATGAATAAGCAATTTCCACATTAGAAAATAAGCTGACTGAAAAGAAGAGATAATGAAAAAAGATACAGCAAGCACAATGCTGTAAAAATTCAAAATAGAACATACATAAGATATCAAAAGCTTACAGAGATTACATAAAAGGATGCAGTTTTCAGAATAAAATTGCTCTCTGCTGCAGGAATATGGAAGACTGAAGACATTGAAAAATGCCTTCAAAATTCTGAGGCAAAACTGCTTTCAACCTAGAATTTGTTATGTAGCCAAAATACTGCATCAAATGAAAAGTCAAAATTAAATCATGTTCACTCTTGTAAGATCTGAAAATACTCACGTACTTACTAATTTTTAAGATAATACGGGGGTGGGGGAGGAGCCAAGATGGCCGAATAGGAACAGCTCCGGTCTACAGCTCCCAGCCTGAGCGACACAGAAGAAGGGTGATTTCTGCATTTCCATCTGAGGTACCGGGTTCATCTATCTAGGGAGTGCCAGACAGTGGGCACAGGTCAGTGGGTGTGTGCACCCTGCGCGAGCCGAAGCAGGGCGAGGCATTGCCTCACTTGGGAAGCGCAAGGGGTCAGGGAGTTCCCTTTCCGAGTCAAAGGAAGGGGTGACCGACGCACCTGGAAAATCGGGTCGCTCCCACCCAAATACTGCGCTTTTCTGACCGGCTTAAAAAACGGCGCACCACAAGATTATATCCCGCACCTGGCTCGGAGGGTCCTACGCCCACGGAGTCTCACTGATTGCTAGCACAGCACGGAGTCTCACTGATTGCTAGCACAGCAGTCTGAGATCAAACTGCAAGGCAGCAGCGAGGCTGGGGGAGGGGCGCCCGCCATTGCCCAGGCTCCCGTAGGTAAACAAAGCAGCCGGGAAGCTCGAACTGGGTGGAGCCCATCACAGCTCAAGGAGGCCTGCCTGCCTCTGTAGGCTCCACCTCTGGGGGCAGGGCACAGACAAACAAAAAGACAGCAGTAACCTCTGCAGACTTAAATGTCCCTGTCTGACAGCTTTGAAGAGAGCAGTGGTTCTCTCAGCACGCAGCTGGAGATCTGAGAACGGGCAGACTGCCTCCTCAAGTGGGTCCCTGACCCCTGACCCCTGAGCAGCCTAACTGGGAGGCACCCCCCAGCAGGGGCACACTGACACCTCACACTGCAGGGTATTCCAACAGACCTGCAGCTGAGGGTCCTGTCTGTTAGAAGGAAAACTAACAAACAGAAAGGACATCCACACCAAAAACCCATCTGTACATCACCATCATCAAAGACCAAAAGTAGATAAAACCACAAAGATGGGGAAAAAACAGAACAGAAAAACTGGAAACTCTAAAAAGCAGAGCGCCTCTCCTCCTCCAAAGGAACGCAGTTCCTCACCAGCAACGGAACAAAGCTGGATGGAGAATGACTTTGACGAGCTGAGAGAAGAAGGCTTCAGACGATCAAATTACTCTGAGCTATGGGAGGACATTCAGACCAAAGGCAAAGAAGTTGAAAACTTTGAAAAAAATTTAGAAGAATGTATAACTAGAATAACCAATACAGAGAAGTGCTTAAAGGAGCTGATGGAGCTGAAAACCAAGGCTCGAGAACTATGTGAAGAATGCAGAAGCCTCAGGAGCCGATGCGATCAACTGGAAGAAAGGGTATCAGCGATGGAAGATGAAATGAATGAAATGAAGCAAGAAGGGAAGTTTAGAGAAAAAAGAATAAAAAGAAATGAGCAAAGCCTCCAAGAAATATGGGACTATGTGAAAAGACCAAATCTACGTCTGATTGGTGTACCTGAAAGTGATGGTGAGAACGGAACCAAGTTGGAAAACACTCTGCAGGATATTATCCAGGAGAACTTCCCCAATCTAGCAAGGCAGGCCAACGTTCAGATTCAGGAAATACAGAGAACACCACAAAGATACTCCTCAAGAAGAGCAACTCCAAGACACATAATTGTCAGATTCACCAAAGTAGAAATGAAGGAAAAAATGTTAAGGGCAGCCAGAGAGAAAGATTGGGTTACCCTCAAAGGGAAGCCCATCAGACTAACAGCGGATCTCTCGGCAGAAACCCTACAAGCCAGAAGAGAGTGGGGGCCAATATTCAACATTCTTAAAGGAAAGAATTTTCAACCCAGAATTTCATATCCAGCCAAACTAAGCTTCATAAGTGAAGGAGAAATAAAATACTTTACAGACAAGCAAATGCTGAGAGATTTTGTCACCACCAGGCCTGCCCTGAAAGAGCTCCTGAAGGAAGCACTAAACATGGAAAGGAACAACCGGTACTAGCAGCTGCAAAGTCATGCCAAAATGTAAAGACCATCGAGACTAGGAAGAAACTGCATCAACTAATGAGCAAAATAACCAGCTAACATCATAATGACAGGGTCAGATTCACACATAACAATATTAACTTTAAATGTAAATGGACTAAATTCTCCAATTAAAAGACACAGACTGGCAAATTGGATAAAGAGTCAAGACCCATCAGTGTGCTGTATTCATGAAACCCATCTCATGTGCAGAGACACACATACGCTCAAAATAAAAGGATGGAGGAAGATCTACCAAGCAAATGGAAAACACAAAAAGGCAGGGGTTGCAATCCTAGTCTCTGGTAAAACAGACTTTAAACCAACAAAGATCAAAAGAGACAAAGAAGGCCAATACATAATGGTAAAGGGATCAATTCAACAACAAGAGCTAACTATCCTAAATATATATGCACCCAATACAGGAGCACCCAGATTCATAAAGCAAGTCCTGAGTGACCTACAAAGAGACTTAGACTCCCACACATTAATAATGGGAGACTTTAACACCCCACTGTCAACATTAGACAGATCAACGAGACAGAAAGTCAACAAGGATACCCAGGAATTGAACTCAGCTCTGCACCAAGCAGACCTAATAGACATCTACAGAACTCTCCACCCCAAATCAACAGAATATACATTTTTTTCAGCACCACACCACACCTATTCGAAAATTGACCACATACTTGGAAGTAAAGCTCTCCTCAGCAAATGCAAAAGAACAGAAATTATAACAAACTATCTCTCAGACCACAGTGCAATCAAACTAGAACTCAGGATTAAGAATCTCACTCAAAACCGCTCAACTACATGGAAACTGAACAACCTGCTCCTGAATGACTACTGGGTACAAAACGAAATGAAGGCAGAAATAAAGATGTTCTTTGAAACCAACGAGAACAAAGACACAACATACCAGAATCTCTGGGACACAATCAAAGCAGTGTGTAGAGGGAAATTTATAGCACTAAATGCCCACAAGAGAAAGCAGGAAAGATCCAAAATTGACACCCTAACATCACAATTAAAGGAACTAGAAAAGCAAGAGCAAACACATTCAAAATCTGGCAGAAGGCAAGAAATAACTAAAATCAGAGCAGAACTGAAGGAAATAGAGACACAAAAAACCCTTCAAAAAATCAATGAATCCAGGAGCTGGTTTTTTGAAAGGATCAACAAAATTGATAGACCGCTAGCAAGACTAATAAAGAAAAAAAGAGAGAAGAATCAGATAGACACAATAAAAAGTGATAAAGGGGATATCACCACTGATCCCACAGAAATACAAACTACCATCAGAGAATACTACAAACACCTCTACGCAAATAAACTAGAAAATCTAGAAGAAATGGATAAATTCCTCGACACATACACTCTCCCAAGACTAAACCAGGAAGAAGTTGAATCTCTGAATAGACCAATAACAGGAGCTGAAATTGTGGCAATAATCAATAGTTTACCAACCAAAAAGAGTCCAGGACCAGATGGATTCACAGCCGAATTCTACCAGAGGTACAAGGAGGAACTGGTACCATTCCTTCTGAAACTATTCCAATCAATAGAAAAAGAGGGAATCCTCCCTAACTCATTTTATGAGGCCAGCATCATTCTGATACCAAAGCCGGGGAGAGACACAGCCAAACAAGAGAATTTTAGACCAATATCCTTGATGAACATTGATGCAGAAATCCTCAATAAAATACTGGCAAAACGAATCCAGCAGCACATCAAAAAGCTTATCCACCATGATCAAGTGGGCTTCATCCCTGGGATGCAAGGCTGGTTCAATATATGCAAATCAATAAATGTAATCCAGCATATAAACAGAGCCAAAGACAAAAACCACATGATTATCTCAATAGATGCAGAAAAAGCCTTTGACAAAATTCAACAACGCTTCATGCTAAAAACTCTCAATAAATTAGGTATTGATGGGACGTATTTCAAAGTAATAAGAGCTATCTATGACAAACCCACAGCCAATATCATACTGAATGGGCAAAAACTGGAAACATTCCCTTTGAAAACTGGCACAAGACAGGGATGCCCTCTCTCACCACTCCTATTCAACATAGTGTTGGAATTTCTGGCCAGGGCAATTAGGCAGGAGAAAGAAATAAAGGGTATTGAATTAGGAAAAGAGGAAGTCAAATTGTCCCTGTTTGCAGACGACATGATTGTATATCTAGAAAACCCCATTGTCTCAGCCCAAAATCTCCTTAAGCTGATAAGCAACTTCAGCAAAGTCTCAGGATACAAAATCAACGTACAAAAATCACAAGCATTCTTATACACCAACAACAGACAAACAGAGAGCCAAATCATGAGTGAACTCCCATTCACAATTGCTTCAAAGAGAATAAAATACTTAGGAATCCAACTTACAGGGGATGTGAAGGACCGCTTCAAGGAGAACTACAAACCACTGCTCAAGGAAGTAAAAGAGGATACAAACAAATGGAAGAACATTCCATGCTCATGGGTAGGAAGAATCAATATCGTGAAAGTGGCCATACTGCCCAAGGTAATTTACAGATTCAATGCCATCCCCATCAAGCTACCAATGCCTTTCTTCACAGAATTGGAAAAAACTACTTTAAAGTTCATATGGAACCAAAAAAGAGCCCACATCGCCAAGTCAATCCTAAGCCAAAAGAACAAAGCTGGAGGCATCACACTACCTGACTTCAAACTATACTACAAGGCTACAGTAACCAAAACAGCATGGTACTGGTACCAAAACAGAGATATAGATCAATGGAACAGAACAGAGCCCTCAGAAATAATGCCGCATATCTACAACTATCTGATCTTTGACAAACCTGAGAAAAACAAGCAATGGGGAAAGGATTCTCTATTTAATAAATGGTGCTGGGAAAACTGGTTAGCCATATGTAGAAAGCTGAAACTGGATCCCTTCCTTACACCTTATACAAAAATCAATTCAAGATGGATTAAAGACTTAAACGTTAGGCCTAAAACCATAAAAACCCTAGAAGAAAACCCAGGCAATACCATTCAGGACATAGGCATGGACAAGGACTTCATGTCTAAAACACCAAAAGCAACGGCAACAAAAGCCAAAATTGACAAATGGGATCTAATTAAACTAAAGAGCTTCTGCACAGCAAAAGAAACTACCATCAGAGTGAACAGGCAACCTACAACATGGGAGAAAATTTTCACAATCTACTCATCTGACAAAGGGCTAGTATCCAGAATCTACAATGAACACAAACAGATTTACAAGAAAAAAAACAAACAACCCCATCAAAAAGTGGGCGAAGGACATGAACAGACACTTCTCAAAAGAAGACATTTATGCAGTCAAAAAACACATGAAAAAATGTTCACCATCACTGGTCATCAGAGAAATGCAAATCAAAACCACAATGAGATACCATCTCACACCAGTTAGAATGGCAATCATTAAAAAGTCAGGAAACAACAGGTGCTGGAGAGGATGTGGAGAAATAGGAACACTTTGACACTGTTGGTGGGACTGTAAACTAGTTCAACCATTGTGGAAGTCAGTGTGGCGATTCCTCAGGGATCTAGAACTAGAAATACCATTTGACCCAGCCATCCCATTACTGGGTATATACCCAAAGAACTCTAAATCATGCTGCTATAAAGACACATGCACACGTATGTTTATTGTGGCATTATTCACAATAGCAAAGACTTGGAACCAACCCGAATGTCCAACAATGATAGACTGGATTAAGAAAATGTGGCACATATACACCATGGAATACTATGCAGCCATAAAAAATGATGAGTTCATGTCCTTTGTAGGGACATGGATGAAATTGGAAAGCATCATTCTCAGTAAACTATCGCAAGAACAAAGAACCAAACACCTCATATTGTCACTCATAGGTGGGAATTGAACAATGAGATCACATGGACACAGGAAGGGGAATATCACACTCTGGGGACTGTGGTGGGGTGGGGGGATGGGGGAGGGATAGCATTAGGAGATATACCTAATGCTAGATGACGAGTTAGTGGGTGCAGCGCACCAGCATGGCACATGTATACATATGTAACTAACCTGCACAATGTGCACATGTACCCTAAAACTTAAAGTATAAAAAAAAAAAAAAGAAACTACCAGGAGCTGAACTTAAAGAGATTGAAATAATAAAGAGAAAAAACATAGAGTTCAGGAAAAAGGGATCCAAAGCAGGTATTGGGCAAAGGGAATCCCATGTTAGATGGTAAGTGAAAATCCTAGGATAACGGTTGTACAGCAGGCCTAGAAAGCAACAGCCCAGCTTGGAGTAAGAGGAGGAGTAAGCTGACAGAGTTCTAGAAAGAAGAAGTAGTAAAAATAATTGATGTATTTAACCTGGGAGAAAGAATGCTTTACTATATTGGCTAGTATGTTAGCTAATACAGAGTGGAATGTATGTTAGACATGTCAGATATCAAGGAAAAGAATAAAAGAAAGAAACAAATATGCGGCAAACCGACTGTAAGGTGACCCCTGTGATCTTCAACTGCTGCTATTTTATCATTTCCTCATTTTGAGTTTGGATGGAACCTGGTACCTGTTTCTCACCAATAGAATACAGCGAAGATAAAAAGATGTCTTACACTTCCAGCAGACTTGTTCTCCCTTTCCTTCTGGCTTGAAAGAATAGGAAACAGAAATAGAAACAAAAAACAGCAATAGACTACATAAACTTTAGAAAAAGTTGTACTACAGCATGTACAGTCACTATGTAGCTCAGCAATGAACAGTATTTATGGTCCTAACAATGTAAATTCTGAATGTTAATTCTACAAAAATTCCAAATTGGGAATGAGGGGAAAAGTATGTGTCTTAAATATGGTGACGGTGACTTGAGTCTACTGCTGTGATAAAATGCCATAGAACTGTAAACCAAAAGCAAACAAACAGACAAATAGACAAAAAGGGCGCATGCAAATACTGGTGAAATCCAAATAATGCCTGTACCTGACTAATAGTATTTTATCATACTCAGTTTTCTGGTTTTGACTGTATGCTATGGTTATGTAACATATTATCACTAGGAGAAGCTGGGTGAAGAATACATGAGAACTCTAATGTTTTCAACTCTTGTGAGTCTTAAACTATTTTGAAATAAAAAGTTATTTTTAAAATTTTGAAAAGTATGTGTTTTGTATAAGGAAGGTTTATAAGAGGACTAACACATCATCGTCATAGTAGTAGTACTAACAAAATCTATTTCTGGACCGGGTGCGGTGGCTCATGCCTGTAATCCCAGCATTTTTGGAGGCCGAGGCGGGTGGATCACGAGGTCAGGAGATCAAGACCATCCTGGCTAAAATGGTGAAACCCTGTCTCTACTAAAAATACAAAATTAGCCAGGTGTGGTGGCGGGCGCCTGTAGTCCCAGCTACTTGGGAGGCTGAGGCAGGAGAATGGTGTGAACCCGGGAGATGGAGCTTGCAGTGAGCCGAGATCGCGCCACTGCAGCCTGGGCAACAAAGCGAGACTCCATCTCAAAAAAAAAAAAAAAAAAAAAAATCCATTTCTGGAATTCCATACACTGTGCCTTTTTCAAGTACTAAGATGCTATTATTTCATAAATTCATCAGCAGCTTTATTCACTCTTTGCAGTTTTCTGATCAGTGCTTCCTCTTTCTCTCTTCCCTGCCTCCCCCCTTACCAACCCTGACACTACCTCAGCCATTCCAGTTCTTTTTCTGTTAAGCTCCTGCAACTCCCCTAACCCCTCCCATCTTCCTTTACTTAAAAGACTGTGCATGGACATGCTGGGTGAAGCCCTCTGAAGTGAACTAATCTCCCCAGTAGGAAGGAAAGGATTTAGACCACAGGTAACACCAACCCTCCTGAGTTATCTGAAAGAGAAATCGAGACTGCTGCTATTTAGAGCTACTGGAAAAGGCAGTGGGCTTTCTCTGAGATGGTGACCTTCAAAGTTCCACTCAGAGCAGCTCAACATAGTAGGAAGATTCTGAGACTCTCTCCAAAACACCAGTAACATCAGAAGTAATTCTTAGGATATCTTTGGAGAGAAATGGAAGGTAGAGCCGATATCAAAGAAAGTCATAAGGAATAAAGAACAGAGGATACATATTTATGAATTTTTATATTTAAAATATTTTACTTTCACTGGTTTATAAGTCTGAACACTTTATCAGGTTTATTTTTTCAAAGTGTATTCAGAATGCAAGAAAGGAAATATTAGGCAAAATATATATTGAAATGTCAATATTGCCATTTTGCTTAAGCAGTAAAATTAATACCCAGTACAAAACCAATTGACAATATCTAAAATTTTATAATAAAGAAAGAGGAATGATAACATACTATTTTGTTTGGAGATAAGTGACAGAAAGTTTTGAAAATTATCTTTATTCTACAGGTTATTGATGTTATATTTCTATATAATATGGAACCATACCATTCTTCCGATATGTATTGTAAAGTTATGATAATTATAAAAGTGTAACACTGCCCAAGTAGTCAATAAACAGATCTATAAAGCACTATAAAAATTCAAATTTTTTTTTTACGAATGAGGTTTTCAATAAAGCAGACCTCTGAAAGGAGGAAGGAAAGAAGTTAAATGATTGCCATACCCAGGGAGGTCATGTTATACACAGATAATCTTAGGTCTCATCTGTAAAACTAAGACAAGATCCTTTCAGCGTAGATAATGTCACAGAATTACAGGCCACTGGAGCAGGAAGGTGGAATAGGACTTTCCAGCACAAATGAGTTGAAAATTTATGTCTACACAATATGTGCAAATGTGCACAGAAATGTTTATAGCAGTTTTTTTGATAATTGCCAAAACCTAGAAGCAATCCAGATGCCCTTCAGTGGGCAAATGGATACATAAATGGTGGTATATCCAGACAATACAATATCATTCAGCACTGAAATGAAATAATCTATTTGGCCATGAAAAACCTTAGAGGCATCTTAAATGCAGATTACTATGAAATTATATGGGATATATCCTGTGGGTTTTGATAGCGGAGAAGATTGGGCATACATGGGGGAAAGATGTATATAGAGAATCTCTATTTTCCACTCAATTTTGTTGTAAAACTGCTCTAGAAAAAAATAGTTCACATTTTTTAAAGTACCTGAGTTCAGAAAATGTAAGCTTTATTTGCTAAAAATATAGAAGCACATTTAAATTTAAAAATTAAATTGAGCTATGATATGGTTTGGCTATGTCCCCACCCTAAATCTCAAGTTGAATTGTAATCCGAATTGTAATCCCCGTGTTTTGGGGGAGGGACCTCATAGAAGGTGATTAGATAATGGCAGGAATTCCCACATGCTGTTCTTAACATTATCAGTGAGTTCTCACGAGATCTGATGGTTTTGTAAGGGTCTTTTCCCCTTTTTGCTCTGCACTTCTCTCTCCTGCCACCATGTGAAGAAGGATGTGTTTGCTTCCCTTTCCGCCATGATTGTAAGTTTCCTAAGGTCTCCCCAGCCATGTGGAATTATGAGTCAATTAATCCTTTTTCCTTTATAAATTACCTAGTCTTGGAGCAGTTCTTTATAGCAGCATGAAAACAGACTAATACAAGCTATCATACAGAGTAGTTTTGGATTTTTTAGGATAAACGGTTTTTTAAATAACACTATATTTAGAATCCCCGAAATATCAGGCTTTTAATTTATTCTTTGCTATGTTCAGTGTTATAACAAACAAATCCTCAAATGAATTTTATGAGAAATAGGTTATTTTTAATGGAGATAATTGGTTCAATATATTCTTTAGATTACTTCAATTCCAAAAATTCCATAATAGTAACCCTAAAGAAGTTATATTTGGGATATTATCAACACCATTATTTATTTAAATCAATTCCTGAAAAGCACAGATATTAAAGTTAAGCCAACCAGATCACTTAGGAGCTTTTTAATTAAATGCCAAAAACTTGGAATCTTGAAGAAACACAGGCACACTTAATACCAGGAAGAAATCTCTTTGAACAGTATTTTAGTTGGAACACTTTCAATTTCAAATGACAAAATCCCAACTCAAACTAGCCTAAAGAAAATAAAAAGGTGGTCCATACAGTTTAGTGGAAAGAATAGGGATGGATCTAGGTTCTGAATTAGGTCTTCCTCTTCCTTCTTCCCTGAGTTCTGCATCTTATTGCTGTCTTTCTCCCTCCCTCCTTCTCTCCCTTATTTTGCTCTCACTTTTGTTTATCTGCATGTTTTTATGTTATTTTTTCCTTTCGATGATTTGATTCTTGCAAGCAGTGGGAGATAAGCATGGCCTGTAGTTGACTTGGGAGTCACAAATCCTGGCTTAGACAAACCAGAGGAAGGAGAGAGCATTTATCTCCCAGATCCTCTACATGAAATCTCAATGAAGTTTTCTAAGTGATCCAGCTCACATCATGTGCCCATCTCTAGGCCAAAATCATTCAGCAGCCATCATAGCCTCTTTTAGCACAGAAAGGAAAACTCCACTGAATGGGGAGAGCAGAGATGGAGAAAAGGGGTGAAAATAAAAATTGGGGAGATGGCTTAATATATTTAATTTGTTAATTTAATGAATTAATTTAATAGAAAGAGATTGTTTTTAAAACAAAACTCCCAGAAGTAAAATTATATTTTATCATGAAATAAAAATAAAATTATATTTTATCATAAAAAATAAAATTATATTTTATTAGGAAATTCAGAAATAAGTTATCTGAAATCTGATAATGAAGAGGTAGAGTACATTAGCTAATAATACTGAATACTTCAGGAAATATTTTCTTGAAAACTAAATGTGACTGACATTGTTCTTTATGATTAGCCATATTCCCCGTCAGATAAGATTCGTTATGAACTGACCTGTTTATTTTTTTTTAAGAATTTTTCATTTTGAGGCTATAATCAGTCTCTAGAGCTTTGACCGAGTGGTTTATATGACAGGTGACCATGGGTTAGTTTTCAGAAGATTAACAGTAAATTGTGTTTAAAATATTCTTCATGTAAAAAAAAATGCTAAAATCTGAGATGAAACCTGAAGTGAAATATTAAATAGATACCATCTATTCCACGAATAATTTCGGTTTTTAAAAACTTTTTCTCCACAATTGGATGTCTCAGAGGTGTGGGAGTTTGCTCAAATTAATCAATATTTTTAATCTTGTGTTGACAATTCAAAATTCAACACTGTGGTAAATATTTAGGTTTTAACAAAACCCTCGACATTCTTAGAGTAGCCATTTTAGAACTGTTGTTTCCTGGAGTATTTCATTCCATAGAAATACTGATTGCAATAGGCTTCTTCTGATTGTGTCTGCTCTTTTAAATTAGGTCCCACTCCACATTACAAGAGAAGTTGTAAGGTAGAATTAACCCTAAATTCAATTATTTCCTAAAGATTTGAAAAGCAGTGCTGTTTATAAATGTCTCCCAAATCCTAATTCCTGACCCAGGAAAGCAAACGTGTAGATTTTGTCCTCAGTGCCAGTTTCCTCTCCTACCTCAGTCAAAGTGTCAGTCAAGTCAGCTGGCTCTGCAGTATCTCAGGTTCCAACTATGCCACCTCTAGTCCAGCTCACAAATACTCACGAGTCCCTCTACCTCGATCCTGTTTTTCCTGTAATACATTAACTTTTGACCTGTTTAGACTTAATTTGGTTTGGTAAATAGGTTGGTGATGTATGGAGACATGAGATTATGGAAAGCTAATACTCCTCCTCACTGTGAAGAGAGTCTTACAATGTTGTAAGTCACAATGAAATAAGAAGTAATACCAACTGCAAACAACTAAGTATCACATACTGAGAGACTGACTTGACATATCTTGGCCATTCATAAACTGAATTGAATTCAGTAGTTCTTGGGTTTGGGATTATAAATAGTGTCTGAAGCAAGATTTTTCCAATATGGGAGAATTTATGTATCTATTTAATGTAAGCCCTTGACCTTTCTTAGACCTTCAGAAGTTTAATTCATTTCTGGACACCTGATTGCCATTGCTAAATGAATTCTGTGCTCATCTATCCCCTTTTCACTGTCTTTGGTAACCAGGATGCAACTCCTAGATTCTAGCCTGTATCTGTATTTTTATATTTTGACTTACTCCCTTTTAAGTCAATATCTTCCTTATATCTGTTTTTATCTACTTTCATTCAGCACATGTGGGCCTCTGGGTTTTAGTCCTAGATATATTTCTTCTCTGGTGGCCTCTTGCTAAAATATAATATTAAAATATGTTTGCCTTTTTTGAGTATGCAACAACTAATGGCAATAGGAAGACCAGAAGGAGGAAGGCATCCTTCCATGAAACAGTCTTTGTAGAGTGTCTACAAACTACATAAACATAGCTAGAGAATGAAGAGTTGGCTGTATAAAGGGGTTGATAAGATTTGGTTGTGTCCCCACCCAAATCTCACCTTGAATTCCCACATGTTGTGTGGGGGACCTAGTGGGAAGTAGTTGAATCATGGGAGCAGGTCTTTCCCATGCTGTTCTTGTGATAGTGAATAAGTCTCACGAGATCTGATGGTTTTAAAAATGGGAATTTTACTGCATAAACTCTCTCTCTCTTTGCTTGCTGCCATCCATGTAAGATTTGACTTGCTCCTCCTTGCCTTCCTCCATGATTGTCAGGCCTCCCCAGCCATGTGGAACTATAAGTCCAATAAATCTCTTCATTTTGTAAATTGCCCAGTCTTGGGTATGTCTTTATCAGCAGTGTGAGAGTGGATTCAGTAAATTGGTATCAGTAGAATGGGGCATTGCTAAAAGATACCTGGATATGTGGAAGCGACTTTGGAACTGGATAACATGTAGAGGTTGGAACAGTTTGGAGGGCTCAGAAGAAGATAGGAAAATGTGGGAAAGTTTGGAACTTCCTAGAGACTTGTTGAATGGCTTTGACAAAAATGCTGATAGTGATATCAACAATAAGGTCCAGGCTGAGGTCGTCTCATGTGGAGATGAGGAGCTTGTTGGAAACTGGAGCAAAGGTGACCCTTGTTATGTTATAGCAAAAGGACTGGTGGCAATTTTGCCCCAGCCCTCGAGATTTGTGGAACTTGGAACTTGAGAGAGGTGATTGAGGGTATCTGGCAGAAGAAATTTCTGAGGAGGAAAGCATTCAAGAGGTGACTTGGGTGCTGTTAAAGGCATTCAGTTTTATAAGGGAAGCAGAGCATAAAAGTTTGGAAAATTTGCAACCTGACAATGTGATAGAAAAGAAAACCCCATTTTCTGAGGATAAATTTAAGCCAGCTGCAGAAATTTGCATAAGTAATGGGGAGCCTAATGTTAATCCTGAAGACAATGGAGAAAAAGTCTCCAGGGCATGTCAGAGGTCTTCATGGCAGCCTCTCTAATCAGATGCCCAGAGGCCTAGGAGAAAAAAGTGGTTTCATGGGCCAGGCCCAGGGTCCCCATGCTGTGTGCAGTCTCGTGACTTGGTGCCTTGCATCCCAGCCACTCCAGCTGTGACTAAAAGGAGCCAAGGCACAGCTCAGGCTGTGGCTTCAGAGGGTGCAAGCCAAAAGCCTTGGCAGCTTCCACATGGTGTTGAGCCTGTGGGTGCACAGATGCCAAGAATTGAGGTTTGGGAACCTCCGCCTAGATTTCAGAGGATGTATGGAAATGCCTGGATGTCCAGGCAGAAGTTTGCTGCAGGGGAGGGGCTCTCATGGAGAACCTCTGCTAGGGCAGTGTGGAAGGGAAATGTGGGGTTGAAGCCACCCCATAGAGTCCCTACTGGGGCACTGCCTAGTGGAGTTGTGAGAAGAGGGCCACTGTCCTCCAGACCCCAGAATGGTAGATCCCCTGACAGCTTGCACCGTGTGCCTGGAAAAGCCACAGTCATTCAATGCCAGCCCGTGAAAGCAGCCGGGAGGGAGGCCATACCCTGCAAAGCCACAGGGATGGAGCTGCCCAAGACCACAGCAACCCACTTCTTGCATTAGCGTGACCTGGATGTGAGACATGAAGTCAAAGGAGTTCATTTTGGAGCTTTAAAATTTGACTGCCCCACTTGATTTCAAACTTAAATGGAGCCTGTAGCCCCTTTGCTTTGGCCAATTTCTCCCATTTGGAACAGCTGTACTTATCCAATGCCTGTACCCCCATTGTATCTAGGAAGTAAGTAACTTGCTTTTGATTTGGACAGAATCATAGGTGGAAGGGACTTGCCTTGTCTCAGATGAGACTTTGGACTGTGGACTTTTGAGTTATTGCTGGAATGAGTTAAGACTTTGGGAGACTGTTGTGAAGACCCGATTGGTTTTGAAACATGAGGACATGAGATTTGGAGGGGCCAGGGGTGGAATGACATGGTTTGACTGTGTCCCCAACCAAATCTCACCTTGAATTCCCATGTGTTGTGGGAGGGACCTAGTGGGAAGTAGTTGAATCATGGCGGCAGGTCTTTCCCATGCTGTTCTCATGATAGTGAATATGTCTCATAAGATCTGATGGTTTTAAACATGGGAGTTTTACTGCACAAGCTCTCTCTCTCCCTTTGCCTGTTGCCATCCACGAAAGATGTAACTTGCTCCTCCTTGCCTTCTGCCATGATTGTGAGGCCTCCCCAGCCATGTAGAACTGTATTCCAATAAACCTCTTTCTTTTGTAAATTGCCCAGTCTTGGGTATGTCTTTATCAGCAGCATGAAAATGGACTAATCTGGGGGTTGAGTAATTCCACCTAATTATTCAGTTTGTTGATTATCTATGACATTGTCATTTCTTCATTTTTTTCTAGTGTCTACATTTTTACCGTTTTAGTAAATGAAAAATTAAAATTTCCTAATATCTGACATGAGATTTAGAATTTTTGAATTTCAGCAATTTGTGCACAATTGTCAATCAAGATTCAATTCTCCTTGAATAAATATTTAAAATGTAGATAATTTCAAAATATTTGAATATTTTGTCATTCCAAACCCAAGGCCTTCAGGGGTATAAGGAGGAAAACATTCATTGTCAATTTTTTTAAGTGAACTAGGTGTCCCATTTATTGATGCTGTTAAGCTAAAATATTTCTTTAAGATGGTTTTCTTCTTGATAATTTGCACAATACATTATCCAACCACTCAACTTTATCCACATATGTGTTATTGTTTCTGGATATTGTTATATGAAATATCTGCTTCAAAGACTGTTTAAAATTCAGTGAAAAAAATAATCTAAAAAATGCATCCTTTGCCATTTAACATTTCACTGAAATAATAGGAATACACAGCATTTCAATAAAAATGAGGATATCATTTACACTTATATTTAATCTTATATCTTAAATCTCTTCTCATATCTTGAATCAGTTCTTTCTTATAGTTAAAGCTATTTGAGTACTGCTGCTTTGTTAGGCAGGATTTTTTCCAGGCTTCCTTTTTCAGTTGCTTTCCAAAGGTGCAAAAATAATCCTGTCACAACAGAGAAGAAGAGCTTATAAAGATGCTTTAAAAACCTTATCACCAGGAAACAGTGCACAGTGTATTGTATAATATAGTGTCTTAAAATACTTCTGCTTACCTCCTCATTGATGCTGCTACAATATTTACATAACACTGCTAACTAATTCTTCATTATGTAGGTTATTTATCGTTTCTCTTGGAGACTGTCTTCCCAACACACTTAATATTATTGAATTGAGTCATTGTTTTTATTTCTACCTACTGTTTAGCTGCAGTGAATCTTTTCTCAGTTCTGGGACTGCATTGGTGGGTCAGGATTCATGTTTACTACTCCTTGGGGTAAGAAATGAAGAGTAGGAGGAGAACTGTGGCAGGACAGAGTCTGGCTAGCCATCAATGCACATTGTTTATGTCTTCAAGATGGGTTATTTCAGAACTAGAAAAAAATAAAAAAAAGGAAAAAATAAAATAAGGGAGCTGCTTTGGTTCAGAGGAATGGATGTCCTGGGAGAAAAAAGTAAAAGTGGAAACTAATATTTCAGAAAATACTTCAGCAGAAAGACATTTTTAGTGCAAGATATCTCACAGGCTAAGGAAAATTATTTGATGCATTAAATATTTTCAAGATTTCTGTGTTGAATACATTTTGAAACCCTAGGCTAGATGTTTTTGTTAACATTTTATGTTAAAGAATTGATTTAAATAAGAAAAAAAAAACCCTATCTTTCTGTATGACTCAGGAGCACTTCACGGCAAACAAACATGTAGCACACTTTACCTAGTTTCAACCTGAAGGTCAATCCAGATGAACAGCGTCTTTGAGTTCCCTCTAACACTTCAACACTGTCAAGCCAGGTTTTCCATTTATCTTCTTGCATGGGTCTACCATTACAGTTCAGACCCTCAGGGTGAGATCACCTAGCTTCCAACAAAGTTGTCAGCCCCACTCCACAAATAAGTCACCTCATCAAACAACAACCAACACTATCGTAGCTCATACCCACACCCTAATCTCCTGGAGCTTAAACATACTGCTTCTCATAATACATCCCTCTTCCAGCAGCTAAGGAAATGAAACCTAGAGGTCACTTACAAGCTATATTTTTCCATATGATTTCTACCAATTGCCCACGAAATCTCAAGGGAAAACAGTTACAGTTATAGAGTTGCTGAACTGCCTTAGATTTGCTAGAAAGAAACAAAAATCCTGGGTAACATTTTTTGGGGTGTGTGTGTTTTCCTCAGCTGAAACAGAAAGCAACTAAAATTTTAGAGGTTCTATAAACCTGTAGATTTTTCTTTATGTACTAAACTTGGCTGTGTATATATAAAGTAGCCATACACCTTTTCTCTCACCAAGTAAAACAATAAAATTAGGAATGATTCTGTCAAATAAATGCAGTAATCCTTCCAAAACTAAACTTACCCGGTTATTTCATGAGTAAATTAGACCTATTAATGTATCTAAATAGCTAAAAACAGTTATGAACTAAGAAAAGCTTTGAATAAATCTTGCTGAAGTATAAAACCCTCTCTTCTTTCTTATAAAAGTAATAAACACATATTTATTGACTAACAAGTAGAAAACTGACGCTAAACTGTGGGCTTTTACAAAGCTGACTCTCCATGACACTATTAGTTGGATTTTATCATCTCCTTATACTGAAGATAAAAACAGCCTTGCAGAGAGCAGATGGCTTCCCAAGGTCATTCCACCCATAAATGAGCTCAGATTCAGTCCTAACTCCAGCCCCAGTGTTATTTCCACTACTTGATGCTATGACTCTCCATTTGAAAATTTAATCATAAAGAATACTACATCATTAATCTACAAACATGTTTTCGTTCTACCCTGTAAAACTTGCTGAGTACAAAATGCTGTCCTCTGTTAAATTGCATAACCTTGGGCAGAGCTAGGGTAGGGTTTGATCTATGAAAAAGATCTGATTAAAAACCTAAATCAAAATATAGAACTAAGAATATGAAAAGCAAAAGTACATTTTCAAGCTCATGGTGAATTGTGTTTTCAGCAAGAATGTTTTTAGATGATTTATAACGGGTATTTTTCAAATTACTTATTACAATAAAAATACTTGATTATTCTTAGTAACTCTACATAAGCATATTTTAAACCATTTGAAAGGATGAACATGATTTAAAACTCTTAATACTAATTTCTGCCTGATGTAGAGGACTTATAACAGATGCCTTAAGTACATTTGATGAACTTCACAAGGATGAAACAACAAGTTCTTTCTTTAATGCTGAATTTTAACTCTCACACAACATTAGTTTAAAAGTATAATAGTGAGATTTTTAAAAATCTAAGTAGGCTTAATGTATTTGTGATTTTATTTTTTGTCCATATCTATGAGTATGTTGTCTCATATAAAATTGTATTACTATAGATAAGAAGTCATTTTTATGATCCTGAAAATAGCAGTATACATAATACTAAGTGTGTTTAGTAGGTGTTATATAAAAATGTTGACTTGGTTCCACAGTTTCTATGTAATACCTTAGTTTAACTTCTGGACCACAGAATGTCATGGCATTAGTGCTGTTTGGCAATAGGAGAACTGAATGGCTACTATTCTGTTAAAAGTGTAATTAATGACAACTAGTATTTCAGAAGTGCAGCTATCTCATGCAGAGCTTTATAGTTTATGCAATTCAAAGAGTAATAGAAATAAATAAAATAAATTTTATTCTTTCTCTTTTTCCCAGTTGGCTTTTGTTGGCATTTTCTCTGTGTTCAGCAACTTGCCATTGTTTACAAGGAAAGATGAAGATAAGATAAAGAGAAGGGGCCAAAAAGGCAAATTACTTATAGATTTAAAAAGAAAACACAGGGCTAGTCATTTCTCTATCAATCACTTTAATCAGCAGGGAGATTATTTAATTATTTCCCCCTCTTATTTTTCTCATTCTCATAACTCAATTATTGGCTACCTGAGCCTATCCAAGTTCAGCCTTCTGAACACATTGGTTTTTCACTTATTTTTAGGTTGGAAATCTTCTTCAGCATTTTTCTATGCAAGCAACTTGGTTCAGATAGAGTCTGTACTCTCCATAATCCCCCAAAATAGCTTTTGTGTGTATTAATTGCTTTATATAGTTTAATATTCTTACCAATACATGAGCTCATTTGATGCTCCAAGTTCAGAAAAATATTTAGAAATTTTATGTAACTTACACAAGTGACATTCTCTTAACCACAGTACTGACTCTAGGACTATCTTCCAATGGGGAAGAGGAACGCTGGTAGAAACATATGTACTGATATATACAGAAAAATAAATAAGAAGACTAAATTCGTGGGAACTGTGGGAGGACAAAAACAAATGTGCAAATGGCTTGGAATTAAGAAACATCTCTAAGGAGAAAAGCTGACTTCCGGGAAAAAAGTTTCTGCAGTAATTTGAAGGCTGTCCTACTCTCATGGATGAATCAATATCCAAATTTTCTGAGCCTTGACTTCCTACCTGTATAATGGAAATAATAGTTGATATATCTAAGTCCTCTCCAGTATGTTTCTCTTAGTCTCCCTGACACTGCTAAACAATATGGAATTCTATATAGTTTGTTAATCTCATTCTATCACACAAATAATGTTTCTACACCATTTGGAACTTCCAAATTCCACTCCATTAGATAATGAGCCAAATCCAGTTCTATTTTATAACTATAATGAAAATCTGCATTATTGAGAAAATTATATAGAAAAAATCACAAATTTAACTTTTAATATAGAAAAACAAATGTGAGGTTATTTCCATAGAGAATATGATTTTTTCTTCTTGCTAAATTAAGAACAATCAGGATAGAGACATTCATTAAACTTTTTATATCGAAATTAATATTTTGATGATAAATATGTCTCTCTCTCTCTCTCTCTGTCTCTCTCTCTCCCCCCTCCTTCCCTCGCTCCCAATTTTTTCACAAGAACACAGAAGCACGGAATTGAACTGATCATAATTTACGTTTCAGGGTACAGTGGTGCCTACCTATAATCCCAGCTACTTGGGAGGCTGAAGTAGATCACCTGAACACAAGAGTTCCAGGTGGCAGTAAGCTACAATCCACAACACTGTACTCCGGCCTAGAGGAGTATAATTTACCAAAAGTTCCAGTTGTTATGCTAAAATTATCTGTGTGCTTGTGCTGAGGTCACCGTTCCCAAGGGCTGCTCCCAATCAATGGCTGAGCCTGGCATGGATACTGAGGTAAGCCTGTTCCTTGGAGATGTGGGACTCCTCTGACAAGTGACTTTGGCTCAAGGCCTTTCTGATGGCCTTGCTAAAACTTCCTTCTAATCCTGCCTGGGCAGGCGTAGATCTCCAATCAGGTCTAAGGTAAAACCAACTCAATTTGCCACTGAGGGCAGGCATGTGAATCACTGGCTTACACATCTTGTTTGGCTATGAAGAAAATCAGGGTTGGAGCTTTGATTCTAGGTTTCAGAGTTTGATGTAATTCTTAGTTTTGCTCAATGGGAAATGAAAATCATAATATAAAGTGTAACTTTCTTAGAATTGAAGGGCATCAATAGATCCAAAGGGGAAAGACAAAACTAGGAAATTGATGGAGATTTCAAAATGTTTGAAGTAATGTTAATCTAAAAGTAGTTCATGTTTCTCCAAAGAACAACAGTTTGTAGGCACAACAGAACAGAAACAACGTAGAAATTGTTAAGTACTTCTTCCAAGAAAACACAGGGACCTGGGCACAGTAGCTCACACCTGCAACCCCAACACTTTGGTAGGTCAAGGCAGAAGGATTGCTTGAGCCCAGGAATTCAAGACCAGCCTGGGAAACATAATGAGACCCTGTCTCTACAAGGAAAAAGAAAAGCTAGGTGTGGTAGCATGTGCCTGTAGTCCCAGCTACTTGGGAGGCTGAGGCAGGAGGATCACTTGAGCCTAGGAGGTAGAGGCTGCAGTGAGCTATGGTTGTACCACTGCACTCCAGCTGGGGTGACAGAATAAGACACTGTCTCTAAAGAAAATAAATTAAAATTTAAAACAAGAAAACACAGGAATGTCCAAACACAAACACATACCATTGAATTCAAGAAAAAAAAGCCTTCCTTTCTTTGTTTAGGAAATCTCCTTAAGGTTCCCCTCTATTTCCCTCCTGCTCTGAGCTTAGAGGAGGATAGCTCCTTCTAGCTCTGGTTGCTCTTTTGGTGTAGGTTCATGGTGGCCCACCACCTGGACTGTAGAGGTATTTATCTTCTTATTTTTTTAATCAACTTTAAAGAGTTTGATTTTTCCCTACTTATACCTTTAGGAGAGACTAAAAGATGTTTCATTTTCTCGTGCACAGTTATCCCTAATAGGCCTGAACTGCCAGCTCTCCAGACGTATATGGATAGTCCTGAATGCAGTTTAGGTTCTCAGGCTGGGAGCCAGAAAATACAATGAAAGAAATATTCAAAGAACTGCTTAGCAGTCATTTGAAGATGCTACAATGGAACTTAGGAAAACTATGTTTATGGGTAAAGATTTATTAAGAATCATCTGCATTAAAATAATAATTGCAGAATCAAAAGAGACACATTTAATGAGGAAGGTAGTGTAGGGAGATTTATCAAAGAATCAAGATTGAGTCTTAGAAAATGCCTTTGTGGACTGGGTTTGAAAATCTAACATGGGCCTTCATAAAGCTCAGCTCTTAATTCTTTCCACAGGTCTCTGGAGCTCGTTCTCCATTATCTTCTCGCTTTGCAGCAGCTCTCACAGACTTAGCCTTCTCCACTCTCATTCCATTTTTGGGGTTCTGTTCTCAATTTTCTTTTTTTTTTTTAGGAAATAGGATCTTGCTCTATTTCCCAGCCTGGAGTGCAGCAGCATGATAATAGCTCACTGCAACCTCTAACTCCTGTGCTCAAGCAATTCTTCCACATCTACCTCCCCAGTAGAAGGGACTATAGGAATGTACCTCCATGCCTGGCTTCTATTCTCATTTTCCTTACTTCTTTTGAAAATAAGTATATGGGCTCTTTATATTTTCTTTTCAGGCTTGTACTGGTGGCCACTATGGTAAATCACATAAATACACACAACTATACACTTGCACGAATGCATACAATGGACATCAAAATAAAAAGAACAAGAAACTCTAGCCATTAAATGCAGTTTTAAAAAAATCTCTAATTCAACAGATGGGATAAGTGGATGCCTTACTACCTTCATTTAGCCCTAGGCTTTCATTTTTCCTGGAGATAAGAGCCCATCACATCTTCTTGGCCTTCTTCATTTTCTTAACTTCTCTATAGCAGATGCTATTTGAGAAGTCCTCTTATCAGCCAGCATAGTATTTTTCGAACTCTCTGTACATGACCCACATTAAGAAACACATTATATATCATTTCTCAGTAAACACATAGCTGAATGTGGGTGTATGAGTTTGAAATAATTCCTGTTTTTGCTGCAGCAAATGATATTATTTTCTATTCTACTTCTTCATTTTGTTTTTGCTTTTGGTCAGTACAATATGTTGTATCTCATAAACAAAAAAATTCATTTCTCATAGTACTGGAGGCTGAGAAGTCCAAGATCAATGGCCTGCAGGCTCTGTGGCTAGTGAGGGTCTGCTTTCTGGTTTATAGATGGCACCTTCTTGCTGTGTCCTCATATGGTGAAAGGAGCAAGGCAGCTCTCTGGAGCCTCTTTTATAAGAACACTAATCTGCTCATGACAGCTGTGGGCTTATGATCTAATCACTTACCAAAAGTGTCACCTCCTTATAGTGTCACCTTGGTGATTGGGTTCCCACATATGAATTTGGTAGGGGGACACAAACATACAGACCATAGCACCACCCCATCTAAAACCCAAACTTCTGTAATGAGCACTTCTTATTCCTCTTCAATACTTGTTTTTCCTTAGTAGTTATCACTATCTAATTCTATATATTTAAGATATCTCTGTTAATTATTATCTGTTTGTCTCTTCACTGGAACATACATGCTAAGAGGACAGGTATAAAGAACATGAGTGTTTTTTTGGGGGAAAAGAAAACTTACAAGCAGAATAATAGCAAAGCAAACATTTTTCACATGCTCTTATTACACCAGAAGTGTGGCTAGGCCAGGTAAGGCTGGACTGCATGGCCTAAAGCAGGCATGAGGCAGAGAGGACTCCTACCCCTGTAATGCTCCACACCTTTATAGGGAAAAGGAGAAAAAACAATTTTATATGTTAACAAGGGAAACTTCTGTTCAAGAAATTAGACTTCTAGCTTTCTCGTAAAAACTGTGAGGAGTAATTGAAGATTTTAAGAAGGAAAAAGACATGAGCAGACTTGCCTTTTACAAAGCATGCTTTATTATAGTATATAGAAGTTGCTCAGAATATCTAATACTAGCAGTTCCTTTTGTCACTCTCTCTGCCTTCTGAGAAACTGGCTATGGCCCTCTCTAGGTTAAGGAATCTGACTGGTCAAGACCTCAATAAATCTTAGGTAGTTCAGGAGAACACTTGACTTCTTTGGCTGTAAAGAATATGGGCTTGAGCGATGCCCTATACAGCCATTATATTCAAGGCAGGGAGAACAAGGATAACAATATGATTTTTTTCTACTTTATTCCCATTTTTTAAATTGTAGTAGATGAAGAAAAACTCCTTTTCACCTTGTAACTCTGTTTTGTTAGCTGATATGATTTGATTTTCTTTTTATAAGATTGTAATAATATATTATTTGTTTCTACAAGGAATCTAAAATATGAAAGCATAGTTAAACCGTTTTCTTTTTTTATATAAATTGGGAATTTTATTAAAATCTTGGAATTCTAAAATCTTTTCATTTCTAGGTAAGCACTATTAAATAGAGATACAATGTGAGACACAAATACGTATGTAATTTAAAATTGTCTTGCAGTACATTAAGAAAAAGAAACATGAAATTTATTTAATACTGTATTTCATGCACAGTAATATATATAAAATAGTACCATTTTAACATATAATCAATGTAAATATTAAATTATATATTTTGCATTTTTTATCATAAGTCTTCAAAATCTAGTATATATTTTTCACTTGCAACACATCTCATTTCAGAATAGCCACACCTCAAGTGCTCAATACACTCAAATGGTTGGTGGTTACCATGTTGGGTAACATAATTCTAGATAGTTAATGAGAGAAAAACACTGAAAAAACAAGGGCAGAGAATGAATGTTTACTGAGTACTGTACCTACTTCCAGCCAGATTGCACTAGTAATTTTGTACTGATTAAAAATTTAATCCCCACAAAAACATGTGAGGTAGTCCTTAATATTCTCATATTTCATATTTTAAAAATTGCTACTTAGAGGATTAAGAAAGTTGTCAAAGTCATCCAGCTAATAAGTCTATCTGGCCCCCAGGTATCTTTTTGTACCCCTCTTTTCTACTTCAAATCAGGTGTCTTTACTACATTTGTCATTATTAATAAGCTTAAACTATAATAAATATTACAAAATGCCTAAATTATTAACTAGGAAATTATTAAGTAAGGAAAAGGTAAATAGGCTTGTTTTCTTTGCTGTTTGAAGGAGATGAACTTACTATCATTCTATTACTAAAAATGTAATTTTGGGTACTCTGATTTATACATTTTACATAAATCATAAATGCAGGATCTCTAAAATGATATCTGAAGCTGGTGCTTGTCAGTTTCTGTCACTTATCAACTCAGTCTCTTTACAAACTGTGAATGTCTTGGTCTTGGTTGTGAAGGGCGTGTGAATATGACATTGTCAGGGTCTGACATGACTGAAGAAAATATGTTTGTTCTGATTTGCTGTGCATGAAAAATATTAATCCCACAACATGTAGACCTATATTTACAAGCCATTACAAATTGACGCTCCGCATATTTTGGTCACAGATAATTCTGACATGGTTGAACGTGAAATTGGCCACGTAGGATTAGGAAGATAAAAAAGAAATTATTGCATGTATTTTGTTATTTGAATTTGATATATACCACTAATCATAGAACTTTTAATTTTGATAACCTGCTGTTAAGAACAAAGCAGTATTTAAAGGCTCATGAAATATTTTATGCACTGTCTGATTGAAAAACAAGAAAATAATCTATTTAAACACTAAAGTATAAAATTCCAGATACTATTATTATGAAAGAATATAGGAAAGAAGCTATTTTTGAGGTAGAGAGTGATATGATTCTATAGTGAAATGGAAACACAATGCAGGTGAAGGTAATTTCTTGAAAATAATTATCAAATAAGCAAAATGTTCAAAAGTTTTATCTATCTACGATTGCAGCAAAACTGAAATTTTACATGCCAAATTATATAGGAAATTAAAATAAATAAAAACCAAACAGAAAGACTTTTATTTTTGATAGCTTAGTAAATCTCTAATAAAAAAATTATATACTAAAAATTATATATCTAAAGTTAACTTTTTCTTGAAAAAACTACTGGTTATCTTTACTTTGGTTTCTTTTATTAGTTTTAAAACTATGATTATTTAAATATTTTTAATATATTGAGACAAACTTATCTGTAAACAGCACAGTTCATTGATAAGAATTCAGGATTCAGTTTGAAGACCTGGATGTGAGATAATTTTGGGGTGTATAGTGGTTTTTGTCATAAATATGAGACAATAGAGAATTTGTCATAAATAAATGTTCATTTTGTATAAAATTTGTAATTTTTCAAGTCAAATCTTGAACTCAAGGAAGAGATGAAAGTGTTAACTTTAGTACAACCACATTTTCTAAGTTTAAATTTAAAATGGTTACTTAATAGAAAGTAATTAAATGAGAACAATGATAGTGTTTCTATAAATTTTTAAATTATTGCTATGTATATCACAGTAGCCTCAACATCAACATTTAATTAATTTCTTTATTTAATTTGGTTTACCTTTAGAAGAAAGTCTGAATTCACATAGAAAATTAGTTTCTAAATCTAATAGTTTTGAATGACATGCTTTGCAATCTCATGACACACTTTAATTTAACTGATCCACAAGCATGAAAGAGGATTTAGAGAAAACTATTATTTCAAAGTTGAATTCTTACAAGTTATAATATAATAGCTGTTAAAGGAATAAGGTTTGAAGGGTGAACGACCTGCAACTAGAGCTCTGCCTCCCCCATTTAATTGCTATTTGACCTTGACTTCTTTAAACCGTTTACTTGAGATGTAAATTCGTAATGCTAATTATATCTACCTCATAGGATATTAAGTGAGATAATGTTTACAAATCACTTAACACATGAATTAGCTTACAGTATGGCACATAATTATATCTGTGTTCATTTTGAAAAAGCATGGATAAACAGATTGAAACTTAAATCTTCATAATGAAATATTCATTTCTGTTATATTTTAAAATTTAGAGAACTTATGCTGATTTTTATTGAATTATTTCCTCACAATTTTAAACCAAATTTCTTTTTCTGCTTATGCCAAGTGATTTGCAAAGTAATAAGTTTCCTTGTATCACATATCGTATAAAAATAAGCAAATAGGGAGCTCTAAACTATTTTTTCTCTTGTACAGTTGAATTGTAAACATTTCACATATGTCAGTCTATAAACTAATTGTCAAATAACTTGTATGCACATTCTTCTTTTAGCTTCATTTTCAGACAATGTACTAATTGTATTTTTGTAGCTGCCTGCTAATCTAATTTAATTGTTACAATATAATAGAATGTCATTTAATAAGTGCATTTTCAGCATCAGATTCAAATTGTGTTTGCATAAATTTTCGATAACATTAAGCTGTTTCATTTATTCTGAAAGAATTTGAAAGCCTATTTTTCTGCTCACTTTGTTTTGTTTCATGATGTAGTGACTTGGCAGAGATTGTAAAACTCTTTTCAAAATTTCACTGCATAAACGTATCAAGGATTTGAGTAACTTTTGTTGCCATAAAAATGATCCCAACAAAAATAACTTGTCTTTATCTTTCTTGCTATATTTTGTCTTTAAATTTCTAGTGATTTTATAGAATTTCTGGCAAAATATTTTATTCTATGTTTTTATTAATGCGGACATCAACTGAATAACCTTATTAACATAATACAACATCTTATATCATCTTAAACCAGATCAATCTTATCACAAGATTCTTTCCATATTTTTCATATTTTAACAATAATTTTAGTTTTAAGAGTAATTTTAAACATTTGAAAAATGTAATCTTTGTAAATATTAAAGGTATGCAAGAATATAAAGCCTACAATACCACTATCAAAGAAAGCATAGAAGCATCCAAAATTTAAAATAAGTGCTAAAACTATTTTAATACTATGTGCATTGGTCAGTATTCTCCAGAGAAACAGAACTAATAGAATGTATATACATAGACAGAGAAAGAGATTTATTATAAAGAATTGGCCCAATTATAGAGACTGACAAGTCCCAAAATCTGCAGGGTGAGTCACTAAACTAGAGATCCAGGAGAGCGGATGGTGTAGTTCCAGTCCGAAGTCTGACACATTTGAGACCTAGGAAGAGCTGATGTTTCAGTTTAAGTGAGACCATCAACTGATTGAACCCAGACCCACCCTCAAAAGGGAGGGCAATCTGCTTTATTGATTCTACCAATTGAAATGTTAATCCCATTCAAAAACATCCTCACAGACACACCAGAACAGTGTTTGGCCAAAATATAAGTATCCTGTGGCTTAGTCAAGTTGACACATAAAATTAACCTTCGTACCATGTTATACACAGAATTTGTTATAACATGACTTGCCAATCCTTAACAAAATCTTACTCTATAATTTCAGCCTGCACCTTTACGTATGCCTGAACTTGCCTAGCATTAAATTCATTGCAAAACTATAAACAATGCTATGATAGCATTCTTCATTTCTCAGCTTACAATTTTTGTATACGAGGGTTTGAATATTTTTGATAACAGTGTAGCATTAAATTAAAGTACAATGACTTAATAAGAAGTCGTACCTATATATGTTGAGATGATAGGACAAGATTTTTTTGATATATGCAAAAAATGAGTTAACCTACAAAATATTTAACTGAAGATCTCTGATCTTTTAAATTCAACAAATGATATCCTTCATATTTTGTGTTGCTCTATTTTATACAGTTTTTTTTGTTTTTACTAAACTTTTACAGAATCTGAGTCCTCTTTGTACTAATTTCTAGCAGCCACTTTTTGCTCATATTTATGGGTCAAAGATCATCACTTGAGACAGTAGCCCTTTGAAAATCAACTCTCTAAAATTTTCTTTGAAATATCTACAAAATCATCTTAAAAGGAATAATTTTCCATAAAGTAACAAGAAACAAAGAATAGGCATATTCTAGATTCTGGAAGGAATTTATGCAATCTTCCATTGACAATTTGGGATTAAGAATCAGCGCCTATTTGGGTTGCTCTTATTTTTACCTATTTCTCATGCTCATTCCAGTAGTTGAGTTTCTGAGTGTGTTTGGTAAAACTATTGTGTCAATTCAACTGTCATGTGGGAGCCCTCCCTTCCCATTAACTTTTTGGCTTTATACCCTATGCTGCCTCAGAATGTGTGCATTTTGCAATTTTAATGTCCTTCAAAAGTGCATCAACAGAAGCAGTTTTTTTGTTTCAGGTCCTTCCAGAAGAAGATTGTAAATAATATTCTTATCTGCGCACCACATTTTTGGCCTTTAACTTCTATCTGCAATCTGAGTGAAAATCAATAAGACCTCCAACCTAGAAGGTCTCATTGCATTTTACTTAGAAACAAATCAGTTTGATATCTAAACCCAGTACAAGGATTAATCCTCAGATACCTTGCATGAGTAGGTGTGCAAAATTTTATATGTATGTACCTGCAAACACATTTTCCTGGGTAAAAAGTTTGTGCCTTTCATCTGAGTCTTGGCAATGTTCTTCATCCCAAATAGATTGAAGCCACTGACCCATTAGGAGGTTCCATGTTTCATAAGTTGCCTTCTGTATTAGGGTTCCATATATATATATATAGAATATATATATATATATGCTTTCCTATTGATTCTGTTTTTCTGGAGAACCCTGACATATATATCATAAACACAGATATATATACACACACACACATATATACATATACATATATATACACACACACATACAAATATACACACACATATACGTATAAACATACACAGAGCAGAGATTTTATGCAATTGGCTCCTGTGATTATAGGGGCTAGCAAGTCTGAAATTCACAGGGCAGGGCAGGCTGATAAGATGGAAATTCCAGCAAGAGTTGATGTTGCAGTCTTGCATCCAAAGGGAATCTGGATGCACAATTCCTTTTTCTTCAGGAAACTTTGGTCTTTTTTCTTAAGGCCTTCAATGAATGGGATAAGGCCCACCCACATTATGGATGGTAAACTGCTTTACTTAGTCCACTTATTTAAATGATAATCACATTGAAGAAATGTCTTCATAGTAACATCTTAGACTGGTGTTTGACAAAAAAATTGGATCCACAGCCTAGTCAAGTTAACAAAATTAAATATCACACTTTCTATATACAAGGGCACTCTTCGGGCACTCTCTTTTGATGCTAGAGAGGCCTGAATCACAGTAAGCATCCAATAAATATTAGCTTTGTATTTATAATTCAATCTGTTCATCAGCATGAGATCAGAGAGCTGCCATCTACCATAACTAAGTCAAAAGTAGAATGGATTGCAATTTCTAACTGTATAAGTACTTGTCTGAATCTCTTTTTCTCTGTCCAAGAAGGATATATGCTGTATCACTGCTTTCCCGACATTCATGGTTAACATCAATAAGGAGAGTCAAGTTAAGAGATGAGACAGGAAAAACTAAAACAATAGTAACAACAACAAAAATCCCAAGCCTATAGTGAAAAGGAGCAGTAGAAAGAAAAAATAAAAATATATAATTTAGAGGTAGATCATCGCCTTTCAAGTTACTGATTGATTTGCTTGCCAAAATGGGACAACATTGTAGAATCTTACAGACTCAGTTTTCCAAAAGTTTATACTACCCAATTTTAAATTGGCTAATCACTGCTGTTTAACAATGTTTATTGTTCACTCTTTAGGAAAATAATTCTTAGAGTCAAAATAGAGGTTAGGCAGTACGGAGATTATAGTTGAAATCATTTTTCCTTAAGATGGAAATATGTTGCCTTCAGAGGACCTGTCCCTGAGCCTGGAGGAAAATACCTGCTGTCACAACTGTTATGGATAGCAGTACTTTATACTCAGAGATGATGTGCTGACGGAAACTTCTCCCATGGAAGAACTGAACAATTGTTTATAGTTGGGAAGGGCCTCCAAGTTTATGATGCTCCAATCTCATCATTTAACAGATAATATTATGAAGACCCAAGCAGACCCAGTGCCTTGCCATAATCACTCAGCTATAAGAGCTATTTCAAACCTTATCCGTGCTTTTCAAGCTTCCCCTGGTTGCTCTTCACCATTCTCTGACTCCTGAAAGATCATCTTTCAGTCTATCTCATCTTCCAAATTAAGACCACTGTCTTCTTTCTAACCTCAGTTTAGCTCTTTCTTAATTTCATTTTAAAAATCTTCTCTTCTCCTTCAGGAGAAAACTCAGCATTTTCCTTGCCAAAACTAACCCCCAATGTATGGTCATTGTCTTTCCTTCTCTTTCCATCTAGGACCTGGGTCTTCAAAATGAGACCAGAGGACACCAACATCCAAAACACCTTTTGTTCATTTAAAGTTCTCTTTTCTGGTTTCCATCCTGATCTTACTGAATCAGAATTACTGGAATGAGACCAGAATCTGCATTTTTACCCAAACACTCAAGATAATTAGGCTTTCCAAAGTTTAAGGAACAGTGCTCTTCAAAAATTCCATCAATAATTGCCTCTTTCTTTAACAGATCCAGAAACTTCTTAATTAGCTCTGTTATTTGGCTCACATTTCCTCAATATTGTTTATAAATTTTATTCAGATGTCATTTATAACCACCTAAATAGGTATTTAAATGGCCTTTTCCTAATCCATATCCTTAGCTTCTCTTCAGCATGATAAGATAGTCATATCATATAGCACTGAACTTCTGAAATTTCAGTTATGCACACTTGGCCAAAAAGAAAAAGAAAAAAATACAAAAGTAATCAGGTAATTTATGTGCTATTCCAGTCATTAAACGTCTACTCCAAAATGAACACGAGACGGGAGACCTGAAACCACCATCAGCTCAGTAGGTCTCTCATAGTGTGAGCTACTTACTCATTGAATATGAGCGCAGTTTTGAACACGTTGTCTTTCACATTCAACATGGCCCCTGTATAAAATTTAGCTATGCCCTACAGGACTCAAAGGAAAGGGAGAAGGGAAGGTAAGAAGGGAGGAAAGAAGAGAAAAAAAGAGGGAGAAAAGGAAGATATATTTTGGTTTGGGGAAGGAAAAAGAAAACTTACGCTGAATTTTTATTTTAAAAAACAACTGTGCATCGGTATGAAATCTGACCCCTTTCTGATAGATTTTGTAAAATAGTTTTGAATTTATACCATTTTTAACATATCACAAATTAAATTTTAACTTATGAATAAATGGAAATTCACTTAAATTATTAATTATACTCTTTATTAAACCACTTCCTTAGCCTCAGCAATTATACTCTCACTTAAACCTTATTGTTCCTTCTTATGTCTGACTCACTGGTTCCTTACGATAAAAGTAAAGGCATTTTTAGCTCCCTTCTTCCTCCTGCCTTTACTTTCTCTGGCTTGCTCCACTAATGAATTCTTATTGTAGAACAGGACCATCATTTAGTTTCTGAATTAAGTCCAGCCTAGGGAAGAATTCTTCCAGAAGCAAAACTCCATCATTGAAGTAGATTTGAAATTGTCATACTTCCTAGTAATATAATCAAGCGGCCCAGTCACAAATGTTAAGATGTTGTGTTTCTCTCCCAAATTTTCTTGTACTAGATTCATTAATTTGGGACTCAGGGACAAACTGCTGGTGCTTATGTCACTTAGAAGTCTCTGTTCTCTCCTATACAGACCCTATCCACAGGACTGAGTTTCTGCATTGACTTCTCACTCTTGGTGAGTGAGAGAGGCTGACTTGTTAGCCTATGCTGCTAAACACCATCAGCTTCTTTAAGTTTTATCAAATAGTGAAGCTGAGGAACTGACAAAGTGGGTAATGACAGGGACAGAAGTCTGGAAACAGGTCTAGTGGATCTGGGTGTACAGAATTATGGGAGATAAAACTAAAAGAAATGAAGGATGGAAAAACTTTAAAGAAACTCATTTTGCAAGTGTTCAGCCTTTCAGGCACTTTTACTTTCATACTACTATCCAATATTAGACTGAACTTTAATAGTAACTTTTACAATTTATGGTATGCTCTGACTTTTATTCAGAAAAGCACACACATTTCTGTTTTTGAAAATGTCAAAGAATCACTACGAAATTAGTTCTAATCGGATCCTTGCCATTAGTGAAGTGTGAATTCAGCAGCATTCAGAGGAAATGGCTTTAGGAAGATAAAAATTAATCTATCATGCTAAAAGATCATTGAAAACACTATTTTATAAGCCAAATTGATGGCAGCTATATTAACCAAAATACATTTGCAAGGGAAATTTTTAAGAACTATATCTTTATTTCCATTAGATGAAAGTATGTGCATGTCTCCACTCATATATAAGCAGTTAAAATTATAGGATATTTTACAGTTGAAAAGGACTTAATTATGAAGTCCAACACTTTTATTTTATAGATGAAGGTACTAAGGCCTAGCAAAAGCAGACTAAATAACACATCTAACACCTAGTTAGTGGCAATTCCAACTCCAAACTCTTTTCCAGTATTATTTCATTTCTATAACAATCTATTGAACACCTTCTCTGTGTACTGGATCAATGATAAATGGAAAGACCCAGTCTCAGCCTTGAGTTATCACACTTCCCTTAATATTTACATGAACTAGCTTTCCTATTCTGTATATGTTTAAAAAACATAGCCTTCTTTCTCACCTGTTGACTTCTCCAGAGAGTCTTGGTTTTCCTACTGGCCTTTCGCTCCACTTTCCTTGATACATTCTTACAACAATGTTTCATTTTTTGTGACCAAGTTACCCTAAAAGGGACAAATAACTTATCTCATATTTCCCAAAGTTCCCAGAAATATAAGATCTTCAGATTTAACTGAGTTTTCTAAAAAAAAAATAATAACAATAATGGTATAGTGAATGGACATTAAATCAGAGCTGTAGCCCTTAGGATTTTTGGTTGTATGTGGTAGAAAAATAAATCTCTAACTACACAAAATTATTCATTCAACAAACAGTTATTGGTCCAAGAATTGGGGAATTTACAGTGAAAAAAATACTCAGAAACTTCTGCTGTCACAGAGTTGCATTTTTCTTTGGGGAGATAGATAATAAACAAGTCAATAAATATAAATATGCAGTGATCACAGAAGGGCACAAGATGTAGTTTATGTTTTAGTTAGGGGAGTAAAGGAAAACTTCATGGAGAAGGTATATTTAAAGAGAAACTTGAAGAAACTGTAGAAGTCATGTAGACATCTGAAAGATGGGAGTTCTAGGCAGAGGAAACAGTGCTGTCTCAGAACATGTTAGGAAAAGTGTTGAATGGATTCAGCCTAGACTACTTTCAAACTAATTGCTATGTAGAGTATTATGAGATTACCTGATCATTTAGACTAATTTGCTATGACTGTTGGAGGAGAAAAAAAGGTTCATCTCATCTAAACCAAATGGTTGCCACATAATCAGGGAAGAGGGGAAGGGATATTGAAATGATAGACGCAATGTCCAATATAAAGGCATGGAAAGGTCACAGGCAAGATAGCTGAATAGGAACAGCTCCAGTCTGCAGCTCCCAGCAAGATCAAAGCAGAAGGTGGATGATTTCTGTATTTCCAACTGAGGTACCCAGCTCATCTCACTGGGACTGGTTAGACAGTGGGTACAGCCCACAAAGGGCTAGGAGAAGCAGGGTGGGAGTCATCTCACCAGGGAAGCGCAAGGAGTCAGGGAACTCCCTCCCCTAGCCAAAGGAAGCCATGAGGGACTGTGCCATGAGGAATGGTGCACTTTGGCCCACATACTATGCTTTTCCCACAGTCTTCACAAGCCACAAACCAGGAAATTCCCTTGGGTGCCTACACCACCAGGGCCGTGGGTTTCAAGCACAGAACTGGGTGGTCATTGGGCAGACACTGAGCTAGCTGCAGGAGTCTTTTCATACCCCAGTGGCTCCTGGAATGCCAGTGAGACAAAACCATTCACTTCCCTGGAAAGGGGGCTGAAGCCAGGTAGCCCAGTGGTCTAGTTCAGCGGATCCTACCCACATGTAGCCCAGCAAGCTAAGATCCACTGCCTTGAAATTCTCATTGCCAGCACAGCAGTCTGAAGTCAACCTGGGGTGCTCGAGCTTCGTGCAGGGAGGAGCATCCACCATTACTGAGGCTTGAGTAGACAGTTTTCCCCTCATACTGTAAACAAAGCCGCCAGGAATTTCAAACTGGGCAGAGGCCACCGCAGTTCAGCAAAGCCAGACGGCCTCTCTAGATTCCTCCTCACTGGTCAGGGAATCTCTGAAAGAAAGGCAGCAGCCTCAGTCAGGGACTTATATATAAAACTCCCATCTACCTGGGACAGATCAACTGGGGGAAGGGGTGGCTGTGGACACAGTTTCAGCAGACTTAAATGTTCCAGCCTGCTGACTCTGAAGAGAGCAGCAAATCTCCCAGCACAGCGCTCGAGCTCTGCTAAGGGACAGACTGCCTCCTCAAGTTGGTCCCTGACCCCCATGCCTCCTGCATGGGAGACGCCTCCCAGCAGGGGTCGACAGACACCTCATATAGGAGAGCTTCGGCTGGCATTTGGCAGGTGCCCCTCTGGGATGAAGCTTCCAGAGGAAGGAACAGGCAGCAATCTTTGCTGTGCTGCAGCCTCTGATGGTGATACCCAGGCAAACAGGGTCTGGAGTGGACCTTCAGCAAACTCTAGCAGACCTGCAGCAGAGGGGCGTGACTGTTAGAAGGAAAACTAACAAACGGAAAGGAGTAGCAACATCAACAAAAAAGAACGTCCACCCAGAAACCCCATCCGAAGGTCACCAACATCAAAGACCAAAGGTAGATAAATCCACAAAGATGACGAAAAGCCGGCAGAAAAAGGCTGAAAATTCCAAAAACCAGAACGCCTCCTCTCCAAAGGATCACAATTCCTCACCACAAGGGAACAAAACTGGACAGAGAATGAGTTTGACAAATTCACAGAAGTAGGCTTCAGAAGGTGGGTAACCACAAACTCCTCTGAGCTAAAGGAGCATGTTCTAACCCAATGCAGGGAAGCTAAGAACCTTGATAAAAGTTAGAGGAATTGCTAACTAGAATAATATGTTTCTAGAAGAACATAGGTGACCTGATAGAGCTGAAAAACAGCACGAGAACTTTGTGAAGCATAAACAAGTATCAACAGCCAAATCGATCAAATGGAAAAATGGATATCGGAGATTGAAGAACAATTTAATGAAATAAAGCATGAAGAAAAGATTAGAGAAAAAAGAATAAAAAGGGACAAACAAAGCAGCCAAGAAATATGGGACTATGTGAAAAAAACCAAACCTATGCTTGATTGGTGTATCTGAAAGTGATCGGGAGAATGGAACCAAGTTGGAAAACACTCTGCAGGATATTATCCAGGAGAACTTCCCCAACCCAGCAAGGCAGGCCAACATCCAAAATCAGGAAATACCAAGAACACCACCAAGATACTCCTTGAGAAGAGCAACCCAAACACATATAATCATCAGATACACCAAGGTTGAAATGAAGGAAAAAATGTTAAGGGCAGCCAGAGAGAAAGGTCAGGTTACCCACAAAGGGAAGACCATCAGACTAACAGTGGATCTCTCTGCAGAAACTCTACAAGCTAAATGAGAGTGAGGGCCAATATTCAGCATTCTTAAAGAAGAGAATTTTCAACCCAGAATTTAATATCCACCCAAACTAAGTTTCATAAGTGAAGGAGAAATAAAATCCTTTACAGAGAAGCAAATGCTGAGAGATTTTGTCACCACCAGGCCTGCCTTACAAGAGCTCCTGAGGGAAGCACTGAATATGGAAAGGAAAAACCAGTAACAGCCACTGCAAAAACATATCAAATTGTAAAGACCATCAACGCTATGATGAAACCACATCAAATAGTGGGCAAAATAACCAGCTAGCATCATAATGATGGGATCAAATTCACACATAACAATATTAACCTGAAATGTAAATGGGCTAAATGCCCCAGTTAAAAGACACAGACTGGCAAATTGGATAGTCAAGACCCATCGGTGTGTTGTATTCAGGAGACCCATCTCATGTGCAAAGATACATAGAGGCACAAAATAAAGGGATGGAGGAAGATCTAGCAAGCAAATAGAAAGAAAAAAAAAAAAAAGCAGGGATTGCAATCTTAGTCTCTGATAAAACAGACTTTAAACCAACAAAGATCAAAAAAGACGAAGAAGGGCATTACACAATGGTAAAGGGATCAATGCAACAAGAAGAGCTAACTATCTCAAATATATATGCACCGAATACAGGAACACCCAGATTCATAAAGCAATCTCTTAGAGACCTACAAAGAGACTTAGACTCCCACACAATAATAGTGGGAGACTGTAACACCCCACTGTCAATATTAGACAGATCAACAAGACAAAAAATTAACAAAGATATTCAGGACTTCAACTCAGCTCTGGACCAAGCAGACCTAATAGATATCTACAGAACTCTCCATCCCAAATCTACAGAATATACATTCTTCTCAGCACCACATCGGACTTATTCTAAAATTGACCGCATAATTGGAAGTAAAACACTCCTCAGCCAATGCAAAAGAATGGAAATCATAACAGTCTCTCAGACCACAGTGCAATCAAATTAGAACTCAGGATTAAGAAACTCACTCAAAACTACACAACTACATGGAAACTGAACAACTTGCTCCTGAATGACTGCTGGGTAAATAACGAAATTAAGGCAGAAAGAACTAAGTTCTTTGAAACCAATGAGAACAAAGACACAACATACCAGAATCTCTGGGACACAGCTAAAGCAATGTTTAGAGGGAAATTTATAGCACTAAATGCCTACAGGAGAAAGCAGGAAAGATCTAAAATCGACACCCTAACATCACAATTAAAAGAACTAGAGCCGCAAGAGCAAACAAATTCAAAAGCTAGCAGAAGACAAGAAATAACCAAGATCAGGGCAGAACTGAAGCAGCTAGAGACACAAAAAACCCTTCAAAACATCAATGAATCCAGGAGCTGGTTTTTTGAAAAAAAAATCAACAAAATAGATTGACCACTTGCCAGACTAATAAGAAAGAAAACAGAGAAGAATCAAATACACACAATAAAAAATGATGGAGGGGATATCACCACTGATCCCACAAAAATAAAAACTACCATCAGGGAATACTACAAACAACTCTACACAAATTTAAAAATCTAGAAGAAACAGATAAATTCCTGGACACATACATCCTCCCAAGACTAAACCAAGAAGTCGAATCCCTGAACAGATCAATAACAAGTTCTGAAATTGAGGCAGTAATTAATAGCTTACCAATACAAAAAAGCCCAGGACCAGACAGATTCACAGCCAAATTCTACCGGAGGTACAAAGAGGAGTTGATACCATTCCTTCTGAAACTATTCCAAACAATAGAAAAAGAGGGACTCCTCCCTAACTCATTTTATGAGGCCAGCATCATCCTGATACCAAAACCTGGCAGAGACACAACAAAAAAAGAAAATTTCAGGCTAATATCCCTGATGAACATCAATGTGAAGATCCTCAATAAAATACTGGCAAACAGAATCCAGCAGCACATCAAAAAGCTTATCCATTGGGATCAAGTCAGCTTCATCCCTGGGATACAAGGCTGGTTCAACATATGCAAATCAATAAACGTAATCCATCACATAAACAGAACCAATGACAAAAACCACATGGTTATCTCAATAGATGCAGAAAAGGTCTTCAATGAAATTCAACACACCTTCATGCCAAAAACTCTCAATAAACTCCGTATTGATGGAATGTATCTTAAAATAATAAGAGCTATTTATGACAAACCCACAGCCAATATCATACTGAATGGCGAAAAACTGGAAGGATTCCCTTTGAAAACCAGTACAAGACAAGGATGTCCTCTCTCACCACTCCTGTTCAACACAATATTGGAAGTTCTGGCCAGGGCAAACAGGCAAGAGAAAGCAATAAAGGATATTCAGATAGGAAGAGAAGTCAAATTGTCTCTGTTTGCAGATGCCATGATTGTGTATTTAGAAAACCTCATCATCTCAGCCCAAAATCTCCTTAAGCGGATAAAAAACTTCAGCAAAGTCTCAAGATACAAAATCAATGTGCAAAAATCACAAGCATTCCTATACAACAATAATAGACAAACAGAGAGCCAAGTCATGAGTGAACTCTCATTCACAATTGCTACAAAGAGAATAAAATACCTAAGAATACAACTTGAAAGGCCTCTTCAAGAAGAACTGTAAACCACTGCTCAAGAATACAAGAGAGAACACAAACAAATGGAAAAACATTCCATGCTCATGGATAGGAAGAATCAATATCACGAAACTGGCCATACTGGCCAAAGTAATTTATAGATTCAATGCTACCCCATCAAGCTACCATTGACTGTTTTCACAGAATTAGAAAAAACTACTTTAACTTTCATATGGAACCAAAAAAGAGCCCATATAGCCAAGACAATCCTAAGCAAAAATAACAAAGCTGGAGGCATCATGTTACCCAACTTCAAACTATACCACAAGTCTACAGTAACTAAAACAGCATGGTACCGGTACCAAAACAGATATATAGACTAATGGAACAGAACAGAAGCCTCAGAAATAATGCCACCCATCTACAACAATCTGATCTTTGACAAACCTGACACAAACAAGCAATAGGGAAAAGATTCCCTATTTAATAAATGGTGTTGGGAAAACTAGCTAGCCACATGCAGAAAACTGAAACTGGACAACATCCTTATACCTTACACAATAATTAACTCAAGATGGATTAAAGACTTAAACATAAGACTTACAACCATAAAACCTCCCCTAGAAGAAAACCTAGGCAATACCATTCAGGACATAGGCATGGACAAAGAGTTCATGACTAAATCACCAAAAGCAATGGCAACAAAAGCCAAAATTGACAAATGGGCTCTAATTAAACTAAAGAGCTTCTGCACAGCAAAAGAAACTATCATCAGAGTGAACAGGCAACCTACAGAATGGGGGAAAATTTTTGCAATCTATCCATCTGACAAAGGGCTAATATCCAGAATTTACAAATAACTTAAAGAAATTTACAAGGAAAAAACAATCAAGCCCATCAAAAAGCCTGCAAAGGATATGAACAGGCCCTTCTCAAAAGAAGTCATTTATGCAGCCAACAAACATATGAAAAAAAACTCATCATCACTGGTCATTGGAGAAATGCAAATCAAAACCACAGCGAGATACCATCTCATGCCAGTTAGCATGGTGATTATTAAAAACTCAGGAAACAACAGATGCTGGAGAGGATATGAAGAAATAGGAAAGCTATTACACTGTTGGTGGGAGTGTAAATTAGTTTAACCATTGTGGAAGACTGTGTGGCGATTCCTTAAGTATCTAGATCCAGAAATACCATTTGACCCAGCAATCCCATTACTGGGTAGATACTCAAAGGATTATTATAAATCATTCTACTATAAAGACACATGCACATGTATGTTTATTGCAGCACTGTTCACAATAGCAAAGACTGGGAACCAACCCAACTGCCCATCAATGATAGACTGGATAAAGAAAATATGGTACACATACAACATGGAATACTATGCAGTCATACAAAATAATGAGTTCATGTCCTTTGCAGGGACATAGATGAAGCTGGAAACCATCATTCTCAGCAAACTAACACAGGAACAGAAAACAAAACACTGCATGCCTCACTTATAAGTGGGAGTTGAACAACAAGAACACATGGACACAAGGAAGGGAACATCACACACTGGGGCCTGTTGGGAGGTGGGGGGCTAGGGGAGGGATAGCATTAGGAGAAATACCTAATGTAGATGACGGGTTGATGGGTGGAGCAAACCACTATGGCACATGCTTACCTATTTAGCAAACCTGCACGTTCTGCACATGTATCCCAGAACTTAAAGTATAATTAAAAAAAAATACATGGAAAAATGGAAGAGCAAATGACTTAAAATTAAATACTGGATGCAACTTTTTATTTTTTTGGATACAGGGTCTCACTCTATCATTCAGCCTGGGGTGCAGTGACACGATTTCAATGACATTTTTAGCATGATAGATTAACTTTTATGTTTCTCACTGCAGACTCTATCACCTGGGCTCAATTGATCCTCCCTCCTCAGTCTCCAGAGTAGCTGGGACTACAGGCTCGTGCCATGACACCTGGCTATTTTTTTTGTATTTTTTGTAGAGATGTGGTTTCGCCATGTTGCCCAGGCTGGTCTCAAACTCCTGGACTCAAGGAAGCCTCCTGCCTTGGCCTCCCAAAATATTGGGATTACAGGTGTGAGCCACTGCACCCAACCTGGATGCAACTATTATCACAAGCTTTTGGCAATTCCTATCCTGGGAAATCCTCACTGGCTGGTTTTACTGTGAAGATTCCCCAACCGAAAAGGCTTTCCACATTGCATGACTTTCTGTTCCTTAAAATCTTTTTCAAATTTGTTTTTCATTCTGCTTTGCAGGCTCCTTAAACCACTCTACCCCATGTTGTCACCGGAAAATAAAAATTCACATCACTTGTCACTTGATTGTACAGAGGAATGAAATTCAAGTCAGTTGTGTATATACACAAATTCATTAAGGTGGCCCATTAAATGAATAACTGTTCACTCCAGGTTTGGACCTTTTAACAGAATGGAAGAACTTACAGAGTTTTTGAAAATTTTGCTGTTTTTCCTTAAATATGTGTCAATTTTCATTCTTCCTCTATGAACCTCTGTGACAAGGAACTATAATGAGTTTTTCTCTTTCTTTTTCTTTATTTTATTTTATTTTATTTTATTTTACTTTATTTTATTTTAGAGACAGGGTCTCACTCTGTCACCCAGGCTGGAGTGCAGTGGCACAACCATAGCTCACTGCAGCCTCAACCTCAATGTCTTGGGCTCAAGTGATTTTCCTACCTCAGCCTCCCAAGTAGCTGAGACTACAGGCATGTAAAACAATGCCCAGCTAATAATTTTTTTTTTTTTTTTTTTGGAGAGGTGAAGTCTCACGATGTTGTGCAGGCTGGATTTGAACACCTGAGCTCTTCCTCTGCCTTCTAAACTGCTGGGATTACAGGTGTGAGCCACAGTGCCTGGCTAGAACTATACAATTTTTTTTTAAAGCAGATATGAATTGTCTTAGAAAACAGCAGCAGCAAGAAAGCCAGAATTATATACAATTATCTGAAATATTTTTGTTTTAAACAGACGTTTTCTCTGTCCTACAATAATTATTCAGTGATTTGAGAACTGTAAAGAAGTTATAGACAGAATGCTGTAATAGCTAAGTAGAATGGGCATCTAATTCTGCCAAACATGTCGACGGAACAGTATTACGTTTATCTATAGATAATGCTGAAGCCACTGAAAGCTTCCAAGACACAAAATTATATTTTAGAATAACTCTAAAAGTTATGGATGAGCAGTTAGGAGGATGATGAATAAAACTAGATGCCATGTTGTCAGTTTGAAAGCTACATCTATAGCCTACTATAGGAGAATAAGGAAATGGTCCAAAGCAGTGAAAGAACTGCTAGAAAGTGGCTCCCATTTAAACACATATAATTATCAAGTTGAATTATTATGGTTCTTTTCTAATATTTCCTATCAAACAAACCATAGCAATATGGGGTGACGTCTTTGGAAGCATAAAGGTTGAGTGAACAACTTGTTATTTTTGCCACATCCTTTTGCATTTTGTTATTTTGCCAATATCTTTTTTTTTCTTTTCCCATTAACACACTTGAATTTTGTTTTGAGGTAAGTGGTCTTCTCCCATTAAGTCCAGTCCAGTTAGGAAATCAATCAAGAGGATTTGCTTCCCTTCATGTTCTTCAATTTAGATCAATAAGATATGTTTTATCTGAAATTTGTGACAGAGCAAGGAGTAAACAAGAAAGAAAAAGAAGACTGAGAGGGTTTGGACCTGTTTTATCCCATCAGCAGTACCTGATGAGTTCTTTGTTGTTGCTACCAGGATTCCAAAAGCTGCCCTGAGTTTTATTTTTTAAAGTTTTTCTTGTTTCTTTTTAAATAAGCTATCCTTGTATCTTCTTATATCCTCCAAGAAATTATTTTTTTCCTACATTAGCTAGGGTGAGCTTCTGTTCCTTATAACAAAAGCAACTTAAATAATATAAAAGTATCATAAAAAATGAGTCAAGACATAACAGGATGAAAAACCAGGCCTCTTAATAATCAGTCTAGAGGCTTTTCTACCATGTCATGCTACTTCTAAATATTGAACAAGAGAAAATGTTCTTCAAACATGAGAAACATAATGTCTAATGGAAATGTGTTCTTCAACACTGTAATAATATAAAGAAGGATATAGTAGCAGGTTTAGATCCCATAAGATATTGGTAAAGAACAAATTCAATATTATACATGCTAGGACTTTATGTTAGTATGACCTACCTTAGCCAGTTATGAAAATTATATGAAAATCCTGAACAAATCTAATGCAGTTGTGGGAGTCTAGTAGTGATGGATCACATGGCAAGTTCTTGGACCTTATCATCAAAACAGTCTGGGAATTTCTGAGCTCTCACTGTTGCTGCAAAAAAAAAAAAATACATTTTGTGGTTTGTGCATGAATTAAAGAATCTTCAGTCAAGACTTTAAATTGGAGCTTTTGCAAATAATAAAAAGCCTAGTTAGTTAAAATGTAAAATCATCTTCCAGGTTCACTGAGTGTGCAAGAATAAAATTTAATGGAACCGGCAAGCTTCTTTCTGCTTCGTTTGTTTGCCCCCAAGTTTAAGTGATGATCAGACTCTTCAGACTGCACTTTGATCTCTCTGGCTTCTGGAAGTGAAAGAATTCTTTAATTTATTTTTGCTAAGTAGGAAGCGTTGCTTCATCCACAGTAAAAATCAAGCAGAAACGTGTAATACAGAAGCTATTCAGAATGAAGAAGGATGAATTCAAAGAGAAACAAATCAACAGACTGAAAAATCCTGAAAGCTGACACATATCAATGGTGAAAACATTGGTAGATTGCCAGAAAGTATTTTGGCGGAAGATATTCAAATTTAGCAGAGCTAACTTTAGAATGAGGAAAGGCAGTTAGCTAGAGAAAAAAGCGAAAACAAAAGTGAATAAAAAAATTGGAGTTGATTTTAAGACGAGACATCATAGTCCCTTTGTTTTAATGACAAAAAAAAACAAAAAAAAGAGTTAAAATCTTTTTACTTGCTGAAGAATTACTGAAAATGAAAATCCATTGTAACTAAGCAACAACACTATGATTTCTCTGATTTAGTATGCTGTCATATAATCAACAAGAGAAAATAAGAATATTGTAAATAAAGTGTAATTTTACTGATCCTGGCCAAATAGATCTGAAAACTACAGGCCACATCCTCCCATTGATCCATTCTCCAAAGCTCCACTGATGGAGGTAAGACACTAACAGCCTTAGCTGAAAACTGCTTATCTTCATGATTCAGGATGGCAGGAAAGCAGATCCATATGTCTAGATGTGTTCTTTAAGTATGCAATTAATTTATTTAAGATATTTTTCATTAGTTGAGTTACAGAATAAATAATTTGACAAGGAGGTTTTGAATTAATTGTGAAACACATGTAACAGAAGATAGCACTAAAATGCAATGGAGTAATCTAACAGGCCAAAAAAGAGAAGACAAATGAAGCTTCCTTGATGACCAAATAAAAAAACATTTGAATTCCTATATATTGAGTTATTGTGCTCACAGATAACATTATTTTACTTTTTGCTTATCTGGATGACAATCTGTGTGGTAGAGGTACAATGGTATCTTATAAATATGTCTTGTCAGTCTTCTAAATTTCTGTTGTGAAAAACATTACTTTTATGAGCTATGGAAAGTTACTTTAATAACTAAATGACATAGAAGATAATAGATATATACCATATGTTATAGATGCATTCAAAGTAGAAGTAAAAGTTTGTATGACTAAATTAGAAGATAAAATTAAATTCTACACCAGAGAAGATTAAAAAATGGTTAGCTTGAAAACCTGAATTGGCATGCATTTCTTTCTTTAGACATTCAGCCTTCTTGTGAGTTATTTCTAAATTTATTGAAGCTTTGCTTCAACAGAAAATATTTTGAATTGCTGATCTTTCTTCTTAGAGAATTCCTCTATTCCCCAGTAATCTCTAAGTTTGCTTTATCATAGACATGAATTTCAATGCAATATTTAATAACTATCATCATCTGTATAGGCAGATGTCAACTATCAGGACAAAAATGGGATGACTATAATTGACCATCCCTTCAGCTTGTATCTTTTTTTATGATATTAAATTTCTATAAGATATTGATGACCTATGCATCAAATTTATCTGTGTTACATAAGAAAATCAGTTTATTAGGCAAGCAGGCTGAAAATGGGTTAGTTCCTCTGCGTTTTACTCTTGTCATAGTGTAGACAGTGACATCCACTTAGAATACTATTATTTTTGGGGGAGGAGCCAAGATGGCCGAATAGGAACAGCTCCGGTCTACAGCTCCCAGCGTGAGCGATGCAGAAGACGGGTGATTTCTGCATTTCCATCTGAGGTACCGGGTTCATCTCACTAGGGAGTGCCAGACAGTGGGCGCAGGCCGGTGAGTGCGCGCACCGTGCGCGAGCCAAAGCAGGGTGAGGCATTGCCTCACCTGGGAAGCGCAAGGGGTCAGGGAGTTCCCTTTCCGACTCAAAGAAAGGGGTGACGGACGCACCTGGACAATCGGGTCACTCCCACCCGAATATTGCGCTTTTCAGACCGGCTTAAAAAACGGCGCACCACGAGACTATATCCCACACCTGGCACGGAGGGTCCTACGCCCACGGAGTCTCGCTGATTGCTAGCACAGCAGTCTGAGATCAAACTGCAAGGCGGCAGCGAGGCTGGGGGAGGGGCGCCCGCCATTGCCCAGGCTCCCGTAGGTAAACAAAGCAGCCGGGAAGCTCGAACTGGGTGGAGCCCATCACAGCTCAAGGAGGCCTGCCTGCCTCTGTAGGCTCCACCTCTGGGGGCAGGGCACAGAGAAACAAAAAGACAGCAGTAACCTCTGCAGACTTAAATGTCCCTGTCTGACAGCTTTGAAGAGAGCAGTGGTTCTCTCAGCACGCAGCTGGAGATCTGAGAACGGGCAGACTGCCTCCTCAAGTGGGTCCCTGACCCCTGACCCCTGAGCAGCCTAACTGGGAGGCACCCCCCAGCAGGGGCACACTGACACCTCACACTGCAGGGTATTCCAACAGACCTGCAGCTGAGGGTCCTGTCTGTTAGAAGGAAAACTAACAAACAGAAAGTACATCCACACCAAAAACCCATCTGTACATCACCATCATCAAAGACCAAAAGTAGATAAAACCACAAAGATGGGGAAAAAACAGAACAGAAAAACTGGAAACTCTAAAACGCAGAGTGCCTCTCCTCCTCCAAAGGAACGCAGTTCCTCACCAGCAACGGAACAAAGCTGGATGGAGAATGACTTTGACGAGCTGAGAGAAGAAGGCTTCAGACGATCAAATTACTCTGAGCTACGGGAGGACATTCAAACCAAAGGCAAAGAACTTGAAAACTTTGAAAAAAATTTAGAAGAATGTATAACTAGAATAACCAATACAGAGAAGTGCTTAAAGGAGCTGATGGAGCTGAAAACCAAGGCTCGAGAACTACGTGAAGAATGCAGAAGCCTCAGGAGCCACTGCGATCAACTGGAAGAAAGGGTATCAGCGATGGAAGATGAAATGAATGAAATGAAGCAAGAAGGGAAGTTTAGAGAAAAAAGAATAAAAAGAAATGAGCAAAGCCTCCAAGAAATATGGGACTATCTGAAAAGACCAAATCTACGTCTGATTGGTGTACCTGAAAGTGATGGTGAGAATGGAACCAAGTTGGAAAACACTCTGCAGGATATTATCCAGGAGAACTTCCCCAATCTAGCAAGGCAGGCCAACGTTCAGATTCAGGAAATACAGAGAACGCCACAAAGATACTCCTTGAGAAGAGCAACTCCAAGACACATAATTGTCAGATTCACCAAAGTTGAAATGAAGGAAAAAATGTTAAGGGCAGCCAGAGAGAAAGGTCGGGTTACCCTCAAAGGGAAGCCCATCAGACTAACAGCGGATCTCTCGGCAGAAACCCTACAAGCCAGAAGAGAGTGGGGGCCAATATTCAACATTCTTAAAGAAAAGAATTTTCAACCCAGAATTTCATATCCAGCCAAACTAAGCTTCATAAGTGAAGGAGAAATAAAATACTTTACAGACAAGCAAGTGCTGAGAGATTTTGTCACCACCAGACCTGCCCTAAAAGAGCTCCTGAAGGAAGCGCTAAACATGGAAAGGAACAACCGGTACCAGCCGCTGCAAAATCATGCCAAAATGTAAAGACCATCGAGACTAGGAAGAAACTGCATCAACTAACGAGCAAAATCACCAGCTAACATCATAATGACAGGATCACATTCACACATAACAATATTAACTTTAAATGTAAATGGACTAAATTCTCCAATTAAAAGACACAGACTGGCAAATTGGATAAAGAGTCAAGACCCATCAGTGTGCTGTATTCAGGAAACCCATCTCATGTGCAGAGACACACATAGGCTCAAAATAAAAGGATGGAGGAAGATCTACCAAGCAAATGGAAAACAAAAAAAGGCAGGGGTTGCAATCCTAGTCTCTGATAAAACAGACTTTAAACAAACAAAGATCAAAAGAGACAAAGAAGGCCAATACATAATGGTAAAGGGATCAATTCAACAAGAGGAGCTAACTATCCTAAATATATATGCACCCAATACAGGAGCACCCAGATTCATAAAGCAAGTCCTGAGTGACCTACAAAGAGACTTAGACTCCCACACATTAATAATGGGAGACTTTAACACCCCACTGTCAACATTAGACAGATCAACGAGACAGAAAGTCAACAAGGATACCCAGGAATTGAACTCAGCTCTGCACCAAGCAGACCTAATAGACATCTACAGAACTCTCCACCCCAAATCAACAGAATATACATTTTTTTCAGCACCACACCACACCTATTCGAAAATTGACCACATACTTGGAAGTAAAGCTCTCCTCAGCAAATGTAAAAGAACAGAAATTATAACAAACTATCTCTCAGACCACAGTGCAATCAAACTAGAACTCAGGATTAAGAATCTCACTCAAAGCCTCTCAACTACATGGAAACTGAACAACCTGCTCCTGAATGAATACTGGGTACATAACGAAATGAAGGCAGAAATAAAGATGTTCTTTGAAACCAACGAGAACAAAGACACAACATACCAGAATCTCTGGGACGCATTCAAAGCAGTGTGTAGAGGGAAATTTATAGCACTAAATGCCCACAAGAGAAAGCAGGAAAGATCCAAAATTGACACCCTAACATCACAATTAAAAGAACTAGAAAAGCAAGAGCAAACACATTCAAAAGCTAGCAGAAGGCAAGAAATAACTAAAATCAGAGCAGAACTGAAGGAAATAGAGACACAAAAAACCCTTCAAAAAATCAATGAATCCAGGAGCTGGTTTTTTGAAAGGATCAACAAAATTGATAGACCGCTAGCAAGACTAATAAAGAAAAAAAGAGAGAAGAATCAAATAGACACAATAAAAAATGATAAAGGGGATATCACCACTGATCCCACAGAAATACAAACTACCATCAGAGAATACTACAAACACCTCTACGCAAATAAACTAGAAAATCTAGCAGAAATGGATAAATTCCTTGACACATACACTCTCCCAAGACTAAACCAGGAAGGAGTTGAATCTCTGAATAGACCAATAACAGGAGCTGAAATTGTGGCAATAATCAATAGTTTACCAACCAAAAAGAGTCCAGGACCAGATGGATTCACAGCCGAATTCTACCAGAGGTACAAGGAGGAACTGGTACCATTCCTTCTGAAACTATTCCAATCAATAGAAAAAGAGGGAATCCTCCCTAACTCATTTTATGAGGCCAGCATCATTCTGATACCAAAGCCGGGCAGAGACACAACCAAAAAAGAGAATTTTAGACCAATATCCTTGATGAACATTGATGCAAAAATCCTCAATAAAATACTGGCAAACCGAATCCAGCAGCACATCAAAAAGCTTATCCACCATGATCAAGTGAGCTTCATCCCTGGGATGCAAGGCTGGTTCAATATATGCAAATCAATAAATGTAATCCAGCATATAAACAGAGCCAAAGACAAAAACCACATGATTATCTCAATAGATGCAGAAAAAGCCTTTGACAAAATTCAACAACGCTTCATGCTAAAAACTCTCAATAAATTAGGTATTGATGGGACATATTTCAAAATAATAAGAGCTATCTATGACAAACCCATAGCCAATATCATACTGAATGGGCAAAAACTGGAAGCATTCCCTTTGAAAACTGGCACAAGACAGGGATGCTCTCTCTCACCGCTCCTATTCAACATAGTGTTGGAAGTTCTGGCCAGGGCAATTAGGCAGGAGAAGGAAATAAAGGGTATTGAATTAGGAAAAGAGGAAGTCAAATTGTCCCTGTTTGCAGACGACATGATTGTATATCTAGAAAACCCCATTGTCTCAGCCCAAAATCTCCTTAAGCTGATAAGCAACTTCAGCAAAGTCTCAGGATACAAAATCAACGTACAAAAATCACAAGCATTCTTATACACCAACAACAGACAAACAGAGAGCCAAATCATGAGTGAACTTCCATTCACAATTGCTTCAAAGAGAATAAAATACCTAGGAATCCAACTTACAAGGGATGGGAAGGACCTCTTCAAGGAGAACTACAAACCACTGCTCAAGGAAATAAAAGAGGATACAAACAAATGGAAGAACATTCCATGCTCATGGGTAGGAAGAATCAATATCGTGAAAATGGCCATACTGCCCAAGGTAATTTACAGATTCAATGCCATCCCCATCAAGCTACCAATGCCTTTCTTCACAGAATTGGAAAAAACTACTTTAAAGTTCATATGGAACCAAAAAAGAGCCCGCATCGCCAAGTCAATCCTAAGCCAAAAGAACAAAGCTGGAGGCATCACACTACCTGACTTCAAACTATACGACAAGGCTACAGTAACCAAAACAGCATGGTACTGGTACCAAAACAGAGATATAGATCAATGGAACAGAACAGAGCCCTCAGAAATAACGCTGCATACCTACAACTATCTGATCTTTGACAAACCTGACAAAAACAAGCAATGGGGAAAGGATTCCCTATTTAATAAATGGTGCTGGGAAAACTGGCTAGCCATATGTAGAAAGCTGAAACTGGATCCCTTCCTTATACCTTATACAAAAATCAATTCAAGATGGATTAAAGATTTAAACGTTAGACCTAAAACCATAAAAACCCTAGAAGAAAACCTAGGCATTACCATTCAGGACATAGGCATGGGCAAGGACTTCATGTCCAAAACACCAAAAGCAATGGCAACAAAAGCCAAAATTGACAAATGGGATCTAATTAAACTCAAGAGCTTCTGCACAGCAAAAGAAACTACCATCAGAGTGAACAGGCAACCTACAACATGGGAGAAAATTTTTGCAACCTACTCATCTGACAAAGGGCTAATATCCAGAATCTACAATGAACTCAAACAAATTTACAAGAAAAAAACAAACAACCCCATCAAAAAGTGGGCGAAGGACATGAACAGACACTTCTCAAAAGAAGACATTTATGCAGCCAAAAAACACATGAAAAAATGCTCACCATCACTGGCCATCAGAGAAATGCAAATCAAAACCACTATGAGATATCATCTCATACCAGTTAGAATGGCAATCATTAAAAAGTCAGGAAACAACAAGTGCTGGAGAGGATGTGGAGAAATAGGAACACTTTTACACTGTTGGTGGGACTGTAAACTAGTTCAACCATTGTGGAAGTCGGTGTGGCGATTCCTCAGGGATCTAGAACTAGAAATACCATTTGACCCAGCCATCCCATTACTGGGTATATACCCAAAGGACTATAAATCATGCTGCTATAAAGACACATGCACACGTTTGTTTATTGCGGCATTATTCACAATAGCAAAGACTTGGAACCAACCCAAATGTCCAACAATGATAGACTGGATTAAGAAAATGTGGCACATATACACCATGGAATACTATGCAGCCATAAAAAATGATGAGTTCATGTCCTTTGTAGGGACATGGATGAAATTGGAAAGCATCATTCTCAGTAAACTATCGCAAGAACAAAAAACCAAACACCGCATATTCTCACTCATAGGTGGGAATTGAACAATGAGATCACATGGACACAGGAAGGGGAATAGCACACTCTGGGGACTGTGGTGGGGTGGGGGGAGTGGGGAGGGATATCATTGGGAGATATACCTAATGCTAGATGATGAGTTAGTGGGTGTAGCGCACCATCATGGCACATGTATACATATGTAACTAACCTGCACAATGTGCACATGTACGCTAAAACTTAAAGTATAATAAAAAAAAAAAAGTAAAAAAAAAAAAAGAATACTATTATTTTAACATTTGGACCATTTTTGACATAGATGGAGAAGATGTGAAAAAAAGGAGCACAAGTTCCTAGACATAATCGAGCTTTTTCTGTTATAAATAAGTTATTAAAATGACTACATCACTTTAATGACTCAAAACTGTATAAAGAAATGTAAGAGACAGTAAGAATTAAAGAAACGCAAACACCTCAACACTACCTTCATCTGTGAGCAATTAGGGTTTGGCTCAATCATGACTTTATTGGTAAGGAGACTTCTGTTTAGGAATTTCTTCTGGTTCCTAAGCATTCAAAACTTTGGATTTACATAGGAAAGCCTTTAAATATAAGACTTTACCAGAGAAAAGGTATTCATGTATATATCCTATATATGGGTATATATAGATATGGGAGATATATATATATATATATATATATATATATATATATATATATATATCCCCTATGGATTCATGGGCATTTGATTTTTTTGATTACATATATATTTATTTTTTTTTGTTTTATATATATACACACACATACATATAATAAAAAGAAATATGTATGTGTAGTTGGCCTTCTGTAGCCATGGGTTCCACATCTGCAATTCAACCAACCATGGATGCAAAATCTCTGGCTACAGAGGGTTGACTAAGGCACGTGAGATTCCACGAATTTTGGAATGTTTGAGGGTCTTAGAACCAATCCTCCATGGATTTCGAGGGACAAGGGATGACTGCATCAGCATTGTTAACTCAAAACCCCATGGGAAACAACTTTGTCAAATAAATACAGCGTGTATCAGATGTTTCTTTTGCATTTAGTATTGTGTGATCCATTCCTTTCCAAAGTTATTAGATATTAGCACCTTCCCCCCACTTCCTTCATTAATGTTTTCTTCCCATACACTTGTAATACAGTTAGAGTCTCTTGTCACAATCTGCATTCCATCCTGGGATCCTCTGACCTCCTAGTTGATTTTTTAAAATATTCACATACATTACGTTTCACTCCTGTACTGTAAAGTTCTGAGTTCTATAAGTTTTTGGCAAACACCTAATGTTATGTACCCACCATTACAGTATCACACAAGATGATTTCATCTCCTAAAAAAAGTACCCTAATTTTTTTTTTTACCTATTTGACCCTCCTTCCCTTTGACTGAACCCCAGGTAACCACCAAACCTTTTACTGTCTTTATAGGATTGCCCTTTTTCAGAATGTCATATAATTGGAATCATAAAGTATGTACATTTTCAGCCTTTTTACAATTAGCAAACTGCATTTCAAGATGTTCCACATCTTTTCATGTCTTGAGAGCTCTTTTATTTTACTACTGAAGAATATTCCAATGTATTGATGTAACACAATTTGTTTATCCAACCACCTATTGAAGCGTATCTTGGTTGTTTCCAGTTTTTGGTAATTATGAATAGTTAGTTTAAACATTCATATGAATGTGTGTACATAAGTACATACATACTTGTGTGTATATAAGTACTCATATCATTTGAGTAAATACCCAGGAGTGCAGTTACTGTATATAGTAAGACTATGTTCAACTTTGTTTTAAAAATTGAACATTTAAATTAAAATATATTAAATATTGAAAATATTTTTTAATACTACCAAAATGTCTTTCAAAGTGGCTAGACTGTTTTGATTTCTCTTTTTTAAAAAATAACTTCAACTTTTATTTTAGATTCAGGAGGTACATGTACAGGTTTGTTATACAGGTGTACTGCATGACACTGAGTTTTGGGGTATGAATGATCTTATCACCCAGGTAGTAAGCTTAGTACCCAATAGGTAGTTCTTCAACCCTTGCCTCCCTCCATTCCTCCTCCTTCTGGTAGTCCCCAGTGTCTATTGTTGCCAGCTTTATGTCCATGTGTACCCAGTGTTTAGCTTCCACTTATAAATGAGAACATGTGGTATTTACTTTTCTTTTCCTGCATTAATTTGCTTAGGATAATGGTCTCCAGCCTGTATCCATGTTGTTGCAAAGGAAATGCTTTCATTCTTTTTTCTGGCTGCATAATATGCCATGGTGTATATGTCTCACATTTTCTTTATCCAATCCACCATTGAATGGGCATCTACGTTAATTCCATGTCTTTGCTGTTGTAAATAGTGCTTCAGTGAATATACAAGTGCATGTGTTTTTGGTAGAACAATTTATGTTCCTTTGGGTGTATACTTCAGTAATGGGATTGCTGGGCTGAATGGTAGCTCTGTTTTAAGTTCTTTGAGAAATCTTCAAACTGCTTTCCACAGTAACTGAACTAGCTTGCATTCCCACCAACAGTGGGTATGTAGCGTTTCCTTTCCTCCATAGCCTAGCCAGCATCTGTTCTTGGTTTGTTTTGCTTTGTTTTCTTTTTTACTTTAGAAAATGGCCATTGTGATGGGTGAGAGATGATATCTCATTGTGGTTTTGACTTGCTTTTCTCTGATTACTAGTGATGTTGAGCATTGTTTCATGTTTGTTGGTCACTTGTATGTCTTGTTGAGAAATGTCTGTCCTGTCCTTTTCTCACTTTTTAATGGGTTTGTTTTTAGCATGTTGAATTGATTAAAGTTCCTTATGGATTCTGGATATTAGAACTTTGTCAGATGCATAGTTTGGAATATTTGTTCTCATTCTGTAGGCTGTCTGTCTACTCTGTTGATAGTTTATTTTGCTGTGTAGAAGCCCTTTAGTTTAATTAGGTCCCACTAGTTAATTTTCATTTGTTGTTTCTGAGGACTTAGTCATGACTTCCTTGCCAAAGCTAATGTTTAGAATGGTATTTCTGCCAAGGCTAAATGTTTAGAATGGTATTTCATGGGTTTTCTTCTAGGATTCTTATAGTTTGAGGTCTTATGTTTAAATCACAAATTCATCTTGAGTTAATTTTTGTATACAGTAAAAGATAGAGATCCAGTTTCATTCTTCTCCATGTGGCTAGCCAGTTATACTATCACCATCTAGTTAACAGGGAGTCCTTTCCCCATGGTTCATCTTCATCAGCTTTGTCAAACATCAGATAGTTGTAGGTATGCAGCTTTATTTCTGAATTTTCTATTCTGTTCCTGAATAGAAACAGGATATTTCTATTCTATATATGTGCCTGTTTTTGTATCAGTACCATGCTGTGTTGGTTACTATAGCCTTATAGTATAGGTTGAAGTCAGGTTAACAATGAGAATTAATTGTTGCTCTTCATTGTCATCAGAATTGTATTGTCAGTTTGGGGGATTTTAGTCAGTCTAATAGTTATAAAGTGGTGTTGCATTGTTGTTTTAATTTGGAATTCCCTTATAAGAAATAATTATGCACATCTTTCATATGCTTATTTGTCACGTGTCTATATTCTCTGGTGAAGTGTCTAGATATTTTGCCCACTTTTTCGATGGGTTATATGTTTTCTTACTGTTGAGCTTTAACAGTTTTTTATATTTTGGATACTAGTCCTTTATCTGACATGCAAGACAAAGGAAACCACATCATAAAGTTCACAGGGATAAAATTCACAAGGCAAAGAAGATCAGAAAATGGATCTGGCTAGGATATAGGGCTAGCAAACAGGGTTCCAAGAGAGAAAACGACAATAATAGAGATTTTTTTCATGTCAGTATATATGACACTTGTTTAAAATTAAAAATATAAAACTAATGGGGACAAAGGTTAAACTTTAAGTTTGAAAATCTTTCCCTTCAATCATGGATTGAGTAATGAACATGAAATACACACCGAGGAACACTACAAAGCCATAAAAAAAATGAAGTCATGTTCTTTGCAGCAACATAGATGTAACTGAAGGTCATTTTCCTAAGCAAACTAATGCGGGAACAGAAGACCAAATACCACATGTTCTCACTTATAAGTGAAAGCTAAGCGTTGGGTACACATGGATATAAAGATGGCAATAACAGCCACTGGGGACTACCAGAGTGAGTGGGGAGGATGGCCAGCAAGGGTTGAAAACCTAACTGTTGGGTATCTGCTTATTACTTTAGTGACTGGACAATTCATGTCCCAAACCTCAGCTTCACACTATATGCCCATGTAACAAACCTGCACATGTACCTTCTGAATCTAAAACAAAAGTTGAAGTTATTCTAAAAAAAGAAAGAAAATCTTTCTAATCACTGATTCTACCATTTTGCTATTTTTGTCTAAATTCAAATTTGTTTAGGGTCTGTCATATAAGCACCAAAATTTATGTGGCACAGGTAAACTTACAAACTGACATATGTAAACATCATCTAAATCCATAAACCTTATTTCAAAATAAATTTACATAATATGTAAACAAACAAGTTTTCAAAGTTTAATCAACTTATTATTAAATATTAATATAAAACTGACATTCCCTCTAATTTATGTAACTGCTGATCAAGAAAACCTCTAATTTACTTGTGGTTTCAAACCTCATTTGTCTTCTTCAAGTAACTGGAAAATATGCTATAGGCAAAAATTATTAAAGTCAACTTATGGAGTATAATTTATTTCAACTTGAGAAAGGGCATTTTAAACCAATTAAGCCTAAAATTATGTAGGTTCTTTTTAAAATGTATGCTAACCTTTTTTAAGCTTTCAAATACACTTAAATACTCTGATCATATTATGTGGCCAAAACATGCTAACTTTTAAAATATTTAAATATTTAAATATGTCTAATTATTTTTTGATATAAGTATGCCCAGTTTTATGTCTTAGATATGACTGCCACTTGAGATAAGGTAACCACATAATTTACCATCCAAAGAAGCGCAGTTTTGTGAATAAAAGAAGACAATAGTGGCCAGGCACGGTGGCTCACGCCTGTAATCTCAGCACTTTGGGAGGCCAAGGTGGGTGGATCACGAGGTCAGGAGATCAAGACCATCCTGGCTAACACAGTGAAACCCCGTCTCTACTAAAAATCTAAAAATTAGCCGGCTGTGTTGGCAGGTGCCTGTAGTCCCAGCTACTTGGGAGGCTGAGGCAGGAGAATGGCATGAACCTGGGAGGCAGAGCTTGCAGTGAGCCGAGATGGTGCCACTGTACTCCAGCCTGGGTGACAGAACAAGACTCTGTTTAAAAAAAAAGAAAACAATAGTAATAATAATGATAATAGTAATCCTGAGATAATGGACATAAAGCAGTCTATCCTGGGCAAATCTGCACAAAGGGTTAAACCTAACCTTAATTCAAAAAAATAAGAGACAAACATTACCAAAAGTACCCAAAACTTTATGAAATACCCAGCACCACTGGTGCTAATATAATAAAATTTCTATTATGTATAGTAGATTCTTAATAATTCATTTACCAATATACAGATCTTCACGTAGTTAAAAGTGACAACTTTATCTTACCCTGTTAATAAAGAGTCAGAAACTGAAAATAAGGCAGCCGATTTTTCTTATCTTATGGAACAATTTAGAAATATATTGAAAATCTTCAAAGATTATCCTACTCCAAACTTATCCACTTAATAATTTCCCTGAAAAGCTACCATTAAAAATTAATTATTTAAGACCACATTTCTCAAAGTCTGCTCAAGGCATAACAGATTGTCAAATACTACTGGTTACAGCAGAATCTTAGGAAAATATCCTACTTTGGACTAAGACCTTCTGATATAGACAAGCAAAATCTGTTTTTCCTTTTATGGAAAGTAAAAGAGATGAATATACCTTAACCCCTTGCTTGTTGTTCATAAGAAAGGGCAAGACAAAGTACCTCTTTTTAGAAATAGATATGTATCTGCAAGAAGAAAGGACAAAGAGCAATGTCTGAAAGTTTTCTTCTTAAACCTCCTCTTTTTAGAAATCCTGACTTTGTTTTTTATATTTTTATAAAATTTGGGAGATAGTTTCCCAAATAGATGAAGATCCAAAAAGATAAAGGAATACTGAGTTTTACAATAAGTGCACAATAACCTGGGGATAGAAAGGTGGGGAATACATTACCAGTTAACAGTAAACAGAGGAAGTAGCTGCAGCGGCAATTTGCCAAAAACTTTTGCTTAGCAAGGAGATTGCTGGGAAGATGTTTCCGTTAACTACTGCTGCATAATACACCACCTCAAAACTTAGTCGTTCAAAACAATTATTTTACTGTTGTTTATGTTTCCATGGTTTGACTGGGTTCAGTTGGGTGGTTCTGACCTGTATGATGTCAGCAAGGTGGGGTACAATCACCTGGTGGTTTAGCAGGGCTGAAAGTTCAAGATGGCTCATTCGCATGGTTTCCAGCTGCTGCTGTCTATTGACAAGGGCATATCTTATATCTACCACACTACCAATCCTCTTAAATTCTGGGCCTTTGAGTCCCAAAGCAGCAATTTCACCAGTTTCATAGCTATTTGACTGATCAGAGTTAGTCACAAGAGCAGCCCATAGTCTAGGAAAGGGGAGATAAACTGCATCACTTGATACTAGGACTAACATGCATGTACAAGAAGGGGAAGAATTTGGAGAGGCATTCCGGATTCTGCCCTCTGGCAGTAACAATTCTCATACCAAGTACAATCACCACATCCTAAGATCCCCACAAATTCCCATTCCATTATGTATCAGCTCATATCCAACACTCCTGTCATCTATTGACAGAGGTAGATGCAGATGGGGGAGACTTTTCACAGTCCTCAGGAGCAATTGTGAACTAAAAAAATGAAACAACACCAATAAAATCATTATCTGACCTGTACGATATACAAGAGTGGAAAAGGGTCATGGCAGCCACAATAGAAACCTCCAATCTCCAACAGTGAAACAGGAGTCCCATAGCAGTTACTAGTTCATAGCAATTCTGAGATCGAGCAAGACTTGTCACCATTTTCTTTGTTTCAAGGGGCAGAAAATATTTCTTTATTAGGGTCAATTTCTGCTACATAAGAGTGGTTCCCCATAGCTCTGCCTTCTGAGTCATCCTTCTCTTTCCATAAGAAATGGAATGTGTTTGCAGTGAAATCATGTTCTCATAGGAGATTAATAACACATGAGGTCTTATCTCAATTTGAACTACTTCTGTCTCTTTTACTCCAAGTTGTTAAAATTTCTTTAAAAATTTTTAACCTCCTGTCTATACCGTTATTTTAAAACAGACTCTTTAGAACACACTCCTCTCTACCTTGGCCTTAGAACCAGGGTGCTATGGGGACAATACTTTTACATTCTTAAAAATCTCTTTTGGGATTAAGAGGCACTCCCTTAAGACTGTGAGAAACTCTGTTGTCTAGGTGAGAGGTCAAAGAAGGCAAGTCCTTAAGATTCTAAAAGCCCTATTATCTATATGAGAGTCTAAGGGATAATCCCTTTGTCTTTCTGAGGACTGTACAAAGGGCCTTCCAATTACACCCTGAACTGATCTTCACTTTCATTCTGAGGCTGTTCTGGTACCACTATGAATCTGATCTTTGTCTCCAGGTTTTTATTTATTCTGGAAAGTTTTTGTGGGCTGAAGGAGTTAGATAAAATAATAATTTATGTTTCAACCTACAAATACTGGTTCACATGTGTTTCTTCTAGATCAGAGGTGGGTAGACTTTGGCCCACAGGTAAAATGCAGACTGTCGCCTGCTTTGGTCAACAAAGTTTTTTTGGAACACAGCTATACCCATTCATTTACACATTGTCTAGATATATTTTATGCTATAACTACAGACTTGAGCAGTTGCTACAGACACCATACAGCTTGAAAAGCCTAAAATATTTGCTATCTGATCCAATACAGAAGATGTTTGCTGACTCACACTCTAGACACTGGTTGAAAATTGAACAGTTCCTTCTTTAGTTTATTTTACCCTATTAATGATCATACACAACTAAAAGAAACCAGTTGGCACTTTCAACATTCTGTGTGGATATCTCATTAGCCAAATACAGAGGTTCATTAGATATATTTTCTATCTTTTATATTGCTGCAAGTTACAGCATTGTCAAACATTCTGCCACTCCTCAATAGGGCAGAACAGAGTCACCTCTCCCCCAGGCTCCAATAACAATTTCCTTGCTATCTTACAGCTGCCATTAACTGTTTCTTTGAGGCTCCTTTGGCTGATAGCCACTGACTGGTCCCAAAGTCAATGTCACATATTTTAGGTTTTTGTTACAGCAGTGCCCCACTTCTAGTTATCAATTTCTGTTATAGTTATCTATTGCTGCAAAAACTCTGCAAACTTAATGGCTTAATGTAACAACTGGTTTATTGTCTATCATGACTTAAGGTTAACTTAGCTCAGATGGCATCTTCTATTCCACATGTCAGCTGGGGCTACAATCATCTGGAGTCTCAATTGACCTGAAATGCTTAATATGTATGCTTTAGTTATTAATTGCTGTACAATGTGTTACTCCAGAACTTGGCAGCTTGAGAATACAAAAATTTGTTATCTCACAGATTTTGTGGATCTAGAATCCAAGAGAAGCTTAACTGGGTGGTTCTGTCTCAGGGTCTCTCCTGTAGTTGAGGCAAGCTATCAGCTAAATTTGCAGTCATTTGAAGTAAGAGAGACTCACTTCATGGTGAGCCTCAGTTCCTCACCAAATAGGCCTCTCCATAGGCTACCTGAGTGTCCTCAGAACATAACAGCTGGCTTCCCCCAGAGAGAGTGATCTGAGAGAGGGCCACCAAGATGGAAACCACAGTGCATTTTATAATGTAATCTTGGAAGTGACAATCATCACCTCTGTAGTATTCAAACAAACTAACACTGATACAATGTGCAAGAGAACTACACAGGGATGTGACTACCAGGAAGCAGCCTTTATTGGATGCCATATTGGAAGGTGGCTACCAAAATTACCCACTCATGGGGTTGTCAGTGCTTAATATACCTAGAATGCCTCTGTTCTCATCTTTGTGATTCCTCGGTCTGCCTTGGGCTTCTCACAGCATGCAGGCTGAGTTCCAGGAAGCAGCAAGTAGAATCAAAAGTTTTGACTATCTGTAACCATTAAAAAGATGGTTTTTATAATCAGTCCCTTCCTTTTGGGTCTGGCCAATTACAAGTACAGAAGTCCTTCAGAATCCTGCAAATTTAACTCTATGTGGTTCAAAAGCTGGGAATCACAGAAGCCTGGTAGACTACTCAAATTTCCATTCCTAGCTGAGAAGAGTTTAGGACATACACATAACGCTCTTGGTATGAATGCCCTAGACGTTTATGTTACTCAGATGGAGCAAACAGCTACATTGTATACTTTTTCTTTATGATTAGCAGCCTGCTTTGGGTTCAGATTCACATTCTAACTTCCTGTTAGCAAATCCTACTCAGCCTTCCAGCTTGCCTAATCCTAATCTACTTCTCTTTTCTAGAAACATACCTATACCCGTGGCTTTGACTGAGGTCTGATTTGAACTCAGATAGGCTTCTTTGGCATTAAATTTGGCCGTTTTTTAGATACCACTACTAGGGTGCTTTCATCAGTCACATTACTCTCCATGGATAGCATTAACTCAGCTCCTACCTGATACTGTCATGCTTCAGATGCTGTGTTCACCCACCTTGGAGTCAGTCCTCAAACCCCTGTTTTAGTCAGGCCTGACTTAACAGCCTGTCTTTAATGTCCTGCCTTTAAGGAAAGCACTGTACTAAATCCTGCTCATTTAAAAAAATGGAAAACTGTTAATTTAGGTGTGATGTTGGCAGGGACCTTTTTTTTTTTTTACGACCCTTTGAAAAACTAAAATTGTATGGAGGGTTACTCGTAATCTACAAAAGTTAACACCAAAAGCCAGCAGCATGGCATTTTGACATTTGGTGCTAACATCCTAAGCAAGGCTACATTTTTTTTCTCTGTTCAAAACACTCTTCCTATGGATTTGTATGCCCCTGGCAGATTTTTTTCATCATGTAAAAAGCACTATGAAAGTGTTTTCAGAGTTTGGTATTTGTTTGAACTTTCAGCTTTCAAAAATCTATCTAATTGCTCTCATTTTTTATCTCTTCCATTAAGCTAAATGTTTCATATCATCACTCAGAACCAATCCAATAACGATCTAGATTGCCAATACTCCCATTACTCATTCAGGAATGCTCATTAGTCAGAAGCTATGGCATATTTTTAATATATTATTTTCAACAGTAGTATCATATTTTAATACAGAATATGGTACTATTTCAGATGCAAGGTGTTTTGTAAACACTAATCTTCAAATATACTGGTACTTCATAAACCTAAAAATGTAAATCGAGCTAATAAAACATTGCCCAACTTCTCACAAAAATCATCCAAAGCAAAATTAGGATATCACTTATTTCATCTCTATCTGTGTCCCTGAACAACAAAATCAAACTTTTCTTAAGGAATTATATAGGCTACTCCACAAAATATTATTCAACCTATTTTATGGGCTGCTCTTTGTCAGGATTATTATTGATGGCTTTAAAATAGTTTTATCTGTGAAATATGGAATACATGGAGAGGAATATATAAAACATGTAAGGACAAGTTATAGTGCATTAACATGAACACAGACATATCCATTATTTGGGTTAAGAAATAAAACACTGCCTGTTAAAAGCCCTCTACTTCTTGAGTACATTTCTCTGTCTTCTACTCTATATAGAGATAGTGGAGAAGAGAACATCACAATCCTGAATTTCATATTAATCATTTCTTAGGTTTTCTGTATATTTTTACAACCTATGCATGGATTCTTATAATTTCCATCAACTCTTCACACTTTGCATTTAACATGAATTGTACTATTCTGACTTGCTTCTTACATTCAATAATATACTTAGAGATTCATCTTTGTTGATGCATTTGGCTATGTTTCATTAGTTTTCTCTGCTCTACAGGATTCTGTTGTATGAATATATTAGAGTTTATTCTTTTATAGTTTACGGATACTCCATTTTTTCCTCTTCTTTCTATTACCACAATGTTCTTGTAAACATCCTTCTACCTGCTTCCTTATACATATACTCAAATGGGCAAATGCCATCGATTGAAATTGCTGGGTAATAAACACAAAAATGTTTGACTTTACTTAGTAAGCTAGAGCAGTGGGAATGGGCTTGGACAACCTCCACAATCTTAGCGGTTAAAACATCAAAGGTTTATTTGTTGCTCATGTTATGTTTTCATCTTAGCTAGGGGGTTGAGTAGGGAGAGTCTCTCTTTCACATTATCCTCCCTAAGAATACGCTGCCAGTCACCACAAAAAAAGGGGAAACACCTCCTTAATCACTCAGCAGCTCTTAAAGTCTCCCACTTGAAAAGTATACAGGTTGCATAGTCACATTTAACTTTAAGGGGGTGGTAAACATTTTAGTGCAAGCCCAGAAAAGAAGAAGAAGAAATATCTGTGAACAGCCTGAATGTCTACTATAAACTATTTTCTTTTATAAATTAATTTCAACTTTTACTATAGATTAAAGCGTACATGTACAGGTTTGCTATATGGGTAAACTGCATGACGCTGAGTCTTGGGGTCCCAACCATTCTATCACCCAGGCAATAAACAATAGTACATAACAGATGGTTCTTCAGCCCACATCTGCTCCCTCCCTCTGCTGTCTTGTAGTCCCCAGTGTCTATTGCTTTCATCTTTATGTTCATGTACCTTCAATGTTTAGCTCCCACTTACAAGTGAGAACATGTGGTATTTGGTTTTCTTTTCCTGCATTAATTTGCCTAGGATAATGGCCTTCAGCTCCATTCGTGTTGCAGCAAAGGACATGATTTCATTCCTGTTTATGGTGGCATAGTATTCCGTGGTATATATGTACCACATTTTCTTTCTCCAATTCACTGTTGATGGGCATCTGGGTTTATTCCATGTCTTTGTTATGGTGAATAGAGCTGCAATGAACATATGGGTATAATGTGACTTTTTGATAGAATGAATTATTTTCCTTTGATTATATACTCATTACATTGCTGGGTCGAATGGTAGTTCTATTTTATTAGTGAGTTATTTGAGAAATCTCCAAAATGCTTTCCACAGTGACTGAACTAGTTTGCATTCCCTCCAACAGTGTATAAGCATTCCCTTTTCTCCTCAGCCTCACCAACATGTTGTTTGTTGAATTTTTAATAATTTTTAATAATCTGGTGAGATGGTATCTCATTGTGGTTTTGGTTTGCATTTATCTGAAGATTAGTGATGTTCAGCATTTCTCCATATGTTCATTGGATGCTTGTATGTCTCCTTCTGAGAAGTGTCTGTTTATATCCTTTTCCCATTTTTAATTGGATTTTTTGTTTTTTTTGCTTATTGATTTGTTTAATTTTCTTGTAGATTCTGGATATTAGACATTCGTCAGATGCATAGCTTGGGCATATTTTCTCCCATTCTGTAGACTGTCTGTTTTACTCTGTTGGTAGTTTCTTTTGCTGTGCAGATATTCTTTAGTTTCATTAGATCCCACTTGTCTATTTTCTGTTTTTGCTGCAATTGCTTTTGGGACTTAGCCATAAATTACGTGCCCAAGCTTATGTTCAGAAGAGTATTTTCCTAGATTTTCTTCTAGGATTTTTATAGTTTGTGGTCTTACTTTAAATCTTTGACTCATCTTGAGTTAATTTTCATATATGACAAGAGGTAGGGGTCCAGTCTCTTTCTGCATATGGCTAAACAGTTATCCCAGCACCATTTATTAAATATAGAGTCCTTTCCCCATTGCTGATTTTTGTTGATTTTTTCAAAGATCAGATTATGGTAAGTGCACAGGTTTATTTCTGGGTTCTTTATTCTGTTCCCCTGGTTTATATATCTCTTTTTATACCAGTGCAATGCTGTTTTGATTTACTGTAGCCTCATAGTATAGTTTGAAGTCAGGCAATGTGATGCATCTGGCTTTGTTTTTTTGTTTGTTTAGAATTGCTTTGGCTATTTGGGCTCTTTTTTGGTTCCAAATGAATTTTAGAATAGATTTTTCTTAATTCCATGAAAAATGACATTGGTATTCTGATAAGGATAGTGTTGAATCTGTAAATTGCTTTGGGCAATATAGCCATTTTGACTCTATTTTTCCAATCCATGAGCATGGGATATTTTTCCATTTATTTGTGTTGTCTCTGATTTCTTTCAACAGTGTTCTGTAGTTCTCCTTATAAAGATCATTCATCTCTTTCGTCAGATGAATTCCTAGGTATTTCATTTTCTTTGTGGCTACTGTAAATGGGATTGTGTTCTTGATTTGGCTCTTAACTAGAACATTATTGGCATTTAAAAATGCAACAGATTTTTGTACATTTTTCTATCATGAACCTTCACTTAATTTGTTTATCAGTTCCAGGAACCTTGTTGGCAGAGACTTTTGGGTTTTCTAATTCTAGAATCATATCACTTAAAAAGAGAGATAACTTGACCTCTACTTTTCCTATTTGGATGTCTTTTATTTCTTTCTACTGCCTGGTTGCTCTGGCTAAGACTTCCAGTTCTACGTTGAATAGGAGTGGTAAGAATGGGTATCTTTGTCTTGTCCCAGTTCTCAAGGGGAATGGTTCCAGCTTTTGCCCATTCAGTATAATGTTGGCTATGGGTTTGTCATAATTGGCTCTTACTATTTTGAGGTATGTTTCTTCAATGCCTAATCTGTTGAGGGTTTTTGTCATGAAGGGATGCTGCATTTTATTAAAGGCTTTTTCTGTATCTACTGACATGATTTTATGGTTTTTGTTTTGGGTTCTGTTTATGTGGTATATCACACTGACTGATTTGTGAATGTGTTGAACCAACCTTGCATTCCATAAATAAAGCCTACTTGATCCTAGTGAATTAGCTTTTTGATATACTGCTAGACTCAGTGTGTTAGTATTTTGTTAAGGCTTTTTGCATCTGTGTTCTTCAGGGATATTGGCCTTATACACCTACCAAAGAAGATGAGAGTACCATTGCTTCATATCCTGACAAATCTGTTATTATCAGATATTTACATTGCTTTAATCTGATAGATATGAACTCTCTTACTATGGCTTAAATTTAATTTTCCTGATTAATAATGAGGTTGAGCATGTTTTCATATATTACGTAGTAATTCCACTACTTGAAAAATATTTTAAAATTTCATTCTGTTTTGTCTACAAAAGTATAGCACCTGTCTGAAAATAATTGCTTATTCTACATGGACTATTAAACAACATACTAAAGGGTACTACAACTATTAGTTCAGCAAATATGGTGATTTGGGTACATTTAATTTGAAGATATTGAGAAACACTGATCTAAAAATAGTAAAATAAGGGCTACACATCATGATATAGCTGGCTTCACTGTAAAGTAAACTTTGCATATTTGACACTTCCTGAGTAGTTTGCATCTGTCTTAATTACAGTGAATGTATATCTGAAAGCTTCTGAATTCTTACATATTAAGGATGCAATTAATAGGTCATTAAAAAGTAGTAGGGATTCATTTAACAAATATTTTTTCAGACATATATTCTGGCCATGTATTATGTTGAGAAATGAAATGAAATGATGACCTAGCCAGATACAAGCTCTGGTACCTTGGATTTTATAATCTAATGTGGAAATACATTTAAATGTCTAGTATGTTTTCTGTGGAAGCACTCAATCTATCTGAACTATATTTACTGGCCAGACCAATGTTCATTTTTGATGACATTTTTATCAGAATTAAGATGCAAGAAAGAACATTGTAAGATACCATAAGGTAAAATTTTGCACATCTGGTTGGGAACATCTCAATATTTTTCATGATCTCCAGCATCTCCACCAAATTCTCAAAACAAAATAAAACAGAACGATGAAACTCAGAAAATTAAATGTCTGTGCCAAGTATCCTATCCCAGAGGCTGGATAATATGTTTTATGAAATCAAATAAAAGATATTTTGGTGATTTCAGCATTTTTGGAGGCCCAGAATGATCAATTGAGGCCAGGAGTTTGAAACCAGGCTGGGCACCACAGTGAGACACCATCTCTACCAAAAAAAAAAAAAAAAAAAAAAAGGAAAATATATTAACCAAGTATGGTGGTATGCCTGTGGTCCCCACTACTCGGGAAGCTGAAGTGGGAGGACCACTTGAGCCCCAGAATTCAAGGCTCCAGTGAGCCATGACTGTGCCACTGCTCCAGTCAGCCTGAGTGAAAGAGCAAAAACTTTTCTCTAAAAAAATAAAATAATAAAAAAGATATTTTGCAATTTTTAGGTAATGCAACTCCAGAAAGCTTGAAATCTCTACTTTAAGGTAGAGATCTTTATTTCCTTGTCCTACAGCAGCTGCCATGGACAAAACATATTATTTTCTACCCTATCATTCACCTGAGACTTCATGGTGGAAAGAGCACAAATATGGCTGAGGCATCAAGATAATTTCCGGCTTCAATGGTTCCATATATCTCTTTCAGAATTAAATATATTTTAAGAAGGGAGGGAACAAACAGCAAAGTAATCTCTAGTTTAAGTAAACTGTTTATTAATCTTCTAAGTATTTTCATCTTCGGCTGGTTAGTAATTGAACAATAGTTTTTAAACGACTATGTGTGACTTCCTAGTACTTTGCAGAAGAGCCTCTGGGATTCTGCACACATTGGACTTAAATTTTTGAGTTTTGTGTAAAAATTCTTTGATCATTCCAAAGTCATGTTAAGAGTGTATGACATAAACATCATTTTAACATGTTAAAAGCAGGATGCAGTGGCTCACACCTGTAATCCCAGCACTTTGGGAGGGCCAGGCAAGAGGATCACTTGAGGCTCAAAGTTTGAGACCAGCCTGGGCAACATAGTGAGATTCCATCTCTATAAAATTAAAAGAAAATTAGCTGGGTGTGGTAGCACACCTATAGTCCTAGCTAATTGGGAGGCTGAAGCTGCAATGAGCTATGATAATGATTGCACTCTAGCCTGGGGGCCAGGGCAAGACTCCATCTCTAAGGAAAAAAAAAAAAGGATTTTATAACTTATTTTTATGAAAAAGGGGCTCCACTTAAAGCCATAACACATCCATCTTATTTAGCTTTTATTTTCAGTGTTTGAATGTCTAAATAGCTTTCTTAGTGTTAGGGTGAAATATTTGAGGAATTTTAACTATTAATAATGGTGCTTATTAAATATTCCATTTAATTGGTATTCAAATTTAAATGGAATACTTTTTTCTGTATTTTCTCTGTGAAGAATATATAACTCAATGCTTATCCTTGTCTTTATTTGGACATTATGCCAATCAAGGGTTGACATTTACTCACTTCAGAAAGCTTAAGGATCTAAAAGCTATAGAAACGTACAAATTCTGATAAACACGCTTTTAAAACAGGATGCTAAATTTGGGTGACAAGGAATCCAAAGCCTTTTTTATAAATCCAGAGGAAAATTTTATTTTCATTCAATATTAACAGTGCTAACAAATGGGATAAACATATTCACTGAAATTGCAGGTAGGCAACATAATAAGTGAAGTAGCCCATTATAAGTGTGAGTGGTAGGAATCAGTTCAAGGGCCACAGCCTATGCCCTGACTAAACAGACAGCTGCTTTTCAGCTTTGGCCAAGCACTGCTACATGTGAATGTGGAACCAGAGTTCCTAGATTATGTGATTTTTCATAAGAGCACTGAAAACAATATTTTTTAAACATAAAATCTACCTATGCTGAAATGTTAGCTCAAAATGGAGACAGTGCTGGTAAAATAAAACAAGGCAGCCAGCCTTTAACCTATCAATTGTATAAATCAAACTCCCTCAAAATTGCTTCTACCTCAAAATTGCCTTGGCAAAACAATTTGGATCAACAGAATGATACATTTTGGCCTCTATATAATTGATTCTGGCTTGCAATTATTTCAAATAATTTCATTTTATATGTATCACAGGGACATAATATTTGTCTGCATTATGAAAGAATATATTCAATATCTAAATCTACATAAAGAATCCAGCATCACACGTCATGTGTGAGTGACTTAAGTATTTACAAATTTTTTGAGAAATATCTATTTCAATACACTTCATTCTTCTTTCATTGACTATCAATAATATATTAAAATTAATATATTATTGTAAGTTAGTATTCTCCCATAAAGTAATAGATTTAAATTTAACTCTTCAAATCCTCAGAAAAGAATGAGAGATAAAATTTCCTTGACTTCTTACTCATATTTTATATTTTCAAATTACTCTTATAGAAAGTCAGAACTATAAGGATTCTCAAAATGGTTTAATAAACTCCTTTATATTGTAGATGAATAAGGTCCCAAAAGGTGAAGTGCTTGTCCAATGTCACAGATAGTCAACAAAAGGGCTGAGAATGCAAAGAGCATAAAGTTAAGACATAGCATTTAATACGCCAAATTGAGTTATGAAAAGATTGAAATACAGAAAGACCATGTTAGAAAATATACGATATAGAGAATGTTAAAATATATACAACTGGTACAGATACAGACATCCCTGAGTGAACTTTACTAGGAAGTCTTTAAAAGGGAGATCTACAGAAATAACTTTTTAATTTAGGTCTATGAGGTCTACTGAAATAACTTTGCCCTTATTTTCATTGGATATCTCCTAGTATTTTGGTTATTATTATATATGTTGGTAGAGCATTTTTCAAGTTGTTAACCTAAAATAAAAGAGCTCTAGATGGGTACTGTTTGTGAGCATTTGGGGAATTTCAAAAAGGCTTGTGGTGGTAGACAGAACTAGTGTCCTGAACTTCAATAGTAATTAAACTCAGAATCTGTCATTCATCTCTGCTTTGCAAATAAGCTGAGAAATTCAGAGATTTCTCATTGACAGAGAAATAGGAATTTACTGGGCAGTTCAATAGAAAAAGGGTTTTAGAAACTGTAAAAGATGAGAACATTGCTTCTGGCTGTCAGAAGAGCTGACAGGATTCAGACAGGTTCCAGCAGGGAATTATGGCATTTTCTGTCAGAACCACAGAGCTGCTTGAGAGACCAGGACTGGATATTAATGTAGCCAGTGTGAATTTTCTCCACATACTAAGTTGCATACTTTATGTTCTAAAAAAACCTCAAATCATATTTCAAATTCCCTCTCTTTAGAGTAGTAAAAAAATTATACTTTTTGTATTTAATGAAGGGGACTCTTTTTCTCCCTAGAGATATCCAAGGATCTAGTGGAGTTGTAGTTAGTACCTGTTCAGAAATTGAACATAAGGATGAGGATATGGGCTGGTCTTTACTTAATGGGAATTGTGTCTTTACCATTACTCCTTATGCTCCATGATGGTGTTATTGAGGCTAGTCTTCTACTATATGTTGGGCACTGGTCTACTGATAGGCTCGTTAAATCCACCTCGGTAACAGCACTTGCTGAATATATGCTCAGCCACAAACACCCAGAGCACTGCTCTTTAGTTGCAATGCTAAGATGTTGGTCTTTTCCAGCATGTAGGACTAACTTCACAACCAATTAGTAAAAATAATTCAGACAAAGGATGAGCTAAGTAGGTGAGAGGTAAAAAGAGATCATAGGATCGGGGTGTGATGAAGGGTTGTGCTAACAAAATATGCAATCTTTGGGATTAGTTGAGGGAATATAGGACCATGTCTATGACTCACATAATTGGTTTAAAGTATGAAAACTATATAGATTGAAACTGGGGTTGAGGAGGGAGAGCTGGAAATAAATCTGCAAATAAAACTGAGAAACTTATTACCTAGATGTGGGGATATCCCAAGTCTGTCTCCAGCTAACAACACTTGGATAAACATGCTGCCTTGGCATATTTGAAGTAAGAAATAGGAAGCAAGCCTTGGTGTTCCATAAACATGTATTAACGAAGCCAATTCATGGATACATTTTAGTTGTTAGTACACAGGGAAGAGATTAAACTTTAATTTTTCTATGCTTTCCATTTTTTGTTAGTTTCTACCTAAGTTCTATTTTTAAAATTCTTATCTTTCCTTAGTTTAGGAGGCAAAATGTTTTGTTAGACCAAAGGCAAGGCGTAAGAGAAATTTTAGTTGTTGTGTAGTTTAGCATGGTGGGAGTAACTTTCATTTTGGCTTTGCATTTTAGAAAGAGCTAATAGAGCACAGAGGTGAAAATGTAGAATGGAAAAGTCTGGAACACTTAAAATATTTATCCTTTGTCATCCCAGGCTTTTCCCTTATGTAGAGTAGCAGGACTTCTGGGGAAGAGGGCATAAAGACTGCATATAAAACTATATATCAGAATCCTACTATGAGTGCCCAGGAATTTTTGGAGGCTCTGGAACATACCGTTAATATAGTCATAAATGACTTTTTCAAGATAAAAGAGAATCTTATCATTTCTTTCCTCATCTTTATTCTCCATTTTTTGTCTTCCTCCATTAGTACCAACAAAAACCTTTTCTAAATCTTCATTTAGAAAGAGTATGCTAAAAGAGCAAAGAAAGAAGAAAAAAAAAGGAAAATAAAAGAAATAGAGTATGCTGATATTCAAGTCACTAGGAAGTTATAACTACTGTATACTGGACTCTGATACCTTCCATAACTCATAAGAATAGTTAACATTGTACTGGAACAACTGGATTTCCACATGCAAATAATGAAATTGGATCTCTGCCTCATACCATATACAAAAATTAACTCAAAATAAATCAACGACCTAACTATAAGATCTAAAATCATAAAACTCTTAGAAAGATATAGGGGTAAATCTTCATGACATTAAATTTGGCAATGGAATCTTAGATGTGATATGAAAAGAAAAACAAAAGAAAAATAAGTTGGACTTTATTAAAATTAATAACTTTTATATATCAAAGGACATCATCAAGAAAATGAAAAGACATTTAAATTGGGAGAAAGTATTTGCAAATCCTATATCCAACAGGGCACTAGTATTCAGAATAAGTAAAGAATACTCACATCTGAACAACAAAAAGTCAAAAGCCCAATTTAAAAATGGGCAAATAACTTGAAAAGATATTTTTCAATGAAAATATACAAATGGCCAATCAACACATAAACACATTTTAAAATGCTTAACATCATTAGTGACTAAGGAAATAAAAATCAAAATCCATAGGGATCCCACTACACACCTACTGGTATAGTTATAAAAACAAAAACAAAACAAAAAGAAGTGTTAATGATGGACGGACAGAAATTGGAATTCTTGTACATTGTTGATAGGAATGTAAAATGATGCTGCTTCTGCGTAAAACAGTTTGTTCTTCAAAAAGTTAAACATAGGATTACCATATGACCCAGCAATTCCACTGAGTATGTATATATCCCCCCAAATTGAAAATAGGCATTTACAAAGATGTTTGCATACCAATGTTCCCTGTAATATTATTCACAATGTCTAAAAGGTTGAAACAACTCAAGTGTTCATCAACATACATAAATAGTTAAACCAAAATGTGATATTACCTATGATGGAATGTTATTCAGCCATAATGAGAAACAAAGTTCTTACATATGCTACAACATGGATGAACCTTGCAAACATCATGCTAACTGAAATAAACAAGGCACAAATTTGCAAATATCGGACGATTCCACTTGGATGAAATATCTAGAATTGGCAAATTTGTCTGCATGAAGGGAGAATGAGGAGTTATAACTTAAAGGGCAGAGATTTTTATTTGAGGTGATAAAAGGTTCTGGAAATACAGAGTGGTGAAGATTGCATAACATTGTGAATATAATAATGCCACTGAATTGTACACTTAAAAGTGGTTAAAATGGCAGATTTTATGATATTCACATTTTGTCACAATAAAAAGAGAATATCATAGCTAACATTTAGCAAACACTTAAAATATGCCAAGCTCAGTTATAAGCAAGCACTATTACATTAATCCATTTGATCTTCATAACCCTAATATATAATATTAGGATTATGCCTACTGCTATACCAAACGGCCCCCGAAATTCTAGTAGTGTAACATAGTAGATGTTACCCCCTCCCTGCTTCACATACTAGTCCAGTGAAGGCATTTTTGGTCATAGGCAGCTTTCTTTCATATTATGGTTCAGGGACTAGTAGCCTTATTGTTCACCACTTCCAGCTGATTGATGGAAGGGGAAAATATTATGAAGAAGGCACTATAATTTCTTGAAAACCATGAGCCTTTAGTGGTATACAGCAATTCAACTTTCACTCTCTTAGTGAGAAATAGTCACGTGGTCATACCTGAATGCATGGGAAGCTCAGAAACTTAGTGCCTGGCCACACAGCCATCCTTCAAAAATAACATTACACTGTGCAAGGGGAAGTATAAATTTTGATAGAGTACTTATTTTCTGTAGCAAAGGCAGGTGACATTATTCTGATTTTACAGGTGAATAAACTGAGCCACAAAGGGTGGACAGCTTGTCCAAGGTCACATGGTAGGTAAGAGGACAATACACAAACCCAGGTAATCTGATTTGAGGGTGTATACTTAATCACTACACTCTACTACCTCATGCTACAAAGGCTTTTCTACAAAATGGTAATGGTATATAATACTGCTTCTCATCTTTATCTTTCTGACACCTCCCTAATTTAGCCTTCTTCTTCAAATATGAAATGAGTGAAGAAATAATCTTTCAAGAATTTCCACAAATGCATTATTAATGCATCACGAGGATATATACTTTATGTTCAATGAAGACGTATTTATTGTATTTATCTGGCCATTCTACAATGATAGAAGAAAGAATACTACACACACATACACACACAAAATGCTTCTGTTTAGCTTTTAATTCTTGTCAAAATATTATTTAAGGAAAATTATTCATATTTTCTTTCATAAATTATGTGTTTTACATTGGGTGTAACCTTTATAAACATAGGGCTTGTGCTAAATACTTGTATCACAGTATAATCTCTTTGTAGAGAATAATTAGAGGATTCTGGAAAGATGGTGCAGAGTATCGGAGGGAGTTACATTTTTTTTACTGAGGTAAAATTCAGATAACACGAAATTAGCCATTAACCTTTTTATGGTATACCACAATTCATTGGTACTTTTTACATCCACAATGCTGTGTAACTATCACCTGTATCTAGTTCTAAGGCATGTGCATCACTCCAAAAAGAAGACTCAAATCCATTAAGCAGTCATTTCCCATTTACCATTTCCTCAAGCCTCTAGAAACAGTCTTTCTGTCTTTATGGATTTATCTATTCTGTACGTTTCATGTTAATGGAATCATGTACTATGTGACCTTTTGAATCTGACTTCTTTCACTTAACATACTGTTTTTGAGCTTCATTCATGTTGTAGCATGCATAAGTTCTTAAGTCCTCTTTATGGTTCAATGATTTCGCATTGGATGACTATCACATTTTGCTTATTCCCTCATTAGTTGATGGAGATTTTGGTTGTTTCCACTTTTGGGCTATTGTAATGCTGTTATATGAATTTATGTAAAAGTATTTGTTTGGAAATCTGCTTTTAATTCTTTCGTGTGTATATCTAGGAGTGGAATTGCTGAGTCATATGGGAATTCTATGTTTAACTTTTTAGGGAAATACCAAAGAGGATGGCTAGAATACACAGGGTGGCAATGTACTGAGAGAAAAGAGCTCCACAGAAATAAAACTTTGGAAATGTGAAAGAGTCCCTTTGAGTCTTCAGCTAAGTACTAATCAGCACATGCACTGGAGAAAACTACTTAAGGATTAGAGGTAACAGCACCTGGTGCTCACACAGCTCTGGGAATTGTTCTTGTTCCCACCACCCACATTGTTGAAAACCTCATAATTCATTATGCATCAGCTGTAGTACTCAGAGGATATTCCCTCAGTTACACAGCAAAATTAGCCCATTACTAAATGGTGATCTGGTCCCACCTAATAAAGCTTAGAAGACCCCAAAATTCCACTTTCTAAAGAACCACATCCCTTGAGAAAGCTCAAGAGTATTTATAGGAACACAAAAACATCCAGCATTTAACAAGATAAAATTCACAACAACAGGTATCTCATAAAAAATTACATGCAGAAAAGCAGGACAATTTGATCCATGTTAAAGAGAAAAAGCAGATAGCCAAAATGATACCAGAAATGACACATGGCAGATTCAATAAATAATGATAATAATTTTTTGTAACTGTCTTCCATGAGCTCAAGAAGGTGGAGGATTTACTGAACATATTAAGTAGATTCTTGGAAGGTATAGAAAAGACCCAAACTTAACTTTTCACATGAAAACTATATGTTTAATGTTCCTGAGATAGGAAGTATATTAAATTCTTACTTGACCTTTATAAGTAGAAAATTCTAGGCCTAGTGACTACACAAATTTTGATAATTTGACTAGAATTATCAAAATAAAGTCATGGCTTCTGTATTAGTTTGTTTTCATACTGCTATACTGAATTGCCCGAGACTGGGTAATTTATAAAGAAAAAAGGTTTAGTTGACTCACAGTTCAGCATAGTTGGGGAGGCCTCAAGAAACTTACAATCACGGTGGTAGGTGAAGGGGAAGCAAGGCACCTTCTTCACAAGGCAGCAGGAAGAAGTGCTGAGTGAAGGCTAGAAGAGCCCCTTATAAAACCATCAGATCTCGTGAGAACTCACAGTCACAAGAATGGCATGGGAGAAACAGCCCTCATTATTCAATTGCCTCCACCTGGTCTCTCCCTTGACACATGGGGATTATGGGATTATGGGATTATGGGAATTACAATGCAAGATGAGATTTTGGTGGAGACACAAAGGCTAACTATATCAGCTCCTCAGTCAAATTCTGGACAAACTGTGAAAGTTTTCTTAAGTACCTGGAAGGAGGTATTTAAGAGGTTAGTTACCAAAGTGACTAGTTCCTCCTGAAAGTGGAGACTCCAAGCACATTTGGGCCTGCAATTGCTCTCCATTCCCCCTCTATCTTCCTGACACTGAGCTTGCTTAGTCAGTGCCCACAATTGTGTAGTCCAGTTCCCTTACTATTATTCTGTTACTATTTATCTATATTAAACAATAAAAATTAAAAATATGTGTATATACTTATTGGTTTTATTTCTCTGATTTCTCTAGTTGAAACTTGACTGATGTATACCTAAAAAGATTTGAGACATACCAGGCAGTTGCAATACATGTATTTTATTAGGGGAGAGGTTTGAACAAAATGTAAAATAACTTTATAAGACCATCAAGGACATTTAAATACAGATCAGATATTTGGTGATATTAAGGAGTTTTGTTAATTATTTTCAATCTAATATTTTAGTTTTCTTAAAAAGTCTATAATACTTTTGAAGAAAAATGATGTGACAGAATTTGCTTCAAAGTATCCTGAGGTAAGGGTTACAAAGGAAACCTGATTGGTCAGTTGATAGTTTTGAATGTGGGTATATAGTACCCGGGATTCATTATACTATTTTATCTCTTTTTGAATATGTTCCACATTTTCTATAATGAGAAGGTAAAATGAAAAAAAAACTATTTTTTTTAGTATTTTTTCTACCGCTACTACAGAATTAGAACAGCTCTACTCAGTTTCTTTTTGTCTCCCTCATTCTATCATACAAATAAACACACACACACACAATCTCTGTATATATATATATGCACATATACATCCACATGTAAATGGTATTTTTTAATAAGTAAGCTCAATTTGCTCTCAATTATATGAAATGATACATGGATACAATAATTTAGAATTATATGATGTAAATTACACACTCACGACTTAGCATGGTTATGACTACATAGGGAAACCAAAAGATTAAATATTAAGGCAAAATCTAGGAATGATTATGGTAATGTTTTTCACATCCAAATGGTTTATGGTAATGTATTTTTTTAATATACAAGGATGCCAATTTGTTATTTTACTTATAAACACAAATAATCTTGTTATAACTTTTTATTATTTGACCTGTAATAAACACTGGAAATAGCAAACTACATTAGAAAGGAGCCTTGACCAGAGGCATTAAAAGCTTATCCAGAAGTCAAGAAATACTGTTGCTTATTTGAGTAGTAGGAAGTAAACAGATAAGAAATCTGAATAATCCATAATGCAAACTATTCCCTGATGCCATCTGTGTGTTTACTATTTATCATTTGAAGCTGCATTTCATTATATTTATAACATCTCATTTATTATTTCTTCAATTCACTTCATTTTCCTATATACAGTATTTTTTAATGAAGGAGCTATCCTATAAAAATGATTGTTTCCATCTTTAAATGTGAAAAGATACATTTAAAAAATTATATTCTACCAATTCCTATGTCTATTTTTGATCTCTGGCCTTACTTAGCTCTAGCTAAGAACATCACAAACGGTGATGTGACAATGTACTAATTTATTACACCACAATGATGGCATAAGAGTGAACTATGATAAATATTTCTATTATTTACACATAGAGGAATTGCAACGTCAAGTAATCTTATGAATCCACAAAATCTTACGGTTAAAATGGAAAGGTCCACAACAAAAAGTCATAGCTCTTGAGTATTATTAGGGTGACCATATAATAATCTAAGTTAGGACAATTTTGAGGGTATTAACAATTGTTCTGGGACATCTGGCCTAAGCTAGGATCATTTGGGGGCAATTGGACTTGGAGTCACCCTAGGCTTTATCAGAATACAGTATATACGGTATACAGTCCAAGTGATTTAAAACTTGGTTGACAAAACATATAAATACTAGTCAGTTATTGCTTTGTTAGTCTACTTTTGTAGTTCTTTTTTAAGATCGTTTTTCTTCTCCTTTTATATCTTAACATCTTTATCTTTCATTGTTTTACTCCAGAAATTTTTCACATCCGAATGTTTTAAAAGATGCAACTATCACATTTTGAACTGTGGTTCCAAGAAAATGTATTTTCAACTGTAGATTTTAATAAGTATTATTGTTTTTAAAATGCAAAAATACAGAGAGTAAGTATGTTGAATATATTCTTTACATTAATCTTGTTTTCCTTTGTATTTATTTTTCATTGTGCCTAACGGTACATCATCAAAATGTGTACTGCTAACTCATTTAAAAATACCTGGTAAGGTACATATTATGTACATTGATTTTGATAATATTCTTTGTCAGATTCTACAAATGGTAGAAAATATACTATTTTTTTTCAAGAAAAAGGAACTTACAGAGCATCTATCAAGTCTCCTATTATATGGATGGGAAAATTAAAATTCAGAGAAGTTAAGCTACTGTAAGTCACAAAGTTAGTGCGTGGAAGAGTCATAACCAGATCATCAATTCAAGGTTCCTTTTTTAACTATTTTGAAATAATTTTAGACTTAAAGAGGAGTTGCAAATATAGTAGAAGTTCTCCTGTACCCTTCACCCAGCTTCCCCTAATGTTTACATAACCATTATACAATTATTATGAAGTTCTTTTTTATTGCACTGTGTAGTCTTAGTTCAGATTTATTGCCTTTAAGTCAAGTGTGTAAAGTACGAAATGATACATTTCATAATATTTAGAAAAAGTGCTAGAAAAATTAATGATCCATTAGAAACCAAGGAAGCATATTCAGTGCCAAAGAATTTAGTATTCTTTCTAATCCTAACATATCTATTAGGATGACATATTTACAATTGGAATATTAAGATTTGGGGACTTTGAAATAGTATAGAACACATTTATCTCTCTATATAAATTAGTGTGAGCTTTCATACTTTTATAAACATATCCACCAATAGTGAATTTATTATTAAGTAGAGAAACATGAAAACTGTTTAATTTTTGACAAGGTAAAGTACAATAAATAATTTTTCTATTAGTGAAATCTTAGAAAAGTATTTCTAATCAATACGTCTATTTATAGAACTTGTTATAAAAGAATTGGGATAGGTCATGTATCTTTTGGTATATATTTGCTCCTATTTTCTTTGTGCTACATTGAACAGCAACAACAAAACAATAACAACAACAAAATCAGAATACATACATTGATTCTTCATGACTTATACCTTAAAAAATTAAAAATTTGTTTGTGAAGAGCCCAGAGAAAACAAATTATTCAGGCTTTTTACACTCAGTGCTTGGTTACAGTATTTGAATTATAGAAATTATAAAGCCTTCTTTTTTCAGTACTTCAAGCTTTCCAAATTATTTCATTATCCTTACTATTTAATTCCCAACAATACCTTCTATTAACAGTCTTCTCATTTTCTTTTCCCCTAAATTTAGGTTGATACTTGTAACGAACTGGTAGAGCCTCACTCATATGTCTGTGCTCTATCATTTTAGGGCCCACTGGCCTGATTTTCCGTCACCGTGGGGATGTTCTGACACCAGGAGGTATTAATGCCCCACTGTTTCCAGCCTGTGTAAGGGCAGCGCAGACTCCAGTGACCAGAGAAAGTGCTCAGAAAAAGATGCAGTGCTGGCAGTTGAAGACTGGCCAGCATGAATTGAGTTAATGCCACTAGGAATAGATCTTGACCAATGGCTGAAGGGAGCTAGTACATATATACCTCAGCTTTCTCACACTTCCAGTGGGATAGTTCTAGGGCTAGTGTTTTAAACTGGCTCCAAGAAAATCACAGTGAGATTAAAAACAATGACAACTTGCTTGGCAATTTACACTTTTTTTTTTTTTTTTTTTGCTTTCCTTCCCTTCCCTGCCTCACTTCCCATGTCCTACTGTGCTTCCTGAAATTATTTCCAAAATACATTGCTTGCACTTGAATCTTTAAATCAGGGTCTGCTTCTGGTGAGACACAAATTCAGAAAATGTTTTCCCAAAGCGTTCAAGAGACATTCAAGTAGTGGGAGTATTTATGTTTTGTATTATGTTTTGAGTAACAGGATCGATTGTAGGAAAAGCAAGAGAATGGAGACAAAGTGAGTTTAGGGATATCTGTGGATATCAACTATCTGTCCTTTGTCTTGAAAGCCAATCATTGTTACTGAAAATAGAAAATCTTATGTCTATATTACTTAGCCTGAAACAGGAAGAAAACTCTCTCAATAAAAGACAATAAAGAACAGGGATTTTTTTATTCATATTAATATCATTTTCTATCATAGTTGCTTATAACTAACACAAGTTCTATGGTGTCTTAAGGTGTTATAAATATTATTAAATTAGTAGAGCTGAATTGCTTTGTTAATTAAAAAATAAAATTGTATTTCTTTTTGGAGAAAAGGTCAAACGCTTCTATTATATTTTTAAAAAGTATATTCTAACAGTTTATTTGTAGCATAAAAGGTATATCATACCAAATATTAATAAACTGAGATCTACTGTACATTTTTAGTTATTCAGCTTTATTAGCTGATACAAAATGCAGAAAACGAAGGGTAAAATGTTTGTGATGTCCATTTAATCAGAATTATAGGGATATGCAATAAGAATGATGTAGAAGTATAATTTTTTTTAAAAAAACAACAAAATATACTAAAAAATGGAAGCTTAATTAGAATGTATTCTCTGATAATCTTCATTGTCCAGATTATTAATAGTTCGTAGCTGACTGATACTTTGATGTCTGACTAGGTCTTGGGATAGTCTCTGTGATTCCTGGCATATCATACCTAAGTTACCATTCAGCATCCCATCCACATTAAAAATTATATCTACCATTTCTGGGCCCCATGGAGTGATAGGTATAATAGTATTTAAATATTAAGTCTGAAGAAAGAAATCAGAGAAGGGTCAAATAAATACTATAAGAATACAGTGTGACTTTTATTTAATAGCATGTATCTGTAAAGCAATTTAACTTACAAGCTCTTTTTCAACTTAACTGATGCATGGCAATGCCAAATATTTTCTAAACTATGTTAGATATATTTTATTTTTAGAAATTTGTTAAACTAAGGTTTTCCAATTCTAACCTCAGTCTTTCTCCAATTCAAAATTACATTCTACTGAATACTTTGCTCGAGCTTTAGTGTAATATGTTTGAGTTATCTGTCCTTCAAATATCTTTGTCCACTGTTGTTTACTGTTTTAAAACAATCTAGTGCCAAATACCAGCCCTTTTGTAATTTTTCATTTAAAAACGTCCTTACATAATTTTGTACACTGAACACTTTGTACAACGTCTGGCATCAGCCTTTTACTATCTTGAATACCACATACTTATTCCAAACCTTTTTTCCTCATCACAGCTCCATTTGTACCCAATTGTATGTTTAATTCCTCTTTATTTTGGTCATGAAGGCTATATAGTGGTTTCCCATAACATTACACATCGGATCAAAATTTTGGACTTTGGTTAATAGACCTTTTCCAATATGCACTAACTTACCTGCTTTCCTTTTCTTTCAGCTCTCAGCATACCTTCTTCACTGATTGAGGCAAACGTGTTTTCCGTAGTCCAGATGAACTTTTAGTCCGAAACTAAACGTTATTCTCTTCCTCATTCAGTGGACTGATATCTCTCATTGCTTAAAAAGCACCAGAAATCCCAATGCCTCCTAGATGATTCTTCCAACAAGAACGCTATGAGGAGCGTTAGCATTCCTTGCTATTGCCTATTTAATCTATCAGGAATTAAATTTTATTCTATTCACTTTGGTTATTGCCTAGATATGCATATATTCTTGGTTAGAATATCATAATTACAGTGAAGTTCCTTCTTATGCTTAGTATGAAAGCCATCTTTTTGGCTGAATTGTTGTAGTGGAAAGTATAGGGAAGGAATAACTTCATTCTACAAATCTAGTGAATATGTTTATACCTTTGTACAGCTTAGAATACATTGCCACAGTCTCTCTCGTTTGACTCCCAATAATGGTGGAAATTGGTTGGAGTCTCAGTCTCTGTTTTGAGTGGGAGGGAATCCGGAGCTCTAATGTATTACAATACTTAAGACAGCAGCCTTTGCAGTCACGAAGACCTGAGTTTGAAATTACTACAATGTTTATAACTGCGTAACTTTGGGTAAATTTCTAATATCTTTAAACCTAAACTACCTCATAAAATGGGGACAGTAATAACTACACGACATACTGCATGTAATTGACACAGCATGCAAAGTGGATTGTTTGCCACGTGGTAAGTAAGCCCTTAATAAATGGCAAGACGTTAAGGGATTTGCCCAAGATACACTTGTAAAACAGCCTACAAGGACCAGAAACCAAGGAAGATTTCAGACTCCGAATCCCATGCTTTTCTACTACCCTGCTTCCTAGAACACTGAGTTAATTAAACTACTAATTTGATGAACGACCTTGAGCAAAATACTTCACTGAGTCAGTTTACTCATCTGTAAAATGAGGGACTTGATTTAGATAATGCCTAACGTCCTTTCAGAGTCTATTCCAGCTACATTAGATGTTTTATCCGGTGTTGCAGGGTTGACGTTCAGGTCCGTGATATGTCCAAGATCTGTATAATCATAAGCCGTGCACATGGCAATGAATTTTATTCCGACACTCGTATTTCGTTCAATATTTAGTTCTGTGTGCACACTCAGCTGTTGCCTGTCTTTAGTCTGCCTACCAGCGCCTTGTGAAGGGAAGACCCACACCTAGCTTTATTTATTTATATCCTGGCTTGTTCCCGAAAGGATTTAAGGCGGCGAGTGACACTCTAAGTCCCCTAACGGTGTCACACAGTGCGATTAAGAAATCCTCTTTGGATGAAATCATACCGTAGAAAATCGCCGATGAGTGAGATGCTAACTAATTAATGTCTTTTACCCAACTCTTAAAAATAAAAACTAATGCACCTAGCAAGAAGTCCTGGAAGCATACAGTGCTGGCTCTCCCTCCAGCTCTGACGCTGTCCCACCCGTTGTCAACGGTCACTCGAATGCCCTTCTTAGACTAGCCAAAATTGTCGCCGCTCCAGTACCAGCTGGACCAAGATCCCACCCCACCCCTTCGCTGCCCCTCATCACCCAAGTTTCCTGATTGGGAAGGGGCCCGAAGAACCTTTCTCACATTTCTATTTTATTGGCTGGCACGGCTGTCAGTAATCTCTCCTTCCCGCCTTCTAGCCTAGCGCGTTTCGTGGACCCCTTGGTTTCTGCGACAAGCCGCTTACGTTTGCCTGAGCCGTGTTGCCGGGGACCAGCGACCTTTCACCCCTCCCTTCCCACAGGAGCGCCCCGGCCCCCGCCCCCGCCCCAACCGCCGGCGCGCGTCCTCACCGCGCACGCGCTCCCCTCGCGCGCGCACACGCTCGCGCACACACGCTCCCTCGCCCCCGCCCGCGGAGTTCCCCCTCACCCCTCAGCCGCCCCGCCGGCTGAAGCATCGGCGCTGGGAGGCGGCGGCGCTGCTGAGAGGCAGGGACCCGAGCGCGAAGTGTGTGGGAGTCTACGAACTCAACCCCTCTCTACCCTCCCCTCACAGCCACCCCCCTCCCTCCCCGCCAGCCCCCCCCAACAAGCGGGAGAAATAATGAGCGAGACCGGGCGGCAGCAGCAGCAGCGCCGAGCAGCCCAGGCAACGGCAGAACCGCTCCGGCAGCGGCGGCGGCGGCAGCACCAGCAGCGGGAGCGAGCGCAACGCTAGCGCGGCGCGGGGACCGCCGCGCTCCTTCCCGGCTCCTGCCCTCCTCTGCCGCTCGCTCCTCTCTCGGCATCCACCTCCTTCCCCTCCTCCTGCTCATTCACTCTTTCCCTCACTCTCCCCTCCTCCTCGGCTTCTCCCCGCGCCCCGCCAGCCCTCGCGCTCTCCCACTCCCTCTGCCTGTCCTCCCCGGTCCCCTCCTCCCGCTCATTCACTCGCCCCTCTCCCTTCTCCACTCTCTCCCCCTGTCTCCTTTCTTCTTCTTCTTTCACCCTCCGTCTCTCACACCCCCTCCATTCCCCTGTCTCCTTTCTGACACTGCACTGCAGCTGCTCCTCAGCCCTGCCCCCTCCCCAGTGAGAACAAACCAGCAACATTGCTTTTTTTCCTAAAGAGATTTATATTGATCCGATTAAAAAAAAAAAACCTTAAGAAACCCCAAACGCAAAAAAAAAAAAAAAAAAAAAAGAAAAAAGAAAAGAAAAAGCCAAAACAAAAGGGAGAACCTTCTCCCGGTAGCAGCGGCAGGAACTGCAAACATGATGGCGGCAGCTCCCATCCAGCAGAACGGGACCCACACTGGGGTTCCCATAGACCTGGACCCGCCGGACTCGCGGAAAAGGCCGCTGGAAGCCCCCCCTGAAGCCGGCAGCACCAAGAGGACCAATACGGGCGGTGGGTATCGCTTCCACCTCCCCGCTGGCCCCATCCCCCGCCGCCCGCCCCTGCCTCCCTCCCTCGCCGTCCTCCCTCCCTCCTTCCCTCCCTCCCTCCCGCGGCCCGGACACCTCCAGCCCGAACCCGGCGGCCCCTGCGCCCCTGCCCCGCGCCCCCTCCCCTGCACCTGCCCCGCGCCTAGGTGTCCCCGACACATTTCCATTTCTGTGTTTATCATTCATCAAAATGGCGACCAGTTTTTCGGAATAGACCTATCTTTCCATTTAATCGGTCCAGAGGTTGACCATGTAAATATCCTAGACCTGGGCAAGAAGGTCCATTCAGGAGGAGGAGGAGGATGACCCCGGAGTGAGGTGATGGCCGCCCGAAGATGCGCGCTGCGTTTAACAGTCTGATAAAATAAATAAATAAATGGCACTTGGGTAGCGGATTGCGAATGACTGGGGCGCCGGAGAGTTTTTCCTCTCTCCATCCTCTTGCTTTGGGCCACAAGTAGTATGCAAAATCTTGATGAGTGCATGCCCTTACCGCACTTAGATTGTCGGTGCAAATATTTCATTGATTTGTCTTCAGGGGGGTGCATACGAGGGTGGGGGTGTCTGGAACGGTGACTTGTTAGTTAACATCCTGCGCTTCCTTGGAAGATGAGTTTTAACGGGACCGATATCGCTTCTTCATTTGCACTGGAATCATCTTAACAATGCACCCAATGCATCGAAGCAGAGGTGAATTTATCTCCAGCATATGCATTGTAGACGGATGGGGGTCTTTTGAGTGGCACACCACAACATTTGGAACATTCATTCACATTAAGAAAGCTGGATTTACCGGGGTGTCTCCTGTATAAGATGTGATCAAGTTGACGGAAATTAAAGTTTGTGGAGTTGGCTTAATTTTCTAAAACGTTTCATTTTATTTTTCCTGGTTCTTCCACCCCCTTTCCGTTTTAAAAGTTGTGATTATTTTGGGAAAGGAACATTACCTGTTTTGTCACTTTTAAGCCTATTTAATATAAATGACTCCTAAGCTTTTTAGTATTGGCAGAATTCTTCTTAAGGTCCTTTAATTAATGAGCTTAAACGAGATCACGGTAGACTAAGAAGTGCTAAAGAAATGCACTAGGATTAGTTAGATTTGCCAGTCCACCACACTGAGTTATTTCCTGGCAGTTATTGAAGACTTGGAATACACCCCACAGTTTGGGTGGATTATTTGGTAGGAGAATGGTTGTTTTGCGGACTTTAAGTAGGATATAGGCAATGGCTAATTGTAGTCCTTATGTGTCTGCTAATGACAAATAAATATAGCTCATCACTATTTACAGTCCTGGGCTTTTCTTCTTTTTTAATATGTTAAGTGAAGGTTTGTCATCTTATAAACCTCTGAAGTTTTGTTAAAGGGTCAGTTCATTTCATTTTGCCACAGATAGAATTGGAAGATTTCCATGTTTGGAATAACAACTGGAATTTAGTCATCAGTTTTTACAGTGCTGCAAAATAATAGAATATGTTTATATTTTAATTCCAAGCTTGAAAGTATAAATCCTATAAAATGGGAAACATTTTGTACCTGTTTGTTTTTCAATGTAATTGGCTTATTTTCATTCTCAAAAAATGTTTAACTTCATATTTCCTGCAGTTATATACCCAGTGCTTTAGTTGCTGTTTTTCTCTCTTGAGGGTGGAGAGGGGATACAAAGTTTGAAATACTGTGTTAACCGAGTATATTTCTTTGCATTTTTCAGAAGACGGCCAGTATTTTCTAAAGGTTCTCATACCTAGTTATGCTGCTGGATCTATAATTGGGAAGGGAGGACAGACAATTGTTCAGTTGCAAAAAGAAACTGGAGCCACCATCAAGCTGTCTAAGTCCAAAGATTTTTACCCAGGTAGGTGCAATGGTGAAGAGATTGTTTGATGAGCTCCCCACAGGAAAGAAAGATCTACTTGTGTTGTGTGCTGTCTTGAAAGAATTTTTAAACAATACTGGAGACTTTATTTAGATATTGCTTTATAGGAATATATTGTGGAAAAATTTTCAGATTATTTCTATTGTTGATTATGCCTTTTTCCTATAATTGTTGTACCGTGTATGTGAATTAGACCAGTTGCAAGATGATTCGGGTATTTCTGAATAATTCTTATTAGCAAAAAAACTCAAAAATTTAAAGATAGAAACCTGGACAGCTGGCATCAGGAAATAGGGTTCTTCTGAAGTTTTCAGACATCATTGTAATGACAATTAGCTTAGAGTGAATTCAGAAGAGGGGGGTAGGGAGGCTTCTTAAAGAATGGACCATTTACTTCTGAATCCATTATGTACCTCTTTCTGCTTCATTGCTTTGTTTGTTGGCCTTGGAGTGAAGTAAAGAGGACAAGTGTTGCCTCTTCAGATTTTTTAAATATTGCAGTTTTAATGCAATTGATATAAGGAAATTTATACTGTTATGCAAGAAGTAAAATAATGCTTCAGAATTCATGTTAACTTAAGAGCTAAATTTGATTAAATATGTTGACAGTGTAGTACAGTAACCTACTGGAATATGGGAAGTTTCCTTGGTGGTATAAATTTTTTGTTTTTCACTTTCAAGTATGCCTTTTTAAGTGTTAAATAGTTCTGCATGTCCATCTTTTTCTATTTTTTTCTTACATTTTGCTAATCACTATATGTATTTTAGGTTTAAGGGAAAAGTCTCTGTAATTGAGTAGTACATTTCCTAGATAAAACATTATCAGCTGATTTGCTTTTATTTAAATCTAGCTTTCTGTGATTTTTTTAAAGGTTATTTTATCTTTATGGCTGTCAAAAACGTTAATTCAGTGCTGAGGGAACCAATACTGCTTTAATTTTTTTCTTCCTGGTGGAAAAGAAAAGCTGATTTGCTTTCAGTGATCTAATTCAGTAAGAGTTCTTTAATACAGCAAAGACATCTGGCATGAATGTAAGCAGAACATTTGGAGGACTTCTTTTTCATAGCCAATCACTTGGTATTAGAAATGGACCATTATACTGGATAAGAAGGTTTTAGAATGGTTGAAACTATCATTTAGTTTTACAAATTAAATGTAGTATTTTTTGTAAACATTAAACTTATTAAACTAAAAAGTAATATATTAGACACGATGTTCCTCTAAAGTTTGTTTCCTATGAGTGTAGTTTTGCAGATGGCTTTCCTTGTCTCTGAAACTTTCCTTATGCATTAAGAAAGTTTGCTAACATATTCACATTCATATGTTTAAAAGGTATATTATGATAAAAAAAATCAATGTGGAATTGTGAAAACCCTTAGTACAAATAAAAGCACTCAAAAGAGCTTGATTGCAGAATTAATAACGTGATAGTTCTAGGAAAAGAGCTGCAATGGTAAATTAAATTCACTGTCAATAGATGAAAATGAAATAGCTTTTTTGCATTATACATGAGGTGGTATCAGATGTGCAGGGATGTTACAGAAAATTGGTGTTTATCAAGGATATTCCAAATAGTAAATTAAATGCCTTTTCATTTGAATATAGTTTATTTTCAGTGGGTTGGAAAGGGTGCACTGAGAATTAGATCTTTTGTTTTTAGTCCACTTAGTTGTACATTTTTTGCTTATTACATTGAAATTGATTATTTTATTTATAGTTCTGAGGCATGTTATTTGTATAGAGCAAGAATATCTGTTGGAAAAAAATGGAAAGCTGGAATGCGTTGAATAAAATTTTGTGTGTGTGGTGACGTAACCTGATCAAATGTGAGTTGAAATGTTGGATAAAAGAAGTCTATACTTTACCGGTAACAGGTGGAAACCAATCACACAGTATGGGATCAATTTTAAGGATAAAATAAAGCCTCGTAGTTTATAAGAAGCTTAAAGAATTCTGAACAGTTTGTATTAAAATACAATTTTAACTGGATTATTACCTGTTTGGACAGATAATCTCTTTGCTTCAGATAGACATTAATTTTAATAGTCTTTCTCTTCGCACTTGACCACAAGTCTTCAGAATAATTTTAAGATCCCGGTATTCTTCAACATAGCCTCTGAGCGCTTTTCAGTTTCTCTTACTCAGATGTACGTAAGGGACACTTACCTTGTACATCTCAGATGAGCTAAATTATAAACTGTGATCATATCATCAAGTTATAAAGAATTTCTTAGAGGATTAATGAAATCATTTGGAAGCCCGTTTTTGTGTCTTTCATACATATATGAAGTTCTTAAAGCTATATATATGTATATTTATGACTGTCATAATCTACTGGAACAAATATGCCTAATGTTTATTTCATGAAGCCCCTTTTCTGTTTCTCATTTGGTAAGAGCATATTTGGGGAAAAGTCTACTTTAGTTGTATAACCTAATGGATTTTCTCAAATTACCCAAGTTTTTAAGCAGAATGTAATTGTGTTTGTAAGGTTTAGTTAAAATACTAGTGTGTTTTCGGAAACTTTCTTCAGGATGTGTAACACAGAATACAGACACACTCGGGACATTTTAATACATTTTAACTCAAACGATAGGTACTTTAAAGAAATTATAGCCAATATAATTTCCTTGTATGCTTATTTGTTTTTCTTATTTCTTTTGAAAATATCTTAAGCAACCCTGCCTTTATGAGTAATTTTTAAAATTATGGTTGAAATGAAAAAACATTTTTGTACACTAATTGAGAATTTGTACAGCTGGATATTGCATTGCATTTTTCAATGTCGTGTATTAAATAACAAACTTGAGAAAATTGTGTGATGAGGAATTGTAAAATGTATTCTTCAATTACTGCAATCAGATAAAATGATCTACAAGTAGATCATTTTTGCTGTACTACGTAATCCATTTATCTGTTTTACAAAATCAAATCTTACAGAGTACTGACTTAATTCTGGTGGTTTAGGAATATACCTTTTTTTTTTTCTTACATGATTAGAGCAAGCCAATTTGATTTACTTATATATCTTTTTATAACTAGGTTATAGCAAGTTACCTTGTAGTAAAAAACAGCTTTCTTGGTTTGAGGAATATATTATTGTATGCCTTTTCAGAGTGACGATAGTTTATTTTTATTCTTTTATTTGGCATAAGGATATGTTTAGTTTTTGTTAATAATCATATTGGTTTTATCTGTAAAAATTATTTAATGGATGGTTCAGGTAGGTAATCCGAAAAGCTTACTGCATGCATTATTGGTTGGAAATGATAACGGATGTATGCAATAAATATTTTCGTGTATTCCTTAGATTTTAGAACATATCATAGTATACTTATTTTTATTCTATTATATGGTATTCGTTACATCAGTCAAACAGAATCCTTCATTATAGTGTTGGAATCTGTCTATTTTACACTGTTTTAATATTTGTCATTATAAAACTAGTATCACATTTAATAAAAATATTTCCTTTTATGGTTCTTAATTTAAAATTTGAAATTATTATTTGTACATTCATTATATTTCAATTTTTCTTACTTTCCAAATTGGGTGGTGCTTTTTTAAAAAAAACACAAACCATTATACATTTTTTTAAATCATAAAAGAGCAGAATGTAAGTGAAATTTTTTTGTAGGGAAGGAAAGACCCAACATTGCTTTTATTTTGAAAAGGGGAAAATATAGTGGCCAAATTAAACTTTAGAACTGGAATTGTATAATTATGATAATTTTTTGCAAATCAGAGGAGATAATGAATTTAAAACATTATTTCTGTTTACATCATTGAAGGAAGAGTATTATGATATTGGTAGTACATATGAATGTGAATCTCTTACAGCTTCTAAAAGTTGCAGTCTGTACTTTGATCTTAGATGCAAAGAATATTGGACATTTGTTGGAATATATATTTTAAGGCAAAATTAGTGATAAATAGAACTGTAACAAGTACAGAAAATAAAATGGTATAATTTCCAACATTGTTGGGTGGGTTTAATAGGATAGTTATCATTACACTAGGTTATACTTTGGATTTTAGTGTTATCAAAGAGTTGCTGACACAAAGTGTTTTTCCTTGAATCTTAAAGTTGTAATGTTTATTTGACACACTACCTATTGTTAGGGTTACTTTTATCTTTTATCTCTATATCTACAGTTGAAGGAGAAACATAATCTTTTACTTAAACATTAGTATCTCTGAAAATTTGCTGTATTTTGGTTTAATTTTTTTTAATACTTTATTTTCTTACTTTAAGCAATAGGAAATCTTAACATATGAAGGAACATTACTGGCATAGCGCAATCTGTATTAACATTACAGTTTCCAAAAGATACAATTTTATTCGTATCTTGTGTATGCAGATGTTTTGTGGGGTTTTTAGAAAGATGAATTAGCACTAAAAATTTTAGCTGTACATTTTATTTGATTCCTTTTTGTATCATTTTGATGTTGACAGAGTAAGTTATAAGACATCATTAATTTATAGTGTTGGTGTTTTCATGAATCATATACATAATGCTACTTTGAAATTTGCTTTTTGATGCTTTCTGGGCTTTGGAAAAACAGCTCATTTAAAATTTGTGTCACTGTAATGAAATATATCTACAACATTGCCTTGCAAATACTACCCCAAAGGATTTCAGGAATAGTTTAAACATGTTGGTGATATAGTTCAATACTTATGTATTGAAGATGTTTCATACAGCAAGAGGAAAAATGATCTGTGTCTTGAAAATGCTAAGGAGTATGTGATATCACTAAAAACCTGACTGACAACCATCAGTGAAAAACTTATGTATTTTATGTTGTATTGTTTGGGAGTTTTTTGCTCTGGCTTCAGAGAATTAATTTTTTAAAAAATTATTAACTGACACAAATGACATTTATTGACTACATATTATGCTACTTGTTAACTAAATTTCAGCACCTAATAAATATTTTTGACCATAGAATTTTTAACTGTGGAGTCTCAGTTTTGTCCAGTTCAGTGGAGCTATATTTTAAAACACAACTTTTATGAGTAAGTTCTGCTTTTCAAAATAAAACTGGGGGGACGAAGGTGGGAGATTTGTGCTTGATTGCCATCTCATTTCCATCTTTGGATACTGCTTTAGCATAAAGTTAAACAACATCTGCAGAGATCTGACTGACAAACATCTCTCTGGGACTCATCATTGCAGCCTGCAGCAGGTGCATTCAGCTTTGCAGTCTTTTCCAAAAAGAGGTTAGTTTGTTTTAACATTTATCAGTAGACCAGTGGGAGCAAGTGACTAGAGAGAAGAGGTTAGTTGTCACTTGTTCAGTACTGGAATACTACAGGTAATTGGACTGGACTGGTGGGAACTGCAACAGTGTGTATCTCACATTGCACTGCAGCTGCTATGGAGCTTAATTAACCTGACCCTCAGAGACTGAAGTGTCATGGTATAAAACGCAACATGCAAGGAATGAAGTAGTGCTTTTCAATACTTTCTGATGCTTGGGTTGATGAAATTTCCATATTCTTCATTTTATTCTTTAAAGATATGGCATCAGCTTTCCTACGTCTTTAATATGGAAATATTTTCAACTACATTGATTTTTCATGAAACTGATAGAATGTACATAAAACAAGGATAGGGTCTTTAGGTATAGAAATAACAAAAAAATAACCTTAAGTGAGAAGCATTTACATTTCACTATGCCACCAGTACATATGTAAAACATGAGTGAGTGGAAATAAGTGGAAGTACTTGGTAGTTCTTCTTAAAATATTATCTCAGATTAACATTTATTTTTCATAGGAAGTTAAAACATTATAAAATTTAAGTTGTATCTTTTTAGAATATTGATGGCTTTGGCAAGTACACTTTGCAGAGTAGTTTGAAGTGTTCCAACAAACAGGACAGGTGTAGCATATTAAAAATATTTTTAAGATTTTGAACTTAATTTTACTGAAATGTTTCCCACATTTAATTACAAGTAAATTAAAATTTAGTCAAAATCTCAAAAAATTACTGTGTCATTTATTTCTGTTGTTTTTAATTTCTCAATCTGTTTGAAGTATTGACTTTGAGTATGCGTCTGTGACATATATACAAGTTTCTTGTGTGTTCTAATAGTATTCCCAGTGAATACAGATATGTTATCACAGTCCTGTTCATTAATCAGCCCTTAAATAGACAATATATTCAAAGGTAAAAATACATTTAAACGAAATCTGGCAAAGTCTGTACTATCTTAAAATAATTTGGAATGTAAAAACCATTTGAAGTCTTTGTAAAGCAGTTTTATAGCTTTGAATTTTCTATTAAATTTACTAATCTGAATTTTTTGGTATCCATTGAATATAATTTATTATTTACCAAAGAGTAGTTAAGTTTTGGAGTTTGCACAGGTTTTTTTTCTATTTTTTTGTTTTGTAAACTATGTATTTTTCCTGAAGGAATATTTACCAGTATTGGTAATAACTGTTTCATACTGAAGATACTGCTTGAGAAGAAAATAATTTTTACTTTAATTATGAATAGTTGGAATTTATTGGTAATTATAGCTGTTAAAAGAAATAAGATTAAAGCTATGCTATCTAGAGGTCAAGAGATTCATTCCAGTACTTTAAAACATAAATTATTTTATTCTCTTTTGACATGATTGACTATTTTTAATCAATTCTTATCAATATAAAAATACTTTAAAATTTCACATATATACTTTTACCGTGATTTTTAAATTTTTGTTTAATAAGACATTGAATAAGAACAAACATTTTAAGACTGCAAAGTAAAAAAGATAATTATTTACACTGATCAACTTTTTGAGATATTTTCAGTATTTTCCAAGTTTCACACCACTGTATGGATATCCAAATCTTGATCATGAAAACACCTACTATCTCCACTCCATCATTGATTCTTTGCTGCTTCCTGCAGGGCCTGTCATAGCATTGTTGACAGGAAGAGATGAAAAATGAAATTAATGTCTTGAGGTTTTTAACAGCAAAATGATTAAGGTAAGATTATTTGGTGTGGAAAATAAAACATTTTTGTCCATTTTTCAATGAATTTTATTCAATAGGTTATATTTAAAATTGATGTTATATTTTTCTTTTTTATTTCAAGACCTATTTTATGTCTTACTGATGTTCAATATATTTCTAATTTCTGATAAACTGTATTGCAGACTCAATAATTTAAAAATTTTAGATGGTAGTGTTTTTTTTTTTACCTTCCTTGTGAAACTGAGCATACATTTCGAAGTTCTGTGGAAGAACTTTTCAGTTCATTTTAAAGATGTTTGAGAATAGTTATACTCTCATGGCTCCATAATTTTACTCACAGTGTAAGTTTTCAGAGAAGTTTGTTAATTAAAAAGATTTCAAATCCTGCATTTCTTCTAGGATATGACAGAAGTTTACTTAGTTTACTTAGTTCTAAAAAATCATTCTGATTTTAAAGAAGATTGTCTTCATTTAAATTGTTAATAATTTGCTGCTGTAGAAAATACACTGGACTGAGACTGTGTTTTAAGATCTAATCTAGGGGGGAAGGGCAGAATAGAACCAATAGTAGTGCATTTCAGTAACACAGAATAGTAGGTAATAGGGTACCTACTATTTTAAAAAAAAACATGTTTTTGTTTTCTTTTTATGTTGCTAAATATTTTAGAAGAACTGTAGCTTTTTAATTTTGGTCATATTAATTCTTGAAATACCTGGTTTTGAAGTGGTTAGTGTTGGAGGTAAGTAAGCTCTTACTGGTAGAGCTCATTCACATACTTAGTCCTTAATTATTCTTTGGATAACCCATGTTTTTATTTTTCTATGATGATGATTTCTTTAAAAAGTGGTGAAGGTAATTTTTTTTGAAACTTGGTTTCATTCTTAAGTGTGAAGTCTGCCTGGAAGCTGTCTCTTGTTAATTATTATGCATATTTATCAGATGCTTCCTGTAAACGCTGGTGTAGGCAGCTATTTGGTAATCATTACTTAGAATTATTACAATGTATCTTTTCTCCATTCGAGGAATATAGGCATACTTTGCTTTACCCTGAGAAATTTTGCTTTGCTCTTTTCTCCTTAGATTTTTGTTTTTTTTTTTTTTTATATATTTTAGATCCCTGTTAAAGATTTAGGACAACACTTAGGAATAGCTAAGAGACTTTTTATTTAAAAGATTTGGAGAAATCATAGAGTTGTGGAAATAGATCAAAGTGATGAAGTTCAGATGATCTCTTCTAAAACTTTCATTTAACAGTTGAGAAAACCAAGGTACCAAGAGATTAAGTGATTTACGTAAGGTTTCTCTAATGCCAGTAATTGTCCTGTAGCTTTGAAATGTGTTTTCTGAATTTGTGGTGCAATTGTGGTAGGTACTTCATTCTCTTGTTTTGTTCTACTTTTTTTTTCCCTCCCTTCTGGATGTGACTCTGAGGAAGTAAGTCCTTACCTCCTCTCTCTCCTAGTCTTAAAATGAATATATGTTCTTTAAAAAAAAAAAAAAAACTGAGATGATGGCCCAGTGGTTATTTTGCCATTATTATTATTATTTTAGTTCATGTGCTACACTGAAGGAACATAGGCAGGATGCTCTTTGGTCATTAACAAATTTCTTTTAGAAAAGGATATCATAGGTTATATTGCCTGGAGCATGTAGCCTGGTCATTTTCTCTCTTTCCTTAATTATACTGTTTGAAAGTGGCAGTGTTTTTATGGTGATTAGATTTCTGCAGCATTGTTATTTTTCTTCATTTGTACTTTTTTTCTTTCTTGCTTTCATCATTCCTTAGCTATACTTCTACATTTTAATTTTTGGTTAGAGTATTGACTTATTAAAAAAGTAGGCTAAGTTAAATTTTGTTTTCAAGAATTATTTTAATAATATATGTATTTTTCATGTTTTTATGACTTTTATAAAAACTCCTGTAAGTATAGTGTATTTGGGTGAATATTCATAACATTTGGTTCAACAGATAAATACCATGATTAAAAAATAAGCATGAGGCTAATTGTAAGGCAACGTAGTAAAAATGTAGCTGTATTGTCCAGTAATTATTAATTTGAAAACATCACTGTTTTCTCCTTTTTGGCTATTCATTTCATTAAATTGGTCTACTCAGTTAATTAGAATTCTGATACTATTTTCATTGTGTTATAGGCTTAAGGACTATGTTCTAATATAATCATAAAAGTACTTAATGTGATTTTGAAGACTTTTCCTTCTACAGTGTTAAATTAAAACAAAAACTCTTTTGTGATAGTCTTTACTCACATCAGTTGAGTAATTGGATTAAGGTCCACTGATGTGGGGGAATTTATGGCATCCTTCTTGCCTGCTGTGTGTTTAACATACAGCGCAATTGTTTAATCATAGGTGGCACTGGAAATTTAAATGAATGTATGAATGAATGACTGAATGAACCATTTGAGATTTCTTCTGTGAAGTGCTCATGGAATACCAATACAGTGGATATAGAAGGCAGTCCATCTTTAGTTTTTCATTACACTTCTAGTTTACTTTAATAATGAATTTAGAAATTTAAATGAACAAGAAATGCATAGAAGTGTTAGGGTAGGTATTGGCTAGGTACAGTGGAGTATGACGGGAATTTTGCGTTCTGTTTAGCATGCTATCCTGTGTGAAAGAAACTGAAATCCAATATTATGGAGAGTATGTTAAAGCCACCTCTGAAATGAAGACCACCTTTAAAATAACTTAAGCAATATGAGTTTAAGAATTAGTTATTAATAAAGTATATTAAAAGTATATATATATTACAAGATTTTATAGCTGTATCACATTGTAGTTTATTTATGGCCACATGGCCATATGTTCAGTAAGGAAAAAGACCAATCATGATTTTTCTTGAGTACTAACCATCAAATTAAAGTGATATATTAGAAGTATGCTTACTAAGTGTTTTGTTTATAATATATTTTAATATCTTCTTCCCCAACTATAGTGGGGAAGTTAACATGTGACTTTGTTGGGGGAGGTTACATTGTTACATTGAGAAACTGGACAATTTACTTTTCTAATGTGCCAAGAAAAATAAAAAATACCAGCTGTATAGTAGAGTGGAACTTATTTGCTTATAGTTTGACTAACTTAAATATCAAGGTATTAGTATGTTACTTTATTTGAAATTAAAATTTTAGGGAAGATATTGAGTTTGGGATATTTCGGAGTCTTTACATACTTTGTAAATATATGCAATTTAAAGAGATACATGAAATAAGAGTGTTTTTCTTGTATTAATACATTGTTTGATTTTTATCATAGTAAACCAGTGAAACATCTAAGATTTAATAGATAGCACTCTTTCATGCCTTGTGATTAGTCTTCCACATTTTTGTAAATTTTATTTATATTTTAAAAAGTAATGGAGAACAGTGGGTTAAAATAACCATATCATAGTGTTTCTTGTCTGTTTCCCCGTGCCCTTCTTTGCCACGGATTTTAAGTATTATGAACATTAGTGGGCTTTGTTGGGGTTAGAACTAAGTATACAATGCCCTAAAATCTTAGATGGATACCAGGTTACAAGTTTGATAACTGTATAATGGAGAATTATATCTAGAAGTTGAAATTATCTCTGTTAGTGTCAGAGTCTTGGGAGGAGGGGTTAGATTTCGAAGAAGACTTCGAAGAGGAGCTGACAGGGTTTTGGGGACTGAATTTTAATTTGCTTGGTGAACAAAAGTGGAAAGTCATTTAAGGCATATATAGACATAAAGATGTGCAAAAATTCTGTTATATTCAGGGGTCTAAAAGTAGTTTGGTATTGATTGGATAAAAAGTGGATATTGCTGTTGGTGTGGGGGTCAGTGGTGGTAGGAGGCACTATAGATATCTGTACAGGTAAGAGACAATCTAGTGCATATGAAAAAGAAGAAAAGACTGGCTGAAAAATATTCTTCCTAGATATATTCGTTAGCAAGAATATTTTTTAAATCTACATCTGCTGTGTGTCTGTAAAATGACTGACAGTGGTACTGTAATTAAAAAATATATATTTATGTAAATATAGTGACACTTATAGTCTGGCGGATGGATTGCCCAGTTGTTCAAAAGTATAATTGAGTATACGATTGGATTCTGGCTTTCTGCTTAGGAAATAGAAATAGAATTTTATAAAGACCCAATTTACTTAGAAAGGAAAAGGCAAAGGGAAAGATGGGGCAACTAGAAATACAGAAAAGAGATGTTAAGAAATGTGAGTTGTGTTTAACCAGTTATGTGCCAAGTATGGAAGAAAAAAAAGGTGGAGGACAGTTAGTGAATGACAGATTTCTATGAAGAATGTTTTGCTATATGTGGGGAAGATCTTTAACTAATTTGCTTTTGATTCATAGCAGTTCAGATCATATACAAGAAGAAATGTTTCTTGTTTCTTAAATTCATTCAATATGTAGGCCTTTCTTGCTTTCTTAGCATATGAAAATATATACTTATTTTTAATTGGATAAACATGAGTGATTTATACAATATATGTGTGTGTGTGTGTGTGTGTGTGTGTGTGTGTGTGTGTGAATTTGATGCTGTTCAAACGCTAAAGTTAGGTATATTGTCAAAACATTGTTAAGCTATGTCAGTGAAAATTAAAACTTACTATTTATTAGTGGATTCTCTGTTATGTAATTTTTTTGCTTGAATTTTTGTTGATTATTGAGATAAAGCGGGATTTTTCATCATTTATAAGTATTTCACATAAGAATCAATCTTAATTAATACCCTTATCAAATTCAGATGAATTTTTAAAAGTCTGAAAAATATGATACTGTTTTTTCATTTAGAAAATGAGATTAAAAATCTATCTTGCATTTTATACTGATTTGTGCAATTATTGGCTACTTGTGTAGAGAAACATTAAAAAATTGAACAGCTGAAGTGACATTAAGCAACAGATGGGGATTTAAAATAAAAATATTCACTGTGTAATCTTTATTTAAGTGCTATTCATAATTCAGTAATACCAGTTGTGTAACTCAAGGTTGAATTCAATATAAAAAAGGAAGCATAAGAAAAGTCCCATTTCCTTAAAATTGATATCTGTATTATGGTATGATTTCATGATTTGTTTATAAAGTGAGAAATAATCTAGCTAAGAGTTGCATACATGTTTTTTTGCAGGTCAAATTCAATTCTTTTTGAGAAAAATTTTGAAGAAATTTTGAATTATTTCCAAATAATATTTATTTGAATTTAACATATTTTACTGTTTCTGCCTTTAAAATGATATTCTATTTTGTATTTTAGCTTATCTTCTCAACTGAAAATTTGAAACCATGCTTTCTTTACAGTAGTATTTTAAACTAATTGTTCTGAAGCGTATACCTATTCTGTTTAAGGAAAGGTATGTTCCTCTCAAAGCTTTATCACACTTTCAGCTATGCTGGTGTATTTGACATCTTGTTTAAAAACTAGAATGTCTCTGCATACGAACACCCAAACTGTGATAATGAGCTAGATATGCCATATGTGGCACTTTAGGTTGGCATATATCTGAAATGGCATGTTTAATGTACTGTATTACTAGGATTAGTAATTTTACAGTGGAAGGCTGCTACTTTTATGATATAGTCTCCTGCTGCTGGGCTTATAAGTCTGATGGACTCTTTACTCAAAACCTGTTTTTTAATTTCTGTAAAAATCTTTTTACTATTGAAATTATCTGCATAAGATCTATCTGGCTGATTGACTTATTATCTGAAGTTTGTCAAGATTAGTGAGAAGTAAAAAACATATATAGTTTGATAGGTTTATAAATGTAAATAGTAATTATGTATATTTTGTTAAGGAATAATAATGCTAACATATTTAGTATTGCCAGCAATGGTTTAGTAAAGTACATAATTGAGAATTGTTCACAATATTTTTATTTTTAGAAAAAAGTGCATAGGAAAAGCTTTGAGGTTCTATGGAGTCTTGGCAGTGAAGCCATTAAAAAGCAAACTGCAATAAATAATGTTCTTTTATGACAGAATGCTCAACTTTAAATTCATATTCCAGTTCTCATGGACATAATATTCATTTTTTATTTTTAAAATTATGCTTTTATCCAAGGGTTTTACTGAAGCACCTTCAAATCAGTCAGGAGATTGCGTTAAAAATAAGTAGATACTGCATTGCAATGAGGATAATTTAGATAATTTAAATTTAAGGTATAAGTAAAGAATGTAAACATTTTTTGACTACTTAAAATATGCAGAATAAGTACAATTTCGGGTTTGGGAAATGTTTCAACTAACAGTTATCTGAATTCTATATCTTTTGCAATTTCTGTGTTTTAAAAAGCCAGACTCTGAATTTCATTATGTTTTCATTTAAACTGACTCTATCACAGTTAATAGAAAATGGGATTGTGTTGTTTTTAAATTCTTTAGACTATACAACTAAAAGTTACTTGTTGATCAGTTATGGCTTAATGAGACCTTACATTTCTATAGGATTTTAATTCTTAAAACATCAGTGTAGGTAGAAGTTTTTGTCTTCATTTTACAGATGAAGAATATAAGATAGTGAAAGGTAAAATTATTTGTGATATGTCAAGTTAATAATGAACCTGTTTATTTTCTGTTATTGTGTAACAGCATTCTGTTATTTTGTATTTGCATCAAATTGTGTATAAATTTGAGTTCAGAAATGGAGTATTCAAAATTTAAGTAAGATTTATCAAACTGCCACATTTGCCCATCACTGGGAGATAATATTTCTGATAGGTTATACATTTTTTTCCAATTCATATGTAAATCCTACAAAAATTTTGCCATTGAAAGGAAAATAGTAATAACTAAGCAACATGGAAACATACAAAAGTTATTTTTTCAGCTGACCAGACTTGTGTATATATATAGAACCTTGATATCTTTCTATTTTCCTATTTTCATATTGACATTAGGTCATTAAGATAGTTTGAAATTGCTTACATGAAATGTAAACTTTGAGATTGTTTACATGAAATGATTCAATTGCCTTCATTTGGCCCTGTAAGATTTTGTTTCTCACTTTTTAAATTATATATAATGTCTACTTTCAAGATTTGTTGAATTATAGATTTAAGGTTAGAAAACTCTGGTCAGATCACTGTGATATAGTACTCAGTTTAATAAAAAATTTTATGAGGAAAATATGCAATGGATATTATACAATGTAGTTTATTAAGCAATTATCACATCAGTTCAGTACTTCTTAACGCCTCTGTGGAAGTACGACGAATACAAGACTTCTAGAGAACATGTGGTGTCAGACCAGAGTTTGAATCCCAGCTCTGCCACTTACTAGGTGTACTATTTTAATCAGTCATTTAATCTTCTTGTACCTCCAGTTTTTTATCTGCGTAATGTAGTATCTGTACCTCTTTCATAATTATAACTTTAGGTACTAAAAAGGAAAACTGTAAAAGCATGTCACATAATAAATATTTGGTGTATAATAAGCTTATTATGACCCTATCATTTTTCACCTCCTTTCTATGCTTGTTTCATTTAATAATACTAAATTTATAGCAGAGATTTTAATGTAGAATAAATTACATTAATGTGGCCCTAAAAAGGACAACATTTATATAAGGATTTTTAACAATTGAAGTGTTTTTTTCATAATTGTTGTAAAAATGCAGGTGATAGAATGCCAAAGCTCTGACCTATCCTCATCCCACACCTTTAAGATAATTAATATAAATAATTTCTTATATATTTTTAAACATTCTATTTTAAAATAGCAGTTATTGTTTTTAGTGGTAATTATAAGTGATCATCGTTTTTATAGATAAGAATGAGTTTTCCGCAAACCACCTATGTTGATTAATGGGTTTATGGAGCTTCTAAATACTGTAAGGTGTCTTTCCAGTCTCAGCTTTGTGGGTATTTTTGTTGCATAGCCTAAATAAGTGTTCTATAATACCCCTGAAGATATGCAGAGCTTTTTTTATTTGTTTATGTTTTTGCCTATATAGTGGAGAAGAAAACTAGGCATGTGAATTTGTAATATTAAAGCAAATTATAATAATCTCATGTGAAACATATGGATTTATTTGTTTTATAACTCATTAAAATTAACTTAATTAGCCTCTGTCTTCATCCTTGTATATGCAAATACAAAACATTAAAAATCATTGATTAGAGTCTTAATTGGGATTTAACAGGAATAAATCAGGTGGCATATAGAATATTTAATATTGTCTTTCATGATCTTTTTCAGGATACTAAGACTTCTGAATTTTTTTTCCTACTAGCAAAAATGAAAGTCATAATGCATTAAATGATGAAGCTAAATGTTTAATAATATAGATGATAATTCATAAGGCTTATTTTAAAGCTTTTTTTTTTGCTGTTAGTAAGATTTTTTTAGCTGGTGCAGTGCAGTGGTGCACACCTTTCATCTCAGCTACTTGGGAGGCTGAGATGGTAGAATTGCTTGAACCCAGGAGTTTGGGAATAGCCTGGGCAATATAGTGAGACCCCATCTCTAAAAATAATTTAATTTTGCAGTATAATTATTTATGAAAAAATAAGTAAATAAAAGTAATTTAATTTTTTTAAGTTTTAAGATATTGGCTCTGTCAAGGTCTTAAATATTTTAACTCATGTTCTTGCAGCCTCCATAAAGGATCTAAGAAATTTTAGTAGTGTAATTCTACTAAACGTATCTTTCAGAGGCCACTTTTTTTATTCCTTTCCATTCCTTAGCAAGTATTTTCCATGAGTCATTACACATATTCTTGATTGCCATTACGCTAAAATTGTTTTTTATGATTTGTTTGTATTTTGTCTTAATTATTGTATAAACTTAATTCTGTATTCAGATACTTCATATAGTAAATTAAATATTACTTACATACTAAATATTTTAAGTTTCATGTAATACTATTGCAAGATCAACTAACTGTAAGTATGATTTTTGTTTTGCGTGACTGTGACCTGGAGGACAATAAATTTAATAAGATTATACTGATTCTTAGATTGCTTTGTGGAAGAAATAAAATCTTTGTATTTGTAATAGTGTAAATTCAGTTTTATATTTGGAAGGGTACACCTTTGAATATATAAGAATACGATGGCTGGGCACCATGGCTCATGCCTGCAATCCCAGCATTTGGGAGGCCGAGGCAGGCAGATCACGAGGTCAACAGATTGGGACCATCCTGGCCAACACGGTGAAACCCCGTCTCTACTTAAAATACAAAAATTGGCTGGGCTTGATGGCGCGCGCCTGTAGTCCCACCTACTCGGGAGGCTGAGGCGGGAGAGTCACTTGAACCTGGGAGGCGGAGGTTCCAGTGAGCCAAGATCACTCCACTGCACTCCAGCCTGGCAACAGAGTGAGACTCTGTCTCAAAAAAAAAAAAAAAAAAAAAAAGAATACCACCTGCTATGGAAAAAAAAAAATAAAGAAACTGAGAAACTTTGTTAAAGACCATTTAATTCCAGAATGATTAAATAGACTTCATCTTTATGGTAATGGATTTATTCTTACATCTTTAAAATCTGTAGAGATGATGACAGTGAAGTCTGATTGGAGTGAGGGTTAAATTATATGTTGTCAGTGTATAGACGATGAATCTGTGTTAGTCTGTATTAGGGATGACTAAAGGTTATCACTGTCTTTATTAATATTAGGGTGTGGTTTTGAGTGTGAACTCTGACATTAACCCAGATTTCCTTCTCATTTGTAATATTTTTTACTTTTCTTTGGAATTAAAGCTACACAATATATGATGATATTAAGTCCCAATTCTGAAAGCTCTTTCATGATCTTCCTTGATGATCTTATTTTCTATTTCACTGAGAGAATTCTAAAAATTTCATAAGCTCCTACCACCAGATCTACCTACCTAAGTATATGAGTATCTGAATACTTTTACTATTTTGTTAAACTATGTGCCTAGCAAAGGCCTACCTCTACTTTTTTTCTATATTCCATTCCATTCCATCTTACCTACTTAGATATCATTTAGCAATTCTTTCTCCACTTTCCTGCAGTATCAAGTTCTTGCCCTACTGGAAATTATTTTTACCTACAAATACACTGTTCTTTCTCCCACTTAAAAAAAAAAAGTGTGTTTCTTTTTATCCCACTTCCTGTTCTGGTAATTATGGCATTAACGGTAAAATTCTTCAAATTTGTTGCCCATACTTGTGCTATCTCCATTTCCTCTCTTTTCATTTCTCTTTTGAAGCTATTCCAATTAGGACTTTGACCCAACCTTTCACTGAAACTACTCATGTTAAAGTCACTGGTAGCTTCTATACTTTTTATTCAGTGGTCAGTTCTCAGTCCTCCTTTTTATATAACCATCAGCAGCATTTGACACAGTGATCACTGTCTCCTTTTTGAAACATTTCATTTTGCTTCTGGTACACCTTTATCTCATTGGTTGCAGCCGTATATTTCTTTTGCTGTTTTTTTTTTTCTCATTTCCTTGGACTTCTTTTTTTCTGTCCGTGGTTACTCCCTTGGTGATCCAATCCAGTATCATGGATTTAAATAACCATCTGTTCTTTGATGACTACCAAATGTTTGTGTCCATTGTGGACCTTTCATCTGAACTCTACACTGATGATGCAGCTGCCTGCTTTATATCACTTCTATGTCTAATATGTATGTTAGAATTAAATATGATTTTAAATATTCTGATCTTTCTCTTGACCCCCTCAGATCAACTTCTCTCAGTCTTCTCCATCTTAATTGCAGCTTCATCTTTTCAGGGTCTGAGGACAGAAATATTTGAGTCATCTTTACCTTCTCTCTTTCTGTTGAACTTCAGATCCAATCTGTCACAATTCTGATTATATTTAAGATACTTGCCTTAAAGGAAAGCCATATATTCAAGCCAAAAGAAGATAACAGAAACAAAAGTAAATGTTACAGAAATGCACTCTGCTATGTGTAGGCAGGTAAAGAATTAACATAAAGATATGGTTGGCTGTGAATTCAGTATTAAAACTCTGGTGAATGACAAAAAAAAGTAGCCTGTCTTAGTTACTTGGTTGACCAGACTAAGCTCACAAACTATTTACAATTTCAAAGATAATTCACTGGGAAATCTAGATTCATGTTTAATTTTGTGTTATAGGGAACCCTGTAGGAAATTTATATTTAAGAAATATCAGTATCGATATATCCATTATAGTAGCATAATTATTTTTATACCTAGGGGAATTGAGTTTTAAAGAATAAGCATGAATATGTATCATGGAATGTTATTTAACCTTAAAAAAGGAGATACAGTGCTGACGTTTGCAATAGTATGAATGCATCTGGAGTATATTATGCCAAATGAAATAAGCCAGACACAGATAGATAGGTACTGTGTGACCTTATTTGTATGTGGAATCTAGAAAAATGTAGAATACCTAGAAATGGAGAATAGAATAGTGGTTACCAGGGTGGGGAGGGGAAATGGGAAGAGTAGGTCAAAAGGTACAAACATGCAGCTATGTAGTATGAATAAGTCTAGAGATCTAATGTACAATATGAGGATATAGTTAATATTGTGTTGTATACTAAAATGTACTAAGAGAGTAGATTTTACATGCTCTTATCACACCAAAAAAGTAGCTGTGGAAAGTGATAGATAATTTATCTGACTGTAGTAATCATTTCACTATGTATATGCGTATCAAAACATCATGTTTTACACCTTAAGTATATACAATAATAAAAAAAGGAGGCAAGAGGAGTAAGAAAGTTCTGAATAATACCTGTTCATTAGATTATATAAAAATAAAATCTATCATTGTTAGAAGACACAGTTAGCTTAAAATGTATACCTTATCAGGTGGTATGTGTATATATATATACACACACACAGACACACACATTGTGAATGATAAATATATATTGAACCATTTAGAATATTGTGCTAAATCAATAATTCATCTATTTGAGGATTATACCTTAAGGAAATTATATACTTAAAAATGTATTATCAAAATGGTCAATATTTGCCTGTAAAATATTTTGAGATACTGTACATTTATGCCTGTCAGCTGGGAGTTTCCTCATTTTAGTATCCGTAAAAATTATTCTGGTTGATAGAGTTCATTTATAATCATTTCACTATGTATATGCGTATCAAAACATCATGTTTTACACCTTAAGTATATACAGTAATAAAAAAGGAAGCAAGAGGAGTAAGAAAGTTCTGAATAATACCTGTTCATCAGATTATATAAAAATAAAATCTATCATTCTTAGAAGACACAGTTAGCTTAAAATGTATACCATATCAGGTGGTATATATATATATACACACACATTGTAGATGATAAGTATATATTGAACCATTTAGAATATTGTGCTAAATCAATAATTCATCTATTTGAGGATTATACCTTAAGGAAATTATATACCTAAAAATGTATTATCAAAATGGTCAATATTTGCCTGTAAAATATTTTGAGATACTGTACATTTATGCCTGTCAGCTGCGAGTTTCCTCATTTTAGTCTCCATAAAAATTATTCTGGTTGATAGAGTTCATTTATCTGTTTTAATTTAAATCTCTTAGGCTTAACTGTACTACTTAATGTTTTTTTCATTCTGTACTCAATTATTAAAAACATTTATCTTATTTTCCACATAAGCAGAAAAAATGAGTTGTTATAGATTTAATAAAATATTTGAAATAATTATATAATAACAATTTTGACTTTTTTTCTAATCATGCATTTTATCACTATGTCTTACTGGTAAATGATATTTAATCTCTGTAAATGTTCTGCCAGAATAAGACAAAATAAATCTGTAGGCTTGTTGATATATGTGATAAAGTAGAGGAGATTTGTTTAATCACTGTTGTGAAAAAGGAAAACTGTAGTAGTTGTGGCTTCCTGGATTATAAGGACAAGAACTTGTGTATGCTTTTGATTTCATTTTTAACATTAAAATTTAAGTATATGGCTCAATATTAAAGCTTAAAATCTGTGACTTAAAACATTTTATTTTTCGTGGTTATTAATTACATAGTTATTTCTTAAATCATCCCTTAGTGTTGACTTATGGAAGATGATGTGGGTTTGCTAAAAGCTTTCTTATGTATTATTTTGGAAATATCTATATTATATTTTCACATAACTGATAGAGACAGATTTTGTGTAGATTTATCTCACTGCAAGCTCCTTTTCACCACATTGTATTATGAAGTAAAAAATTTCTTTGAAAGTACTTTCCCCAATTCTTGTTTATAAAGTTCATCACATTGGGCTAGATTATGAATGGACGTTTAGTCAGTGTCAAGCAATTTGAACTTTTATTTATCTTAAATTGAATTACATACATTTTAAAAGGACTGTCTAAATCTGCAGTTATTACATGTTAAAACCTATATTGATGTCAAAACTCCTAAACAGTAGTACGTGTTTGCAGTTTTAAGAGAATTATTTACTTATAATTTACCTAGAAGATATCCCACAATATGATTTTTTCAACATAAAAAGACAGTATAGGCTGGGCTCAGTGGCTCACGCCTGTAATCCCAGCACTTTGGGAGGCTGAGAGGCAGGAGGATTGTGGGAGACCAGGAGTTTCAGACCAGCCTGGGCAACAGAGTGAGACTCTGTCTCTACAAAAAAAAAATTTTTTTAAATTAGTGGGCATAGTGGTGTGAGCCTGTATTCCTAGCTACTCTGGAGACTGTCATAGGATGATCACATGAGCCCAGGTGTTAAGGGTGCAGTGAGCGTGATCTCACCGACGGAGCAAGACCCTATCTCTAAAACAAACAAAAAGGGTGGAGGGAGACAATATGAATGAGTAGTCCATTAACTTAAAACATTTGAAATTAAAGTTTTATGATAACACTTTAATTTTAAGTAACCACTCATTTATGCCCCTCTATTTAAAGCGGAAACCTAAAGCTATTTGTTAATAAAATACTGTTTTACATTAAGACGTCATGGGAGAGAAGGATATATGGGGAAATTAACAGAATTAAGTTATTTTAAATTAAGTATGAATGACATTTCCAAGGTAGCAGTGAATGCTTTACAATATACACTAATAATTTTATTATTTTTCCCAATTTTATGATACTCGTTTCTATTTCTGAGAATCTTTAAAAATGTGTAATCTTGGCTGGGCGTGGTGGCTCACGCCTGTAATCCCAGCACTTTGGGAGGCCGAGGGGGCGGGGGGGGGGGGGTGGATCACGAGGTCAGGAGTTCAAGACCAGCCTGGCCAAGATGGTGAAACCCCGTCTCTACTGAAAATACAAAAATTAGCCAGGCGTGGTAACAGGTGCCTGTAATCCCAGCTGCTTGGGATGCTGAGGCAGGAGAATCGCTTGAGCCCAGTTGGCAGAGGTTGCAGTGAGCTGAGATTGTGCCACTGCACTCCAGCCTGGGTGACAGAGGGAGACTCTGTCTCAAAAAAAAAAAAAAAAAAAAGTGTAATCTTTGCTTTCTTGAGCTGTTAGTATTGAAGATAAAATGTAAGATCTCATGTGGCTCAGCCTTATGTTTTTATTGTCTTGCACTTTGTGTACTTTTGCTGTGGGGTTGCTGAGCATCCTTAGATAAAGACTGAAATCAGGCCAGTTGATTCTGCTACTCAGTCTAACATATCTTTTCAGTTGAGCCAGCTCTGTTGCTGTTATCCTTTTGTTTATTTCTGATTAGCTTTACATTTTGTGCCTCTTTAAACTTTTTTCATCTTTTTCAACCCAGAAACTCACCCCAACAGATTTATACTCTGTAAATGTACTTGCTTCACAGTTTATTTAGGTCATCTTTAAGGACCTCCCTCAACTTCCTTTTATACTTCAAATTATAATTTAATTTCACCTTTAATCCTTGTCTACATATATAGAATGAGAATTCTCTATTCTTTTTAGGAATCATTTATCATGCCCCCCTTTATCTTTTTCAGATTCTTATCTCATTCTTTTGGATCTTTTAAATTTTTTCATGAGATCTTTCTCTTTGGCTTTATAATATGTTCAGTTCTTATTTTATACAAAATTACCAAAAGCTAAATCCTTTCTTTAATTCTGGTAATACCTGTGGTCACTTTCTCTCCCTTTTACATACCAACAAAATTTTTTGAAAGGGTAGTCTACTGAGTTTCTTTTTTTCTCAGCATTTTATTACTCCTGGTTATCCAACTCTTTCAGAGTTCATGGTATCTTTATTAGTTGCTTAATTAACTGAACTATCTTTTTCAGTCATGTAACCATCATCCTCTTTTAATTTTCTAAAGCATTCAATATTAGTAACTATTCTTCCTCCATTGGCTTATTTGACATTGTATGATCCAGTTTCTCTCATTATTTCTCTAACTGTACTATCTCAGACATTTTTATGGATTTCTTTTGTTTCTTGAAATCATCACGTAAATGTTAGGGTTACATTCGATTCTGTCCTTGGCCCCGTAGATCCCTTTAGCTTTAATTACTCCCTTTATGTAGATCATGCTTAAGTCATATGTTCAGCTCAAAACTGTTTTGATCTTTTGTTTTATGTACACTTTATTATATTTAATGTATTTCAAAATAAATGTGATTGTTTATACCTTACATAAAGTCTTTCTGTAAATTACCTTACCCTAAAAGTACACATAATATGTTCACATAATTTGGCATGTTACTTCTTCCACAGGTATTTGGTTATGTATCTGTATTATTTTTTTAAACGTACAGACACACATACACACACACACACACACACACACACACACACACACACACTGCGGTTCCTTATATAAGGCTGAGGTTTCAGCTTATATGATCATCCAGGAAGTCTTTGCTGATCACCTCAATCTGGTTGAGGGACCCTTCCTTTGTTCTTGTGACACATCCTATATTTTTAATGCTTCTTGTAATTACAAATCTTTTCTAGCTCACTAGACTATAAGTGCTACAAAAATGATGAAGACCATGTCACCTTTATTGACATTGTACCCTTAATACTTTTATAGGGTCTTCCACATAGTAGATGCTCAATCTGTATGTACTGCGTATATGAATAATCGAGTAGATAAATAACTCAGTGTCAAAAAATGTATTCTCTTAAATTTATAAACTTGCCTTTCTCTGTGTTTCCTGTTTTATTTATTGGCACCAGTGATTTTCAAGTTATCCAAACTGGAAAAATTGGTTAATTTTGATCTTGTTCCCTTTTCTATTCTCTGTTTATTCTATAATTGTTGCCAATTCTTGTCTGTTTTACTCACAACATGTACCTTGAATTAATCTTCCCCTTTATGTTCTTGATGTTTTCCCTAAGGTGGGTTGTTTCACTTACAACTGTACTTTATATAGACTCTACCAGAGTAGCAGAGAATAATATTGTGGTGTATTTCATAACATCCCATTCATTTTGATTATTAAACAAAAACAAACCTTTAGTACAGGGTAATATGATATATGAATCTCATATCTAATTTAAAGCTGTTCCCCATCTCAGCAATAGTCAGGCTTTGGGGCCTAAGAACTTGAAACTTGGAAGCTGTTGTAGTCTATGCTTTCACCTTCTTTATTTATATTTAAGTAGGGTTGTATAGATGATTTCTAAGATGTCTCTCTCCTCCCCCAATTCTGATTCTAGGTTTAGGGACCAGATAGAAGGAAATGGGCAAAACTTTCTTTTTACTTAACTAGGCTTGTAATAATATTCTATTGAGTTTTGATGCCTCTGTGATTTACACTGGCCATTAATGCCTTCTTCTATGTGACAGTTGTCCAAATGGTAGCTCTCTCATAGGTTGCATGCTTTACATCTGTGATGGACTCTGCTGAGGTCTTCTACTACACAGTTAAAACCTGATGTGAGATATTCTTAGTTAACTCTGTTGTAGGCCCTCTGTGTTCTAGCCACGTGGGTAGACAGTTTCCTGGGGTTGCTGGAGCCTCCTCGCTCTTGTGGACATCTTTTTTAAGGTAGGCCCATGTGACTCATATCATATGGTGCTAGAGGTAACTGCGTCATTGTCATGTCATGTGTTTTTCCTGTTATTTCTCTTTATTGTTTTTTCTGCCCACTTAGGAACAGAGAACATCGTTAAGTCTGATATCTAAGTATTAATTTAAGCCAGAGTGAAAAGATAGTATCTTCTCGTGAGTACTCTCAGTATATAGGAATCATGCTCTTGGCTTGCAGCACCTTAGGGGAGGAATACTTCCAAAAGAGACTGGCTGGCCTCAATTTTTTTTCAGTTCTTTTTAGAACGTGAGGACACTTAATTCCTCCTTTTTCTCTTTTCTGGGTCCTAGTTTCTAAATCCTAGGTAACAGGAAAAGTGTCATTAAACATCATATATATATATATATTTTAATCCATATTATTTAATTCAAAATATTTTAATCCATATTATTTAACCTGTAAACCAAAGTAACACATCACCAATTATTGCTCTTCACCAGCCTTTGTAAGTGAAGTCTGTGGATTCATAGTAAAGAGAGAACAGACTTTGTGATTCTTGCAGCTGTGCATGTATGTGAACAGTGGGTTAAACGAGAAAAAATACTTTTCTTAGACCTATTTATAATATATGAAAGAAACATTTCATAGAATTTTGGAAAATTAAACAAAGGGAAATATAACAGATATACCTTAAACTTAATAGAGTAAAGGTTGGTTTGGAATACTTTATTAGGGGTGAATTATCTGTGTAATATAAAATTTATGGAAGATTCTGCTTCAGCATATTACAGTATTATAGCAGTGCTTCATGACCTATTAAAAGATAATTCAGGAAATGATTGACCTACCAGAGTAGTTTATGTGTTGTTTTAGGAACAATTGCCTTCTGCAACTTTTATCTATTGGTTTTAAATATATGCATATATACATGTGTGTATACATATACATATGTATACACATACAGTACACATACACATATGTATACACATACACATATACAAATGTGTTATATAGATGCTAGATAACCCTTTTTGTTTTCTCCTTAATCTGTTCACATGAGATATTCATATTGACAACTGCAATTTTGCCATTGATGGGATTTTTAATACTATAACCACAGCAGTTGAGGATGGATTACTTTGTTCAGTTGAGTTTTTTTTTTTTAATTTCATAGTTTATACATTTTATTTATTCATTTATTTTCTGAGTTGGAGTCTCACTCCGTTGCCCAGGCTGGAGTGCAGTGGCGCGATCATGGCTCACTGCAACCTCTGCCTCCCAGGTTCAAGCTGTTTTCCTGACTCAGCCTCTCAAGTATCTGGGATGACAGGTGCCCACCACCACTGCCGGCTAATTTTTGTATTTTTAGTAGAGACAGGGTTTCACCATGTTGGCCAGGCTGATCTCGAACGCCTGACCTCAGGTGATCTGCCTGCTTCTGCTTCCCAAGGTATTGGGATTACAGGCATGAGACACTGCATCCGGCCTTAGTTTATACTTTTATTTGAATAAGCAGATGGTTTCCTTCTATTAACTTTCTTAGCATTTACTTTTAGAGACCCTTTAAGGCAAAGAGCCAGAAATGGAAGATACAGAATTATCATCTAGCAAAAGCACTGACCCCTTGTTTAAGAATGCATTGAATCAGAACTTCAAAATTATTTAGGTTTTGTTTTATTTATGATAGTGAAAGTGAAGATCATAATATAAACTAAGGAATAGTATGCTGTTGAAGAAGTAAAGATTTGAAAGAAGCTAGCACTGATTCTTTTCAACTAGAAATTTGTTTTAGACTGTGCTCTCAAGTTTATAGAAGTTGAAATTGGGTGTGATTATTTGTCAATAATGGGCCACTTTTGCTTCTTTGATTATGCCACTTTGAAGTTTTTGATAAATTGTATATATAGATCTAAGGATTACCTAATTGCTTTCTGTGGTAAACAGAATTTTCTAGATAAAGCAAGTAAGATTTCAAGAAACATGTAATTTTAAAAAATTACATTGGAAACTTTTCTTAACGTATCATTCACATCTACTTCTTTGTTTTTGTTAATATTTTAATGGTCTGGTTTGTTGCCAAGAAATATTTAATAAGCCACAGATAAATGCATATTGTAAATCAGATTTTTAAATAATTCAAATTTGCTGCTCCTATTTAATCAAAATGTTTGTGTTTTGAGGAGGAAAATGGGAAATAAATGAATTAAAATACATTATGATATTCTGTATTCAAAATACTTTACAAGGTTCATTAATTGCAGTTATATTTTTTAAATCTAGAAGTGCTGTTTGACCCTTTCTCGGATTTTTTTTACTGTAAATGTTCAAACCTCTTATGAAATGTGTTAAGAATACTTATTTTAAAATACTCTATCTGACAGTTCTGCTCTGTGTTGTTTCTGCTGGTTCTCACTCTTGCCACCATGCTTCCTTGTGTGTTTGGTGAATGTTTGTTAAGTTTTCTTAGCAATTTACCTGAGGGAATTTTTTGAATCCTAGGATAAAGGTGGTTTCCTTCAGAGTGGCTTGGCTTTGCGTTTAGTTGTCATTTATAGTTGGGAACAACTTGAATCTAAATTCTTGGCTTGAGATTATTTTAACCACCAGGTATGAATTCATGCTGAAAATCTGCTTGAAGGCAAACTTGGGGTTATGAATTCCCAGATAATTTTTTCCTGCCTTCTAAGTGCATGTTAGGAATTGTCAGAGGATCAGGGCGTATTTTACTCTTACAATGACAGCATAGCTGGTTAAAGTTAGTATTTACTGGGGATTCTCATCAGGCTGCCCACCTGGAACAGGAAGTTCAATAGACAAAAGATCATATTACCTTGGTTTATCAAAAGACTTCAAGGTAAATGTCCCCTTACATGCTCTAGTTGCTCTTCCAGGTTCCTGCATTTATTTAGGTTTTATTAGTTTCTGGTCAGCTAACAGATGCCATTGAAGAATGTGTTTTTAATATTTTTCTGTGACATAGTTGTTTCAGGCAGGAGAATTGGCTGGGTTTCCTTGCTTATACTGTCAGACATAAAAAAGCATGTTAGGTTTTTTGTTTGTTTACAAAATTTTCTTATTTTCCCCAGCTACCCTGGAAATATATACGTCTATTATAACCATTTCAGAAATAAGGTAAGCTGACCAAAATCATGCAGTTGGTGAAAAGGTTGATGTGTACTCAAGTCTGTCTGACTCCAGAGTCCATGCTGTACATTGTATAGCACTGCCTCTATGGGGTTTAAATTCTTCTCTCATAAATACTTGAGTTCCCGGGTAGTGTTCATTTTGTATATGAATGACTGTGTATATAAAGAAATGGAATTCTAGGTTACTACCTGATAGGAATTTTGAGAAAGAAGATCTAATAACAGTTACTACATTGTAAAGAGTAGTTAGCAATATGTGTTAAAAACCTACTGTAAAACATTTTCTGTTTTACCTAAATCTCTCTTATTATCTTAATATATTGGCCTACCTTTTCCCAAGATCCCAGCAGTTCCCAAGATTCCCTTTTCATTGTTATCTTTTCCTTGATTTTATCCTTTATCAGTCCTATCAGTATTTTTGTTTGGTTGGGAGGTATCACACAGTAAATATCAAGAAACTCTTCAGATGTTTTAAATACAGGCAGAAATGACTGTAATATTGGTTAAGCTTTGTAAAGGTGCAGCAGTTCAGAGAGCTTTGTTGATAACCAAATGGAAAAACTATTTTTTAAAAGCATAACTAGTTTATCTTGAGCAATAAAAAAGTTGCTTAAAATGTTATCAGATCGTTAGCATATTGAGATGACTATTTCAGATTTAATGTATTTGAGGAAATGGAAAGTTAATGAAGCAGAAGACTAGAAATGAAACAGGTGCAGAAGAATAACTATATGAAAAATGGAGGTGATATTATTGTTCTCCAGATTGGGATGCTCTAACCACTGTCAAACTATTTAAATCAAGTAAGACAGTCGGGTACAGTGACTCATGCCTATAATTCCAGCAATTTGAGAGCTTGAGGCAGGAGGATCGCTTGAGTCCAGGAGTTCGAGACCAGCCTGGGTAACATAGCAAGACCTTGTCTCTACAAAAAATAAACAGAATTATTTGGTGAGGTCACGCGTGCCTGTAGTCCCAGCTACTTGGGAGGCTGAGGTAGGGGAATCGTTTGAGCCCAGGAGGTCGGGGCTGCAGTGAGCCAAGATTGCGCCACTGCATTCCAGCTTGGGTGACAGAGCAAAACCCTGTCTCAAAAAAAAAAAAAAAAAAAAAAATTAAACAAGACACTTAAATGTTATAGGATAATACATATAACAGAAACTATAAATTTTTCTGAAGGCAGTTTTTATGAATTACAATTAAATTTGATTATACTCTACATTATTTTTATAGGATTTAAAAATTTAAACCCAAAGTATATGCTTTAATATATTGGTTTTTGGATTATAATTTGGCATCATTTTGCACAGTTTTTAGGGAAAGGTGAGTTTGATTGAAGGCAAGTGTTTTTATGGAAAATGAAAGTTATTTCTTCCATTTTCATGTTTTTTATGTGCTCATCCTATGTAAAAGGTATTTCCAAGTAGTTTTGAAGATATTAACGGTATTCCCAGCTTCTAGCTTTTTGCAGGGGAGGGGGAGAAAAATTGAATGTTTGTCTAAGGATTGATTTCTTAAGGAAGATTTTAAAAAGTAGCATTTAGCCTTTTAAAAATGGGTAAATGCATTTATTTTTGCTGTGTTCTAACATAGTAATATGTTTTCCTTATAATGATGACTTCCGTTTTTCCACAATTTTTATTGATGACAGAAATTGCCATTGTCAACAAGAAATGCCAAGTGAGAAAGAAGATTATGGTGGGTTCTGTTTCTTAGCACATGTTATTTTACTTTTAGTTTTACAATTTTTGCATCTGTAGCCTTGGCCATATTATGGGATTTATCGCCTTATTAGTTGAGAGGTAGGCTAATAGATGATAAGGAAGATGTAGTGAAATAGTAATAATGATAATAATAATAGTTAACTAATGAACATTTACTATTTTCAAAGCCATATTCAACACACTGTGTATATGTTATTTACTTCTTTCAAAAACTTTATGAAGAAGGATGTATTCTTAAAGATAGACAACTGAAGCACAAAAAATTAAATCACTTTCCAAGGTACTCACTTACAATCATTGGAGCCAAACTAGTATATATGTATATATGTATATAAATATACTCTGTGTATGCTTGATTATTAATGGTAACTATTATTTTGATGACAATAAATTAAAACGAATTTGAAGTTAGTGATAAGTTAGTTTTGTTAATAGCGTTAAATAAGTATGACATTTCCTTAGAAATTGTGACTGGTGTTATGTACGATATCTTTTAGTAACCTTGAACGGTGCTTGAACTCTTTTGTCATTGCATTTCTAAGATTTTGCTAAGCTGTTATGTTATGCATTCCTTATAGCATTTTATAGTCTTTTATTTTACAACGACTCTGAAGGAATATTTCATCATTCATATAATTTTAGTATCCAAATTATATTTTCATCCCTTTGTTTGCCATGAAACATACTCCTGCCTATCTTTCAATTGCATCATGTTCTCTTTCTTTCTCCTCATTTAAATACCCTTAAAACAAACATAGATCACTTTTCTGAATCATTATATTTTTTTCTGTATGAAAGCCCATTTTGTAAAGTATTTATTTAAGAACGCCATTCAGTTTGCATTCTCTTGCTTTTTTCTTTTGTCACATTTTCAGCACTAATCAAGGATTAAAGAAGATTAAAAAGAAAACTAATAAATGAGAGAATGTGGTGGTACTGGTGTTAGCTTATCCATTTGTTGGTGATTTGCTTGTATTTTATGTAATTAGTTTGATTCCACACAATATCATTTAGTCTATAGTATGGCACAGTGCTAATGGCTAGATTACAAAAATAAGTGAACCATGGTCCATCTTTTTCTTGTCTATCAAGTTTGTTGCCACTTTTTGGCTGTCATATCACACCGAATTTTTTGTCTTTTTACGTGGAAGCCAAGAAATGACAGACTGCATACACAAAAAACGAAAAATGGTGAAAGAAAAGGAAAGAGAGTGGTGGACTGTAGAATTAGGGAATACACTGGGACAGCAGTGGGTACAAGAGAACAGAAGAGTCATCTGAGGGACACGAAAGAATGTCTTTATGACTTTGAAGGATGGGATGGGCGATAGACTTCTAGGCACTGTGAGATACCAGAAATCCATTAAGTCATAGGATAATTCCACAGGGTCTCTTTTGGGGGCTGATGATAACTCAAATACCTACCTGTATTTCAAAAAGGGTAACATTTTGTTCTTACAAAACTGCAGGAGTATAAAAGTACAGTGAGTGTAGATAGGAAGTGAAGTCAAGCAGCTATTGTGTTTTTCTTTCTGAGACGAAGACCAACTACAAAAGTGAATTCTCTCAGCATGGTCTTTTTCAAATTTACAGGACTCCTGTTGACTTCAATAGCTCTTAAGTTTTATCTTGTACTCTCTACACCTGTAGCTACTTTCCCACACAGAGTCATTACTGCTCATCATGGTGATGAACCAGATTCATCAAGATATGTTTGAATTGTATTCATTACATTTTAAGAAGTTAGGTATATGTGTGATACATTTTAGAAAGATTTCCACAAATGTATTTAAACTTTGGGTAGAGTACTTAAAGGTTTAAGTGTATCTTTTTATCTCACAGAAACACTAAATGAGACTTACCAGTTGGACATAGTTTTACAACTAAAAAAGTCCTTAACCATATTGTTTATATATTATATAGTAAAATAGGGTTGGTTATTGCCAATTTCAAAGGTTTTGAAGTGAGGCAGAACTGGGTTTGAATTTCTGTCTTGTCTCTTGCAAACTCTGTGAATTTTGTACAAGTTCCTTGATCTCTGTTTTACAATTTCCTGATATAAAAATGGATATGTTAATTTGTCTATCGCGAGGAGCAGTAACTAGTGATGGTGTATGTAAAACCTTTAACAGTACTGTATAATATTTAAAAACTCAGTTTCTGGAGCCTTCTGCCACTTAGTATCCACATGAACTCCAGCAAGCTACTTAACCTGTGTTTCTGCCCCTTAGTATCCACATGAACTCCAGCAAGCCAGTTAACCTGTGCTTCCATTTTTTCATGTGTAAAGTAGGGATAATAACTGTACCCACCTCATGGGATTGTTGTGAGGACTGAATTAATACATATGTATAAAGCAATTGGAATAGTGCCTGATGCGTTGTAAGTGCTATTATGCTGTTAGTACCGTTAGCTACAAGTTCATCAAATCTGAAGTACCATGGTTTGTAAGATCCACAATTTTTATGAAATGGTGAAGTTATGTACGTCAGGCCCTATGAGGTCCTGAAGTGTTTTCCAGATAATTAAAGACAATATGTTGTGTTCAATAGGTTTATAATACATATAGTAGAGCAAAACACTAAAGACCATGGGTTCTGGAACTAAATTGCCAGGGTTAAAATTTCCACTCCCACTTATTAACTTGTCTTGCTATACACACTTTATTTTCTCATCTGTAAAATGATGAAAATAATAGTGCATACATCACAGAGTTGAAGTTTATATGTAAGACTAGAAGAAACTAGTTCAGATACAACCTGAAAACCACCGGATGAAGGCTTTTTTAGGTCTAAAGTTATTTGAGTTTTTTGTATATAAACAGAATAAATCTCTGAAAACGCTCATAAAGCCCATACTTGGGCTTAGGCTAGAGCTTATACTGTTTCTCCAGTGCTAGATCCTCTATTTCCTGAATCCAATGCTTGCTTTTACTTTTTTTAATCCTTTGTTTTATAGAAATATATTTTTCACATGCATCCTAACAAAGGAGTCATAGAAGCTTGCATAGTTGAATATGTCATCATTCTCACATTTAATTGAATATAAGCTTATGTATATAATTGTAGGCTGAAAATAATTTTGCCTCAGAATTATGAAGGCATTCTGTTCTGTTCTCTCATTTTACTATTCTGTATCACTGATCATAGGGCTATGTTGATCTGGATTTGTCTTCTGATTTTCTTATTTTCCTTCTCTTTTTTCATTAAAAAAATCTTAAAATTGTAGTTATTCAGGGACTTACTAAACTTTTTCTTTCATTGAATGTTTCAGTTATTTTCATTTTCTAAAAGTTCTTACTGTTTCTCTGATTTTTTACTTCCCCTGCCCCCATTATTACTGTTTTTTTTTTTTAATGTGACATATTGTTCTTATTTTGTGGTTGTAACCATCAGTTCTAATGTCTGTGAAGATGTTAATTGTTTTGCCTTAAGGTTGCTTCTGCTCTTTGTATTGTATTTCCTCTGAGTTTCCTTCCTTCCTTCCTTCCTTCTTTCTTTCTTCTGGTTTTAGTCTTTTGTGTTGGAGACGTTTTGTCAAAGCTTTGGCTTAATGTGGTGCTACATATTTGGTTGAAAGCTGTGTGTCTGCTAGCAAGACTTGTTGCTTAGATAGCTTCATTAGTGTGATCATGCAAAAAGCTAGGGATTCTGTATGACGGTAGCTATATGTCTGTTATCTGAGTTCTTAAACTTTCACTACTGGATTTTCAGATATTCTTTCTGCATGGTGTATATCTGCCTGCCAATATTTAGGAACCGCTTCTGTCCATTTTAACCTTGTCCCTTGACTCCTCTCTGTTTTGCCTGGTAGTTGTAGTTCAGGAACATTTCTGGGTCAAGATACCTAATATTCTGAACTTCAAGGGGGAGAAAAGAAGAGAATATGTAAAGTAGGGTAGTAAACCTATGTGCCAAAATGTTCTGTATATAGATTTTTAGAGTTCCCTCAGTATTCAGCGCTAACATTATCGCTGTCTTTCTGGGGTTTCATTAGGCAAATTATCTTGCTGTTGATATTAGCATTCTCTGTTACCTAGTTTTCAGCTTCCTCTCTGTGCAGAGTGTGTTCCTAGTTATTCTGCTTCAATTTTTCATTTTCCAAAACGATGTTGAATTTCTTGTTTGCTGTTGTTTCCCTCACCCTTCTCCTTGTCTTTCTGCTTTTATACTATTTTGCCATTTTAGTGATGTTTCAGAAGGGAGTGGAGTTTAATATGTGTGCTCATCTGCCATACTTAGCAGCAAAAACAACAGCTAGCTAGCATTTGTGGAGTGCCTTACTATATGCTAGACTTTTTCTAAGTGCTTTTGTATAGATTTTCATTTGATACTCAAACCAATCCCATTAAACGCATACTACTGTTATCCTTATTATACAAATGAGGAAGCAGAATAAGTAACTGACCAATTTCACAGGGCTAGTAAGTGACAGAAAGATTTGAATCCAGGAACTGCTTGTGGAACCTGAGGTCTTGATACTTTTAGTTTATTAATATGGACCAGAAGCCTACAATACATACTTCTTTAGACATCTGAGTTACTTAAACTAATATGACACCTTAAAAATGACTTCCAATAAGGCAAGTCACTAGATTTTCATATAACCAAAACAAAAACCTAGCAGCTTATAAATATTCAGCATACACAAATACATGGAAATTATAACTTATAGAGTGAAGAGTAATTTTTCTGGTAACAGAACAAAACTTTAATATAAACGATTATCACTTAACACCATTCTCCTAAATATTTTTTTAAAAGAATTGGCATTTACTGACTGAACTAGGACATAGTGTTCTAACACACTAGGAATGATTAAAATCAGAAAACTAATATGTTTTAGTTGATCTTAGAATTTTTTTTGTTTAAAAATTTGAGAGTAGGAGAAATATAATATTTGTTTAGAAGTATTAAACATTATAAATAGACAAAACTTTTATTTCTTTAAGAAACATTCTAGCCAAATACTTGAAATTTAAAATATAAATTTAGTTATAATTTGTGTCATTTTACCAGTTTAAAAAAACTATGTTCAATACAGTTTGTTTTATGATAATAGTAAGTCACCTCTGTTTTGTGTAATTTTTCTATTCTTCTCTTTCCTTAGTGTAGATAGAAACCTATTGCCTTCCTGCTGAGGATATAATTTCTGAATCTAGACGATGTGCTGTCAGCACAGTGAAGCAGGAAATTATTCTCCTGTGTCAGCTGCTGCTGTTAAAGAATAAAGAAGTTTTGTGATAGGATGCATTTCTGTTACCTCTACTCACAAATCTTATATGACATGCAAATAGATTTCAAAATCAAGAGAGTTCAAAGTATTTAGTAACAAAAGATCTAAAAATTCCAAGTGTATTTTAAAATGCTGTGCTTTTTATGTTTCAATGTTAGTAGTCCTCAAACTTATTCAGCTTATTCAAGTAATAGGGCAGGGGTCCCTAACCCTGCTCTGGTCCGGTCTGTGGCCTGCTAAGAACTGGGCCACACAGCAGGAGGTGAGCTGTGGGGCCAGCTAGCATTACCACCTGAGCTCCGCCTCCTGTCAGATCAGCAGTGGCGTTAGAATCTCATAGGACGGAAACCCTATCATGAACTGAGCACGCGAAGGATCTAGGTTGCACACTCCTTATGAGAATCCAACTAATGCCTGATGTTCTGAGGTAGAACAGTTTCATCCCAAAACCATCCCCCCACCCTGTACCATGTTGTCTTCTGCTGTAATAGAGCATTTGGAAATTATATTCTTCAGGACACTGGACATGTTAGTATATTAAATTCAACATTGGTTAAAGCAGCAGCAGTAATAATAATAGTTATATGAAATTTACTGTGAGCCAGAGATGGTTAAAACTACATGCTTTTCATGTATCAGCTGAATTAGTTCACAATAAATATATGAGGAAAAGATGGCACAAAGATTAATTTGCCCACATTGTGTGTGTGTATTCCTTTTTATATGTAAATGTGTGTGTATGGTATGTATATATGTTTATGTGTGTAAATATATATATTTCTAATATCTATGCAATTAGAGTCAGGGATGAGATTTCCTTACATTCCATCCCCAAAGTCTGTCCTTACAACTACCACGTTAGGCTAATAGAATTTTATACAAAATCTGATAGATTCTATTATAGTATAGGCAACTGGTGGGAGTTATCACATATTGAAAATTAGATAAAAATCTCAAAACGAGGCAATTTTATCCCTTAAGCTAATTCTTCTATTAATTGAGGAAGTCTGCTGTTACTTGATTTTTATCCCCAAAAGCCTCAGGAAATTATAGAACACCACTTTGACAGTTTCTTTATGTGACATAGACAGAAAGTAAATTTATATTTTCTTATTCAATAAAGGCTTCATTTTACTAAATTTATACAATTACTGATTTCAGTAACACATTTCCACAACTTTGTGGTAGATCAACTATAATCTTTTTCCTTTGAGAAAATTATTTAAAGACATGTATTATTAAATATGACAAATCATAGACATTTTTTTAAAGAGTGCTAAAAAATTCATGTACCTTTCAGGCATCCTTAAAGTAGGGAGATAGTCTTAGAGTCATGATATCAGTTTGGTGTGTGATCTGTCTTTAAACATTATATTTTAATTGATATATAGTAGATGTGCATATTTACAAATTATACAAAATGTATTAAATTACAATAATTTATTACAATAATTTAATACATACAATGTAATATATTACAATAATTTAATACATTTTGTATAATTTGTAAAGATCATATCAGTGTAATTAGGATATTCACCTCCTTAAATATTTATCTTTCTTTATGCTAGAAATATTCAAACTATTCTTTTGTAATTAGTTTGAAATATACAAAAGGTTACTAAAGTCACTCTACTGATGTATCAAACACTATCAAACTGTATATTTGTACCCATTAATCAACCTCTTTTTATCCCTCCACTCAACCCTTCCCAGCCTCTGATAACCAGCAGTCTACTCTCTGTCTTCATGAGATCCACGGTTGTAGCTCTCACATATGAGTGAGAACATGCAATATTTGTTTTTTCTGTGCTTGGCTTATTTCACTTACCATAATGACTACCAGTTCTATCCATGTTGCTGCAAATGACAGGATTTCATTCTTTGTTATTGTTGAATAAACTTCCATGTGTATGTGGTATAGAATCTATCTTGAATATCATTCATTGATATTTGTATTTGTAAATGTCAACAGCAATTAATAATAAGAGGATCTCATATAAAAAAACCTGTCTACATCATTTTAGAATGGCATTAACCTTTACAGTTATCCCATTTTTATAAATGGTGGTTAAATAACATTCTCAGAATTATACTAACCAGTATTCAATAAATGATGACGGTAAGAATAAATTCCACATTTGTTGGATTCCCAAACGGACTTTAACGAGACTCTTTAATGTGGCTACCAGTATATTTTATATTTTTCTAAACTTGATTACTATTTCTCTTTTTAGGAAAGATGCATTATAGCCATAGAAGTGACAAAGGAAAATTAAATAGGAACATTATATACAGTAGTGATCGTACCAGGAGTATGGATGAATCTACATGCTTCAGAGAAATAATCGCAACTTTTTTTTTAACTTTAAAGGGTAGAAAACTACTACTTTCTTGTTGAAAATTTATCTCAAAGTTAATATAAAATGATCTTCTCCCTATAAGTTTTCTTTTGCATCCAAGCGAGGTGCATGATATGTAGGCAAGGAGGGGAAATTATCCTTGTGTTCTTCTAATCAGAAGTGTTCTGTTTTACTTTGCTCAAACAATATTACCTTATTCCATCCTAATATAATTATGTAGGCTAGAGTATTTTAGAATGATATAAGTATGGTTTGAATATTTTTAAAAATATAACCTTATGTATCAATATTGTTATGTCTAAGGCATTATCTGGCTTTCTGAAATGAAAATAGTATTTTGTTAAATGTTGCAAAATGACCTGTCTAAACCATTTTTAAAAATAACTTTCCTATATAGAAATTATACTTTTATTGAGTTTTATGTCATAGTTTGTCATAGAGTATGTCATGGATTATTGACTATTACTGAGAAAACAGTATTTTTGCACTTTAATTTTTTAGTTTACTTCTATTTCCATGTAATTATCCTAAATCCTTTGCTTCCTGACCTTCTTAGTAGAAGAGCTACTTTTCTTTAATTAATGGACTGTTTTTTAGAGCAGTTTTAAGTTTACAGAAAAAATTGAGCAGAAAGTCCAAAGTGTTGCCATGTATTTCTTTTTGCCCCAACTCCCTCTGCTCCTAACACAGTTTTTCTTACTATTAACAACTTATTATTAACTACTTTGTTTAGCCATCCACCTGTGTTGAAGGACATCTTTACTTCCAAGTTTGGACAATTAGTGTGGTACAGTTGGTACAATTGATGAGCCAAAATGGAGATATTCTTATTAACTGAAGTCTATAATGTATCTTGGGATTCATTCATTACGTTGTACATTTTTATATGTTTTCATATATATATATATAAGATTTGTAAAAAGAAAACCTCCCTGTTTTCTACCTGTCCATTTCCCCTTTTTTCCCTCCGAGGCACCCTTGGTAACCACTGACATTTACTGTCTCTATAGTTTTGCCTTTTCCAGATCATCATTTAATTGGAATCATACAGTAGGCAGCCTTTTTAGATTGACCTTTTTTTTTTTTTCATTTAACAAGATGCGTTTAAGGTTCCTCTTTGTCTTTTTATGGCATGTTAGCTCATGTCTTTTAATCGTGAAATAATATTCCATTGTATGGATGTATCACTGTTTTTTTATCCATCCACCTGTATTGTAGGGCATCTTTGCTTCCATGTTTGAACAGTCATTAATAAAGCTGCTGTAAACTTTTGTGTGCAAGTTTTCGTGTAGGCATATGTTTTTAATTAATTTTTTGTAAATACCAAGGAGCATGATTGCTGTATTGTATGTTAAAAGTATGCTTAGTTTTGTAAGAAACAGTTAAACTGTCTTCCAAAATGGCTGTAGTGGGCTGAGCATGGTGGCTCATGCCTGTAATCCCAGCACTTTGGGAGGCAGAGGTTGGCAGATAGCTTGAGCTCAGGAGTCCAGGACTAGCCTGGGCATCATGGCGAAACCCCGTCTCCACAGAAAATACAAAAAAAAAAAAAAAATTAGCCAGTCATGGTAGCATGTGCCTGTAGTCCCTGCTACTTGGGAGGCTGAGGTGGGAGGATTGCTTGTGACCGGGAGGATGTCGAGGCTGCAGTGAGCAGCCTGCACTCAAGCCTGGGCAACAAGGAGAGACTGTCACAAAAATCAAAATGGCTCTACTATTTTGCATTCCCACCAGCAATTTCCTTCTGTTGTTCCGCAACCTCCCCAACATATGGTGATGTCAGCGTTTTGGATTTTAGCTGTTCTAATAGGTGTGTAATATGGTATCTTATTGTTGTTTTAATTTTCACTTCCCTAAGGAGATACTATGTCCCCACAAAATTGATGTGTTAAAGTCTTAAACCCCAGTACCTCAGAATGTGACCTTATTTGGAGATGTAATCAAGTTAAGGGAAGGTTATTGCAGTAAGTTTGAATCCATTATGACTGGTATCCTTATAAGAGGAGAAATGTGTACAGAGATGTGCATGCAGAGAGAATGCCATGGGAATATGGGCTGCCATCTACAAGCCAAGGAGAGAGGCTTGGAAAGATACATCCTCAAAAGAAATCACCCCTGACAACACCTTATTCCCTCTTACAACCTCCAGTACTTAAGCCACCCAGTTTGTAGTACTTTGTTATAACAGTCCTGATATACATAAGATATTGAGCATCTTTTCGTACGCTTTTTTGACATCATTTTATCTGTTTAATGAGGTGTCTTTTCAGACCTTTTGTCCGTCTTTTCTAATTGTTGAATTGTGAGTGCTTTTTTGATATTTTAGATACTAGTACTTTATGAGGTATGTGTTTTTCCCTATCTGTGGCTTACCTTTTCATTTTCTTAATAGTGTTTTCCACAGAGCAGAAGTTTTAATTTTAATGAAGTCCGGCTGATCAATTTTGTTCTTACATGGATCTGCTTTTGGTGTATCTAAAACATCATTATCAAGCACAAGGTCACCCTGATTTTATCCTATGTTATCTTCTAGGAGTTGTAGAGTTTTATCTTTGGTGTATTTTGAGTTAATTTTTGTGAAAGGTTTATGATTTGTATTTAGATTAGTTTTTTATTTTATTTTTTATTTTTTGGCATGTGGATGTCGAGTTGTTCCAACACTATTTGCTGAAACAAACTATCATTGCGGTATTGAATTACCTCCTCTCTTTAGTGAAAAATCAGTTGACTATGTTGATGTGGGTTTGTTTCTGGGCTTTCTTTATTTCTGTTCTGTCCATTGATCAAGTTGTCTGTTATTTTACCAGTACCACATTGTCTTGATTACTATTGTTTTGTAAAGTTTTGAGTTGGATAGTGTCAGTCTTCTAGCTTTGTTCTTTTCCTTTAATATTCTGGGCCTTTTGCTTTTTTTGTATAAATCTTTAGAATCAGTTAATTGATATCTGCCAAATAACTCACTGGACTTTTGATGGGTATTGCATTGCATCTATAGATCAAGTAGGGAAGATCTGACATGTTAACAACAGTGAGTCTTCCTCTCTGAGTACATGAAATAGGTCATTTACTTAGATTGTCTTTGATTTCTTTCATTGGAATATTGTGGTTCTTCTCACATAGCACATGAACATATTTTGTTAGTTTTATATTGAACTTTTTCTATTTTTTTGGTGTTAGAACAACCACTTTTTGCACAATTGTAAGAAACGTTAACATAAGTCTTAGAACTAGCCCCAATAATTGTGTGATAACAAATTACGGTAGCAGATTATTTATTCCTGGTTGACATAAGTGATAACTGTTGTTGAATTAAATATTACTTATGCTAGAAAAGCTTAGAGGTATTTCATCACAACTTGATTGTTTTCAAGTTATGTAGGTTGATATTATTAACTAACAGTGAATTAACGTGTTAGTTTGGATGAATTGAGTTTCCATGATTTTTCTTACACTTTAAAATTTACTTGTAACTGATATTTCTTTCTACATCCTGTGAGAAAGTAGAGTAGAAAAAACGTATAAATTTAGAACTTAGTTTTGTAATTTTTGACTCACACTTTCTCTTCAGTGTGTTGTACCTCTGAGAAGGAATGACTGATAAAATATGTGTTGAATATACATGTCATAATTTAGGATGATGAGTGATTGTTAAATGAATGAGAACATTACATGAACAGTTATAAACATCAATGTAATAGGATTCTGTATTCTCAAAAGTGTGACATTTAAAAAGAGACAAGGCCATGCATAATTTAATCATGTAAAATACTGATACCTTAATTTATTTAAAAGGAATTGCCTGATTTTTAAGAGAATGCCCATTAAATTTTAATTTAACTATTAAATGCCTGGAGAGAGCATGATTCCATTTAGGGGAAGATTCTGTTATTAAACTATAAGTCAGAGCAAAGTATTCTCTACAATTGTATTTTAGGTTACTGCAACATGAATATTGAAAGTGTTCCTATAAAACAAGAATCCATCTAAACTCTTTTTTCTTTCTTTTTTAGTCTTTCCTTCTGTAGAGCCTTTTTGATCTACAAGCTTCTAAGTTTGGTGTCTTATTTAGGAGATATTATGTTTTAGCTTCTGTAAAACCTAGTATTTTCTACAAATGCACGAAACATATTCATGTTATTTAATTGCTTAATATTACTGTTTACAAATAGACAAATATTTCTGTAGCTTTTATACGCAAGGAAAACGCTAAGAAATCTCCACAAAATAGCCATAGTTAGGTAATTGCTGGTTGTTCCTAAGAATAATAAATAAGAATGTGGTAATTTAGGTATTCAGCCTAGTATTCATAGAATGTTTTAGAGAAATGAATAGTCAAAATCACTACCTCATTGGTACTAACCATTTTATAATACAGTATGAATTGGGATGGTGAATTAAGTGGGAATGGGAACATGGAGTGGTTTTATTTTTCTCCAGTGTGACCTTTTTTGTTTATGATTAGTCAAATCACTCTTTTTTGTTTCTTTTACTCATCTCAAGATGATGTCATAGATTTCTGAGCACTTCAATTTAATCTGACTTTAATGTAGTAAAGTCAGTTTAACTTGAATTTAACCTCATAGCCAACCTATAACTCAATTTCTCTTCTTTCAGTCAATATGACTTGGACTTTTCTAGGAGATTATAGAGTGTTGGAAGAGGTTGAAGTCTAGTCATTCTCTTTGCTCAATCCAGTGAGTGGAGAATGATCTGTTTTGTTTTGTTTTTTTTTCTCATATACCTATTTCTCCTCCTGTGTGCTGATGAAGTAAGGGGAAAGGTGGAAAGGGAAAAGGCTTTCTTATGTAAGTAGTACCTTTTGTTCCCTTTTTTTCTGTTTGTGCTCCACTGCCTCACACTGACTAGTCCTCCCTCCCTCCCTCCCTCCCTTCCTTCCTTCTTTCTTTTTCTTCCTTTTCTTTCTTTTTCTTCCTTTTCTTTCTTTTTTTTTTTTTCACCCGTGCTGGAATGCAGTGGTGCAGTCTTGGCTCAGTGCAGCCTCTGCCTCCCAGGTTGAAGTAATTCACCTGCCTCAGCCTCCTGAGCAGCTGGGATTACAGGTGCATGCCACCATGCCCAGCCAGTTTTTTTTGTATTTGTAGTAGAAACGGGGTTTCACCATGTAGGCCAGGCTGATATTGAACCGGGGCCTCAAGTGATCCGCCCACCTCAGCCCTGCAAAGTGCTGGGATTACAGGTTTGAGCCACCTGGCCCGGCCTAGTCCTCCTTCTATGAGGACGGGAGAGGAGTACTAGCTCTCTGATGAGGTACATGTACAAAACTTTGGTGGGGAGCATGGGGGTTGTTTTTGGAGTGTCATACCAACCATTTCTGAATTGTCTTTTTCTATTCTTTCTCAATTTCTACCTCTCCACTATATTCATAGCCTCTGGCTGCTTGAGTCCCCATCAACTGGAGGCTCAAGTCCAGCTACTTTCACATTCACTACACTCTTTGCTTTTGCAGAGAGGGAGTCCAATTATCTGTACCTTGTCTTCCAACTCCATGTCTTTTCTCCCTCTCTTCAAATAGGCACAGAGAAGGGAAGTGGGCATGGGATAATAAGCAACTCTAACACACAAGCAGAGGTCCAACTGAGAGGTGAGATACCAGTCTTCCCTTCTTACTAATCTTTTAGATGAACTCTCGCTTGATTTGGACTCTCAGCAACAGCACTATTCAGCTACATTAAGTCAGTGAAGCAAACTCTGATGATTGCCTCATGATGGGGACAGGAGAAGGCACTTCTGGATAAGGAAGAACTAAGGAAGGTAAAGATGTTTAAGTTATGGAGGTGGAGTTGGCTCTCATTTGTTTAAGTCTGTCTTCCAAATATAAAATACTTGATAGATGCCTTTGTTCTTAGCCTTCGGTTCTAATTGCCAGCCCCTGGGCGATTGGAAAAGTGCTACCTGATATCTCATTATGTTCTTTTACCTGTCTTGCCTAGTAGTTTTATTCTTCCTAGCTACAGTGAAGTTCATTCCACTACAGCTGCTGTTGTAACCCTTTTAAACAGGTTATATCATTCCCTCAGTCAAAATACTGTAATGGCTTTCTAAAACAGTAAAAACAAAAAACAAACCCAAAGTCCTTATTATGGCTTGGAAGGCCCCAGGTGATCTGACTGCAGGTTAAGTTTTTGATCGCATGTTCCTATCTCAGAGCTTTGCTATCATTCTACCATCTGCCATCTGTATGTGGTATTCTAAAACCCCAGAGAGTAGAGTCACTTCATTCATTCTTCATTTAAGTAATGCTGCTTCCTTAGTATTCTCTGAATACATTTAAAATAGTATATTTGTTCTCTTCCCATCACTTGCTTTATTTTTGGTTTATACACTAATTTTCATACCTTAAATTGTATATTTAATAGTTAGTTATATCACTTACATTAACATGATTCTCAAGAGGGCAGGACATTGACTTCTTTGTTCACCACTTTACTCAGTGCCTAAAATAGTTCCTGACCCATAGGAAACAATGGATTTTTTGTTGTTGAGTGAATAAATGAATTAATGAATTCTAGCTATTAGATTCAATCTTTAGAAAATATATTTGACTTATCCTACATTATTTACTTTTCCAGTGTTCTACATAGTATAATTTTAATTTTTATCACTTTTATTATTTCTAACTGCATATTCCCATTATCATCACCCCAGTTGAATCATCCATACCTCTAATTGATTTTCTATGCTGTTAGAATTATTTTTTTATAAAATACTTACTTAAATGCCACTATTGGGGTAAAACATTCGAAAATTCCTTAACATAATTGGTCCTGTGCCTATTCTTCTTCTCTCCGTGGTTCTTACATGAACTCTATTCCACTCACATCCTTTTCATTGCAGTATTCTGAATGCTAAACTATGCTTCTCTTTACTTCTGTGCCTTTTTACATAAAACCTACTGCTATATATTTTTCACTGTGTGAATACATTAATGGAACTTCTACTATGAGAAGAGTAGAAAACACTCTTTACATTTGAAGTAGTTAGGAACCACCCATATAGTTGTTGTATGCTATTAATTTATATGTATTAGCAAGTCTTTTTCCTCACTGAGTATCTTTAGGATTTGTTAAGAATTTACTTGTCATTTTATAAATGAGTATTTAAGTCACCACAGTCTTGAGGAGCATACACTGTTTTATAATACTGTTTTGTAATATTGTGAATTATTTTAAAGGTGAGAATAATCTTTTTCTTTTTGGAGGATATGTATGTATGAATGGTTATTATATCTTTATATCTACAGAAAAATACCTAAAAGGAGTAGAGAAAATGATACATACAAATAAAAGTATTATGTGCATTACTTTTTAAAAAAATGTGATCCCTTGCTAGATTCTTCAAATTTAGATTTTTTGTTTGTATACTGTTATATAAATAAAAGACTGATAAATGAAATGACATTATTTATATAAAAATCAAAGCAAAATGTTTATTATATCTGACTCTATTCCAAGTAAGTACAGTGTGTGAGAAGGGACCAGTGTGGCTTTTTGAGAAATGCAGAATCCATAGGTATGTGGCAGGATTCTAAAACTTATACTTAACATTTTTATTTTGAAAATAATGCAGAAATGCATAGTTTGTGATATCGATCTATTTTAGAAGACATGGCTAAATCAAAAATAATATTATGAAATTACGTAGCAGTAAACAAAGGTGGAATCCCAAAGTTATTTGAGGTAGCTCTTTTGAACAATTATTACTATTACTGGTAATAATAGGCCAGGTATTATATCATGTGTCTGGTATGCATTAATTCATTTTGTAGTTGGACTATCCCTTCAAGTTACTATTATTCATTTTACATGAGAAGAAACAGCTGCTCATTTACACATTTAATTTTAGAAGGATTAATTCTGCTTGTTCAGTTGGGTTTCTTGAGTATAATTCATCAAAGTTTCTTAAACTACATGAGAGGTTACAGAGCCCTTTAAAACCTAACAAAATCTTATGGCCCATTTCCCCTGAAAATGTATGTATGGACTCATGTATTTTTATTTTAGTATGCAGTTTCCTAGAATTCCTAGATTTCTTAAATTTCATATGTGGACTCTAGATTGGGAATCTCTGGTCTATGTCTTTTAAAATAAAGAGCCACATCTTGTCACTTAAGGAAAATAATATATATTTACACTGTGCTTTATTATAGAAAGAATTTAAGAAAGCTGAAAGGAAATTGTCAGCTATCTCTAACTCCACTGAGTATATGCCAAATCAAATAAATTCTATTTAATTAGGAAGTGAGATTCAGAAAAGTTTGACTTATGGTATGCTAATGGTCAGGTTTGTTGGACTTTGTCACAAAGCACCCTCAGTCTGTTTCAGAAAGAAACCTAGGTGTGAATATTTTGAATAATGTAAAGTTACCTCTTCAGAGTAGTATATACATAGTAGCTGTGCCTAGAGCTAGGAGATGAGATAGTACCTTACAGCCTTTTGATTCAGTGATATTTCTCAGAGAATAATTATTGAATTTGATTTTCTGATTCCATCAAAGATAAATTGTGTGGACAGGTTGTTGTAGTAAAAGCAGAATGTGGTAATAATTTTCTGTACTAATGAGCTAAAGTGATCTCAAACTTGGTTGATTCATTCTTTATATGGGCTAAGGATGAAGACTGTGTTTAGGGTCTATCTTAATTTGATTTTGGAGAAGAAAAGTTGTCTTTTTATAAAACATCAGTAGTTGTTGAGGACTAATTTCAAAAAATTCTTTTTCAAATATAAAGTAATTCGGAATTTCAGAATAACTTTTTAAAAATCCCTTTTAGATATTTTATGGTACTTGTGCTTCAGTTTTGATGTCTTACCTATTTTGTTTTTTTCTCCCTTGAATTCTCATCTGAACCAAAAAATAATTAGCTGAGCAGAATAAAGAATCTTGTTGTATATGTTTGCCCGGTTTTAGGTAAATTTCTGTAGAAATAATGTTATAAATCAATATAAGTATTTGGGTTTTATTTTTTAACATATACGTTTTAACATTTGGTTTATTGTTATTTTGTGAATTGAGTAAGTATATTTCTACGTTTCCTGCAACCATTCTTAGCATTCAATTTTTAAATGAATGACAGCCCATCTGTGTAGGTCTCTTGTGACTGAGTGATGTATTCTGTTTTGCTGTGGCAAAGTTTTCAGACAGCCACTTTGTTCTTATATATTTTCATTTTCTATAGTACTTTTCATCCCTGTATGTATGTACAGGAGTCACTTCACCCACCACCGAATTGCAGCCACTTCTGAGGTGGAACGCAGCAACTGTTTAACAGCGCACTTTCCCCTAGGTGCTGACAGCTGCAGAAGAAATTGTACATGGTGCTGTACAGAAGGTATTTCTCCACTGTGCCATCTGCAGAGTGAAACTGACTAGGAGTACTACATAGACTGTAAGTTTCTTGTGTACCTGCCCTAGACTGGAAAGCCCAATAAGAGAAAATAACAAATAACTGGGAAACATCATCTAAAAGTGTATTGAGGTCAGTTAAACTTAGTGCTGCTCTCCCTGGCTCTAAATTTTATTTTAAGGTCTTCTGATTGGTACAAAATTAAATAACAAATAGATGGATGCACTCCTTTTTATTCTAAAAGCAAATGAAACTAAAATGCTTTTATCAATATTCTTCACTTTGAATGGAACTTAATCATATTGTTTTTAAATATTTTTAAGTAACCAAATCAATATTATAAGATTTCAGAGCCATGTTCTTAAAATAGCAAAAAAAAAAAAAAAAAAACTTGTAATTCAACAGGAACGTCTTAATTAACCTTGCTTCCAGTGTTTTATGTCTTGGTTTTAATACTTTCTTTTGGAGTTTTGCAACAAAGCCAGTTTATGATGAACTAGTTTTGATTCTTAGGATTAGAAACACCAATTTTGACTTCTTTTTTATTTTTATTTTTAATTTTTCTGAGATGAGGTCTCTCTCTGTCACCCAGTCTGGAGGATGGTGATGTGATCATGGCTCACTGCAGCCTCAACCTCTTGGGCTTAAGCGATCTTCCTGCCTCAGCCTTGCAAGTATCAAAGATAGCCTCCCAGCTATCAAAGTAGCTGGAAGCTGGCACTACAGGCATGCGCTACCACAACTGGCTAGTTTTTTTCTTTTTTCTTTTTACTTTCTGTAGAGATAGGGTCTCACTGTTTGAGACTAACCTGATCTCAAACTCCTGACCTCAAGCGATCCTCCTGCCTTGGTCTCCTGAAGTGCTGGGATTATAGGTGTGAGCCACTGTGCTCTGCTCAATTTTTTTTTTTCTTTAACATTTGGGGAAAAAAGTGGGGAAGAGAAGGAACAGTAAATATTTGAATTTCTGCTTACTGTAGTTTTAGTCTCTCCCATTTAATTATTTAATGAGATTTTCTTTTGTAAAAGCACTTTTATAAGAGTGCTGTCTTTAGTAATAGTTTGGCATGTTTATGCCTTATAAAATAGAGAAATATCATTAGAAACAGCTGTGTCTGTTGTTACACAACATGATAAGGAATGTTATATTTTGTTATTTTAGGGTTTTTTTTTAGTCAATAGTATGACATTTTATCTCTTTTCTGCTACATTTATAGACTGTTCTATGTGAAGAAATTAGAATCTCAAACTTCACAGAGTCTTAATCATATTAAATATGGTGTCATTTGGTTTAGGTAACTTTAAATTATGTGTCATAAGTTAAATTATAATGTGCACATATCTATGTTTATATATTCTTAGTCAAAGCAGATAAAAAATAACTTCATTCTACAGTTTGTTTACTTGTAAAATGAGGTAGGTAGAAGAAATGATTTTCTAGGGACATTTTAAGTGTTTTCCTTTTAATTCAGGGTTAGTAGTGTATGTATTTAGAATTGTACCTTACCAAGATATTTGGGCTTAAGTGACTTTATTCTAATTAGAATATTATTTGTGTTAATTAAATGCTGAGTGATAATGTTTTAGAATCAATAGAGGGGGTCGGATTTCCTACAAAGATTTTTAATTATCTATCTAATTTTGTAGTGTAGATAACTCCATTGTTATGAAATATAATCTTTGGACAATACAGCACAGTTCTTAGTATCTTATTCATCATGGAAGCATAAAGTGAGTAAGAATAAAAGGCTTTACTTACACTGAGTGGAAATTTACTTAAAGGTTACCAAAAACTCATATTGTAATGAGGCTTACCCTCTTTACTTGCATAGATTTAGTATTTCATTTAATAGTCAAAGCACTAAAGAAGTAAATGTCAATACTTAAAAATTTACAGTTTACACGTAATATACCTATGTATCTCTAGCCAAGAGAGTATTTTTATCAATATATGAAATATTCGAATTGCTATAATTGATTCTTTGGCACTTTCTACAGTGTAATTGTAAGTATTACTTAATCCCATTCATTTTATTTACTGAAGTCATCAGTATTTGACAGAATAGATTATATGTTTTATATACTAAATTTTGGTTGAAAAGGCACAAACTATACCTGCTTTGTGTGTCCTGGTATCTATTTTTAAATTATACAAGTTATTTTTTATATTTTAGACTTTATGTAGATGATAGAAGTTTGGCAACTTACTTGATTCAATATTTAGCCATATGAATCTTGTATTTTATTATACCCATAGTGTATGGGATTTGAAAAAGAATCAGATGGGAACTTTTTATTGAATATATTTCTGTATTATTGAATTTAATGAAAATATACTGCTTGTGTAATCAAAAATAAACTGTCGGTGTTTCAGTTAAATTAATTTTTTGGAACATTTGTTTAGTTTATTTAGAGATGATCACCATTTCATAAAACAGATACCTCTTATCTCTATTGGTGATTTTCAAAGGGCCTTCCTCATACTGTGAAAGGCCAGAATTGTGGGCAGGATTATTACTTAATTAGCACTCACTTAATAATTTTGGAATTCAGAAATAAATTATAGGTTATGAATAATTAAACTTTAAGGAAATACTTATTTTTCATCCTTTCTCATTATAATTTTCTATTTGTAATAGGAAAAATGAAGCAAATGCATAAATTATATGAATTTTAATTTAATTTAATTTAATTTTATTTTTTTGAGATGGAGTCTCGCTGTATCCCCAGGCTGGAGTGCAATGGCACGATCTCGGCTCACTGCAGCCTCTGCCTCGCGGGTTCAAATGATTCTCCTGCCTCAGCCTCCTGAGTAGCTGGGACTACAGGCATGTGCCACCACACCCAGCTAATTTTTTCTATTTGTAGTAGAGATGGGGTTTCACCATGTTAGCCAGGATGGTCTTGATCTCCTGACCTCGTGATCCTCCCATCTTGGCCTCCCAAAGTGCTGGGATTACAGGTGTGAGCCACTGCACCCGGCCAAGTTATATGAATTTTTCAGTACTTATGTATGAATGATAAATACTTAGACCTCTTGTGATAATGTCCTGGCAACATCTAGCTTTCCATTAGAGGCTTTAAGAAGAGATACTAGAACCAGCTGAAGAAATAGTGAAATTGGTGAGAAAATAGGAAACTATATGGCAATATATTTTTCATTGCAGAATTTATTCAATTTAAACTAATTTTAAAGAACATACATTTTAAAGTAGAATTTTAGTCCATAATTTTAAATTCTCAGATGTTCTCAGTTTTACAAAATACTCTTTTAAATTAGGTACATATTTTTATATCCCTCTCAAATAGATAATTTTTTAAAAATTATTTTTCTTATCAGATTTATCTGAACAAATTTTATTTGTTAGAGAGACGAAACACCTTCAGATGTTTTACTGTAAGCAATAGGGAGATGATTTTTCAATGTAGGATTAGGTGGACAATTCTTTTTATCCTAAGTGGTCAATATTTGAGTTACTTCATTTGATAATCAAGCTTTAGTATTTTATACACCATTTCTTATTATCCAAAATATAATTTATATTCCTAGACTAATATATGGAATTTGAATTTAAATGTTTTAGAATTAAAAATGAAAAATGTTTTTTTCTAAATGGTTTCCAATAGATTAATGGAGATATAATACTCATATCTTTGCTTTTCTTATTTTATATATCAAATGATTTCTGCTTATTTTTATAAATTTTGCAGTTATTTTTCAATATAAATTGAATTCATTGAAAATTTTAAATGTATAAGTTTGCGTAAAAGACTACTGATGCCAGAAACCTCATTATCTTTAATTAATCTTAACTGAATTAAGCATTTATTACTTTAAAATTTTTCTGTAATTCTGAAATTTCTATATGTCTTGTGGGTAAATGTGTGTGTGTATATATGTGTATATAATCTTTCTAATGTATTTTCTGAAGTGTGATCTCGAATCCTTACTGCCACTTTGTAGCTATTAATCAAGTGTAAATTGCTTAACAACTTTAAGGTTGTTTTTTAAGTCTGTTAATTGGGAATCATTTCACCTACCTCACAGGGTTGTTGTGAGGAAAAAACAATAAAACATATGTGAAAGAGTGCTTAGCATATAATAGATGTGCAGTGTATGAAAATGAGTGTTACCAAACCTTCAGTGGCCCCCATTGTCCTCAGGATAAAATCCAAATTCTGTGTCATGGTGTGTGTTCTGGCTCACCCTTATGTCTTCAGCCCCATTTCTTTCCTTGAAAACTGCACATATTGATTTATTGATACTGTAGTCTTTATAGTTCCCAGGATATATCATGCTTTCTTTTGGCCTTTATTGGAATGCACCATTCTTTTAAACTACTTACTTTCCCCTTTATCCCTAGGCTACTATCCTCTGTATAACTCAACCTCATCTGTCAGGCTTTGCTTTCTATTTCTTCTTCACTAAGATGTCTTCTGTCCCTTCTTCCTCACTTATATATTTTCTTGGATGATCCTTCTGTGTTTATTCTTTTCAGCAATTATTGCATGTAATGTAACTGCCTTTGTACTTGTCTGTTTCCTCTACTAGATGTAAAGTCAGAGAGGGTGGAGCCTGTCTTATTTGCCATTTTCCTCCACTACTTAAGAGTTTCTGTAACTCAGGAAATATTTGAACATTTTATAAGTAGATGTGTTCCCTAAACAAATTCACAACATATATAATATGAGTGCTACTCCTTAAGTAAAGCAATTTGGATTCTATATTTATAAAATGTATTTCAGGTCCCACAATAATCATAACAAAATGATGGCCATACAATTGGTCTTCTTTGCCCACCATTTATCACTCTAACGGGTTTATTAGAAGAGATAGACTCATTCAGGGTGCAAGCAGAGAGTTACTTTATTCTCTCTAGTCACTTTACATGCAGTTCCATTCTGAATATTATGTTTTCTGCTCCTTGATAAAATGCTGTTTAAGTGCTGTTATTTGCATCTCTACTCTATTCTTGCTTCTCTGCTGCTGCTTGCTTTTTTTCTTCTCAATTTTTTTCTTTCTCTCTCTCATTCTTTCATTCCTTCTTTTCTCACTCTGGCATTTTAAAATAGACTAAATTTTCAAGTAATGAAGAAAATGTTTAATGAATTAAAGTTTTAAATTCTCCTCCAATATAAAATGTCTTTTCTACATCAACCTTGCTCAAAGAGGGTTTAAAAACCTGAATAAGGAAGGAAATAGGTTGGTCAGCTAGTAGGCTGTTGCATTAATTTTTTTTTTTTTTTAACCTTATGTTTTCACCCTCCTCACTGTGCATCACCTAGGTTTTCTGAAGTTCAGGGATTAGAAGTAGGGAAGAACTAATTGGTAGTAAAAGTATGTTGGAAGTCTTAATGGATTCTTCTCTTGCTTTTCTGGATTCATCAAAGACTTCTAGTATTTGGAGATAACCCAACTATAGTTCCTTGATGCGGTTGACACTTTATTTGTCTGGTTTTGACTACCCTGCTTAGTTTCTGACTTTCTGGTTTATCTCTGTCCTCTTTGTTTTGGAGTTACCTTGTTTTTCTTTTTTCTTTTTTTATAGTCCTTTAGGTAAGTTCCTTTAAAAATGGATTAATGTTTTCCTAGGGGTTATCTGTCCCATGGGAAAATATATTTCTTTACTCCACCAACCTACTAAAGTACTGGCCAATTCTAAAGTAGTAGCCCAGACTGAGGGCATGAGTCTTTAATTAGTTACCACTCCTTGAGTGCCCTATATTCTAGATCATAGACTAAATTCTGAGTGCATCACGGTGCTACTTCCTTCTCAATCAATCTATAAGCTGCCTTCCCTCAGTATATGTTTATAGTTTTTATTTGAAAGGTGAGCTAAAGATAGCCTGAGCAATTTTTGGCCACATTCTTACCAACTGTAGCCTAGATGATCTGTCACCTCATTTCTAGTACATTGAACTTGTTCTCAGCTTTGGATCATTGGCTGAAACTGAGACAACAAGAAAATTCTCATTTTAATATCCTGTTACACTACCATTGTGGCATTGAGGCCATAATGGGAAGCTTGCTTTTCTATGAATGTCCATCCATTTCTGTAATTCCATGCCTTGTCTTATGCTGTTCTGTCATTTTGGGATGTCTTTTCTACCTTTTTTTCCTTCGGTATTCTACCCAGTCTTCAATGTCCAAGTTAAGTAAAGTCTTTATTGGTCTTGGCAGTTAGAATAAATATTTCTCTCTAGTGTGTTCTCATTAATACTTTGTTTCATGTGTTATTATATTACTTATAGATGTGTCTGTCTCTCTGACCAGATTATGAGACAGATTTTGAGACAGCCACTGACTTACTTATTGATGAACTTCTTATTGCCTAGCTCCTGTTATGTGTTTGGGACATTATATGCTTAATTAATGAATCTCTTCTGAACACTCAGATTGAAGTTTATAAAATTGTTAAGTAATTAATACTTCTATCTCCTTATTTATTTTTCTCCTTGTTCCAAAAAAAGTTTGAGGGATCAACAGTTAGTTTCTATGCCTTTTATCATATTTTTTGCTTTTTGAATTTTTAATTTTTATGGATACCTAATAGTTGTACATATGTATGGGGAATATGTGAAATTTTGATGCATTCATACAATGCGTAACGATCAAATCAGGACAATTGGGATATCCATCACCTCAAGCACTTATCGTTTCTTTGTGTTAGGAGAATTCCAATTCCACTCTTCTAGTTATTTTGAAATATATGATTATTACTTTTTAACTCAGTGGTGTTTATTTATTCTTAGGCAAATTTATTTTAGGTTTTAGTTCTGGTTTGGGCTAAATTAATTTTCTCCCATTTTCCTTTGACTTCTTTATTTTTCTTTCTCTTTAAATTTCAGTCTCTGTAGCTAACTATGATAAATAAAGATAATTAGATATTCCAAGTAGCTTCAAGTTGCAAGTAAAAATAACTAATTAATTTAATTAAATAGCTGTAATGATCTGTCACCCCATTACTACTTTTTTTTTTTTTTTTTTGCCATTACAAAATTTTCTGTTTCCTTTTTAAATTCTTCAGGGTTTCAGATTCCATCTTTAGATATGGTCAGAAATGATGAAAGACAAGTTATTGGTCATAAAAAGGGTTGGTTGTAAAAGAATAATATTCCTATAATAGAAAATTAAATTGTTATATTTATTGGGAGTAAAGTTCTGTTTCATTCAGACATTATCCTGTTATTTTGAGTGATTACCCTAAATAAGTTGTCTCAATTTGAAATGCAGCACCGAATTTCTGCCATTCCTCAAGAGAATAATAATGCAGTCTTTTTATAATAATGCAGTCTTTATTACTGAAATTTAGTCAAAAGTAGAATTATTTAATACATGTAGTCAGGCAAATAAGTAAAAATTAGATAACCAAGAAATCCAAAAAGCATTTTAAGTAGAGAAAATTGAAAAATTACCTCTATTTAAAAATTCTTTTTCCTGGAAAGTTCCAGATGAGTACAGATGGTATACTAAGAAAAGAGAAAGCATATTTTCCCTTCAAATCACATTGTTAAAGGCTGAAAGATGATAAATCAACTTGCCATATAATAGCCCAGTGATCTTTTTTCTTCCTTATTTTCATGTTGTTGGAAATATGAAGTTTTTAATAGATATGTTTACCTTACCTAATGACTTGCACCAATATGACTGGTGACATTTTAATATTTAATTTTGATAATTTTATCTGTTAGCACTTATTGGCTTAGGAATCTTAGTGAATGGATATTCTGACCTTTACATTAGGTTAAATGATATAGATGGCAGATCTCAGAATCAGCTCAATAAGGTGCCAGATATTATAATATATAATATATATGATTACTTGTGTGCAGTCATACTTCTTATAGCAATAACATTTTGTGTATTTTCATAAGAAGAAACAAACTACAAAATATGGCCAAGTGAGTCTCAGTTTTAGGTATCAAGAAACACTGTTTATCCCTGTGATTTTCCCTGCTCCTCAACCCTTGCAATAATTCAAACATTCTATTTACAACATCAGTAAAATACATTTTTCTTGTATTTTCCACTGAGTTTAAGGTGAACATCGACTTAGGATGGAACTTTGAGATTAGGAAGAACAAAATTCTGTTTTTCTGTTTTTGAAAGCATACTCGGGGAAACTAAAATGCAATAGACTTTTTGGCATGCATCTAGTATGTATCAATTATAAAATAGGAAAAGTGATGCCTAAAAATATAATTTCCTAAAATATGCCACCTGAAGTATATTTCTTTTAAATACTTGTTTTTCCCTTTGTTTCCTTATAAATGGCTCATTCTGTTTTTGAATTGTAAGATTGTATAGGACTTTAGAAACCCTCTTTTAGTGGGTCCAGTTAAAAAGTAAGTGATTAACTGTAAATTTTTTCATATACCTTGTTCTTTATTTCATAACTAATCCTGGATTGTGTTCCTATACAAAATACCTTACTCATGTTACAGGGAAAGTGCAAATAAGAAAACAGCCATCAATTGATACTTGGTTTTTATGCGTCTCTTTGCAACTCCAACTTCACATTTTCCCACTGTGCTTTAAAGTATGACAGATTCAGCATGCCTGAAAACCCAAATCAGAAGTTCCCTATTCTCATTCTACCTTCCAACCCCAATCATTCTTTGCTTATGTCTTCACCATATACTTGTGACTGTTTCCTCTCCTTTTACTTAAATATCATCCAATTTTTTTTCTGGATCCTAAATATTTTGCCTTTAAGATTTGTATTGAATCAGTATGGCTTATTCTATCTCTGTTGATAAAACTCTAGCTCATTACTTACCACAAGAAGTGATAAGTTTTTAAAAATAGGTTTGTGTACTAGTTTTACCACTGTATTTCCTTAAGAGTGGAAAGCACGTATTGTTCACCTTTGTGCTTTCCATGGAGGATATTCTCATAAATCATTTCTGAGTTCACTCAACTAATTGTGAAGTAGTTGATTCCTGGTATTTAAGTCTTAAAAATATTGAATGGATTGCTGAAAGTCAGATCAGTGCCACAGTTTAAAATTAATCTCACATTATTCCAACTTGATGATACTCTTATTAGTGTTACCACCAGGAAAGTACCTTAAATGAATTCTGAATAATTATTAAGAACACTTGGTTTGCTACTAATGTGAAAACAAATTTTACTTATAGTATGCTAGTACATGCTGGTTTGTAGGCTTTTACTATAATTTAGATGAACTGAGTTGTCTTTTTGTTTCCATTTTTAAAAATATGGTTACATGCCATTTTGAGGAAATAATTGTGGCAAAAGTCATCTAATTCAGCAGCCCCCGACCTTTTTGGCACCAGGGACTGGTTTTGTGGAAGACGATTTTTCCCTGAGGGGGATGGTTTCAGGATGAAACTGCTCCACCTCAGATCATCAGGCATTAGATTCTCATGGGAAGCACGCAGCCTAGATCCCTGCATGGGCAGTTCATAATAGGGTTTGCACTCCTGTGAGAATCTAATGCCCCAGTTGATCTGACAGGAGGCAGAGCTCAGGTGGTAATGCTTAATGCTTGCTCACCTGTGGCTCACCTCCTTTGTGTGGTCAGGCTCCTAATAGGTCAGGGAAGGGGTGTGGGGGAAGTGGGGATGGCTGATTGGGGACCCCTGATTTAATTGTTTAGGTCTCTTTTTTTACATTAGTCTCTTTGTGGTTCCTTCAGAGATAAAATACAAATGGGAAACAAGCTTCCTTGGAAATGTTACAAAAGACTTAAACCCAACTACTATTCTGAGGGTGGATCTGATTTATGCTAGTAAGAGGACACAATGGCCTCCTAAGAGGAGTAACTCTGCAGCAGGCTATTTTTGCTTCTTGTGCTAGAACTTTAGAGATAGCTTGTTTTTTTTTTCCTTTGCCTCTTATTATTATAGTCTTTGAAGATAATCACTAGTTTCTGAAAAATTTTATTACAAAAGTACTGTCATTCATATCAGACTGAATTTGAATATATGCTTATCCTTGCTTTTGAAATGTTTAGTTAAATTATTTGAGTTGTCAGTGTTATATAAAAATAACATTTTAAATGCAGTCTCTTAAAAATATTATTTCAGTCTATAACTTTGAATGCTTTGATTAATATAATCCTGTTTTCTTCCCATTTCTCTCCTCTTTTTCTTTTAGTATCTATGTGTATATATCTTTATCTACATCTATCATCTATCTATAAAGGCATATACACATATATATACATAAGAGCTCTTAATTTTATAAATCCACTTTTTATATTCTGATGTCTCAGTTATTTTCTTGGAAAAGAACTTTTCAAGTCAGTTTAATTTTATTTTGTCTTATTTAGAAACAAAATCTGAAGCCTGTATGTTTTGTTTTCCAGATTTGTCTGTATTTATATTAACGTTGGTGTGTGTTGCTTTCATATTATAACTATCACAAGTTTTGTGGCATTTAGTGAACCTAATGTAATTTACATTCTGTTATTTGTATAATCTGTTATTCTTATTCATCATTCATTCATTCATTTCTTCATTCAGTGTTTATTTAGTAATACTGTGTACCCGGCACTGTCCTGCATGCTGGGGATACAGGAAGTCTCTATGTTCGTGGAGTTTGTATTCTTGTAAAAGAAGAGGGAGATGTGTAACCCAAATAGAGAATTTTAGAGAGGCATAAATACAATGTAAGAAATAAGGGCATGGTATAAAATATCTTGGGGGTATATTTTAGCTAGGATATAGGAGAAGGATCATTTGAGTTGAACTCTAAAGGATGAGGACGACGAAAGTCACATTCTAGTCATCAGGAATAGTAAAGAAAAACGTCCTTGGATCAGAATGAGCTTAGCATGCTCAGAGAAAAGAAAGAAATGCTGTGTGGGTTGGCTATCCTTCAGAAAGAGAATGTGGCAGGAGTTGAGGTCTTTAAGATAATGTACAGGCCAGATCAGTAAGTCATAGTGAGGAGTTAAAATTTTACCATAATTACAATTTGAAGACATTGGATAGTTGAATGTTACGAACTGATTAACACTGAGGAAATTAGTTTACCTGCTGTGCAGAAGATGAACAAGGGAAAGGAGTGGGGGGCAAGAGCATTATTAGGGGGTTATTGCTGTGGTCCCAGCTAGAAATTATGGTGTCTTGGTGTAAGTCTTGTAGTAGTAGAAATGGTGAGAGGAAAGATGTTTTGGAGGAGCACTATTAGAATTTGTAAATGGATTAGAAATGGGGTAATCAAAAGTATCAAACATAATTAAACATTAAATATTCTTTGGAAATACAATTTAATCGACATAAACTTTTCCATGGTAAAAATGTAGTATAATTTTTTAAATTACACATCTATTTTTGATTATTAGTTTTTTCCTTAGTTTTGCTAAAATAAATGACATCATGTCATTTTCTCACCTCTCTGCCATTGAATGTAACAATGATTTTTGATGGCTTGTCAGTTTGAAAGGTAGAAAATTGTATCTTGCTATTTTACTTTGTTTGTCTTTGATTACTACTTAGATTCAAATTTTAATGTGTGTATTAACCAACTGTATTTTTCAGTTGTGGATTATTTCTAGTCTTGATTGTTTGGGGGATATTGGGTATTTTCTTTATTGATTTGAAAGGCCTTATTAATTTCCTGAGATAATCTAAAAGTTCCAACTTGATTTGGCTCTGAGTCTTTCTGATTCTCTTATGTCAGTTTCCCCCTGCCGTTTATGCTGTAGACAATCTGGACACTTCTCAGCCAAGCAAGTTTTGTATTGCCTCTTAGCTTTTGCACTTGTTCTCCATTTCTGGATCCCTCTTCCTCTACATCTTCACTCATGACTGTGAGAGAAGGTTCATCATTCATGTTCCAGTTCAAATGTCATATCCATAGAGGAGCTATTCCCAGTTTCCTAATATAATATCCCTTCTTACATCTTTCACATTCTATCACATTACTGTCTCTGTTTTGTTTTCTTTGTTCTCTCCTCATAGTCTTTTAAGGTCTTCACAGCACTTATCACTGTCTGAACTTATTTATTACTTACTTATTGCCTGTTCTTTCCACTAAGAATGAAAGAACCATGGGGACAGGCATCTAATCTGATTTGTTTACTGCTGTACTGTATGGGGCTATTGTTGGGCATATGGTGGGTAATAAATACATATTGTGGAGTGGATGATATAAGGGCATTAACCATTTGTTATAATCTTATACTTGTGTTCTTTCCCTTTTTGCCAATTGTCTCTCATTTTTGCTTATGGCTTTTTATATGTAGAATTTTGCACTTTAATAGAATCAAAACAATGAAGCTTTTGAAATTTAAAAAAACTTTCCATTTGAGATCTTCCATTTACCAATATTCTAATTTGAAATGTTTTTGAATATAGAGTTATCATTTATTTTTGTGAATTAGGGAAAGTATTTGAAGATAAAAAATAGCTCATAAGTTTATTTCTAGTTTGATTACATATTTTATAACATAGAAATTATATATAATTTTTTTGTTTTTCTTCACTTAATATTTTACCATGTGCATGTTTAAATAATATACCCTTCATTTTTCACAAGCATGATTTTAAAAATTTCTACACTATTTCATCTTAGGCATTTGATATATTTATCAATCCTTTATTATATATTTGTTTCAGTCTTTTTTGCTAATATACATTTAACACAGGGCATATTATTGTATTTAAGTTATTGTGTTCATTTATAATACCTCCATTATGATAAATTCTGAAACATAAAGTAGTGGATTTCCTGAGTCATTAGGAGTATAGTATACACAGTATTTTAAGACATTGAGTATTCATTGCCAAATTATGCTCCAGAAAAATTAAATCAGTTTACTCTCCTAGTAGTAGTGTATGTATGTGTGTGTTTATGAAATGTTCTAATTCCTGATATTGTGTGCTTTTAAAAACTTGGCCCATTCCTCTCCATGAATGCCCTCTCCCTCTAAAACTTTCTCGAAAAACTATTAGAATGTTTGTCACATACAAAATTAAAAAATTTTTACATAGTAAAGTCTGTTATCTTTCCCCCCCTTTTTTCCATTTTGTGTTTTTGCTTAAAATAACTTTTCTTATTTGAAGGTTATGAATATGCTCACTTATGGTTTGATCTTATTTTTTATGTTATATGCCTCTAATTTATATAGAATTTAAGATTTGGGGGGTTTTGAGAGTAGAAGTTCTCGCTTTATTTTTTCCAAATAGTAATCTAGTTATGCCAGCTATATCTTTTTAAATTTTTTTTAATTTTTTAACATTTTTATGGCTACATATTAGGTGTATATATTTATGGAGCACATGAAATGTTTTGATACAGGCATGCAATCTGAAAAAAGTCGCATCATTAGCAAGGGGGTATCCTTCCCCTCAAGCATTTATCCTTTGTGTTACAAATAATACAATTACATTTTTAAAGTTATTTTAAAATATACAGTTAAGATATTGTTGACTATAGTAGCCCTATTATACTATCAAATAGTAGGTCTTATTCGTTCTATTTTTTTTTTTTGTACCCATTTAACATCCCGCCTTCTCCCCAACCGCCCACCACCCTTCCGAGCCTCTGGTAACCATCCTCTACTTTATCTGTCCATAGTTCAATAAATTTGATTTTTAGATCCCACAAATAAGTGAGAGCATGCAGTCTTTGTCGTTCTATGCCTGTCTTATTTCACTTAACATAATCATCTCCAGTTCCAGCCATGTTACTGCAAATGACTGGACCTCATTCTTTTTATGGCTAAATACTCCATTGTGTATATGTACCACATTTTTTTTTTTTTTTTTGAGACGGAGTCTCGCTTTGTTGCCCAGGCTGGAGTGCAGTGGAGTGATCTCGGCTCACTGCAAGCTCTGCCTCCCAGGTTCACACCATTCTCCTGCCTCAGCCACCTGAGTAGCTGGGACTACAGGCGCCCACCACCACGCCCGGCTAATTTTTTGTTGTTGTTGTTTTTGTTTTTTGTATTTTTAGTAGAGACGGGTTTTCACCGCGTTAACCAGGATGGTTTTGATCTCCAGGCCTCGTGATCTGCCCATCTCGCCCTCCCAAAGTGCTGGGATTACAGGCGTGAGCCACCACGCCCGGCCTATGTACCACATTTTCTTTATCCAGTCATCTGTTTCTGCTGATAGTAATTTTTGAATAATCATATATACTATAATCATGCTAAATTTTTTTGCTTAATTTTTACATATGCCAGGGTTTTTTGAGAAAGGGCTATTTATTCTGGTCCACTGTTATATTAATCCTTATTTGATGTATTGTTTTTTAGTCTCTCTGTATTGTAAAGTATCTACTAGAATAATAATTCCCTGGCCCTATTGTCCTTTATTTTAAAAACTATTCTGGTATATTGCTACATTTCTTTTTCTCTACAAACTTAAAATTATTTTGCCACTTTATCCTTCCTAAATAAACCATATCCGTTTTTATTTTAGTGAAGTCACATTGAAAGTATTAACTGTTTGCATAAGATATTCTTGTAATATCCAGGATTTCTTATAAGAACTGAGATTTTTTAAAAATTATTTTCTGTCTCAGTAAAGCTTTTTTCTACACAGATATCTAAATATGTCACTTAAGGCAATTACTAGTTGTTTATTTCATGTAATATTATTCCTGGTTGCTCTTTTAGTATTTCTTAATTTACATATTTAGCTGATTATTATGCTTCTGTAGTCTATTAGTTTCCTGTGATCACTATAACAATTAACATTAATTTTGTGTCCTAAAATAATGCAGATTTATTCTGTTTCAGTTCTGATGGCCAAAAGTTCAAAATCAGCCTTACTGGGTTAAAATCAAGCCTCAACAGGTCTGGTTCCTTTGGAGGCACTAGGGAAGAATCCCTTTCCTTGTCATTTCTACCTTTCCTTGACTCTCAGCCCCTTTTAAGAATCACTCCATCCTTTTGCTTTTGTCATCACATTTTCTACTTCCTTTTTTAACCTTCTTGTCTCCCTCTTGTGATTATATTTAGGGCTCACTCAGATAATCCATGATAATCTCCCCATCAGAAGATCCTTAATTTAGGCACATCTGTAGGTCTCCTTTGCCATATAAAGTGACATTCCCAGGTTCTAGGGATTAGGGTGTGTGTATTATGTGAGTGACCTTTATTCAGCCTGCCCATATAGAATAATTATTAATTTTATACTATTTTATTTCCATTGATTTTATTGAACATTATGTTAAGTATTGTTGCTTTCAGTTCATTTTCTACCCAGTTATAAAATCTCCATGTGATTATATGTTTTTTTATTTTTATAGTAGTAATTTTATACCTGTTTCTATTTCATATTTTATTACTTCTTTCAATTTTAATGCAAATGCCAAAAATGTTTTCCTTCATGATATTTTCTGTTGTTTTCAGACGGGTATTTTTTCCTAATCATAGAGAAGTAATTTGTTTCTTGCTCTTTAACAGTCATCTTGGACAAACATGTTTAACATACATCTTGGACATATGTTTTGTTGTATTTATGTACTACCAAATATTAGCCCACACTTGCATTTCTGTATTAAGCTGTATTTAACTATAGTATATCAGTTTTTCAATATACAGATGGATTTAAGTTGCTTATATTTAGTTATGATTTTTAACGTCTTCATTCATACATTTGTGTATGGCTGAGTTTGTGTGTGACTTTCTTTTCCATTTTGATTATCAGAGTTATGCTAGTTATTAGTAAAGTGAATTTAAAGACATTCTATTTTTCCTCTATAGACTAGTTTATATTCAGTATTGAATACTTTTTGTAGCATGAAAATTCTCTTTGCATTTATAGTTTGAAATATCACATACAGCAGTCTGAGCACAGAGCTTATTTGAATATATTTATTTGATAGGCCTTTTTCATTTCTTGGCTATTTTTGAGTGAATTTTGATAATTTACCTTGTTCTCAGAGAGTTGTCCACTCTATCAAGATTTTACAGGACTATTTGTTGCATACCTGCTATGTATTAAGCATTGTGCTAGGTGCTGTGCATGCAAAGATAAGAATTTCCTAGGATTCTTAATCTCAGGAAGCATGTAGTGAGAGAAGTTAATTTTCTTAGGGTAGAGACATAAGAAATAGAAAAGAAGAAATTAACATCTAAACAGAACTTCTGATAACGATTTCCTCATGAATACAGGCAGCATGTACAAAGTCATAAAAATGGTTGAATACATGAACAATTGAGACATTTACAAGTAGATCATTACAGCTTGAGTTTAGGTATTGGTCAGGAAAGAGTAATGTATACAAATTAGAAGCTGTATTATGGATTATTCCTGAATTTGTACCTTTTCCTATAAACATTGATAGACTGTTAATAATGTTCATTCTGGGTTTATCATCAGTATATTCACATTTTAAAAGATTATTCTGATGGCAATAGGGAGGGCTTTACTGAAGGAAGTGGGAGTGGTTAATGCTGGAACCACTTACCCATTGCATTACCGCAAAATGCATAAGTGGCTCCTAAGCGAGGGCTACAAATAGAGATAGAAATGAAGGAAAGACTATATATAAACAAATGCTAAAGAAATAGACCAAAGATTAGTTTACTGATTGGATACGGTAGATGAGGGAGAAGTCAAGACGACTTCTAACTTCCTGTCAGTTGTATTAGAACAAAATGTTTTCCTTGTCTTTATTTCAGACGTGATAGCTCTGATTTCATTTGAAAGACTTATTATATTCTACACAGACTGTATCATTAACATGAAAATGTGAATAGGAATATCAATGTCAGGATCACATTTTTAGTTAGAAACCAAAGTTATCTATTATAGACAATATATCTAATAGCTAGGAGAGAAAAAATAGACATTCTAATAAGATTTCTGAACCATATAGCATGGTGATCTAAAAATCACATTTTATTTATGATGTTTTTAGTACATCTTCACTTGGAAAAATGAAATAAAGAATTTTATAGTAAAAGAGTTTAGACATACTATTTGAAATTTGTTTGAAGTTGTTTCTCACCAAATATATTCCAGGCATTCATAAGATATGGATATCAAAATGAAATACCCTCTGCCCTCAAAAGGTACAAAAGTCTCGTAAAACATGTCTTATAAAGGTGATTTTCAAGTATCTGCCCATTACATACATCAGTAATACAAGCTCATGCAACTGCCACCATAGTCAAGCTATGGTATATTTCCATCATGCCAAAAAATTTCATTGTGCCCCTTGCCAGACCATCCTTCCCATCCATCCTCACTTCAACATTCCTTCCTTAACCCCCTCCTGCCATAGGCAATCAGTGATCTGTTTTCTGTCACTATAGATTTGACTTTTCCAGAGTTTCATTTATATAGAAGCATACATTATGTAGCCTTGTGTCTAGTTTCTTTTGCTCTGAATCATGTTTCTGAGATTCATCCCTGATTTTGCATGTGTAATTTATTCCTTTTTATTGTTGAGGAGTAGTCATTGTCTAGGTGTGTGTATACACAGTTTATTTATCTATTAATGGACCTTAAGTCGTTTCTAGTTCTTGACTATTAGGAATAAAATTGCTATGAATATTTGAGTACAAGTCTTTGTGCAGAGTTATGCTTTCGTTTATCTTGGGTAAATACTTAGGAATGGTATATCTGAGTCATATGGAATATTCAACTCTGTGAAAAACCACCAGGAGGGGTTGTGTCATTTTACATTCCTGCCACTATTTCATGAGCTCTCCAATTAGTCCAGATCCTTACCATGACTGTACTTTGTGGTGTCAGTCTTTTTAAAATTTTAGCCATTGTAATTTGCGTAATTGTATCTCATTGTGATTTTAATTTTTGTTTTCTTAGTGGGTTTTCATGTGCTTTGTGACCATTGCTTTATTTTCTTTTGTCAACTCTTCAAACCTTTGGTTGTCTCTATTGGATTGTTTTTCTACTAATCAGTTAGAAGAGTTCTTTAAATATTCAGGATACAAGTCCTTTGTCAGATATATGTGTTGTGAATATTTTCTCCTGTGTTGTTCTGTGTCGTGGTTTACCTTTTCATTTATTTGTTTGTGTCCTTCCAGGAGCAGAAATTTTTAATTTTCATGAAGTCCAGTTTGTAAACGCTTTTTAAAAACCTGTCTTACTTTTTGCATATTAAGAAATGCTTGCAAATGTCAGATTTTCTCCTACAAGTTTTGTTTTGTTTTGTTTTGTTTTGAGACGGAGTTTCGCTGTTGTTGCTTAGGCTGGAGTGCAATGGCGCGATCTCGGCTCACGGCAACCTCCACCACCTGGGTTCAAGCAATTCTCCTGTCTCAGCCTCCTGAGTAGCTGGGATTACAGGCATGTGCCACCACACCCAGCTAATTTTGTATTTTTAGTAGAGACGGGGTTTGTTCATGTTGGTCAGGCTGATCTCAAACTCCCGACCTCAGGTGATCTGCCTGCCTCAGCCTCCCAAAGTGCTGGGATTACAGGCGTGAGCCACCGCGCCCAGCCTCTCCTAGAGGTTTTATAGCTTAATTTTTATGGTTAGATCTATGGTTCATTTTGAGGTCATGTTACATATTGTGTGAAAACAAATTTGATCAATAAGTATGCTTAATTAAGGGAAATCTAAAATTGCTATCATCACACATTTGACAGACTCTAAATAAAGAAGGAGTAGATGGATTTTTTTCTGCTGAAGTTAATTTAGTACTGACTTATGTATGAAATACTGCTCTAGTTTTTGTACCCATCCAACAAATAAAACATGCCTTGTAAAATAATGACTTTCCTATTAGTAGTGGGTTTAGGTGGAGACTGCTAACATTCTGTATAGAATGAATGTACATATTAATGTCTCTTCACAGTACTTGTCACATGCAAAATATTCAGTAAGTGTTGTTTTTGGTTGTTAATGTTCATTATTGTTAATGTCATTCGTATTGTTATAATTATTATATTTAGGATTCTTGCCTTGAGGAATTTTAGAAAGGATGATATTTAGATGAAATAGGTTTGGTTTCTGTAATTTATTTACTTAATACTTACACATAGTAGTCATACTTTTTATGTTTTTTTTCTGCCCTCCCAACCCCTCACACACATAAGAAACTTAATTGTTAATGGGTTCTAATACATAAGTAATAGGAAGCAGTGTTTTTAGCATCCTTTGAATGATCTCCTTTGTTTGCATGGATAATTCCTGAATACTTTTTTGAAAAGTTCAAGAACAGTAGATGTAGAATAAACAGCGCAAGTAACATTTTACCTACGCTTCCAGTCTTTTCCCAGAGATAAGTATTATAGATCTGATCTGTTTGCTTTCAGATAATTATCTATACATTTATACTGATATATATTTATTTATATATAGGCACATTTGTAGGTGTATTTTTCTTTGTAAGCCTAAATGAACATATTATACTTGCTTTTTTAATCTTAACAGAATGTTTGATAAATCTTTCCGGGTTGATACTTTCTTCATTCATTTTTACTGCTGTATATTATTTAATAGGATGAATATACCATAACTTATTTTTCAAGCATGCAGCAGGTAGACAAGTGCGAGGCCAAGCCTAACTGACAGAATCAGCTGGTAAAGGTAAAATGAGTCACTTTTAGGCTGGGCGCGTGGCTCACGCCTGTAATCGCAGCACTTTGGAAGGCCGAGGCAGGCGGATCATGAGGTCAGGAGATCGAGACCATCCTGGCTAACATGTGAAACCCCGTCTCTGCTAAAAATACAAAAAATTAGCCAGGCGTGGTGGCGGGTGCTTGTAGTCCCAGCTACTCGGGAGGCTGAGGCAGGAGAATGGCGTGAACCCGGGAGGCGGAGCTTGCAGTGAGCCGAGATCGCGCCACTGCTCTCCAGCCTGGGCGACAGAGTGAAAAAAAAATGAGCCATTTTTAGATTCAGATAGTTTATTATTTACATAGACAGCAAAAGGAGGGGAAGCTAAAAGTATCACATCTCCAGGTCCTCATCACATACAGGAAAAGGACAACATGAAAAACAAAAGGCTGCATGACTGAAGTGTGAGTCCTAGGATTCCCCATTGCTGAAGACTCAATTCTAGAGTACAGCTAAATACTTTTATAGTGTGCCACTATACCCTAAGGGGTTGAAGATTAGGAAGAGTGAGGCAAAAACTTCATACCTCATTAGAACCTGGGAGACCATGAGAAACTGTTTGTGATAGTCTCCCATTCTCTCATTTTCCAGAGGATCACGAACCATTCTGCTAAGATACAGATTACCTGCATTTAAAGCCATTCACTGTGTGGCCTATAAGTATACATTCACCATTGCTGGAGCATCATGATAGAGCCATTCCCCTACAACTCCAACCCTTGACCTTTCCCATATCAGGTAACAATTCCTCAAAGGCATAACCACTTCGGCTGGGCGTGGTGACTCATGCCTGTAATCCCAGCACTTTGGGAGACAGAAGTGGGCAGATCACCTGCAGTCAGGAGTTCAAGACCAGCCTGGCCAACATGATGAAACCCCGTCTCTACTAAAAATACAAAAATTAGCTGGGCATGGTGGTGGGCGCTTGTAATCCCAGCTACTTGGGAGGCTGAGGCCGGAGAAATGCTTGAATCTGGGAGGTGGAAGTTGCTGTGAGCCGAGATTACACCACTGCACTCCAGCCTGGGTGACAGAGCGAGATTCTGTCTAAAAAGAAAAAAAAGGAAAAAAAAAAAAGCATAACCACTTCATTAGATACTACACTTAATTGTACTTTTAGGGGCTGAGAGCAAATATGCCTCCTAGTAGGGTGATCGGGTGTACTTGTTGGATAGACCTTAGCCAAGCTCCTCATCCAGAGCCAAGCCATTCACGTCATAAATTGAGAATGCAGCAAGTGGTGTTGGCAATCACACATATCTCACTTCAGCTGGCTGGGAGGAACTCCAGGGCTTCCTAGACTTTTCATCACCACTGGACCAGAGAGTTTAGAGTGGTCAGCTTTAATATGTGAAGAATATACAAAAGAGTTTGTCTTTCCTTAAGTATTAGAAGAAGACCACAGGGCACCAACAATAGTAGGATTCGGCTAAAGGGAATCATAACAGTGTCCCGAAAATTAATCTTGTTATGTGGCTTGTTCACTCCTGCAATCAGCAGCTTTCCTTAGATTAAGATTCTTCATTGGTCAACAGTTGAGCTGAAAGCAGTAGTCTGGGTAATACTGGCTCGGTGGCTAAGAGCTGAGAAATATTAATGTTTCTTCTACCCACCCTGGGTGTGCCGGTGTCTAAGGTATTCTTTTTTCTACAGCCAGGGTTACTGTCTTCCCATAGCCATGTGTTTCAGTCCCTGCAGCATGATCAGTCCCTGCAGCAATTGTTTCACTCTTTTTCTAATCCACCCTCTACCTTACCCATACTATATGGCCTGGAGTTGGCCCTACATGGCTTAGCAGTTTCTTCATTATATACAATATGCATTGTACCATCTTAGAACATCTTTTGCTCCTTGAAATGTAGGCCACATTGGAGATACCATAGGAGTTGTGACCTCATATTCATCATCATTATCATGATTATCCCTAACTGCCTAAACCTAGTAAGCATAACAGGACAGTAAAAGAGTCAACAGGTTAGAGTCTTCCAACCCCAGTACTTTACTACTTGAAAATTCCAGCACCCTGATTTTCCAGGGATACAGTATGTGAGGAAGTGGTGTGAGAAAGATTAACCATGTGTTTTTGGTCTTTTATAGCAAGTCTGGGCCTTCTCCCTTCCCCTCAAACCTCATAATTAAACATTCTGTTTAGCTGAAAGGGACCCTTCTGGGGAATTGCCACACTTAGAACCCAGACTGCTTTTCTTAAGTGTGTATGCCTCTGGGAGCCAAGCCGTTTTTAGGCTCTAGTTACCTTTTTTAGTTTCTTCTTTGAGAATCTATTCTGTCTTTCATTGTACCTCTTGCCTGAAGATGATATGGGACATAAAAGGTCCAGTGAATGTCTCAAATATCTGCTCACTGCTGGGTAGTTTTACTCTAAAGGCCACACTATTGTCTGATTGGGTACATTTGAGAAATCGACATGTGTGAAATAGTCCGTCTGTCTTTGAATAGTATGGCCTCTCTACTGTGTGGATAGAGATGACAATGGACAACCTAGGAAGGTGTCTACTGCTGTCAGTGCCAAGTAGTATCCTTAAGAACTATATGGTCTACTTGACAGACATGTCTGGTACCCCTAGCTATAGGCTCCAGAGTTCCCTTTGCTACTTAACTGTGTAGTTGATAGTCAAGAGCACACATATCCTTGACCTTACGTGTTAGAGAATCACTAAGGTTTTTTTTTTTTTATTTGTTTGTTTTGTTTTGTTTTTGGCGGTATCCTGAATTGGAGATGGGTTACCATGCTCTGGGCAATGATGTATTCAGGTGACTGTGGTCTCTACCAAGGCAGTGCAAGTCTGATCAGCTTATTGATTCTGGTGATGCTCATCCTCAAAGGGTACTTTCCCATGGGCATCAACATGAATCATGAACAAGAAATGTGAGACTTGTACAGCCTGCAACTATAACGCTCATCTCCACAGAAACTGGAACGAGGTCATCTAAATTGTCCCACTGCCAGGCTTCAGACCACACAGCTAGCCCATTGACTCCTGGTATCAGTCATTGAAAATATAACAGACTTTGGGGGTGTTTTCCAGGGAAAGCACCATAGCTCATGACTTCACCTAGTGAGCAGAGTTCTCTTTTCCATGCACAGTTTTAAACAGTTTTCCTTGGGGCCACACAGCTGCAGTGGCCCAGAGCACCTCATTGGACTTTACCTTAGGTGATTCTTCTGTGAGCTAGACCCAGGCATCCTCAGGATGCCCAAAGTTCTGAAGTCTCCAGGATGTCCAAGATTCTGGTACAGACTCTTGCATTTGGGATGGCCGTATTTTGGGAGTTATTAGCCACTTTTTCACATAGCTGATGTGCCTATGATTTTCTTTAATAACATACACATCACTGGTTTATCATGCATTTGCAAGACCACATTGCCTTAAGAAGTAGATTTGCCCATAAATTATTTTGGACCACTTGAAGGTAGCAGGTATTGGTGAAAAATAACGACAAATTGTTTTTAGCTCTTATCCCCTTGATTCTAAATTCAAGGCAAAACTGAAACATGCAATTTACCACCCAGTATTAGTGTTTCTTTCAGATAAAATGTAGCTAATTATGAAGGAATAAAATGATGATATGGTTCATATGCTGATAAAGTGAGTATATTTTTTTATTTTCTAACATTAAAATTTAGCAAACCTGTCTTTTAAAAAAATCTCCAAGATTTTTGTAAACAGCGCTGGGCTTTTAAATAAATAAAAGTATATTTTGTCTAGTTTTATAGATCTCTCCATCTAAAAAGAAAATAGTGCCAAGGAGTTTTTTATTTCCTTCTCTGAAAAGACATGGAGTGTTTATGCAGGTTTCCAAGCAACATCAGCCTTGAAATTATAAGAATGACTGAATACTCAGGAAAGCAACCAATCCAAATTTGTAAGACTTTTGGAATTCAGTAATTGATGAAAAACAGAACCATGTTAGTCATCAATAAATTACACCAGTTTGCAGATTTAAAAACATATTCTTATATTTAACATTTCTCAAATTTAAGTTATGTTTACTTAATATATCTGGGGTGATTTCCTCAATACTGCCAAATGAGTTTAATCTCTTATTTATTAGCGTATTGAGAGACTTTCCATTGAGTACATTATAAATTAGCAAGCAGTTCTTTAAAATTGAACTTTTACTTAAATAAGCAACAGTAGAAAAAGAAAGTAAAAATTATATAATATTTCCAATATATAACATAAGCTAAAACTACCAGGTGGAAAGAATTTTGTCTTATAACTTAAAGCTATTTAATAACACATTTGATTTTAGAATCTCAAGTAAAAGAATGTGTATTATTGGCCATACTACTATATTTAAAATGATCCCTGACGCCCCTCAAGACAAATATATTAATTTTTTACTTTGTGGGATAGAGATCAGAAAAAGAGTAGAGATGAAAATACTGGAGAAACAATGCAGGAGATATTTATGAGGTGAGAATGTCAAGAAACTTGTAAAGGGAGAATACTATAATGACCCCTGAAGAGAGAGCTTTAGACCAGTTGAATATTAGAGGTTGCCACGTGGCTATTCATCCACTAATAAATACAAGAAATTACTAAAATGGAAGCCCCTGGAAATATGTTTTGAGGAAGGTGAGAATGTGGACCTATTATAAATGGGTGAATATGATTTCTTTCTCATTAAGTTCATAAATAACTTTCAGACATGTAACAGTTTATGAAGTGTGCCGTAGTCATTTAGTATAAGTTTTATACACAAAAGTGTTTTTACTAAGACTGTCACAGGTTCTTTTGTGAATCTTGTTTGTTTTTCCTCATTGTAAATACTGCAATAGAACATTTGTGTCTTAACATAAGGCAATAAATGACCTTAAGAACCTTCACTTTTATATAGAAAGTGGAGGAAAAGTTGGCAGAGTAATTTGTTGATTATAGATAAAAGCTCTTGTAGGAATTGGCCACATCTGTTTTATTGTTTGCAGCTGAGACATTCAACACAAAATAAGTTGGCTTGTAATAAAAGTACAATAATTGCTAATGTAAAACAGACAGATGTTTTTCTTATTACATAGCACTGGACAGATGTATTTGGGTAAGAGTTGAAATTTTTAACAAAATTAAGCTGGTCTTGATCCTCAGAATTTGAATGTTTTACTCTGAAATCATGTTTTGTTAAACCATGTAAATATTTTATCTTTCCCAAGAAGTATATGTGAAATTATTTTTGTTTTTGGAATTTCTGAACTATAGTTTTGAATACACATGGAACTAGTTGCAGTTAATTACATTTTGGGCCGTAGTATTTCTGATAAGGAGATAATTACAAAACTGCTACCCAGATTGTAATACCCTGTTCCACATTGTAAAATATTGATACCTTTAAAAAATTTTATGTTGTTTTAATACTTCCTCCATATTCAAATTTTTACCTTTTATGAAGTGATTACTTGAGTTATGCCCTTGGGGGCTCTTCTTGACTCTACCATATATGGAAAACCACATTAAAGAGAAAATCTTCACATCATTGACTCCTTCACATTTTGCATGGGAAGAAAAGAGTTCCAAATACAACTTGAAGAACTTACTGAATATTCTGACATTCTTTGTTATTAATCCTGGAAGATGACCTAATATAGACTGCTAGGTCATGTTGGCTACTTTTGATAAGGTGATTGAAGAAAGCCCTCTGTATCTCCCTATGATGTGACAGATCTAAAATATGCGGACATTTTAATGTTGAGTAGAATTCATATTATTACTATATAATTATTTATAATAATATTAAAGCATTAGTGGAACATATCATTTGAGCCATTTGTCTTGTGGATTACATTGTTCTATGTGAACTTACAAGAAAACTCTTTTGCCTGCATCCACAAATACAAGTAAAGGTCTTCCTGCAGTGTGACTTACAGTCATCATTTAAGAAGTTAATTGGTCTTACTCTCCAAAGATATTTGATCCCGCAGGCACCAGATCCACAAACAGGTTGGCTTCCATCCTGTTCTAGCTAATCAAACTGTTATAGCTAGGTTTTAGAAAACCTCCTTCGTTATTTTTGGGGTAATTAGTTGTATCCATACTCAAACACAGGGGTTGGTGAATTTTGTTCAGTAAGCCAAATCTTACCACTGCCTGATTTTGCCCAGCCCACAAAGCTAAAAATTGTTTTAAAATCTTCAAGTGGGCCAGGCGTGGTGGCTCCCGCCTATAATTGGAGCACTTTGGGAGGCCAAGGCGGGCAGATCACGAGGTCAGGAGATCGAGGCCATCCCGGCTAACACGGTGAAACCCCGTCACTACTAAAAATACAAAAAAATTAGCTGGGCATGGTGTCGGGCGCCTGTAGTCCCAGCTACTCAGGAGGCTGAGGCAGGAGAATGGCGTGAACCCGGGAGGCGGAGCTTGCAGTGAGCTGAGATTGTGCCACTGCACACCAGCCTGGGCGACAGAGCGAGAGTCCGTCTCAAAAAAAAAAAAAAAAAAAATCTTCAAGTGGATAGGGAAAAAAAAGAAAAAAAAAAGAATGATATATCAAGGAATGTGAAAATTATATGCAATTCAAATTTCTCTGCCCATAAATAAAAATGTATTAGTATACAACCATACTGATTGTTTATGACTGTTTTTACATTACAATGGCAGTTGAGTAGTTGCAACAGAGATCGCATATGGAGGTCTTACTACTTTACATTGCTTCTCAATCTTAGTGACACTGTAATGTCTCGGCAATGTTTGCCATACCATGGAATTGTACTTACGTGTTATTAGCAGTACATATTCATCATGTCAAAACAAGAAGAGAAGAGAATGTGAGCTTCTAATGTTATGGTTTTAAGGAACCATGCAGTGTGAATTACTTTGTTATAAATAAGGTGGCACAGTATTGTGTTATGCAGTAACACTATAGCTGCACTAAAATAATAAATGTTGACATTACCAGATTACACACTCATTGCAGCATTACCAACACACGAGAAAGCAATGGTCAGAAGCATTTTAAATAAAACATCTTATTCACAAAAATAAAAAATGAGGCTGCAACCACAGTGAGTTTCTGAGTAACTAATTTGTTGGCCAAGTAAGGAAAGTCATTTCCCAGTGGTGAGTAAGTTAAAACCTATCCAGAGAAAATAAACTTTACTGAAGGAGCTAATGCCAGGTTGTTTATTCAAAGAACTAATGTGACTGAGGGAAAACTTCTATGAATAGTCTGCTTGGAACAACTACGGATGAGAATATTTTCAGCTGAGTTAAGAAAACACTAATTTAGGACAACTAGAAGTAGAATCTAATGAGATGAGTTGAAGCTAATGGTGGCAAAAATATTTGTGATATTAGGAGCATAATAATTTGTGTAATTAGTTACAGAAATTTATGAAACTTGTGAAATCTGTGGTTATTCATAGTAATATTATTCACCAAGTACCTTGTGGAATATATTTGAGTCTATCATGTTATTGAACCAGTAGTATCAATAGTAAACTTCACTCAATTTCACAGAGTGTCAGTTCTGTGAATTTTTGTCAGAAATAGAAGATGAATATTCTGACTTGCCCTACTATATAGCAGTTCAATAATTTAACCATAATAAAGCCTATTGCAATGTAGCTAAGACCAAGATGGATTTTTTTTTCTGAATGAAAATAACGAATCTGACTCTAACCCACATTTATCAACATTAAATGGCTACGAAAATTAGCTTTTTGTGTAGACTTGATAACGTTTACAATGAATTCAACCCAGTGTTACCAGGCCAACAGCATTTACTTGCAAAACTTAAACTTCAGTGAAGTCATGTTAACAATAGTTTTTGAATCACAGGTTACACTTCCTGTTGTCTCAAAAATTAAAACAAAATCTCCAACCCTACACAAATTTGCAGCAGATGTATTTTATGAGTTCAAACTATAGTTCCAGCAGCATATTTCAGACCTCAGTGCAGTTCAAAAGAAATTTCCATATTTCAAAATCCATTTATCTGTGCAGTTGAGCTTCTGCCTAATCTTCAATTGACAGTGATTACTCTGCAATATAATGGCCTGCTAAAAGCAAATATTAAGAGAAAAATCTATTATAATTCTATAGATGCCTCCCAAGTGATGGACATGACCCTAAAATATTATATGCACATTGATATGAATATTGATATCAATATTTGGCAGTAACTATCTTGTGAAAGACATTTCATTTTCAAAAATAAAATACATAAGATTTCATTCTAGATCAGTATTAACAGGTGAACAATTGCAATAGATTTAATGATAAGGAACACTGACTTTGAACTCTAATTAAGGAAAATGTTATACTTCATCTTTCTCCTTAGTAGATCTGTTTGCTGTTCTTGGTTGTTAGTAGCAGTATTATTTGAATTTTGTCAATATAAAAATTGCAGAAATTTATTTTCTCTTGTATAAACTCCTACATAATACCCTTGATTTAACCTCTTGGCCTGCAAAACATAAAATATTTACTTTCTGAACCTATATATTAATAGGAAAAGTTTGCTGACCTCTGTTCTAACATATCTACTTTTACAACTAAATTGTTCGATATTTTCATACTATTATATCTTTGATTACTTATCTTTTACAATAAAAAGATAAAGAGTAAATTTTAAGAACTAAGTTTACAAAGAATGAAATATATTTATACGATGATCAATTAACCAAATCCTAAACAAAGACAAATCTGTTATAAAAGGAAAAGCACCAGTCTATTAGTTTTCTCATACCATTTAAAAACAAACAAAACCTAATGCTCAGTTAAAAAACACAAAGGCAAACAATATTGTAATAGAGTTCGTGAGTCTGTTTTGTTTCTTTCTGTTTTGTAATAGCAATTAAACGATCTAAAATTTTTTAAAACTGCATGTCACTTTTTAAATTAACTTGAATTTTTACTTTGAGTTTACTGATAATGCATAATTTTCATGTATTGTTAGAGTAATATGTCCAGTAAACTCATTGTAAGGTATGAAATATATTAACATGTCAGTTTTCAACCTAATTCTGCTGGGAAATTTACAAAGCATGTCACTTTTTCTTTACACCTTTTCTGCTTGTGACCTAAAATAGTCATGCTGAACTACCTCAAATGAGCATTGATTTTCAAATTGTACTCTTTGGAAAGTTATTATTTTTGACTGATTTATCAAATCTACTTTAGGACCATACTTTTATTTTATTTTTTGATATGGATAGAATTTACCAAATCTGATGTTAGACTTTGGTGTTCTCTACCAGAGAGCTCTAACATCAACATTGTCAAATATGCTTGAGGATTGGATGACAGGGGATTAAGAGTTGTACATTATGGCGTTATACAGTGTTTGAGCTAGAAAAGTTGATAAACTTATATAGCATTTCAGTTTTTCAGATAAGAAATTTTGTGCCTTGGTCCTGATTATCTAGCTAATTATTTTTAAAATGAGAATTAAAACTCTGGCCATGTAAGTCTCATTCCATTAAATTCAGTCGATCTTCATTATTCTTGGATTCCATAATTGCAAATTTGTCCCCTCACTAAAATTTATTTAAAACCCCAAAATTAGTACTCACAAGTGCTTTGCAATCATTAACAAGCATGTGCATAGTGATAAAAAGAATTTGAGTCACCTGACATATTTTCATAGCTTAGGTCCGGCAATGCGATGTCCTGCCATCTTGTTTTGACAAGTGTCCTTTTCAGTTTATTAGTGCCACGGCTTAATTTTGTGCTTTTTGTTGTTGACTTCGTTGCTTAAAATGGCCCCCAAGTGCAGTGCTGAAGTGCTGTCTAAATTGGTGTTTCTAAGTGCCAGAAGGAAATGATGTGCCCTATGGAGAAAATATAGTAATTTCTCAGTATACATCAGGGATTGGTTTCAGCACCTTCGTGGATACCAAAATCTAAGCATACTGAAGTCCCCCAGTCCACCCTGGGGAGCCTGCATGTAGGAATAGCTGGCCCTCCATATATGGGTTTTGCATCCTGTGAATACTGTGTTTTCATCTGTGTTTATGTAGAAAGAAATGCACCATAAGTGAATCTATTCAGTTTAAATATGTTATTGAAAGGTCAACTTTACATGAATTAGGTGATCCTCACACAGGCATATTTACAAGGCCGTTGGCCATGAGTTAAATGTTAATGTATCAACAATATATGTTAAATAAGGTGTTTTTAAATGTAACCAGAAGTTCATAGGGACCTAACCCTGTATTTCCCCTAGAAATAATGTTCACTATTTGTTAATTCAGTGTTTGTGGCAACTTAATAGATCATAACTACCTTGAATAATGCAAACCAACTGCACGTGTATATCAACAGAAAATGTACCCCATTCTTCATTATTTCTTGCATTATTTAACATAACTTTTTTCTGTGATCACACTGATAGGAATATAAATTAAGAAAAAAATTTCTTCTACTTGTAGAAAATTTATTTTTCTCTCTTATATTTTCACTAATTATCTGGTCCTCTCAAAGTCATGCAGCTTTTGTTTTTCCCAGTCATAGGATTATAAAGAATACACAGGAAGAGAAATTGTCATGCAAATCCATTATAATTACCAAAAAAACAATTCAAAGTACATGTTAGGAAGATACATTCTATTTTAGTTTATCATTTCAAGAGTTACTTATGATTCCTGTTTCTCTTTCAATTATTTTACCTTGTTTTTTCTACTTCTTTTGCATAGGTGTTAACAGTCTAATTCTACGAAAACAAATTTACATGGCATCACTAACCTAAGAACCACTACATCAAATCCGGAATCCTTTTTATGAATTTCAAAGCCCTTTATAATCTGGCCCTACTCTACCTATTCTTAGTTTGTGCTGTTGATTCTCTAATGCATATCTTGCCATTACAGTGATTATACCCTTACTGTGTATCCTCACTTGCTCTGTACATACTCACCTTTCCCATTGCTCACAGTGCCTCCCAATAACTTTAATAATCTAACTCAGTTTAGTTCACAGGTTGTACTGTGATTGTTTCATTTGTGAGTGTAACTTAATACATTATTGTCAGATCATTATTAAAGGCATTGACAAAATATTTCTAAAATTATACATTATATAGTTATATTGGAGGAAATATAAATTTGAAATACATTTCAAAAATACTAATTTCACGAGAAGAGATTTGAGTAAATGTTTTCCATTTAAAATAGAATCTCAAAGGGGAAAATGTTTTTTATAGGTTAATTTATCCAGTACAAAATTTTGATAAAGATTATTTCAGTTTTGAACCCAGGTATTTCCTTCTGAAGCAACTCTATAGTACCATAGAATGTTAGATTTGGAACAAAAATGAAAAAGTATATAATTTAGTAATCACATTTTACACATGAAAAATCGTCGTAATAGTTCCTTATTGCCAAATACAATTTAAAAACTAGAGATCATTTGTATCCCAAACATCAGAGTCATGCAAATATAGCCATGTAACAAACCTGCATATGTACCCCCTGAATCTAAAATAAAAGTTGAAACTAAAATGAGGAATAAGTTCTGGTGTTCTATTGCAGAATAGGGTTACTATGGTTAACAATATTGTATATTTCAAAATAACTGGAATAGAGGATTTCGAATATTCTCACTACAAAGAAATGATAAATGTGTGAAGTGATATGCTAAATACCCTCATTTGGTTTTTATATAGTGTGTATATGTATTGAAGCATCACACTATACCTCATTAATATGTACAATTAGTATGTGTCAATTCAGAGTGAAACTTAAAAATAAGATTTAGACTTTTTAAAGCAAGAAATGTGAAATTTCAAATGATTTGTCGTAGCATTAAAGTGATAAGGTGTTATTGATAAAAGAGGGCTACGTAAAACAAGCTAATATCTTTGGTCTAATTTATAATAATAATGGCAATACTTTTAAAATGCTTTTACCATAATTATTGTATTTATATATAAGTGTACTAAACTACAGAAAACTTAGATAACATAGAAAACTATGGAAAAGAAACATTACTCATTATCCCAACACAGTGTTTGTGAAAATGAAATACTTTTTCAGAAGTAGAGTAAGCAATTTATATTTAAAATACTTTCTTCATCTTGAACAGGGACATTTAAGGATAATATAATATCCTTAAATATTTTATTACAAAATAACTCTATGATTTATCTTCCCTTTGAAATGAATTATATGGCATAAATAAAGTATTGGACCTGTACTTATATCATGTTTATGATAGAGATTAAAATTTGGAAGTCCAATTAACTGTAGTCTCATTTGTAGTTTGCATTTCATCAGAATAGTTGGTGTTTTTCCAATTCTGCTTCCAGCCCAGATTTTGTATACTTCTTCCAACAAGTATATTTCTTCAGAATTTAAAACAATTTCATATTATCTTTATTCTGAAATTCAGGAAGAGGAAACTGATAGTTTGTAAACCTCTTGTGGTTCAAAGGATGTCCTTGTTGGAAATGGTGATTTACATATGACTATGCCATGGCATGGTATATATAATTCATTTATGGATATATTCTTCAGATATTTACTGTTTGTGATAAGATTAATTTTTAAATTTTATCTGGAAAGTGGCAAATGGCAAAATTGTTATTTATAATAAAATTAATAAAATTGTTAAAGTATCTTAACATTCTTAAAGTACATAGTCCATTTAGTCTTCTCAACATATAGTTTGTATTCTATCTACTATATTATACAGACTCTCTTAATTAATACTTATTTCAACAAATATTTAATGAACTCTTATTACATGTTCAGGTACCTGAAATAAAACAGTAAAACAGAATCTGTGAAAGTTCCTGCCTCTATCAGTTTACATTCTAGTGGCCAAGAAAAGTAATAAGCAAGCAATTACTAGCATTATTTCAGGAGGAAAAGAAGCTTTGTAGGCAGATTGGTCAGTAAAGGCCTGTCCGAGGAGCGGTATTTTGTGAGGAAATAAGTCATGGTGTTAGGTGGAAAAGAGCATTCTAGCAAAAAGAGCCAGGTACTTCAAGAAGGCTGGTGTAGCAGCAGCAGAATGAGCAAGGGAAGAGTATTAAGAGGCAAAGTTGGCTGGGTGTGGTGGCTCACACCTGTAATCCCAGCATTTTGGGAGGCCGAGGCAGGCGGATCACAAGGTCAGGAGATCGAGGCTATCCTGGCTAACACAGTGAAACCCCGTCTCTACTAAAAATACAAAAAATTAGTCGGGCATGGTGGCACATACCTGTAGTCCCAGCTACTCGGAAGGCTGAGGCAGGAGAATCGCTTGAACCTGGAAGGTGGAGGTTGCAGTGAGCCAAGATCGTGCCACTGCACTTTAGCCTGGGCAACAGAGCGAGACTCCATCTCCAAAAAAAAAAAAAAAAGAGGCAAAGTCAGAGAGCTAGGCAGTGGCCAGAACATGAAGGCCATTGTAGGCCATAATAAGGAATTTGGACTTTATTCTTCTTCATTTCTTTAACACATAATTAAAGACAACCACAGCTAGATGATTTACATTACAAAGTCCCATTGAGACAGTGTGCTGTTGCTGCAAGGATAAATAAGTAGACCAATGGAAAGAAAAAACACTGTTCAATAGAGCCTAAATACAAACAAAAATATATATAGTCAGTTCCTTTAGGCCAAATGTTACCTTATACTGTAGTTGTGAAAGCATAGTCTGAGTTAATTGAGTAGCCAAATAGGAAATATGTAAACAAATTTGTATCTTGGCTCCTACCTGACACTGTTCTCAAAAATCAGTCACAGATGGATTGCAGATCTAAATGCCAATGGAAAGAAAACATAGCTGTTGGGGAAAAGAAAAACCACATAGAATATCTTTATGATCTTAAATTAGGCAAACATTAAAGTGGTACATAAAAGCTCTAACCATAAAGGGGAAAAAAAACAATAAATTGGGCCACATGAAAATCCAGAACTTCTGCTCATCAAGACACCATTAACAGTGAATAGACAAGTCACAAAGTGAGAGCATATACTTGCAATACAGTATGCATAGAATGCCTTCAAATCAATAAGGAAAAAATATAACCCAATAAAAAATTGGCCAAACAACTGAACAGGAATTTCACAAAAGAGGATATCCTAATGGCCGATAAACACTCAATACCGTTACAAATATATTATTCATTAGGGAAATGCAGATTAAAACCATAACATGATACCACTGTTCATCCACCTGAATAACTAAAGTGAAAAAGACTGACAATACTTTGTTGGCAAGAATGTGGATTAACTCTCATAAACAGGTGGAAGGATTGGAAGTGGATAAAATAACTTTAGAAACTAATCATTTTGGAGCATCCTATAAAGTTGAACATACGTTTGTGTTCTTGAAAATTTAAGATATACACTTATGATTTTGTACTTTTTTATGTATACATGTATACATACCTCAGTAAGTGTTAAAATAGCAAATAACATAATTTGTAGAAATGTATGAATGTAAGAATGGAAATGTATAGGCATTCTAAAATATTTCAAGCGTAGATCACTATGATCTATTTTTCTTTACAGATAAAGTAATACAATAATTGTAGTTGAAAAGTCAATAACGTAACCAGTACTTGCTTTTCCTTTCATCCTTTTTCTTTACCATGCTTTTTAGTAGGCATAGGATACATGTCCAAAATCTTGTATTTTTGTAAAAATGTAAAGTAACCATGATAGACTATAGATACTGATAAGTTTTGTAAGTTAAAAGTTTGCACAGTAATCTTTGAGTCTGGTCTTTTATTAAACAAAGTATTTGGAGTCTCTGTTTGCATATATTATGAACAAATTGATTAGTATAGTATGTATTATGTGCCTGACAATTGACGACTACTAGTGAATGTAAGAAAATAAAGTTTATATTGTGCAATTGTTATCAACTTTGAGTAATGCACATATAATAAGTGTTTTAGAAAATTTCCTGTATAGAACCCATTTTTGAAAATTTTAAACTTAGGTAATTTTTTTTCTTTATATAAATACAAGCTCAGAGCAATCATATTGCACAATTCCAGGTTACACATTACAGTCATTGTTAACTGGAACCCTAAACAGAGGCCCTGTGAACCTGCGAATTTTCAAAAGTAATCAACCTAATAATGGAATAAGGAATAAAATGAGAATTTCTCTTGAAATAGTTTTCATGGTTCAATATAGTAAATGTCATAATTATTGTCCACTTTTGTTCTTTGTTGGCCATTTTTGGACTACACTTTAGAAGTTTGTAGAGACACTGGAAGAAAGAATAAGTATATAGTGGATAAGATAAAGCAGGAAAGTTATTAGATGTAGGTAAAAAGATAAATATTAAAATAATGAAATTGTATATTAAGGTAGGTAGAATGATAGAAGAAAATGAAAGAAATATACTATTGGGATGTGGGTTTACTTTGAAGGTAAGGACAAATATAATAGCAAATTGATATATAAAACAAATGTATATAGTTTTTAGTGTGTTTGTCTCAATTCATATGTATTTTTAATTAAAGGAATACATTTTCATCAGTAAAAGCTCATTTGAAATATTTAAACTTTGAAGAAAAAATGAAATAAATCAAGGCTGTTTTTATGTAGCAAGGCCGTACTGGTATAATACCAGTTTATATATTTCTCTGGCAGTTTGAATTTGATCCAGTGTTCCTTTAGGAGGAGAAAAAGGCAAAGTACTACTTCTGTCAACTGTCTGAAGAACTGCACACATTCCTTTACTGAGAAGAATGAACCTTAAGCATTACGTACTTAAAAATATGTAATGTCTTATTTTAAAATGTTTAACATCTTTATATTATATTAACAAGTTAATGCCTCTATGTTGAGGAATTCCATTCCTCCCTTTAATCTGAACACTTTGTTATAATTATATGAAATATTAACATTCATATTAATATTTGGTATTCTGTGAGAATACAGATTTACCATAACTATGAACATGTAGATCAGTTTTTCCTCAAGGATAGGAGGTACACATGGATGGTAGATACATTTAATAGAGTTGATTTTTTTGTCTGAAGCTTTTTTAAAAATGACAAGATAAAAGATAATGTGAGAGTCAAATCTATATATTGTGCCTATACTTACATTGACATAAATTTTTAACTATATGATTTTGATATAATTTGGTTAAGTATTTATCTAATGTTAAATGTGATCAATCCTGATTCCATGAACTTTCAAATGTAAAACAATTTTCTTGCACTTTAAAAATAAGTTATTGACATTCATATTAACTTAGAGATATCTTTTAACATTTAATTCTCTTTTTGAATGTTACATTCATAAATTATTAAAATAACTTGGCTAAAAGCAATGCAACAATATTATAATACACTATTTTATTAATGAATGTTAGCTATTCGAAAAGAGTTACTATGTGCAAATGCTACCTATTGTGTATTTTTAAAGTATAAATAGTATTAGCATATTACACATAATTTGTTTGGATTTGTAATTTTTAGAACAATAGCTGGTGAAATTAAAGTTACTTTTAATAATAGTTTCATTTCTAGTTCCCAATTAATGTTCGGTTGAGAATACTTTTCATTTGTTTTAGTATTAATATTTATCAGTATTTTTATCTGTTTTTTTATTAAATAAAATTTACAGGAGGTAATTTAGAATTTTAAAACATTTTTAAAATATTGTACTTTCTTTCATTGTATTTTTAAAAATTTTATAAGTAGCATTTATTTTATATTCATTCATTGTTCAGAAGCACTGACATTTTCTTCTGGATTTATTGCCATTTGCACAACTGTTTCCATGACAGCAGATTTTCTCTTGCATACTTCCAGATGATTTAGAAAATCAGATTATTTTAATTATGTTAATAATTTTTTAACATATTGCCAATTGTTTATCAGGTATCCCTACTTAATTTCAAAGCATTGCATGTAATGCCAGTTGTAGCATTTCAGACATATCTTTTTCATACTCTTATTTCTAGAAAATTACTAATTTTGCATAATTTTTCTAAGAAATTTAATGAAAATCCATAAATTGAATATCTTTCATTCAAGCTTACAGAATTAATTTGAGCCTATTACATTCATTTTAAAACAAAATAATAAAATGCCCTTTCTGCTAAATGCTGAATCGCTTTTATAAGAACATTATAGGATCATTTTGTGTTAATTGTTAAAATATAGAAGGCAAAGTGCATAAAGCATTGTTGTAAATTTCCCAATGTCTTTTAATGGTTTTGTGGATGAAAAGTTTACACCAATCTATAATGTTTAGCAGTTGGCAAAGTATGTATATACATTTCTAGATGTTGAAGGCAGTAGACATTTAATATTAAGACATTTAAAAAGTATTTTTTATACACTTGAAAATTAATTGCAGGTAACAGTAACCTGAAAGGAGAAACAATAGATCCTTTTATATTATAGTTCTCTTGAACATGAGGTGACTATATTTAAAAATGTATTGATTACCTCTTATGATATGTAAATTGGAAGTTGTGCGTTTTGTAGCACTTCAAGTAAAGTTTTATAATATTTGCATATATTTTTCTACTTTTCAAATTATGCCACATGTATAGCCAGTGAAGCCACAATTTGAAGAACTAATTTGCTATTGCAAAATTTATTTATTATTATGTCATAATCTTTGCGTGCATACTACAACTATTTATAATATCTAAAGCTTTTAGTGTGGGTAATATATTCAAGCAATGAGATGGTTTGACTAGTGTCTTTTTTGTAATTAACATTACATAATTTAAAACATTGCAATTTAAGAGTTTAATTGAAGTCACAGATGTTTTAATATTATATTACAATTGTTGAAGCTAACTAGAAATGTGTGTGGTTGTGTTTTAATAAAACTGTATTCACAAAAACAGGTGGTGAGTTGTATTTGGCCTGCAGCCTTTAGTTGACTGACCCCTGCTTTAAACTATTCCCTCAGAATCACCTCCCTTATCCCAAGTTTTACTTACTCCTTTGTAGTTAGAAGTACTAATGTGAAAAAGTATGAAAAGCATTCTTCAACAATTCAAGTAATAGGACCAGTTTTGCTTAGCTCATAAACTTGATTTTAAAAGCAGTTTAAAAGAAGTCTTAATTAAATATTTTTGAGTAATTCAGGAATAAATATATAGCTTTTCAGTGAGACAGATTTAAAGCAAAATATATACTCTTATTCAAGCATTAATGTATTCTTTTTAAAGGTTTCTTTACATTATATAGCAGTATTTCCCAGAATATGGTCTGTGGAATCATAGTTGGAATGAAATCTTCCATGAAAAAGTGTTCTATCTAGTTTAGCAAGTTTGAAATTTGAAAAATGCTTAACATAATAGTTTTCCCAAGAATCCATGATGTATATTATTGTACTAAATGTTCAGAGGGTCAATAAACACTTTTGTTTAATGATATTTCGGTCAGTATTTACTAGACTACCTAGACTATGAAAGGGTCTTTCAATCAAAATCTCAATTTCCTCTCTCCCTCCCACTCTTCGTCTCCCTGCCTACCCAACACACCTTAAAACTTTGGGAAACTCTTCTTTTTTTTTTTCTTTTGAGACACAGTCTCACTCTGTCACCAGGCTGGAGTGCAGTGGCGCTATCTCGGCTTAGTGCAACCTCTGCCTCCCAGGTTCAAGCGATTCTCCTGCCTCAGCCTCCCGAGTAGCTGGGACTGCAGGCATGCACCACCACGCCCAGCTAATTTTTGTATTTTTAGTAGAGACAGGGTTTCACCATGTTGGCCAGGATGACCTTGTGATCTGCCCGCCTCAGCCTCCCATAGTGCTGGGATTACAGGCATGAGTCACCGCGCCCGGCCAGGAAGCTCTTCTTTAAATTAATACCCTATCTGCAAATTTTTAGATGATTAAACTAAAATCTAAGGAGTGTTTAACGATATAATGAGAATAGATGCATTGTATGTTTTGGCTATTGATTGAATTTTAGGTTAATATGAAAAATATTCAAATAGGTATTTTTTCTCTATGTTAGTATATTTAACTACTTCATCAAATAATCTGAAATAATTTTTTTTAGTATAAAAAATATTAATTTGACCTCATGTACATGTGGGGAACTTAGCCATGCCTGTTGCACAGCCTTGTATGTATTAGCAACCATTTTGTTAGAAGATAAAAGTGAACCTTAAAAAGAATTTTCCCAATTATTCAACAATATCGATCATCTCAAATGTGCCAGATACTGTGCTAAATGGTAGTTTCATGGGGCTACGTTCTTATGGAGGACACAGTACAGTTAACTGAATGTGTATTTGCAGCATAGTATGGTAATTACTTTTCGACTTGTTTACTTTGGAAAGATTTTCTTAAATAATCTGTTTATTGAATTGTTAAACCAACAGTAACCAGTCTGGTTTGTCCATTTATCATTATCCACCAATGAGAAATATTATTTGAATATTATGTTAATTTTAAAAATGTAATTTTATCTAAATTTTTACCATCTTATTAATGAAAATATAAAATAGATTTATAATAACTCTGACAGGTAGTCTTTAATTTTATGTTTGAGTGAAGAGGAGAAACCAAAAAGTTTTTGTGATGAACTACAGTGTTTAAAGCCTTTTGTCCACATGCCCATTTTGCCTTTAGTTTGTTGTTAATGTTGTTCAGATAAAGCAGTGAAACACTTTCTCTACCATGACTCTTCGTTTAGATTTTTTCACCTTCTCCATAATCTTTATTTGTCTTTTAATGCCATCCACCATCCCCAACCCTCAGTACTTCTCATTTTCTCTCTACAAAGTATGTGGGAGCCTTTTAAAAGAGAGTATGTATCCTTGACCTTTGCAACTTTTAAGTTTCCTTTATCAAGAATTTCATTTTAATCTTCCCCTTTTATTTTATGCATGTTGTTTATTATTACTTATTAACCCAGACCCTTCTGAAGTTTATTTGTACCCAGGACATTATGTTTGGAAACAATAGATAGTTTTATCTTCTATTGTTTTACCGTTTAACATTCTATAAACAATAACCAAGACCACTGAGGGAGGCTAACTAGATTATAAATGGATCATGAGCTACTTGAAGGCAGGGGCCATTATGTGCTTAGCTTATATTTCTTGTGTGTGCTGTATAGAAGGAAGTCAATAAAATAAATAATGACTTAATGAATCCACCGTAAAGCCAAAATGATGTATTTTTCCTGTATTCCTCTTCTTTCAGTGAGTATTTCTGAAGTCCCCTTTTTTCCATTTCTCCAATATTTTTCCTGCCTTCTATTGGTACATGTTTTCTCAAGATCTAGCCTTGACTCTATTCTCTTATGTCTGTACTGTGTACTCTGAATGAAAGACCATATTGGCCAGGCGCGGTGGCTCATGCCTATAATCCCGACACTTTGGGAGGCTGAGGCGGGCATATCACCCGAGGTCAGGAGTTTGAGACCAACCTAACCAACATGGTGAAACCCCATCTCTACTAAAAAGACAAAATTAGATGGGCCTGGTGGCATATGCCTGTAATCTCAGCTACTCAGGAGGCTGAGGCAGGAGAATCACTTGAACCCAGGAGGCAGAGGTTGCAGTGAGCCCAGATCATGCCATTGCACTCCAGCCTAGGTAATAAGAGCAAAACACTGTCTCAAGAAAAAACCCCATATGCATGAATAAAAGCCTTCAACTGCCAGCACTAAAACAATGTCTCCTCCATCTTTACATCTAGAGAATGTATCAAATGTGCAGTGTGCCTAATTAAACCTAGGCACATTGTAAATTTTATAAATTTTATCTATAAAATCTCTCTTCTGTCTTGCTCTGTCAATCGCATTACAATGATCTAATCATGAAGCTTGAGAACTTTGGAGGTAACTTTTAATCTTCCTTTTCATTGCTTCTCATACTTAATTGCTAACTTTTGACAATTTTATCTTTAAAATGTATTTCAATCTTTTCACTCCCACTACCACTACTCTCATTTTCAATGAGTCTTACTTAGGATATTCAATATTTCATAATCTTATCACCAATCTCATTCCTCCATGTATCCTATATAACTGTGATTATTCCATACTCTGGTTTAAAACATTTCTTTCATTGTCTAGCATTAAACTCACACACATTAATGTAGTATTTCAGGCTTTCTGCTTACTATTCTCTTAAAAAATACATCTACAAATATCTAAAAATGTACTCATCTTTGAAGAACCAGCCTAATATAAGGCGATATTCTGTATGAATTGTTTCTTGAGATGTCTTACTTTGAAAGAGGTGAAATTCTTTCAAGGTAGAGAAACACTACTGCAGTTAGCAAGCCACCTTAGACATATTCTTTGCCACATTCAATTTAATTTTAACTCTCTTTGCTTTTTTTCTTTCCTTTATTTAATATTTACTACAAGTTCATTTTATCCTAGATGGGCTAGTTTGCTTATCTATTCATCTTTCATATATTTAAACATATACACTTCTATTAAATTTTTTCTTTTATTTTAAAATTTAAAATTCATTTTTAAAATATAAAGATTTTTTAAAATCATATGTTACTCCATTTATTTATTAATTAAATTTTTAGGGTTCTTCTGTTTTGTATGAAATACAAGTGATTTTTAAGCACAGAATACTCTACTAATCCTTTATTGCCTTATAGTTTTCATCAACTCTATGACAGTTCTTTCCATTACATGGAATATGCTATGTGTGCTTAAGTGTGTATAATGTTTACATTGTCTAGTGTGAAGTATGCTTAAGTGTATGCGGATAAATGGTGTGTGTGTGTGTGTGTGTGTATGTACATGTGAAAAATTTCTCTTGGTTTAATGTTGGTATTTATCAAATCGTAGGATATAGGGTTGTTCTATTCCTACATAAAATCATCAATTAGAGCCTTCCTAATTATAAACATTATTATTCAATATCATGAATATTTATAGAAATTTGTGACCTCAATCCCAGTTCCTTTTCTTTCTTCAAGAAGCTACTGAAAGCAAGAACATACTTACTCTTTCACTTTTCAAGAAATACCAAACTATTTTTTACAACACTTAGGAAAATTATATCCTAATTCTATAAGAACATTTTACTTTATGCTCAATCTAAAAAATCAAAAATGTTATAAAGAAGTTAATACAAGAATGGTGTATTCATCTTTGAGGGAGAAATCAATAACCTTATCTCTTGCAATCAGTGCCATATTAGTTATTAATAAACTAATGTGTTAGTAATGAAAGTAGTATGAACAACAGCAGTTGCTATGTCTATTCAAAAAGTGCAGAACTCTCAAATATAATACATGGTTTCTTTGTAAGTAATAGAAAAACTTTAGAGATCACTTTTTTTACTAGAAGCTTTTGCTTTTTTTCCTCTTCTATTGATATAACTCTTATGGTCTTGTTTAGGACAGAATTTGTTTATTCTTTTCAGCAGCCTGTTTTTTTGTTTTGTTTTGTTTTTGTTTTTGTTGTATGTTTTTGTTTTGGTGAAAGGAGTGGATATTTATCAAGGATGTTTTGAGTGGTTTTTTAAGATGAATTTATAATTAAAGTCATACACATTTATGTTTTGATTTTGTTTATGGATTTTCTGGTGTAAAGGTTAACATGATGAACACATGGCTATAGTAAGGTGGAAAAACAGTAGGAAACTTGTACTCTTGCTCAGTCTGTTGCATGATTATTTAGATACTTACTTGATCTAACAAACTAAAGAACACAGTGATTTTATATGAAGTAAACTAAGGCTATTTGAAAATATCTGTTTCCAAAGGGTAGAATTCATGAAACACAATAAAAATAATGAAATATACTGATTAATCAAAACTTTTTCAGCATCTATTTTACTGACTTTCAAAATTTGTTTTGGACAACTTCATAAAAAACACTCTTTATAAAACCCTCAACAAAGCTGGGATGGATTTGTTTGGCCACATTAATATATAAAGTAGCAGCTTTATCGACTGCTAGCAGGAAACATGCCTCAATTATCAATTCTCATCTATAAACTACTATGATAAGATTTTCAGAAATCAGCCATGCCATTTAAAACCTAGTTTTGACATTATTTTTTTTTTTTACAATGAGTTGAATGTATTACACTGCAGTATGCTTTAGCAATCATCCCAATTAAGTAGGTGTGCCCTTTATCTGAGCGTTAAGTGGATTTCTTAATGTTCGAGAATTGTGCTAAGTGCTTGTTTGTTATAGCATAAAACAAATGCTAATTTATGATAAATTAGTACTTGAGGAATTTTACATTTCTGCTGCTGTTCACCTTAGCACATAGCAACCAGGATACAATCCAGTTTAAAAATAAAATAATATGGTTTGGATTTAACTGTGAAAATTAAATTCAGGAAATTTCAAATAACTATTGAATGATTAAATAAAATCATTCTGGAATTTTATTTTATTTGGTATCAAATATCTGATACCAATCATGTGTTGATAGTCCTTAAAGAACAGTTGTTGGCCTGGCGCGGTGGCTCATGCCTGTAATCCCAGCACTTTGGGAGGCAGAGGCGGGTGGATCACCTGAGGTCAGGAGTTTGAGACCAGCCTGGCCAACATGATGAATCCCCGTCTCTACTAAAAATACAAAAATTAGCTGGGCGTGGTGGCAGGTGCCTGTAGTCCCAGCTACTTGGGAGGCTGATACAGGAGAATCCCTTGAACCCGAGAGGCAGAGGTTGCAGTGAGCCGAGTTCATGCCACTGCACTCCAGCCTGGGTAACAAAGAGTTAAACTCCATCTCAAAAAAAAAGAACAGTTGTTGGTCTTTCTATCTGCAGAGGCCATTCAGATTTAAGGTCTGCACTGATTAAGATTTTCTTGATTGGCGAAGACAACACTCATGAAAGAAGAAGACTATGATTTTACTCTTTTACTCTGGCAATGTGGCCTTACTTTGACTAAGCATGAAAAGATTTTGAGCTTCCTGAAGCAAATCTGTTCCCCAAGTTTGTCTTAGTGTCTTACTAGGGTTGAATTTACTTCTCTTTATTAACTCCAGATCCAAGCAATACCACTAAGGTATGCTGGAGTAATTTTACGCCCTGGAAGATTACCTAGCCTAATTTTAAAATTCTATAAATTCTTAACTTGGGAAAATACCTGTAGCTAAAGAAAGAATAGTTTAACAAGTGTTGGTAATTTAGCATGGGCCTAAGAATGAGATTTATTTTCTAAGACATGATAAGTAACATTGCATTATTAGAAGGCTCTAATTACTATATTCTGTCTCTTTTAACATATTTTTAACTGATGGTGCTATTTGGTTGTAATATTTGGTAATACTAGTGTTTTAGATAAGCATCTATTTTTATGTACAACTGGTTTTTAAATTAATTTCTTTAAATTTCACTAAATGTATCATTTTTAAGGTTTCTAAATATTTTAATACAAATGAAATAAGGAAAATGAGATTTGTTAAAGGCTGTTTAAATTTCAATCCTGTTTTTCTAAATGGGTTGTAAATTACAAAATGGAATAAAATATTTCAAACACTATGTTTTAATTATTTACAGTGTTACCGTTTTATTTGTTAACATGTGTTAATGAATCTCAAGTAACACATGATTATAATAGGAATATTTTTAAATGCAGCTTAGCAAAAATAAGAAAAATTAGATCATACCATTCAGAGATAATTTTAACATTTTCCTACATAGTGTATATATTATCAGGCATATATGTGTGTATTATGTGTATTATTTTAATAAAATGGGACTGTGTTTGGTAGAAGTAAATCAAGGAAAGGTGTTGTGTTAGTGCATTTTCACACTGCTATAAACAACTACCTGAGACTGGGTAATTTATTAAAAAATCGGTTTAATTGACTCACAGTTCCACATGGCTGGGGAGACTTCCGGAAACTTACAGTCATGGTGGGAGGCTAAAGGGAAGCAAGGCACATCTTTACATGGTGACAGGAGAGAGAGAGAAGTGGGAAGAGCCACACACTTAGAAAACAACCAGATCTCACAAGAACTCCACTGTCAGAACAGCATGGGGGAAACTGCCCCCATGATCCAAGCACCTCCCATGAGGTCCCTCCTCTGACACATGGGGTTTATAATTCGAGGTGAGATTTGGGTCGGGCCACAGTACCAAACCATATCAGCCATCTTCAATTTACCGTTTAGCTCATTCAAAAATTATAAATAGGTAAACATTGTGCAGCGTTCATGTTGCTTCCTTTACATATGTAATAATGTTTTGGTTCTGTGTTTATTTTTATATTTGAGCTCATTTTTTACCTATCTGAATGTGATTTACTACAGGCCTCTCTCTGGTATGCTTTTAACTCATCTGTTTTACCTGAGTATGGCTAGCTAGCTCAAGACAAAATTTCTGCCGTCACTGCCACCACCTGAGATCAAAGGCCCATGCCCTCTGCTTACTTAGCACAAGTTAAGGAAGAGAGAGTGCAAAAAATTAATTCCCTTTTCCCTTTGTACACACATTTCAAAGAACCACCCTATCTCTTCCTCTAGAAACCCTCTCTCAGTTATATTTTGTAAGAGCATGAACTAGCTTGTTTTCTGTGAGTTTGGTGCCATTTTTTTTTTTTAACTTACTGTCGTTTGTTCATTCAGCAGTTACGTATTGGACACCTACTGTGTATTGGGCATACTTCAAAGCACTGAAGATATCACAGTAAAAAGTCATACAAGGTCACTGACCTGAAGGGAAGTGAAATAATTCAATAAATAATGTATAGCATAGGTAAGATTTTACAAAAGCATAATATAGGTGTTCTCTAGATCAAAAGGGAGGCTCATATAACAGAGGACTACCTGCTTTAGCAGAACACCCATCTTTCTTATTTAGGAATGTTTTTATAGGTTTTGTTCTAATGAGATAGCTTTCTCAGGTTTTGAGACAAAAAGGGAAGAGATAAGGATGTTGAAATACCTTTACTCTCTTGAGCTACATGTACTTTTAATATGCTAAATATATTGGAAATTTGATTAATTGAGGTTTCTATATTTACATATTAAAAGTGTGTATATTGAAAATACAAAGTGGTCCCATTGCTGAAATAGACACGTTAAGTATACATTTCATGGGAAAAACCATCTGTTGAATAATTTTATGGTGTCCAGATGTACGCTACATAGTAAAGTTGTAGGCTGTGTTGTGGACCATGTGGCTCATTGGTTTTTACTTGACATCAGAAAAGCCAGTTGAAATTCTACAAGCGAATGGTACTTGATAGGGTGCTATTTATAAATTATGAATGACTTATACTTTTATCTAAATTTTAAATGGTATATATACCTTCTAGGAAGTTTTGATTCAGAAAATGTCATGTTTTACAATGTCATATTTTGAGTATAAAGAGAGATTTATGATTTTATTAAAGAAAAATCAGCTTTTCTTTACATTATTAAACATTGAGCAAATATTTAAGAGATGTTGTTAAAGAAGCACCAAACATACCAGGGCACTTCATTTTTCGGTTTGTGCCTGTTGTTCTGTTATGTAAATTTTTTCATTTCATTCATCATGAACCTCTTTCCATGCTGATAAGTAAAGGGCTACGTTATAAATTTAATTTTGGTTTATCATGATGAATCAGTTTATTTAGCTAACCTCTGGATGTTGAACCCTAAGTTTAATTTTTATATTTTTTGCTATTAGAAAAAATAGTTATGAATAACTCAGTATTTCCAACTGTATACTTTTCTAATTGTTTGCTTGTGAATTTTAATTTTTAAAAAAAAATGATTACTGGGTCAAAAAACGTTTGGTACTTAATTGCTAAGTTGCCCTCTAGAAAGAGCATGCTAACTTACCATTCCAATAGAATTGTACTAGAGTATCCATTCCTACATTTCCATCCCAAACTTTTATAATTATTTGCCAATCAGAGCTATATGGTGATATTTGATGGAAGTTTGGTTTGATTTTTTAATACAATTGAAAATGAATATTTTTGCATTGGATGATTACATTAGTCTTTTCCCAGTCCTTTCCCTTCTTCCACTTCCTTTGGCTTTCATTCTTCCTTTGGTGTGATTGTGCCAGGGTATGTGTGCATGTGGGTGTGTGCGTGAGATTCAGTGAAATTGTTCATATACCTAGCTCATTTTCTTTTGGGGTTGATGTTTACCTTTTTCTTAAGGATTTTTAAAAACATTTCATATATTAAGGAATAAATACTAGATTCAATCTAACATTTATTACATATGTTGCAAGTTTCCCCAGTTTCATCGTCGCTTTCTCCCTTTGTTTTGGATCTACAGAAATTATAAAGTATGTGTTTGTTAAGTGCTGTGTGGAGAACCTATGTGGAAAAGAATCCTCTTAACACATTGCTGGTAGGAGACTAAAGGAAAACAAACAGACATTGAAAGAAATATGATTTATGATCCTTGATTGATCCTCAATTAGGAGAAAAAACAACTATGAAGAACATTGTTTAACATAGCACTTTATGTAGAAATAAAAGATTTATCTTATCCTAAAATGTCATCTTGAGAACTGTAGCAAAAAACATGAAACTAGTGTTATCATTGTATGTATCATATTTCAAATAAGGTGAGAAAACAATGGCACATTTTTATTTTTTGAGTTTACTTAGGAAAAATTATAATTGTCAAAATATTTTATTTACAAAATCCAATTGTTTATGTTTGAACTTTGCTGCCAAGTGAATTTTTAAAAGTGAACTAGCACATCGTTAACTCTCCAGTTTCTGCAATATAGTTAACTATAAGTAGGCTTTTTTTTTTTTTTCTGGAAACATGTTATGTTGAAACTCAGTTATATGCATAACCTGTAATTAGATTTACATTTTTCATGAAAGCTGTATCCTAAGTATCTGCCTTCTCTTTAAAATATAGTCTTAGCAAGTTAACGAAAATGCTAATACTATTTAATTCTAACTGTTGTATATTTAAATACAATGAAAAACAGTAAAAAATGGATTTATATTTTTAAATTTACTATGGCTTTAATAGCTGGAATTAATTGCAAAAGAACAGCTGCATCTTTAGCACCACAGGCTTAAATTAAGATCCCAAAGTCCCATAGGTTTTACATTGCATGACATGTTAGCAAGAAACTTACAAATATAGAAAGGCTCATGTTCTAAGACAGAACATGATCCATATAATATCCATGATTAGTAAAGCAAATAAAATTCAGTCCAACATCAGGGTCTGTAAAGAAAATAAAATGATGAGAGCTGAGAAAAAAAAGAAGGAACTAGTTAGTTCCTCTTACAGTTTCAATAATATCCCAAACAATTCATTTTTATCTGCGGTATTTAAGAAATGGATTTGTTTAGTTGATTCTGTTTCTCTTAGTTGCTAATGTGATTATTTTAAATTTCTCATTTTGTTTAATCTGAAGTATTTATACATAGTCCTTGCTGAAACTATTTCTCTTGTAGCACTTAATGATAGAAAATCCTCAGACATATTAGTTTATTCCTTATCTTTATTTCCATAAATGAGAAACTTGAGAAAAGAATAGTAGAATACTTTGATTCATAGTAAATGGGCACTTTGATTTATGATTGATTATTTTAATAGCTGAAAAGTCTTAGAAGAGCATAGTAAATTTTTTTCTCCTCAAAATAGTTATTAATGTTTAAAATCTTTTGTACCAAATATAATTTCAGTCTTCCTGGAAGTTTGCCAAAGCGGAACTTTCAAAACAAAAAGGACAATACCTTGATTCCTTACCAATAATGCCTGTGTTTTTTTCAAATAATATAACAATTTTTAAATTACCTTTATAGATGTATTAATGAGAAGATAAAATAATATATTATTTCTTTATACTTCATATGTATTGCCAACATTCAAAACAAATCTGTTGATTGCTTCAAATAAACACACTTCCAGTGATTTTTTTCCTTAAAAAGAAATAATAGCTTGTCTGTATACCAGCTATTAATTTTGCTTGTTGCACACATATATTTGAAGATGAGTTTGTATATGTGTTCATAGGCAGTCGAATCCACATCTAACTCGTCTTCCCTAGCACCTATGCAACTGTATGCCACTATGTTCCCTTTATCTTCTGTGGCCCCTGATGTACTAGTAAACTAAGAATGATATTATCTTAGCAATGTCAAAATCTCAAGTAATAAGGATCCTGCCTAACCTTAAGGTGATATTTTATCTTCTTTTTCTTTTTAACATCTTGTTTAGTTCTACAAATAGCACTGAATTGCTACCTTCGTAAAATTATGAAGTGAGTACCTCAAGTACATTTGATTTGTGATGTTTTAGTTTTGGAGAAGATGCTCTATAAAATAATACTTGGTAAGGGTATTAAGAGGTTTGACATGCAAAAATGTGGCATACATAAGTTTGTTGATAAAAAACTAAATATGTTTATTGTAGCACTTTATTTTTTAATCTGCTGATGAGCACTGTGAATCATTTAGAGCTGAGGACATAAATGCACTTTTTTTCCCTCAAAAGTATTTGACCAGAGATATATTTTTTTCATAAATCATATTATATGACAAATATTGTATAGAACATACTTAGAGAACTGTTAGGCAAATATTTGGGAGCTTTAATACTTTAAAAAATCTTGTATCTTCAACTTATCTTAAAACAAAATGATTATATAACACAATTATATTTCTTACTGTAAACAATACTTTCTGCAATTTCTAAATTTTCTTGAAGTGATAAGTTCAGAATTTTATGAATATGGTCATATTTTTCCAACTTTTATCTGTTTTTCTTCTGCATACTGTGTATTGCCTGTGTATCTCCATTTCTTTTCATATTCCCCTTGAACTTTTTACTCAGCTACACTCTTCTTAAAAGAGACATCATAGTTCTGACAATCCTTTTTGTTTCTCTTTTTTTTTTCTCCTGGGAGGTAGGATACTCTTCTTTTAAATATGTTTTAAAGTGACCTTTACACATGTAGTTCTCTTTTCCTGGGATGGCCCCTTACCTCAAGAGCTTTTGTGATTTAGAACTCTGGTTAAGTGTGACCCACTCAGTAAGCCGAGCAGTAAGCTTTTCCTGCCATCTATTTATTCTTTCATTTAATCTGTTACTAAATCACAAATATTTAGTAAGTATTTGACACATATGCACATGTGTGCTAGGCTGCTGTGAGTGTAAAGATAAGAATATGAATATGTAAACAGCTCACATTCTTGTGAGCTCTACAGGCTAGTGAACAGGCAATAATTGCTGTTATGGGACAGTATAGCATAGTGGGTACACAGAAAGAACACATAATCTAGACTGTGGAAACCAGGTAACACTTCTCTGGTAAACTGATAACTGGCCAAAGATTGGAAAGATAAATGGGAGTTAGCGAGGTAAAAGGATGAATGTGCAATCAGAACACCTAAGAAAAGTGTAAAAAACTTGGATAGACATAAATGAAAACCAGTGTAATTACTAGGAAACTAGCCAGGAAGACACTGATAATATGTGTTAGGAGAAGTTTTATAGTATTTATAGTATTAACAAACATCACGGCTTTAAGAACTCTAAGTCTGGACTTTGAGACCACGCTGGAATTGACTGTGGCTAATAAGAAGGCTTTCTGCTATGTACAAAACACTTTATAAGTCACACAGATTGAGTTTGTTTTTTCATGCCATAGCCATATAACACTACAATGGAAAGAAAGCCCTACCTAAATTGCCATAAGAGAGTAAATTCCCAACAAGGTTGGATAGATTAGTTGTGTCCCTCTCTTCCATATCAGAGAAATGTGGAAGTGCTTAAAGTCCATATATATTTTCTCCAGACTGAGTGGTCAAAGTCCTTGTAAAATTTTTTACAGGCTACACACTGATGTTACCCATAGAGTTTCTATATCACTTTCCTGTTTTCCTTGAATTACACATAAAGAACAGTAGCCTATAGCATAAAAGTTTCTTTTCAATATGGATACCTCCCTGCATTATTAAGTATTAGACACAGAAGGAAAACCAATTTGCTGCATCATACAAATTCACATTGTTTTATGTATACTTTTAGACTGTTGGTCTCTAATTTTATTTTTTCTTACCCTTATTTGTGTTTATTTAAATAAATTTTACTATGTATAGTTAAGGTATACGACATAATGTTATGAGACATATATAAAGGTTTTTAAACAGTGAAATGGTTACTATAATAGAGCAAATTAACATATCTGTCATTTCTCATAGTTACTCATTTCGCCCCCTGTGGCAAGAGCAGCTGTAATCTCATTTAGCAAAAGTCCTGAAAACAATACACTATTATTAGCTATAGTTTTATGTAGCACATTAGATAGTTCATCCTACATATTTGCTACTTTGTATCATTTGCCCTCATGTACTCCCACCCTGGAAACTACTGTTTTATTCTCTATCTCTATATATTTGACCTTTCTTTTTTTGGTAGATTCTACATATCTAAGTAAGAATATGCAGTATTTGCCTTCCTGTGGCTGGCTTATTTCACTTAGCATAATATTCTCCAATTCCACCCAAGTTGTGGCAAATGGCAGGATGCCTTCCTTTTAAATCTGCTTTAAAATGTTTATAAGGAGACTGGAGGTAAATTTTCAAAATGTTAATTCCTTTCCAATCAATCAAAGAAAATGTTCTTTAATATTCTCAGAACCAATGCTTCAGTACACTTTTGTAGGTCTCCCTCAGAAATAAGTCTCTTTGTGAAGTAGTCAGACAAATTCACTTTTAATGTCAAATTGGGTTGTGTTTGTTTGTTTCTGTGATAGGTAAGTTAGGTAATATATTACACCTGATACTACATATACAAATGTCTGTAATCATGGCTTAACAGTAGGAAAAGACTAGAAATAGTTTTACTCTAAATATAATTATTTTAATATTATGGTAATATGGCATTTTCTGAATATTCTTGTCAGTTGATTATAGATGTTTATAAAATAACGGGCTTATTAGAGATTTACTGAGTAGATAAATGATATAAGGATTAATACTCAGTAAATAATTAATATGTTTTTTAATTTACTTAGAAATATCCCATATTAACAGCCAGGCACGGTGGCTCACGCCTGTAATTCCAGCACTTTGGGAGGCCGAGGCGGGCGGATCACGAGGTTAGGAGATCGAGACCATCCTGGCTAACACAGTGAAACCCCCTTTCTACTAAAAATACAAAAAAAAAAAAATTAACTGGGCGTGGTGGCGGGCGCCTGTAGTCCCAGCTACTCGGGAGGCTGAGGCAGGAGAAAGGCGTGAACCCAGGAGGCAGAGCTTGCAGTGAGCTGAGATCGCACCACTACACTCCAGCCTGGGTGACAGAGCAAGACTATATCCCATATTAGCACTTTATTTTTTAATCTATTAGTAGAATTTTTATTCAACATCATGTATTTCAGAATTTCTACATTAAAAAGTCATGATCAATATAGTAACAGTTCTAGTATAAGGTAGTATAATTTGGTCTGATAATTTAATTGATAAAGATATTTATTTCTTTTCTTAACAGTATATAGTTACTAGCATTCTAGTAGATGCCATTCCTGGTATGTCTGGGTTTGATATGCAGCAGTATTCTAAGAAAGCCTCAGTTTGTGGTCAGATTTAATATTTTTTTATTACGGTGACTAAGTTTAATTAGGAAGTTTGATTTGTACTCCTTACTTGACTAGTTCAGGAAATCAGTTCATTTGAATCTTTTTCCATGCATAATTATTCTCTGGATTTGGGTATGTGATAGAAAATATAGTCAGAAGATAATTGAATAAGGAGGCATTGAGCTGATCCTCAGTCCTTGGGTGTTTCTAAAAGGATGGATAGACAGAATCTTTTGGAATAGAAATGTATGGTAGGTATATTCATTAATACATTTCAGTAAGGGAGCATTATGTGATAATCCTTAGTAAATAGAAAGGTCTAATCATGATCTTTGCTTTACCTCAGGCCATTGATATTTCATATACATTTTCCCTCTTCTTTTGACATTTACGTTGGATTTTAATGCAGTAATTCTGGATTTAAAAAGCTTGTTATAAATTACCTTGGGCAGTATGGCCATTTTCATGATATTGATTCTTCCTACCCATGAGCATGGAATGTTCTTCCATTTGTTTGTATCCTCTTTTATTTCATTGAGCAGTGGTTTGTAGTTCTCCTTGAAGAGGTCCTTCACGTCCCTTGTAAGGTGGATTCCTAGGTATTTTATTCTCTTAGAAGCAATTGTGAATGGGAGTTCACTCATGATTTGGCTCTCTGTTTGTCTGTTATTGGTGTATAAGAATGCTTGTGATTTTTGTACATTGATTTTGTATCCTGAGACTTTGCAGAAGTTGCTTATCAGCTTATATAGATTCAGTGCCATCCCCATCAAGCTACCAATGACTTTCTTCACAGAATTGGAAAAAACTACTTCAAAGTTCATTTGGAACCAAAAAAGAGCCCGCATCGCCAAGTCAATCCTAAGCCAAAAGAACAAAGCTGGAGGCATCACGCTACCTGACTTTAAACTATACTACAAGGCTACAGTAACCAAAACAGCATGGTACTGGTACCAAAACAGAGATATAGATCAATGGAACAGAACAGAGCCCTCAGAAATAACGCCGCATATCTACAACTATCTGATCTTTGACAAACCTGAGAAAAACAAGCAATGGGGAAAGGGTTTCCTATTTAATAAATGGTGCTGGGAAAACTGGCTAGCCATATGTAGAAAGCTGAAACTGGATCCCATCCTTATACCTTATACAAAAATCAATTCAAGATGGATTAAAGACTTAAACGTTAGACCTAAAACCATAAACAGCCTGGAAGAAAACCTAGGCATTACCATTCAGGACATAGGCATGGGCAAGGACTTCATGTCTAAAACACCAAAAGCAATGGCAACAAAAGCCAAAATTGACAAATGGGATCTAATTAAACTAAAGAGCTTCTGCACAGCAAAAGAAACTACCATCAGAGTGAACAGGCAACCTACAGAATGGGAGAAAATTTTTGCAACCTACGCATCTGACAAAGGGCTAATATCCAGAATCTATAATGAACTGAAACAAATTTACAAGAAAAAAACAACCCCATCAAAAAGTGGGCGAAGGACATGAACAGCCACTTCTCAAAAGAAGACATTTATGCAGCCAAAAAACACATGAAAAAATGCTCACCATCACTGGTCGTCAGAGAAATGCAAATCAAAACCACAATGAGATATCATCTCACACCAGTTAGAATGGCAATCATTAAAAAGTCAGGAAACAACAGGTGCTGGAGAGGATGTGGAGAAATAGGAACACTTTGACACTGTTGGTGGGACTGTAAACTAGTTCAACCATTGTGGAAGTCAGTGTGGCGATTCCTCAGGGATCTAGAACTAGAAATACCATTTGACCCAGCCATCCCATTACTGGGTATATACCCAAAGGACTATAAATAATGCTGCTATAAAGACACATGCACACGTATGTTTATTGCGGCACTATTCACAATAGCAAAGACTTGGAACCAACCCAAATGTCCAACAATGATAGACTGGATTAAGAAAATGTGGCACATATACACCATGGAATACTATGCAGCCATAAAAAATGATGAGTTCATGTCCTTTGTAGGGACATGGATGAAATTGGAAATCATCATTCTCAGTAAACTATCACAAGAACAAAAAACCAAACACCGCATATTCTCACTCATAGGTGGGAGTTGAACAATGAGAATACATGGACACAGGAAGGGGAACGTCACACTCTGGGGACTGTTGTGGGGTGGGGGGAGGGGGTAGGGATAGCATTGGGTGATATACCTAATGCTAGATGATGAGTTAGTGGGTGCAGCGCACCAGCATGTCACATGTATACATATGTAACTAACCTGCACATTGTGCACATCTACCCTAAAACTTAAAGTATAATAAACAACAACAAAAAAAAGCTTGTTATAATAGGGCTCATCCAAGGTCATAGTTTTATTTCATTAAATGAATAGTTATTTGTTAACAACTTGCTAAGTAGTAGGCTGGGGATACACATGTGAACAAAACAGTCCAAGTTCCTGTTCATTTGGACCTTTTGTTCCACCAGAGAGAGGCAAACAATGAAGTAAGCAAATTACAACAAACAAGAATTTCAGAAAATTGTAAGGGTCATAAAGAAGCATAAAGTGATAGTGATTTGAAAGAGGCTGTTTATGGCTGTTAAGAAAGTCTTCTCTGATAAGGTATTATTGAGCTAAGTCTTTTATGATGAGAAAGGGGCTGCTATGGGAAAAGCCAGTGGAACAGTGTTCCCAGGATGGAGATCAGTGGGAAAAAAAAGGCCTAAGAGAGAATAAGTGTGGCATGTCCCAGGAACTAAAAAAGACCTAACTCCCTGGAGTGAAGAAAAAGAGAGAAAGAGTAATATGAGATGGGGACTGACGAGAGCTCAGCAGAGGTCAGATCTTGATGGGTTTTGAAAGCCATAGTAAAGGGTTTAGACTTAACTCTTAATATGAGATGAGAAGCCGTTAAGTTTTTAAACAGGTAAATTACATAATATTTACAGGTTCAAACTATTATTCTGAGAGAGGAGTGGATTGTAGTGGAGCAAATAGTGAACCAAGATGGACAGTAATTAGCAGACCATTGTAATGAACATGTTTAGAGCAAATAGTGTCTCCGACTAGGGAGGTGTTGGTAGAGAGAGAAAGAGAGAGAGAGAATGAAGTCAGATTATATTTTATGGTATTTACAACCATGGGGACTAAATGAACATCATCCTGGGAAGAGAGTAGCAACACAGAAGCCAGAAGAGGAAACTATTTCCATAAGGAGGAAGTGGTTAATGGAAGTCACTACATGAAAAGGAAAGGTAAAATGCCATAATACTATAGCACTTGATATTTTTCCTCATGGCTACAGTTTACCAGTATCTCTGTCATTTTGCCTTATTGACTGAAAACTGATTTAATGTCTGCCTCTACACCTATACATCTGTTCAGCCTTTGCTTCCAAACACTTTGAAGAAAAGAGGAAAGGCTATGACAACTTTAACAAAGAAGTGGCAAAGTGGACCAAGGAAAATAGCCAAAATTTCATGCCCCTCCCCCAAAACCTGGGATTTGAGAGAGAAGAGAAAGACAACAGCTTCCCTACCTGCTCCATAGGACATAAAGAGCTAAGGACACAGTCTAATTTTGCCTAAGAGACAAAGCTAAAAGAAACATTCATAAAAGAGGTTTTGGATATGAGGCATATGCTCAAACTTGAGGTAACCAAGAGCACTATGAAGAAATTTAGAGGGACAGGGAAGGATACAGAATTGGGTGAGATTCAGAGATATATGGATTACTATGAGGATAAGAGTCTGATGATGGCTGAAGAAACAGACTTCTGGTAACTTCGATATGTAGAAATATGAGGAATAGCAGTCTCTTAGAGGAAGATGGGCAGTTAGAGTTATAATCCAGCTTGTTATTTTAAGGGTATGATACCACTGACCTTTCTTTTCTGCTCCTTGTAATTATGTGGTGAGTTTTGATGGGGGAGGAGCAGGGGTAGTGAAATACTGAAGTCACTAAAGGTTAGGGGAAGAGTTGGCTCAAATGAACTAACTGAAGGATACCCAAGAACTTGTTCACAGGGGGCAGATTAATGAGTAGGGGCAGGAGATCAAAAACTGCAGGGAGAGTATACAGGAAACCAGACTCAGAGATTCCCCTCTAAAGGAAAGGCCAGATGGTGACAGAGAGCCAGTCATCTGTCCTCACTTGGATTAGAGGCTAGTGAGTGACCAGGAGTCCAAGGATCTGTCTTCAAGTGTATTAGAAGTCAGAAGACAGTCCAGAGGAAGACTGGGTTTGACACTGTGGATGATTGTGTATTCCTGTGATAGTGCATGAATATACCTGACAGGGATCACACTCTGTTACATCCAGGTAATATCTACTCTGGGATTCTGCCAGTTGTCAGGCCTTATCTATAGCATTTTAATAATTCAGAATAAAAGAGACAAGGATAGGAGAGAGACTTATATGAAAGAAGAATTGGAATTAACAGAAATACATTATGGAAACATAGATCTGTAATATTCTGAGACTTGTATTTTTAAAACTGTTTGTAATGGCTAAGTCAGATTTTGTTCATAGTGTCACAGAAACTTACCTGAATTGTAGTTACCTATTTTGACCTGTACTCAAACAGGTGTCTGACAGATGTATTATCTATTTTCACATGTCACTATTAGCCCCTATAACTCTTAAGATATTCTGATATTCTTTAATTTATAATTCTATAATAATTAATGTTGAAAAAATAGGTAATAAGATACTCCATTGTGTTTCACATCAGGGCATACAAAAATAATTTTTAGCAAATGAGTTGAGTTGCAGAATTTCTGAGCAGAATTTCTGAGCTTTGCCTTCATACCCAAAGTCACATTTTTTTTCTAAATATGTTGTGGTATGCTGAAGCTATTTACTTATTTTTAATTTTAATTTTAATTTTTTTTTTGAGACAGAGCCTCACTCTGTAGCCCAGGCTGGAGTGCAGTGGCACAATCCCAGCTCACTGAAACCTCCACCTCTCGAGTAACTGGGATTACAGGTGCACACCCCCATGCCTGGCTAATTTTTATGTTTAGTAGAGATGGGGTTTCACCATGTTGGCCAGGCTGGTCTTGAACTCCTGACTTCAAGTGATCCGCCTACCTCGGCCTCCCAAGTGTTGGGATTACAGGCGTGAACCACCGTGCCCAGCCGCTATTTATTTTAACTAAGTGTTTTGTTATTTGTTCTCAGCATTATAGTCATAGGATAGCTTTAATGCGCTGGAAAAATATAGATTACCAGGAAAAATATAGATTACCACAGTGTATTAATGATAGGTTTGTAATTTTTTTCGTGATAAAACATTACACATTTTTTGTTAAAATGGTAAAAGGAATTTATGGAAAAGCCGCAGCTAACATCACACTCAATAGTGAAGACTGAAAGCTTTTCCCATGATAAGAAACAAGACATGGATGCCTGCTTTCACCACTGTTATTAAACATTTTTCTGGTACTTGTAGCCAGAATAATTGGACAAGAAAACAAAAATGGTATCCAAATTGGAAAGGAAGAAGTACCACTATCTCTATTTGCGGATGACATCTTCCTGTATATACAAAACTCCAGAGAATCAAGCAAGCCACTAGAGCTAATAAATTAAGCAAAGTTTTAGAACAAACAAAAATCAGTTCCTATACACCACAGTGAACAGTCCAAAAAGGAAATTAAGAAATAAATTTCGTTTACAGTAGCATCTAAAATAGTAAAATGCCTGCAAATAAATTTAACCAAGGAGGTACAAAACTGAAGACCTAAGGAAAGGCATCCCATTTAATGGGTGAGTACACTTAATGTTGTTAAAATATCAGTACTACCCAAAGTATACAGACTCGACTTAATTGCTATCAAAATTCTAAATGTTTTTTTTTTTTTACAGAAATGGGAAGCCTGATTCTGAAAATGCATACGGAATTGCAAGGTTCCTAGAATAGATAAAACAATATTGAAAAATTACAGAGTTGAGGATTCACACTTCCTGACTTCAAAACTTACTGTAAAGATACAGTAACCAAAAGAGTCTGGTACTGTCATTAGGAAAGACAATAATTAATGGAGTCTAGAAATAATTCCACATAACTATAGCCAATTGATTTTTGACAAGGGTATCAAGTTCATTCAATGGGAAGAGAACAATCTCTTCAACAAGTGTTGTTGGGACACCTGGATTTCCACATGCAAGAGTGGAGTTAGAACCCTCCTCATATCATATTAAAATATCAAAATTAATTCAAAATAGATCAACAACCTAAATATAAGAGCTAAAACCATAAAACTGTAGAAGGAAATGTAGAAATAGTTCTCCATGACCTTGGATTTGGGAATGGATTATTCAGTAACAAAAATGGGAACAAAAAATAAATTGGACTTCATCAAAATTTTAAAACTTCTGTGCATCAAAGGACATTATTAACGTCCATTACCAAAGGACATTAACAAAGACAACCTACAGAATGAGAGAAAATGTTTGAAAATAATTTATACAATAACTTTAATATCCAGAATATATAAACAACTCCTAAAACTCAACGAATAAAACCCCAGTGGCTCATGCCTGTAATCCCAGCACATTGGGAGGTCAAGGCAGTGGGATCACTTGAGTCCAGAATTTGGAGACCAGCTTGGGTAACATTGCGAGACCCCATCTCAAAAAAAATTTTTTTAATTAAAAAAAAATTAGCCAGATGTGGCCGGGCACGGTGGCTCACGCCTGTAATCCCAGCACTTTGGGAGGCCGAGGCAGGCGGATCATGAGGCCAGGAGATCGAGGCCATCCTGGCTAACACGGTGAAACCCCGTCTCTACTAAAAATACAAAAAAATTATCCGGGCGTGGTGGCGGGCGCCTGTAGTCCCAGCTACTTGGGAGGCTGAGGCAGGAGAATGGCGGGAACCCAGGAGGTGGAGCTTGCAGTGAGCCGAGATTGCGCCACTGCACTCCAGCCTGGGCGACAGAGCGAGACTCCGTCTCAAAAAAAAAAAAAAAAAAAAAAAAACTAGCCAGATGTGATGGTGCGCACCTGTAGTTCACCTACTTGGGGCTGAGCTGGGAGGATTGCTTGAGTCCAGGAGTTTGTGGCTGCAGTAAGCAATGATCACGCTACTGCACTCACAGTTGGGCAACACAGTGAGACCCTGTCTCATACACACAAAAAGACACCATTTGAAAAGTGTGCAAATGATGTGAACAGATATTTCTCTAAAGAAAATATACAAATGAACAGTAAGCACGTGCAAAAATGTTCGACATTATTAGTCATTAGTAAAGTGCAAATCGAAACTCCAAGATAGCTCTTCACACCTATTAGGATGGCTATTACTAAAAAATAATAATAAATGTTGGCTAAGACTTACAGAAATTGGAACCCTTTTACACTGTTGTTGGGGATGTAAAATGGTGCCGCGGCTTGGGACAGTTTATCTGTTCCTCAAAAGGCTAGAATTACCATATTAGTCAACAATTCCACTCCTAGGTTTGTACACAGAATAATTGAGAACAAGCACTGAAGCAGATGCTACCAGTGTTCATTGCAGCAGTATTCACAATAGCCAAAAGGTGTAAACAACCCACGTGTCCACCAACAGGTAAATGGATAAATAAAATATGGTATGTAACATGCAATGGAATATTGTTACGCTGTAATAAGGGAATGAATTTTTGAGATATGCTACATCAGTGCATCTTGAAAATATTATCCTAAGTAAAATAAGCCAGACACCAGACAGATATTGTGTGATTCCATTTATACGAAATATCTAGAATTTTGACATAGAGACAAAAAGTAGATTAGAGGTAACTGGGGGATATAGGAAGGAAGGGATGGAAATTTATTTCTTAATGGTTAGAGTTACAGTTTGTGATAATGAAAAACTTTTGGAAAGAGATAGTGAGAGTATATGTACAACATTTGAATTTAATTAATACCACTGAATTGTACACCTAAAGATGGGTAAAAGGACCAGTTTTGTATGTAGCACAATTTTTATTTTTTATTTATTTATTGAGACAGAGTATCACTCTGTTGCCCAGGCTGGAGTGCAGTGGCATGATCTCTGGTCACTGTAACCTGTGCCTCGCAAATTCAAGTGATTCTCCACCCTCAGCCTCCCAAGTAGCTGGGACTACAGGCGTGCACCACTAAAAAATAACAAAATTTTTTTAGTAGAGATGGAGTTCTCACTGTGTAGACCAGGCTGGTCTCAAACTCCTGACTTCAGGTCATCCACTCGCCTTGGTATATGTACAGTTTTTAAATTGCCATTTTTCTATTATCTTAGCATCCTAAAACTATAAAAAATTAATACATTTTAATATTAATAATAATATAATACTTTTAAATAATAGATTACATATACGCTTAAATTTCTGTTGTTTTTCCGACTATAGTCTACTCTCCTATATTACTTCTCCCACCAAGTTAAACAGTCAAAATTCTTTATCCTACCTCTACATTTATTTGATATAGTGCATGTAGTCAGTGATATGATATTCATTGATTATTCACTGATTTAAATAATTCAGTCCTTGAAATTTCAACAAATGCAGGCCTTGTCTTCAGTTGAATTTGTAGGCTTATGATTAAAAAATGGATCATTCTATAAACTCTATATTTTTAAAAAATATGACATAAAGTTACTGCTTAATTTTGTCTAATGCATTAATCTATATTAGGTCTCAAAGTTGACAACTTTGTTACATGTCAGAAATTAATGTAAGAGACATTAATTTTCTTGCTCTCATCTCGTAAGCAATCTCTGATTCGTTACCATGCTGCATGTCCATTGCAATGCTGCTCCCCTTACCTTTACATGACTCTGATTAGCTATGCATTCCACCACTGGTCACACTTCTGAGTTTCTTAGCTTGAGTTGGTATCACATGTTTGGTGCAAACTGTTTTCCCAGCTGGGACATGTGATATCAAATCAAGCTTTGCAAAAGTGAATTCCTATTAATACATAAAGGATAGATAGAAGAATTTCAAGTGCCATTTTTCTCATAGCAAAAATTTAAAAGTACAAATTACTGTCAAAAATGGTGATATTGAGGGGGAGTGGAGACAAGTCAGCAAATCTCTATTTATTATGTACATATAAAATGTAATTGCACTTTAATAAAAATTTGTTATGGCAGTTTTATATTTCTGTAATTGTGGAAATTAAAAGGTTATACTATTGACATAACTAGGATTGCTATAGTGATCCTAAATTTAGCATAAACCTATGCTGAGGATGAATGAATCGTCATCATCTTAACTGTTTTTTGCATGGCCTCAAAATTTAAAAACTAGAAATAAATTGCAATATATTTGAGAATAATTGCAGTTGTTATATAAAATTTTCAGATATATCTGTTTTCAGGGTTCTTCAGAAGTTAGATTCCTCAGCTGTGCAGATGCTACTTTATGGGAATAGCTAGTTAAGTAAATTAGTATTCCATTTGCATGATGAGACAGAGAATGAATGAACGACAAGCTGGACAACATCTACTTTGCCATTCATTCTCTCTTCCTAAGGTCTCTGAAGAATGAATATTTTTAGATTTTTCTGAAAAATATACTCTCATCCTTTGACTTGATTTGTGATATTTTAATGTGAAAACATGTTGTATAAACAGAATCAGGCCTTCACTATGTTGACTTTGGATTAAGCATGTTATATGGCCTTTTGCAAATTTTTGCAGTTTAAAAGTAGAGAGATAATTGTGTAGAGTTAATCACCTAGAGAAGAAACCCAATTATTACTTTACATCATAAGATGTCAATTCCTATGATTTCTTTTTTTAAAAGACCTTTTCTTGAAATAGTGTATTTTCTCCTCAGTAATTGTAGGGTAGGAGGAAGTATTATCAAATGTGCGTAACTGTACAGTGGTATAAAAGCTGCAATTACAAATTGAACTTACTTTTAATGGCAATTTTATCAAGTACTTTTGTTGATCTGAAAACTTGTCCTAAAAAATCTTACTAATAGCCCACATAGTTATTAACCATCTCCTGTGGTGGTCTGTTCTCTGCAAGAAGGGTCAATCATTTCTTTTTATGACAGATTTGGAATAAATCTTGGAGAAATGTTAATGGTATTAAGACAATGCTTTTTAAAGAAACATCAAAGTTACATGAAAATAATTTTTCCACAATCAACTGAAACATATGCGATTTTCTTAAATGTGTTAAATTTGCTATCTGGCCTAATATTACATTCTTAGGAGGTATGTGGTATAATGATAAAAAATTGTTTTTGACAAGACTTTTACTGTTCTCTGTGTTTGCTATATGTCTTTGCACAGTTGCTTCCATTTCCATACATGTAAGTTGGAGATATCTGTCCTGATTATTGTGAACATTAAATGAGATTTTATGTGTGTCAATCAATTATACTAACAATATATAAATATATGTATTATAATTCATATTTATATATCTTCTGTAAATCACAAATTGGCTTATGAAGATAAGGAAGGATGATTACTGTTAAAAGTCACTTAAAAGAATATTCTGAGATGCATATTGTTAAATTGCTTCAAATTTTAAGTTATTCCGTATGCGTATAGGGACATAGAAAGGAAACAAAAGGTCTGTAGTTGTGAGCTTCAGAGAAGACCTTTGAATTGCTTCATTTCTTGAAATTGGTTAAGTATATACTTTCCCCTGAAAGAATGTACTACTACATTGCTGCGACTAGAAAACCCTTCAATGTCCTTCAGTGGAGCTTTTGCTGACTCATTATCTTAAATACTCATAAATGAGACTTTTGCTTATGTAATTATAGCAATAAATTTGGTAACCTAAGAAATGAATGTAAATCATCTATTTATAAAGACAATATGAAAAGTGATTATCATATATAGACTATTATGGGTGATTTTTATTAAATAAATGGTAACATAGTCTGTTGAAAGGATACTTTGTGTTTTAGTTTTAAAAATTAAGATGCTTGTATAGAATTTTAAATCTTTTAAGAAGAAAGCATTAAAGTAATATTTTATCTATTTACACTGACCCCAAACTTGGAAATAAAGAAAAATGAAATCAAAAATGATTTCATAAAGGCCACATATTCCCTATGGTTGTCACTAGGAACAAGAAAACTACTTGGTTTTTTTTTTGTTTGTTTGGCTTTTTTTTTTTTTTTTTTTTTTTTTGAGTCTGTCACCCAGGCTGGAGTGCAGTGGTGTGATCTCGGCTCACTGCAAGCTCTGCCTCCCAGGTTCATGCCATTCTCCTGCCTCAGCCTCCCAAGTAGCTAGGACTACAGGTGCCCACCACCACGCCTGGCTAATTTTTTGTATTTTTAGTGGAGACGGGGTTTCACCGTGTTAGCCAGGATGGTCTTGATCTCCTGACCTCATGATCCGCCCGCCTCAGCCTCCCAAAGTGTTGGGATTACAAGCGTGAGCCACCATGCCCGGCCCGGAACCTACTTGTTAATAGTTTATATAATTTTAACAGTCTTATTTAACTGTATATTATTAGGTTGCTGAGGACTAGAAACAGCAAATTATAAGAGAAGAGCCTGTTATAATCAGATATTTTAGCAAACAGCAAAAATAAGTGGCAAAAAGAGGAAAAATATGAAAACTAAAAGAATAGATACCACTCACAAAGCACTGTTTGTGTAAGAGTAAACAGACAGACATACCTCCAAATAGCAAGGAAATTTAAATGTATTTGAAAATATATATTGCAAGATATTTCTTGATATGATAGAAACTAAATGTTTACTTGCATGAAATAAAAACATGTTGATCACAATATTAGCTATCCAAAATTAGTAATTTCTCTGCATAATAAGTAGCAGTTATCTCTATAAATTATCTGTATATCATGTTGTTTTAAATATCAGCTTTTGCCTGTTAGAGTTAATTGGTATTTACATTTTCTTAAGTTATTTTGGAGGCCAAAATTATTGCTATAGATTGTCATAGAAGTGTTAATAAATTTTCTACTACATTTTTGTATTATTGTTTTATTTTGTGATGTTTCAGTGTCACTCATCCAACCAAATGACTTACTCTACACTAACATTAATATTTCCTAAATAATTATGTCTGTATTCTTTCATAAGATACTGAGTTATATTTCCAGTAGGAATATAAACTGATGCATTTTCTTTTATATGAACAGAATGTTCACTAATTTTCATTATAGATGACAATTGAAACTATGTGGATCAAATCATTAGCATATGTTCGTTATTCTAGAATAGTCTTACTCTGGTTTGAATAATGTCTCAGGTATCTAAACAGTTTTTTATAGCACTTTAGACCACAACAAAAAATATTTTTCTCCCTAACAATATTATTTTAGGTAGAGTTCATTTTCAGAGTTTGTCTATTTTTTTCTACCCTAGGAAAAAGAAAAAAATTGTTAAATTATCCATTATTTCTCCTAGTACCTGTCTCAAAAAACTTTTACCACGTGCCCTTTTTAAATGATAAATTATAACTTATTATAGTTTTTAAATCATTTTCCGAAATATATCTGCTTTTTATGTTCGTTGAATGATCTTATAAACCGAGAGATTTACTGGCTTTATAGATATTTTGTAGATAAAAAAGGCCTTAGAAATCAATCACATATATGTTTCAAAATACAGACAAGAAATTTTAGACTCAGGAAGTTGTTTATTTAAAAAAAAAATACTTGTTGAGTATCTGTAGTGTGCCAGGCACTCTTCTGGGCACTGGAGATACAGTGGTAAACATGACAAAGTCCCTTTCATACTGTTGTTTTTGTCTCTGCTGAGCCTGTCATTGTCTCTCAGTGTTTTTCATAACAGTTATTTTCTTTTACTATTCTTTCTCTGTGTTTTATTTCTCTTATGTATAGTGTCTGTCCACATGAACTAGAATATGAGCTCCATGAAGGCAGGGTTTGTTCGTTTTTTTTTTCCTGTTTGGTCATTGCTGTACCTTCAGCTTCTAATATGATACTTATTTAGTAGGGACTCAATACATTTTTATCAAATGAGTTAATGAACTGAGTAAAAACCATGAGCTAGGAGCATGTGGCATTCTGAAAGCCAAGTGAAGTGTTTTTAGAACAGAATGGTCACCTACTGACAGCATAAAATGCTGCTGACGAGGCAAACAACATGAAGACTTGAAGATTAGATTTATCCAGGTACAGCTGTGATGAATGCTTTCAGTAGAGTTGTAGAATCTACTAGATTCAAGGAGAAAAAAAGCCATATTGGAGTATATTCAGGATTGGGTGATGAGGAAGTAGAAAGAGAGTATCTATAAAACTCATTCAAGGAATTTTGAGGGATAAGGAAATTGAGCTGCAACTAGAAGAGGGGTATGAGGTCAATGAGATTTTTTAAATGTTTTTAAATGAAAATTGTAAGCATGTATAAAATAGAACAATTAATTTCTTTTTTTTTTTTTTTTTTTTTTTTTTTTTTTTTTCGAGACGGAGTCTCGCCCAGGCTGGAGTGCAGTGGCGCGATCTTGGCTCACTGCAAGCTCCGCCTCACGGGTTCGCGTCATTCTCCTGCCTCAGCCTCCTGAGTAGCTGGGACTACAGGTGCCCGCCACCATGCCCGGCTATTTTTTTTTGTATTTTTAGTAGAGATGGGGTTTCACCGTGTTAGCCAGGATGGCCTCGATCTTCTGGCCTCATGATCCGCCTGCCTCGGTCTCCCAAAGTGCTGGGATTACAGGTGTGAGCCACCGCACCCGGCCAATTAATTTCTTTATACCCTTCATCTATATCAACAGTATCAAGATTTGTCATGCCTAAAAAGTTTACTCATTTTTTGTTGTTGCAGAAATATTTTGATGCAAGTTCAGTTACATTTTACCTGTACATATTTCAGTATTCATCTCAGAAAAGAAAAAAAAATGACACTTTCTGTAAACTGATGCCATAATCTCACATGTTGAAGTTAACAGTAATTATTTGGTGCCAAAACTCTGTCCTTGTCATTGCCTCAATTTTGTTTCAAGTGAAAATTGTTTAATTTGGGACCCAACCAAATTCTGCCTTACATTTAGTCATAACATATTTTAAGTCTTCTTTTGTCTGGAGAGTAATCTCTTCTTTATTGACGAAGCTGCATCAGTTGTCTTATAAACTATTTTTGTGTCTTTGCTTCCTTATGGTATCGTTTATTGTTCTGTTTTCAGTATTAATCTATAGTGCTAAATGTTTGATTAGATTTAGGTTCAACTACTTTTAGGTACATCATAATTGGTTCTGTGTGTTTTTTATTACATCACATCAAGAAGCATATAATGTTTGGTTTTCATACTCGTCATGCTAATGTTGATCATTGAAATCAGTTGGTAATACCTGATGTTTTTATTGAAAATTTTATATTAACCTTTCATCTGATGATTTTATCCATTTATGATCTTTACCAAACTTAATTTTGTCATTAGGTTTGCAAAAGAGTAATTTTCTAACTCTATCAATGTCTTTAAAAATTGTAGAAATTACAACATATTTCCTACTGATGGGAATATTCAATAGAAAAAAATTATGATGTAAGAAATAACTCTAACTGGAGAAGCAGTGGACTTGGTAGGTAAGGGGGCACAGGGCCCAGTGCATAAGTGATGGATCACCTTAGGTAGAAACAGGAACTGTGTAACTGACTTACCTAAACTTATAGTAGCACTGAATATATTTTATTAAATTTCTGTGAAAACTTTTCTATTAAAACTGATAATTGTATGTAATTTTAGAAACCTGTGCATTTTTAGCATTTAATACTGTATGTTAAATCAAAACTTAAAGTCATTGTAAATGTCAATGCCTGTATTTGACATTGCCCCTTCTTATTATACTTTTTGTGATTTCTTTCTTAAAAGTGCAGTTTTAAATTAATGGTCTCTTAAGCCGGGCGTGGTGGCTCACACCTGTAATCCTAGCACTTTGGGAGGCTGAGGTGGGCAGATCACTTGAGCTCAGAAGAGCAGCCTATGCCACATGTCGAAACTCTGTCTCTACAAAAAAATCCAAAAAATTAGCCAGGCATGGTGGTGCCTTCCTGTAGTCCCAGCTGCTTGGAGGGCCAAGGCATGAGGATCACTCTTGAGCCCAGGTGGTCGAGGCTGCAGTGAGCCAAGATCTCACCACTGCACTCCAGCCTGAGTGATAAAGTGAGACTCTGTCTCAAAAAAATTAATTAATTAATGGTATCTTATATACCTCTATCTTATACAAAATATGGGCATGTACTTTTATGTAACTGGTTTTCACCTCTCGTTGCTAGTGTGTTTCAAAGAGAAATAAATGCTACTGTTAAATAAAATGATAAATAACAGGCAGTTTAGTTTAGATACTAATTGAGCCTAAATCCTTTAAAATGACAAAACCAGCAACTTTTATGATTTATAGGCTCATTTTTTTTAACACAGTTTGATCATACACCTGACAGTCTCCCTTTTTTGTGACTTTCTCCTAAAAATTACGGTTTTGTGTTTTCTGAGTGAAAAGGCCATAAGTTCAGTAGAAGAATATGATAGCATCTCTTCTGAGGATTGTAGCATTTCTGAGTGGTAGATATAGAATCTCCTTTTTTCTTTCCTTTTTTTATGTTAATAGTTCTAATGCAAATTATGTAATTTAATTTTCAAACAGTATGTACTGCAATTGTGAACCTGTGAACTATTTTCAATTGTCCCACAGATGCTAATATGTGAAATTTAGCTTTAGACAGTCATAATTCTTTATGGCTCAGTAATTTCCACTCACTATCTGTTAGTCTCTGCAATCTGAAAAGTATAGGGGCTACTGTGTGGTCTGACATGGTTTGTATTATCAGAATTTTATTGACAGCATAGATTTATAATCTCTTTAGTTATTTAGAGCCATGTTTTTTTTTTTTTTTTTTTTTTTTTTATCTCTATCTAAGTTAGACTGTTTTGGCATCCACAAAAGAGCACTCTGTAGTTGTCTCCAAAAACAAGAATGTAATCTGATCTGTTTTCATATTGTCTGCTGACCTGGATAAGAACACTTTGTATTAGCTACATTGATCAGTTCCTATCCTTTCTAGTCATTTATTGGACACTTAATACAACCTTGTAAAGACTCCCTAGAGTATCCCCATAAACTAGATCATTTTATGCAGGAACCACAATATGTATATCAAGATAGACAAGAATGAGAAAAGCTGATTAAGAGAAACTGGAAAAATTAAACCCACAGACTCACATTATGTTTTTCAGGCTTTATCCACCCTTACAAATGAAAGCCATATACATGGTCTATTGAAATGTTTTGTAAAATCCAGGAAACTTAGATTTTTATAGATCTGAATTTTCATTGTTTAAAATATGACAATTTTATTTAGGTATATCTCTAAGTTTTTCTTTTATTTCTGCTTCTAATTCCTGTAATCTAATTCTGTCTTCTAGAAGTATTAATGATATTCTTTTACTATTATTTTAATTTCAAAACTACTAGAAAATTGGTCTGTGTGTCAGAATCTTTAAAGCAGTATAAACTCCTTATGACTTTTTAAATATTTGTAGTTTCACAAATTTGTCCTTCAGAATGTATTTTAAAACATTTTACAAAGTACCTTGAAATTTTGAAACAGTAGCACCAAAAGGAAATATGTTAGGTAATTGAAAATATTTCCATTAATTCAAAAACTCTTTTATAAATTTTAAAATCCCATTTTTTGGAAAATTTTAACAACTGTTTAGAAAAGAAATACTTATTTCTTAGAAGCAAGTTCATGTGTTATGTTGGGTCACTGAGAAGATTACAGTGGAATACCAGGCTTCTACAATAAGCCTGAGAATAATCTGAAAAACTAATTTATTTTTATTGCCTTAATGTATATCTGTAAAGTATAAAATAGGTGATACGACCTGTGTGTTAGACACAGTTTCACCTTAGTCTTGTCTTGCATCATATATTTACATTTTATTCACAAGATATTAAATAAATACTATTAATAATATCTTTAACAAATATTTGTGAATTTCAAGTTTCATAAACTATTTAAATTTCATGTTTAGTCCTAATATTCTTTTTATTAAAATTATATCATCAATAAAGACAGCACTGATTCATTTATCCAACAAATGTTTACAGTGTACCTATTGTGTGCCAGAAGCTATTCTAAACTTTGAGGATACTACAGCACAAAACAAAACAAATTTACACTCCACGTAGAGCTTATATTCTAGTGAAAAAGTAAAAAAAAAAACAATGTAAAATATCGGGTAACAAGTGTTGCTATGATTAAAGGAAGAGCGTGGTAAGTGATGGAACAACTTGTACCATCTATGTTGTTACCACCATTATTTTCAGACTGTAATGTCCTACAATTCTCTGGTTTTATGTCGGTTTTTTTCCCCCTGAAGAGTAAGCTCTTTGAAAACTGGGTTTATAGATCTTTACTGGCATGTTACCAGTTTCTAACCCTAAGTTCTTTTATAAGTACTCAATAAGTATTTGTTATGTCAATGAATCAGTGATATGTTCACAACTTCTCTGGATCTCTGATTGAGCTGCAATCCAAATGCCCTTTTTGAGACCAAAACAACTAGAACGGAATTTATAAAAGGAATCATGAGAAGAGACATGTATATATTACGTGTGGTTCAATTAAATGTTTTACGTTAGAGTTCTGCATTTTACATTTTTTTGGCGTTATGATATCATCCTTTTTCATAATTTTTTTAATGCAAAGTGTGGAATATTTTCTGAAAATCAATGTTTTATCCACAGGTACTACTGAGCGAGTGTGCTTGATCCAGGGAACGGTTGAAGCACTGAATGCAGTTCATGGATTCATTGCAGAAAAAATTCGAGAAATGCCCCAAAATGTGGCCAAGACAGAACCAGTCAGCATTCTACAACCCCAGACCACCGTTAATCCAGATCGCATCAAACAAGTGAGTGTTTAGTTGAGAAATCAAAGAGAAATATCCACAGCATAGTATAAGTTCCTTACAAAAGAAGCCTTAAAGTGTTAGCATAAAACTTTTATTTTAAGCACACATAAAACATACCAGAGTTGTCATTTAGTTATTTAAAGACTATCAAGGTCTCATCCTTAGATTGATCAGTTAATTTATTGATCAATTGAATTATTCATTTATTAGTGTTACATTGAGGAGCACTTATGTGACTCTTAGTGATTGCCCTTTTTAAATTTATAGACACAAATTTAATTTATAGGAATTGAATCTGTTTAAAATTATATCACTTTTTAAATAAAGTATAAGTATTTCAATGATACATTCAAAATTTCCAATACCCTATTTTTAGTGATATTTGTAGTTTTCAGGATAGTTATTATGCATAGAGGCTCCTGTTTTGTTAATTTTGTTGTCATGTTCTCATTTTTTATCAAAAAAATGTATAGTAAATTTATGTACCTACCATACAGTCCTTTGTTACAAATCAGTTACTGTGTTTTGTGTAACTTATGTAGTATTTAAACATATGTCATAAAGGGCCAATGTTCATTTTTAATGTACGAGATTTTTTGTAAAAAATTTTACTTGGGAAAAACTGATGTGAGTTTTTAAGATTGAATAATGGGTGACATGATGTAGGGGGAAAATGACATTATTTCATGTTAAATAAGGTGGATTCTTCCACCGTAAACTCTTTTACGTCTATAAATTTATTATGTTCATAATTATTGTTTCTGCCTTTGCCTTTTTATAATTAGCGTCTTAATTTGTGACGTAATTTTACTATCACAGACTATGGCTTCAAAAGAAATGTATTATTCTTCAGTAATTCACAGAATATTTAATTTACAGAATACTCATGTTCATTGTAATAAATTTGAAATGTAGCTCAAAGTCTTATTAATTTCATGTTTCTGAATTTAAAAAGTATTATACTGAACAGTGTTATGAATCCTATAATTTTACCAATATATAGATAAATATAATGTTGAATAATGAAATATAAACATAGAAATTGATAATTAGGCAATATATTTTCAAATTATAGACTAATGTCTAATTTTATACTAATTACTTTTTTAAAAAAATCCCTTTATGTTTAAATCATGAGTAGGTAGTTGTTATTCTATACAAAAATGTTCATATTATAATCTTTGTCAGTGTCAAATGGTTCAGTTTATACCCTTCATAAGTCTTAAAAGAAGTATCCCTTAATGTATACATGGGAGAATATAAATATTTTAAAGCTGTAAAATCAGTGGATATTTTATTTTTCACAGTCATTTATAGTTGTGTTTATTTTTTTTACCCTCAGTGAATACAAAGAGTAGTTTGAAGACTGAATTCTTGAAAGTAATACTGTGACTTTAATCAGAGTTTAAAAGTAGAAGTGTAGTTAAAGACTTAGGTTAAAATCACCTGGGGCTAAGAGTTTACAGAATAAGCACTGAAGTATAAGGTCTATTGGCTTTCTGCCTTAATCCAGCCTATAAGTTCCTCCTTTTCTTTTGTAATTTCTGTGAGAAAATTCAAACATTTAGGGATAGAAGCCAATATCTTGATTTTTTTTTAAGTAAAACATAAAATTTAGTAGTATGATACCATTGACAATATGTTCAGGACGGTGATATGAATTATTATTATTTTTTATAAGAATAAATATCTCATACCACCAAATAATGGTCTATGAATCATTGTTAAAATTCTAATTTGCTATATGGCAGTATGAGATTTACAGGCTATCATATATCCAGTGCCAGTATAGATTTATGAAGACTAGAATTTTAAAATATTTGCTTTATTTTTATTTGCCTTTTTGGATGTTATTTAACTTCAAGATAAGTATAAAAAATAATAGTGATTTATTGACTTTTGTGTATTTGCATCCATTTGTAAGACTTGTAGGTATTCATGGAATTAGAAGTATTGTTGGTTATTTAATATTTTCATGTAATCAATAATGTATGTGACAGTGTATCATTTAAAAGGATTTATTAAAAAGACAACACTAAATCTAATAAGACATTGTATTTAACACTTACATATTTTCTTTATATTATAAAAGTTGAAAATTTTACTTGAAAAATCTAGTAAAGCAGTGAAATGTATTTCCAAAATATTATAAATCAGTCAGACCTTTTGCTCTAAGTTTGGGATTCTCTGACTTTCTAGGTATCCAATTTTACCAACGTAGTACTCTTTGCTGGATTATTCTCTAAATAATAAATATATAAATTTAAATGACCTTAATTTTACTTCTGAAAAATTATGCTGTTATTCAGTATAAAATAGTTATGTCTAAAATCATTTTGCAATAGAATAGATTAAAATACATTTTGTATGTTTCTTATGTATGTTTTAAACTAAGTAAATTGAATGAACCAGGTATTTTATCCAATTGAAAACTGCCCTTATTGACTGAGTGGGTTCTCAGACAAGTATAATTTCTTGGGAAAGTAGTGCCTGCTGGTCTCTCAGGTCTTTCATATAGTAGAATAATGAAATTTAGCACAATGGCCTTATATATAACTTGATATATTAGATCTTGTGGAATATTTAATTCTTAATTCATATATGTATTTTTTCTAAAAGCTACATCAGGGAAGAAGTAGTTATGGACATTTAAAGAATTCTCTTGTATTTAAAAAAAATCAAAGTAAGATATCAAAAATATTTCATTTAACCCTAAGAGTTTTACTGTCGTCATGATAAATTGACAAAAATAGCACTTGTTAATTTGTTTGTTCATTATTCATGGGCATGAATAATTATGAATTTACTAAATGCCTTCTTAGTAAGTAGCAAAATATACTAAACTGTAGCCCTTGCAGACCAGTTTGTGAGATAAGTACTTAAAATAACTTATAAAAATTAAAATTGTATTTATATACCAAAACTACAATGTAAACAATATGCTATAAAAATTCAGAGGCGTGGCCAGGCACTGTGGCTCACGCCTGTAATCCCAGCACTTTGGGAGACTGAGGCGAGCAGAGCACCTGAGGTCGGGAGTTTGAGACCAGCCTGACCAACATAGAGAAACCCCATCTCTACTAAAAATACAAAATTAGCCGGGTGTGGTGGCGCATGCCTGTAGTCACAGCTGCTGGGAGGCTGAGGCAGGAGAATCGCTTGAACCCTGGTTGTGGAGGTTGCAGTGAGCCAAGATCGCGCCATTGTACTCCAGCCTGGGCAACAAGAGCGAAGCTCTGTCTCAAAAAAAAAAAAAAAGAAAAGAAAAAAATTCAGAGGCGTGTAAAAGAAATACAGGTCAGAGTGACAGTTAATAGTCTTGTAAATAGATGAAAACTTGACTGGACCTTGAAGAATGTATAGGAATAGCCTAATTAGAGTAGAAGAAAGAAAAACACTTATTTTAGGAAGGTGAAATGATGTGAATTTGGGGAGAAGGGTATCATATTTGTTGAATAGTAAGGAGACTGTATTGGCAGAAGTGGGACATTTATGTTGCAGTCGAGAGGGAATTAATGTTAGATAGATGTTAGGGAGCCAGATAATGAAAAACCTTGGATGTCTAATCAAAGGACATCCTATGGAATACAGATTTGCCAAACATTTTCCTAAAGAGCCCTTTTAATTTATCTGGAAGATTTTGGGGGGGAAAAAAAAGAAGTCACTTATGCTGTTTGTTCTCTCTTGCATTAAAAATCCAGACAGACTCTTAGGGTGCTTGTAGGTACAGCTATTCATAGGAAAAGAGAACTGTGAATTGACTAGTTCAGATGCTGGAAGACAGTTCACATGTTGGAAAGAGGAAGATATTTGTCAGAAATTAAAAACTAAAGATGACAGTTAAATATTTAAATATTTTATTCATTTTGGTACAGTATGTATACAAATGTTACAGTACACAGATTTATTTAACAGAACTCAAAATAGGGGATTGGGAAGGTGATTACTTCAGTAATGTTACTTCACTAGTAATAGATTTTGAATTACAATTGAGATTTGTTGTTCGTCGCTGTTTTCACTTTGCCTATAAATACCAGAGGTTCTTGACAGTCTATTACTGCAGACTTGCTTGAAAGCAAGCTCTGTTTATTACAGTGTTTATTAATAATAATATTCTCTGGCCCAGCAAAACTGTCATTTGTTAACAAGAATTCATCTCATAATTTGTAATAGTCACACTTATTTCCAAAAGCCTAGTTATGTCTACATTTAATTACCTACTGTTAAATTCTTGATTTTTTAAAAAACTATATTCCAAAAGATCCACTGTTTTAAAATTGTTAATAATTATTCTGCATTAAGTATTTTCACCCTTCAGCGTCTAAAGAATTATTAAACAGCCATTCAAGTAATGTAGATAAAATATATATTATGCTTTTCCGTTTGAAAGAAAAAATGGCACTGAAAACTGAGTCTGTCCTTCACATTCATTATTTGAAAAATGTAGAAAAAAATTTTTGTAGGACTGTGTGCTTTGTTCTAACTAATATATCAGTATATAATGTTATGTGGATATTCAGTTAATTACATCTTCATGATGTATATCAGAAATTTTACTAAAGGATATTTAACATGAAACCACTAAACTTTAACTCTGTACAGTAAATGGATGTAAACAGTTTGCTTATAAAATGTTAAGGCAACAGGCCAGGTGCAGTGGCTCTTGCCAGTAATCTGAGCACTTTTAGGAGGCCAAGACAGAGGATTGCTTGAAGCCAGGAGTTTGAGACCAGCCTGGGCAACAAAGCGAGACCCTGTCTGTATAAAATAATGATGATAATAATAATATAATAAAATATTAAGGAAATAAACAACTTGTACATTTATATTGCACATTGAAATATTTCTTACGGATTTTTGTTTTATAAGAAATCTGTATGGCTTTATCTGTATGGTTGAGAACAACTATCACACCTGTTCCATTAATTTAATAATCTTTTACAAGTATTACTTTAGTATATTTACATTTAGCTGTTTATGAGAACACTTTTTCTCCTAGTATTTAAAAAACAATCAACTGAAAGGAAACTTTCGAGGGTATTTTTATTGTTATAAATTGAATTTATAAAGCAGGGGTCTTTTTGTGCTTAAAAGTATTTATATGAATAATAGCTGCAAAACTTGTCACATCTTTATTTCATTACATTTTCATTATTTTAATAATTTAAACTAAGAAAATATAGAGACAACTTACTGTAACATTTCAACACTCTTACAACTTGAAACCCAAACTTACATAATTTTTACTTGTTTATTAAATATATTAAAATGTAACCTCTTAACAGATTATGATGTTTACCAACCAAAAGTTTAATTATCTTAGGCACATTGATATTGTCTAGAAATTTAAAATCATTGATTTTATTCCTGTAGGAAAGAAACAGCATCACAATTATTAGGGATAATTTTGATGAATGTAAGTTCTATCAATTATTAATACATGTCCAATATTTTATATATATGCCAAGCAAAAAGAAAGGCAATAAAAATCGACAGATTGTATTAATCTAAGTGATTACAAATTCTGAGCCATTCGATATTAAATTTTAATTTTAATTAAAAGTTCAATTTGCAATTAAACTTTTTCTACATGGTTCTTTGCAGTTAAGACCTTGTTGAGAATTTGTATCCAAGACAAGGTGGATGTCATATTAAACCTGTAGTACTTCAGAATTATTTTCCATTAGATAGTACTTCTAATGGAAATAGAAGAGCTCAACACACATAGAATCGTGCTTCTGTAGGTTAATCAACATGGATTCTAACCTGTATTGGGAGAAATGATCTCTAGATTTAACACATACTTAGTCACCAGACTCATTATTAATCTGAGATTAGTACTGAATAGATTTTTACATGTATGTTAACTCCTCCCAGGTATCCTCTGTAGTAACAGTTGTAACCAATGGTAGAAAAATAAAACCTTTACTGTTCAATTCATAGAACAATCATAGCATGGAGTCATTAGCATATGTCTCAGCAAAGTATTGCATGGAAAATAAAATATTAGGGAAATTTTTAATGATTGGAAATGAAGTCTCTCTTGAGAAATAGCAAGAATTAATTATAAAAAACAAAAATAGAAAACAAAAGATTTAAAACTTTTTTAGAATTTTGAGGATTTACTGATTACTATAGCTGTCCTACCCCTTTTTTGTATGATTTGGTAAAAATCTTGGTTTGACTCACTATTGTAGGTTTCCTAGAAGTACTTAGGTTTTAACTTTAGAAGAATCAGGAATTATTTGAGGAGTGGACTATGTAAAACATGGTATGATGTTAGAAACAGTAGTATTTTGTTACTGGAGGGCAGTGAATTAACCAGAAGCCTGGAAATTTCTTATTCTTTTTTTTTATTTTTAACTCTTAATGGCTTTATTGTACGCAAATTACAACTTTTGAAATGTCAAATGCAAAAATATGACTTCAAGTAATTTCATCTGCTTTTCCTGACACTGCTGAACCTTTAAAGTTATGCTTTTGCTCATATCTGAGTAATTTTGACAAATAGATATTAATATAATATAAAACATAATGTCCATATACAAGTGTATCTTCAATATAAAAACCTATCCCATTTCACCTGTTTAGAAATATTATCTATTGAGGACGTAACATAAGCAATGCTATTTTGCTTAGTGAGCATATGACACTTAAAAAAATTCTAAACATCTTACACTTTTAAGGTATTTCTGTTAGACATAAGAACTTTTTTAAAAATCTTAATGAATTGTTCAACATGTGTAGATGGCCTTATACAACATATTATATATATATAGTAAGTGTATATGTTTAGAAGTGAACAATAAATATGATTCCTAATATTTTTGTGTTTATTTTTAACACAGCTGATGATGCTATATTATACTCTTCATCTATATTAAATTTACTCTTTAAGATAAATAATAAAAATATTATGATGATTTGTTAGAATGCTATTAGTTACCTGTTTATTAATATGAGGTTAATGTTTACATTTTCAGACGGGCCTTAAATTTATTAAAAATTAATATTTTAGAAGATAATGTGATATTAAGAACTCAGAACTTCAAATTTAATTGCTTTTAAGTATGGATCCCTAAATTCATGTGGAATCAACTTGTTGGTGATGTTCAACATATTAAGTAGGTGGATAATTTTATGCCAAAGTAAACTTCATTTCACCACTTCTTCAAATCTCCGACTGTATTCATCGATAGGAAAGTGACTCTTTTGGTTTTATTCATTGAACTTCTTGAATTTTTTTTTTTTTTACATCTCTTTTCCCCAAGAAAACAAGAGGGAAAGAAATGAAACTACTATTCATGAATATGGTCAGGATACTTTTAGTACTCATGTGAATTTTTATCAGTCACCATCATGATTTCAAGTCATGAATTTATTTTTACATGCTTATGCATGCATCTTTACATGCATTAGTTACTTAATTGATGTTAAAATCCATTAAATTCAAATGAATAGGAGAAAAATTTGTTCATAGGATTTTGTTCTCGTTATATTACATTTTATTTTATTTTGTTTTATTTAAATAATCAGTTTAAGGCTTATAAAGGTTGATTTGCTCCTGAACTGCTTTGTTTCCCAGACATTGCCATCTTCCCCAACTACCACCAAGTCCTCTCCATCTGATCCCATGACCACCTCCAGAGCTAATCAGGTACAGTATCATCCTGTCATCTACACCATACTTTTCACGGGTGATTGCCTGCAAACTGGAGAAAAAGATAATGGTGGGTTAAGGATTTATTCGTTCATTCACATATATGCACCATAGTCAGATTCCAAATAACCTAAGAAAGAAATATCAATTATTTCTAAAATTTTATATGCATTTTTAATTTTAGATAACAAATACTATATTCAGATATTAAACTACTCTAATTTTTTATTATTTTTCCTTAAAATTTGACTACCTAATGGAGCACTGAAGCCTATTTATTGAATTGGTATTTTTAATCTCCCTTATTGTATCTTCCTAGAATTTTTCATATGTAAGTTAAGGATATCATATATGTAAAAAAAAAAATGTATAAATTGAGCAAAGGTATATCTTTAAAAGTGAATGCAATTTTATTTGCTTTTTATTTGAGACATGCCTTATGATGTAAACAACTTTCAACTATTGATGAAAAGCATTTCTAGCAATCTAAAAGAAACTGAAAATTGGTATTTGTGGTAATTTTAATGTTTAACAACTCAGGAGATGGTGTTTTCTTAGTATTTTAAAAAATTCTAAGCATTTTCATTGCTCTGCTGACAAACTTTGCAAGTAGAATATATTTTATTAGTTTGATTTATGATTGTTTTGGTACTATTTGTAGGTCATTCTTCAAAAATGTAGTTATTTTTGACAAATATAAGAAGATTATCTAAAATATTTGTGTAATTCAGAGCCATACTGTACTTTAATTTGACAATGTTGAATAATATATTTATTAAAATTATTAAACACATTTTTATTTTGTGTGAGTTGAGCTTCATTTAGGTGAGAAATGTTATTTTCTTTAATATTTTTGCTTTTTTTAATAATAAAAGGCTTTATGGGGTTATTTAAATATTAAATATAAGCTTATCTGTTTAATATATTTTTCATATAGTTGACTAACAAATTATTAACTTTGAACTATATTTGCTAAATATATTAAATGTGGCTTTTGCGTATTATCTAATATAAGACTATCAGAACTATTTTGCTGATTTTTTTATCCTAATACTTTTGCAACCTGAAGAAAGATTTAAATATAATAACTGGAAGCAAAACTAACATTTAGGATGATATTTTATACTACAGGTTTGATTTTCATTTTATGCAATAGCGTTCCCTTCAAACAAAAGCATTTTATAATGCAAACATTTTTAGGCCCAGTAAAGTGGTTAGTAAATACACATCTGCAGTGTTGTAAAACCCAACACTTCTCTTTGAAGGAAATGGTACTACATAAAGTGACAACCAAGCTTGTATTACAAATGCATGAAGTTTAAAAGTATACTTACATTTTTACTCTACATACCTTGTCTTTTACTGAGTTTTAATTATATGGTATAAAAACCTTTTAGGAAAACAACTGATTTTGTGTTTTTAATATTTCTTTTGTACTTTATTGTTCAGTCTTTTCCAAATGTAAACGTGACAAACACAACCACAATACAAATAAAACGAATGATTTTTCTCAAGGTAAAAAACCTTGGATCTAGAAAAGAAAACCTCCTTAATAATTTTGCCTTTGAAGCTAAATTTGTATTTTCTTTCATTTATTCTTATATGAACTTGTGAATCTTTATAAAATGGTTTCTTTAAAAGGCAAATTATATATTTTAGTTTACTAATGTTGTATTTTCACCCTCTAGATAAAGTGCTACATTTACCCTTGCCAAATCTAAATTTTGCTATTTTGAAATAATAAGTCATTTGTAATTTTATATTCTGTCCACTATACTCTGTTATATTGTTACTTATACTCTGTTTTCTTCTGTTCTTGTACAAAGAAGCATAATATCTCCTGGATATCATGAAGCAAGATATAAGAGAAGAACAAAACAAAATCCGTAATTCATTGAAAGAATTGTAATCATCAATCTTTCATATTATTAATACTTTGTAATTATTTTCTCCCCAACAGTATTTTCCAGTAGATTCTAATCATGTGGTAGGGCAGAAGGAAATGTGTTTTTTGTTGTTCATTTGTTTCTTGTCAATAGTCCTGATTAATTTAGCTTTGCTATACTGACTTATATCTGGAAGTATATAACCAAGATAAGAAAATAGGTTTTAATATGATCATCTTAAGCTAATTGTAATGAAAAGAACTAATGGACTGTCAATATTCAGAAAACCAAAAATAAAAAATACAGAAAACTATTCAAAGAGTAAGTTTGATCTGCATTTCCAATATTTAAAAATACTTTTTATTATTTTAAAAATGATGACATGTTTCAGTACATACCGAATTTTACTTTATTAACCTTGAGACCCCTTAACACGTTTCCGTAGGTCAGACTGACAGACTCTGACTACAGTGTTGTCCTATAATAATTTCCTTCTTAAAACTGAAAGACTATATGAGAAGCCTTATAAAATGATGGCATGGTGGCTCACACCTGTAATTTCAACACTTTGGAAGGCCGAGGCAGGAGAATCACTTGAGGCCAGGAGTTTGAGACCATCCTGGGCAACATAACATAGCCAAGACCCTGTCTCTAAAAATGTATACATTTTGAAAATTAACTGGGCATGGTGGCACTTGCCTATAATCCTAGCTACCTGGAGGCTGAGGCGGAAGGAGTGCCTGAGGCCAGGAGTTCGAGGCTGCAGTGAGCCATGATCATGCCACTGCTCTCCAGTCTTGTGTGTTACCTTAAGTCTCAGTTTTCCCGTCTGTGAAATTCAAATAATATTGCCTCATAGGATTGACATAAGAAATGAAGAACAGTTACCTCTTCCTAGAACAGTGTCTTGAATGTAATAAACATCATATAAATGTTAGGTTATGTTTATTTAATTTCTTATCTGTCAAGTGCTAATGAAAAAGATTATTCTTTAACGTAGTAAATAATAAAGCAAATGGCTTATTAAAGCTTTTGAGTTTTGCCTTTGGAAAGATTCTAGTATTAGTATTGGCTGTTTTTTCAACTCTAAAATATTTCTGTAATTAAAGCCTGTCTGCTTTAAACTACTTTACAATTATTTTCTAGTAAGAATACTCAGTTACTTGTTGCCTAAAAATACATAAAATTGCTCTTCTTCCCCTACTGAAGAAGAAACGTTATAAGAACTAACAGTTTTACAACTTGTATTTCTGTGCATGTGTTTCATATTGTAAGGTACAAGTTTGATATTCTTCTACACGTGGAGTTTTAAATATGAAGCAGATATAAAGATATAGCAAATAGATCAAATTATTTAAAGCAACATGTTTTAACTTTCAAATAAAACTTAAACAGAATCAGTAGCGTTCAATCAGTTCTAAGTTATTAATACTAAGTTACTCAGTCACTCCATTAAGATTCAACAAAATGGTTTTGTTAATCAGTGGTACCAAAAATTAAATTTTGGTTTTAACCTTAGTCCTTGTTAGCTCTCCTGGAATTTTTCTGAAATTTCATGAAAAGAATAAAAGAATGATTTCAGAAATATGTGTTTATAAACATTTGTTTATTTACTGATAAGTTTGAAATTATAAGCATTTATCAAATTGTATAAAACACATGAAAATAGGTAGCTCATATATAGTACCCTTACTATGGTTGCAGAAAAATAAAAATAAAAATAATTGGTCTCACTTTAAATTCATGACCACAAGTCACAAATGGATTCTTAATTCTGTCATTTGTAAGCTCATTGACTTTCTTATTCTCTTATTCTCTAGATGACTATTTCACAACCTCTCCTCTCTTTTCAATCCTGTATTAGTTTTCTATTGCTGTATAACAAATTACCACAAACTTAGTGGCTTAAGCAACACACATTTATTTTCTTATAATTTCTGTAGGTCAAGAGCCCATGCATGACTTAAGCCAGGCAGGCTGAGCCCTTTGCTTGTGACCTCACAGGGCTGCAATCAGTGTTGGCTGGGCTGCATTCTCACCTGTAGGTTTGACTAATATGCGTCCCTGTTCATCCAGGTTGTTGGCAGCATTCAATTTTTGTGAGGGTTTTTTTTTTTTTTAACCTGTTTGACTGAGGGCCACAACTTATAACTGGCTATTGGCTACAGGCAACTCTCAGATTCTAGAGGCCACCCACAGTTGCCTGCCACACGTCCCTCTCCACAGGACCTTCAAAACTTGGCTGTTTGCTTCTTGCAAGGCCAGTAGGAGAATCTCTCCACATTGTGTGCCAGCAAAAATGGAGTCTTATATATTGAACCAAATCACAGGAGTAACGTTCTCACCACCTCTACCCTACAACATAATTTAATCATGCTAATGACATTGCATCACTTTTGCCATATTCTTGTAGTGAGAAGTAAGTCATGTGTCCCACTCACACTCAAGGGGAGAAGATTGTACAGGTTGTAACACCAGTGGGTAGAGATCATGGAAGTTTTCAAAGAATTGTCCCTACCACAACCCCCACAATGTTTCTTGCTTCTTATTCTCTCCCGGCTAATGACCTTACTTCCTTTCCTACTTCACTGAGAAGATTGAAGCAATCAAAAGTAACTTCCACAAACTCATACCAACACATACTTAATGAAGCAGCATTTGTACCCACATAGTCTGCCTTCTCATCAATTACTATAGGTAAATTTTCCCTGCTCTTGTCTAAAACCATTCATTTCAGTTGTCCATTAAACTTCATTCTTCCTTTACTCAAGAACATTCCTGCAGCAATTCTACCTTCTCTCTCCTTTTTCTGTCAAGTTTTTGCTCTCTACAGAATCATTCCCATCAGTGTGCAACTGTTTTTTCTCTCATCTTAGAAAACCAAACAAAACTTTCTTAATGTCACTTCCCCCACCAGCTAATGCCCTATTTCTTCTACTCCTTTGTAGTAAAACTTACAAAGTATTATCTCTACTCTCTATTTCCCAGTGTCTGTATTCCCATTCTTAAATCCACTTCAGTCAAATTTTTGCCTCCGCCATTCCACCAAAACTCTTTGCCAAGGACATCAATGATGAGCACTTTGCTAATTCCAGTAGTCTGTTCTTAGTCTACATATTACTTTATCTACCAACAGTATTTGTTAAAATTTATCACTTCCACCTCCTTGGCATACTTTGTTTACTTGGCTTCCAGGATACTACCCACGTTTGATTTTCCTCCTGCCTGGTTCCATTTTGCTTCTTCTCAGAATCCTTTGCTAGTTTATTCTCTTATTTTTATCTACTTAATGGTGAAGTGCTCCAGGTCTCAATACTTGGGAATTCTTCTGAGTCTTCTTTCTCCATTACCTTGGCTTTTATATGCTGACATCTGTGAAATTTGTGTCTCCACTGTGGGACAAATGTACTGTTATCTTAGTCCATTTTGGTCCATTTTGTGCTGCTGTAACAGAATACCTGTGATGGTAATTTATAAAGAACAGAACATTTTTTCTCACAGCTCTGAAGGCTGGGAAGTCCAAGATCAAGGCACTGGCATCTGATGAGGGCTTTCTTGCTGTGTCTTGAAATCGCAGAAGACAGAAGTACAAAATGGGGATGAATGCTGTGTTCCTACATGGCAGAAGAGGAGAAGAGAGAAAACTCAACTCCTGAAAGCTCATTTTGTAGTGTTATTAATCAAGTCCTCATGAATTAAACACCTCCCAAAAGGCCCCACCTCCCAAAACTGTTGCATTGAGGATTAAGTTTCCAACACATGAATTTTGGAATGGACAAAAACATTTTAACCATAGCAACCATGAACTAAAGAAGCTTAATCTTTATTATTCCTCACATGTGCAGAATTATTACCTAATTTTATGTTCACAATTTTAAATTTTGTTTTCCCAAAGATGTCCTCTAAAATTGTATATGCTTCAGGCCCCACATAACTTGTGTTCACCTTTATCTCTGGTCCAGTTCTCACAGTAAAACTCCAGACTATGTCCAGTTCCCCACTCAGGCTTTCCACTTACATACCTAATTGACATCTTAAATACAGTAAGTCCAAAAACTACCCCTAACCTGTTCCTTTTAAAATAACTCAGTTTTTTATTTCTTTGCTGCCACCTGAAATAGTTTACCGTTTCGCTGAGTAAAAGCCAACATGTCAAAAATGGCCTTAGTTAACTTATAAGAAAAGGCCTTTGCCACATAATCTCTTTATTTCCTGCCACTGGCCTCCTCACTCATGTTGGCCCAACCACATTGACATTTGTTGCCCCTTGCAGACATCAGGCATACCCTCACCTCAGTATTTTTCTCTTGCTTTTCTCTGCATGAAATTCTCTTACCATAGAGATCTGCTTGGCTAACATCTTCATCGCTTTCTAGTCTATTCAAAATTCACCTTCTCCATAAGGCTTACCTGACCTCCTTATATGGCAACCTGGCCTCCCCCTTCCCCCCCTGTACTCCTGATTCCCTTTATCGTGCTGTTTTTTAAGCTTTTTTCCATTGCCTCATGAATACTGTATACTTGGCTTATTATCATGTGTATTGTGTATTGTGTTTCTTACTCTCTGAGTAAAGTAAATTGCATGAGGATAGGGTTTTTTTCTGTTTTATTCTCTGATGTATGTGAAGCACTAGCCTGGAGCATAATAGGTCCTCAGTAAATATTTGTTGAATGACTAGCGTTAGTTGAAAGAATAGGCTTACAAGTCTATATGCTCTAAAATTCTTTTTTTTTACAATATTTGAAATGAAATTTTGCATAGAATTCTCTCTAACAATATAAACCAACTAGAAAAGAATACTTATAGTTGAATGAAGAGATTAAGCTAAAAGAACATAGCCTTCTTGGCTTGATGTCTATTTTATGCCTTACAGTATTCAGAGCACAATTTGAAAACCAGCTGGGCACTTGTCTCAAATACGAATATTATCATAATTCTCCAACAAAATATAAAAATTAGGGCCGGGTGCAGTGGCTCACGCCTGTAATCCCAGCACTTTGGGAGGCCGAGGCGAGTGGATCACTTGAAGTCAGGAGTTCAAGACCAGCCTGGCCAACATGGTGAAACCTTCTACTAAAAATACAAAAATTAGCTGGGTGTGGTGGTGCACGCCTTTAATCCCAGCTGCTCAGGAGGCTGAGGGAGGAGAATTGCTTGAACCCGGGAGGCGGAGGTTCCAGTGAGCTGAGATCACGCCATTGCACTCCAGCCTGGGCAACAGAGCAAGACTCCATCTCAAAAAAAGAAAAATTAATTTGTATTTCTTTCAGCATATGTGTGAGTAGTGTATTGTGTTTGTGTGATATCAAGATAATGTTCATCAGAAATATATAAGAAGGTCCTAGAAATATCGTGACATCCATTTTTTAATGAACTTATTTATTTTGTTATGTCTATTAGATTTTATGTGTTTTGCTTATCACTAGGATGAGAGTTATGAAATTGCTGATATTTGATTGTAATTTCCTGTGGCTCAACCTAGTATGTATCATATACATATCAAAATTGCAAACATTCTTAGGAATAAATTGAACCAAAAACACTGAATTCATATTAAGTAATATACAATTTTTATATAAAGGCCTGAAACACTCCCTTAATGGATAGACTTACTATAATTTTCGTGGGGAAGATTTAATATAGGAATATCAATCCTTTTTAAATTAAAATATAAATATATTACAATTTTCATCATATTCCCATTTTTCTGGTTTCTGAGGTAAAATGATTTTAATATTCATATAGAAACAAATCCCTGATAATTACCATCAATCAGCTAATAAAAGAAATATCAAGAAACTAGTAATATTGAGATCAGCCAGCATTAAAATTTACTATAAATGTGTCACAATAAAAGTGGCGTACAAATAGATGCAATTGGTAAATGAAGTAAATAGATATTTCTGAAATAGATCCAAGTAAGGTCATGTATCACGGATATGTTCTGAGAAAAGTATCCTAAACGATATTGTTGTGTGAACATCATAGAGTGTATTTACATGAACCTAGATGGTATAGCCCATTACAATACACAACCTGTTGCTCCTAGGCTACAAACCTATACAGCATGTTACTGTACTGAATGCTGCAGGCAACTGTAACAGTGGTATTTGTATATCTAAAGATATCTAAACAGAAAAGGTAATGCTTTGGCTGCTACATCACTAGGCAGTAGGAACTTTGCAGCTCCATTATAATCTCATGGGACCACCATATATGTGGCCTGTCATTGATGAAAATGTCACAATGCAGCACATGACTATATATGGGAACTTAATGTATGATAAAGAAAAAGTGTGATCTAGGGATTTGGAGAACTGTGGTCTTGAGCCATAATACCTGGCTTCCAATCAAATCTTTGTTACATCCGAATTTTATAATGTGTGAGGCCACATTTTTTTATTTTGCCATGCGTGTTTTCTCATTGTAAAATGTGACTACCTACCTCGCAGAGTTGTCATGACTTTTAAATGAACAAATACATGAGAAGTATTTAGAACACTGCCTGGTCCAGAGTAATGTATAAGTGTAATTTTAATTCATTATTAAAAAGGATGTTTTATTTTATGAATGGTGCTGGTATATTGACTGTCCACCTGAAAGAAAATAAATTTCCACCTCAGACGATATGCAGAAATAAATCCCAATGCATTCAAGATTGAAACTGTAAGACTATTTGAAATTATGGTGTACGAAATCAAGGATGACTTAAGCAAGGAAGAAATCCAAAACATAAAAAGTTACCAGATTTGAGTATATAAACATTTATTATTTTTGGTATAGCAGAATATGCCATTAATAAGCAAAAGAAAACAGTACATTTGGAAAAAATATCTTGAACACATGACAGTTAATTCGTATCACGGCTATACAAAGAACTCCTAGGTTCATATGAAAACCCAATATAAAAATGAAAAGACAATTTACAGAGGAGGGAGTGGAAATGTCCAATACAGATATAAAAACATGTTTAACTCACCAGTCATCAGGGAAATTGGAATCAACATCACACAGTTGCACTACTTTATATCAGATAGACAAAACTTTATGTTTGTGTATAATACACATATCAGAAATTCAAGACGTGTGTGTGTTTATAAATCTAAAGTGCTGGCAAAGATACAAGAAATAAACATGCTCATACAATGTTGATACAAGAAATGCTACATTACAGCTTTTGAGATCTATCCTGTAAAACTTACTGCACCAATACTTAGAAACAAATAAAAGAACGTATGTATGATAAAAGTTGGAAACCAATTTCACCCTTAATCACAGGAGAGTGATTAAATAAATTCTGATATTGCAGAATAGTATCTGGTGAAGCTATTTAAAATGCTGAGTTAGATCTGCATAAACTAGCCTAGAATATTGTCATACAATATGAAGAAAATTAAGTTGCTAAGAAACATTTGGCCCTATCTTTAATAGTCAAAGAACTTTGTTCATGTATTATTAGAGTGATGACAAGGAATATGAAAATCACTACATTTCCCTTCTTATATCTCTACTTTGTTTTTAAAATATAACAGAGGATACAAAAGATAATGGAAAACAAATCCTTATTTCAGTTGTGGTATATGCAATGTTTTAAGGGAAAGAAGGTAATTTCCCAAGTGGAAAATTGGTTGTCTTTGACATTACATATGCTTTAAAGCTACTTGGCGTCTTGATTTCCTACTTTTTTGATGCTTTATTGAGGTCAAGAAGACTCACTGGGGAGAGGCTTCAGGCCTAGAGGAAGCACTTACTGACTGGCAAAGGGAGTGGCAATTGCTTCATATTTTAAAGTTATGCCGAATTAAATGATTGTGTAACATATGTAATATTTTTATTTATCCTTTTGAGTTAAAACATGAAAAATACTCAACTCTAGCTTTATATCAAAATTACCTATGTAGATTCTTAATTAATAGACCTATTATGAGATTTTGCATCTATATTTGAACAGTCGGATAAAATATTTCATGACGCCTCTTGAAATGTTTGAGAAACACTATCACATGATAAGAGCACATTAGTTTATAATAAATTGATAATTGTGTACTATATGACACTGTCTCTTTTTTTTCAAGTGTTAATTCATTGAGACTTTACCATGAAACAATATACATACTTTGTGATTTGAAAAATACTAAATTTGTACAAAAGTTGAAGGGTAGGTATTAGTTTCAGCATTGAGAATAGTTGGTGTTTACTAATTAATACAACTTAAATCTATGAAGGGTTATTATACAAAGGATGATTATCCTTTTAGATATAATTAGTGAATGTGAAGGCCTGGGACGTTATTGTATACTGCTGTAGACTATAAACACTATACGCTTAGGGCACACTGAATTTACAAAAAAAAAATCTTTTTGTCAATAATAAATTTACCTTAGCTTAATACTTTTGACTATTATTAAATACAGTTAGAGGTTCTCTTAGAGATTTTTATATGCAGATTACATTAGGAGTTTTGTGGGATGTTTTTGTTTTTGTTTTTTGAGACGGAGTTTCACTCTTGTTGCCCAGGCTGGAGTGCAATGATGCGATCTCGGCTCACCTGAACCTCCCACTCCCAGGTTCAAGAGATTCTCCTGCCTCAGCCTCCTGAGTAGCTGGGATGACAGGCATGAGCCACCATGCATGCCTGGCAAATTTTTTTTTTTTTTTTTTTTAGTAAAGATGGGCTTTCTCCATGTTGGTCAGGCTGGTCTTGAACTCTCGACCTCAGGTGATCTGCCCGCCTCAGCCTCCCAAAGTGCTCGGATTACAGGCATGAGCCACCAAGCCCAGCCTACATTAGGAGTTTTTAAGGTCGTTTAGCAATATTCTTGCCAAAAATTATGGATATGATTAAATAAGTGCTTCCTGCCCATACTCATTCCATTGCAGACTTCTGAGTTTGCTAGTGTGCTGTAGTGTAGGTAGTCTATTATCCACACCAGTGACGGGAATCGGATCTCCCTTAGGGCAAGTTAAATAGTATGTGGTGAAGCTATTTAAAATACCACTGAAAGCAGCACACCAGTAATGTTTTCAGGTTAGTATTTTAACACAATATTTGGTAAATATCAGGTTATGTGACCTCCCAAAATCCCTTTTAAATGTGTGATTTTATATGAAGACGTTTTTAAGTTTATGAAACGCCTAAGACTTTAAGATTGAAGAAAGTGGTACACATCAGGGGAAAGAGTTAATGAAATAGTCGCTCTGTAACATTCCTTTTTTTACATCCCATATATGGCTCAGGCATTGGTAAAATGCATAGAATCCTGTGTCTAGTATTGGCTCATACTAGGTAGATTTGCAAGATTCTCTGGACCACTTGGTAGGCAAAGGTGGTTTCTCTGTTTCATCAAAGTTTTCCCTGCAGCCATAGCTGCAGTAATTCTTGCACACAACATGTTCTCAAGACAGAACATTATGCATGCCTTTATATAACCAAACCACTTAATGTCTCCTTATTCCACAATGTGTAGTTATCTTCTTGCTTTGTGTGTGTGTGTATACAGTTCAATAGAATTTTTCATTTTTCAAGCAAAGCCATATAAAATTGAAAATATCTAAAATAGTAGAATTGGATAGTTATCAAGTTTATTTTAAACATTTTAATTTTTTTAAAGAATGCTTAGATACATGAATGTCTTCACATTATTCTCTCAGATAAAAGTAATTTTGCAAAACTGGGGAGTTTGATACCTTCTCGTTTTGGAATTAAAAAAAGTGTTTTTCCTTGTTTTGACCTCAGAAATCTATAATTGCCCTTTTTGGTTATTAGTTTTTCTAATTTTTTATCATTGAATTTTTCCGGAGACAATAAATTGATCATTTTTGTTTATTCTGAACCTAATGCCATATAATTCATTTTATTGGTGTTTGGTTTAGCTCATATTTCTTATTCAATTACTCTTTAAAAATATTTTTGAAAAAGAAAACGTTCCTTTTTATTACCTGGCTTCAAATTGCTTTTAGCCAAGTAACAGAAGTTTAAAAATTAGTATATTTTATATATGATTTATGAAATATTATAAATGAACTATTTCACCCATATATATGAAAAGAATATAGTTTTGTGACTAATAGTACAGTTTGTTAAATGGCAGATGTGTTTCAGTAATCTTTTAAATGTTAATGTTTATATGGTTATTTATGTCAAGTATTAATGAAATACTAATGTATAACATTTTCATTTTCTTAATGACAGTCATTTGGGATAGTAAATAATCAACCTCCCATTACTAGTAAGATACTGAAATATCTTTATTTTATTTTTTAAAATGGATGTAGCTGGAGGCCAAATTAATGCAGAAACAGAAAGCCAAATACTGCTTGTTCTCCCTAATGAGAGGGAACTTATTTTTTAAAATAAGTATTGCCTTTAGGAAAACTGTTGGTGAAATTAAAATAATAAGAAATATATAATTCACCTAATCAGTAAATATAAAATACCCATAAGCAACTACAATTTAATAAATCATTTCAAAAATATGGCACATCAGACTTTTAACTAATAATATTTAATTTTAATGGTAAAAATGACAATAAAAAATGTATAAAGGTACAATAAAAATCCAAATTGTGAAAGTTTTCCTTATAACTTAATTCCCTAGTTACATAAGTTTAAATGGAGATGGATTTTCAAACATAGTTGAGACATTTACTTCCAATGTTACTTAGTTTGGTTATGTCATAGAGTATTAATCCATAAACAACTCAAAATTTTAAAAAGTTCTTTATTCCTAGATTAACTTTATTTTCTTACATAAAGTGTTTTTTATAAATGGGCATTCAGGTTAAATGCATGATTTTCATTTAAAACTATGATTTTGAATTTTCCTACTTAAAAATTTTAAAATATTTTCTAAATGTTCTTTTCTGTCATTTATCAACTCACTATTTACAGTCATGCATATTTTACAGTCATTTGCTTAATGATGGGAATATATTCAGAAAAATGCAGCATTAGGTGTTTCTGTCATTGTGCATACATCATGGAATGTACTTACACAAACCTGGAAGGTATAGCCTAATACACACCTAGGCCCTTGGTGTAACCTATTGCTTCTAAGTTACAAATCTGTACAGCATGTTACCTTACTAAATACTGTAGGCAGTTGTAACACAATGTTAACTATTTGTATATCTAAATGTATCAAAACAAAAAGCACATTAAAAGTATTAAAAATACAGAATAAAAGATAAAAAATGATACTCCTGTATATATGATACGTGTATAACATGTAATATAATATAATATACTCCTGTATAGGGAACTAACCATGAATAGAATTTGCTGAATTCTGTTCATTCACCCAGAGCTGGAAATTGCTCTGGGTGAGTCAGTGATTCAGTAGTGAGTGAATGTGAAGGTCTGGGACATTACTGTACACTGCTGTAGACTTTATCAACACTGTACACTTAGGGCACACTAATTGTATAAAAATAAACTTTCTTTAATAATTAGCCTTAGGTTAGTATAACTTTTTGCTTCGTATATTTTTTAATGTTTTTACTTTTTGGCTCTTTTGACTTCTAAACACTTAGCTTAAAACACTAACATGTTGTCCAAAAATATGTTCTTTTTCCTTATTCTGTACACTGTTTTCTTAATTTTGTTTCCTTTCAGCATTTATTTTAGATTTGGGGGTATGTGTACAGGTTTTTTGCATGGGTAATTTGCATGTCGTTGAGGTTTGGTGTATGAATGATCCCAAATAGTGAGCATAGTGCCCGATAGGTAGTTTTTCAACCCATTCCCCCTCCCAACCTCTCCCTTCTGGGAGTCCCAGTGTCTATTGTTGCCATCTTTATGTCCATGTTTACTCAGTGTTTAGTTCCCTCTCATAAGGGAGAACAAGCAGTATTTGGCTTTCTGTTTCTGCATTAATTTGGCCTCCAGCTACATCCATGTTGCTGCAATGGACATAATTTTCTTCCTTTTTACAACTGTATAGTATTCCATAGTGTATATATACCACATTTTACTTATCCAGTCCACCATTGATGGGCATATAGGTTGATCCCATGTCTTTGCTATTTTGAATAGTGTTGTGATGAACATACTAGTACATGTGTCTTTTATGTAAAGTGATTTATTTTCCTTTGTATATATATACCCAGTGGTGAGATTGCTGGGTCAAATAGTAGCTCTGTTTTAAGTTCTTTGAGAAATCTCCACACTGCTTTCCACAGTGGCTGAACTAATTTACATTCCCACCAGTAATATATAAATGTTCCCTTTTCTCTGTAACCTCTCCAATATCTGTAATTTTCTGGCTTTTTAATAACCATTCTGAGTGGTGTCAGATGATATCTCATTGTGGATTTGATTTGCATTTCTCTAACGATTAGTGATGTTGAACATTTTTTCATATGTATGTTGGCCACATGTATGTCTTCTTTTGAGGCATGTCTGTTCATGTCCTTTGCCCATTTTTAATGGGGTTGTTTGTTGCTTTTTTTCTATTTAGTTTCTTTTCATTTTGTTTTAGTTTTAAAACTTTTTAATTAAAAGCTAAGACACAAAAACTAAGACACACATTAGCCTACTCCTATACAGGGATGGTATCATCAGTGCCACTGTCTTCCCTGTCCACATCTTGTCCTACTGAAAGATCTTTGGGGGCACTAATACACATGGAGCTATCCTCTCCTGTGATGACAATGTGTTCTTCTGGATTACTTCCTGAAGGACCTGCCTGAGGCTGTGTTATCTTTAACTTTTCTTTTTTAATAAGTAAATGGAGTACAGTCTAGAATAATGATAAGAAGTATAGTGTAGTAAATATATAAGCCAGTAACAGTCATTTATCATCATTATCAGGTTTTATGTACTGTACACAATTGTATGTGCAATACTTTGTGTACAACTAGCAGAGCAGTAGGTTTGTTTACACCAGCATCACCACAAACATATGAGAAATGCCTTGTGATAGGACATTAACAACGGTTACAATGTCGCTAGGTGACAGAAATTTTTCAGCTCCATTATAATCCTGTAAGATCACCATTGAATACATGGTCTGTGGTTGAACCAAACTTTGTTATTTGGTGCATGACTGTGTATACATTTAAATATTTTGTTATTTTTATTATACCACTGGACTGTAAAACCTATGAAAACAGAGATCTTATCCTTTTTATTTACCCCTACATCCCCAACATTTGGAATTATACCTGGCACGTAGTAGCCACTCAATAAATAATTGTGCAATAAATTCCAGAAATGTGCCAAAATTATTTTTTAATTGTTCTACTTTTGGAGGATTCATTTATTCTGCAGCCTAATTTTGGACAATTGTTCCATTTCCTTTTGTTACACTGCTTTTAAAAAATAAGACAAAGTGTATATGGTAAGAGAAAAAAGCTCATCTGAAATGCAATCTCTATTCCTCCCTTTCTGTTTTACCTGAATATAATTATATACTTTTACATTATTTAACCCAAACTACATATATATATATGTGTGTGTGTGTGTATATATTTGTGTGTGTGTGTATATATATACATTCAACTTTGCATTGCTATTTTCTACATCATTTTATAATTTCATATAGTGTAGTGCCTGCATACTGTCCTTTGTATATGACATTTAGTGTTTTGACTTATAAACACTTACCTTAAAACACTAATACATTATGCAGTGTACTAGTGTTCATTGTACAGTGTACTAATACATTGTACAATGTCCTCTGTTTTGGAAATTTCCCCAGAAGAATTGCATAAGGACAGAAACAAAGTGAAAGATGATACCCATTTCAAAATTTGATGAATACTACAATATGATTTGCAAAAGACAATATATACGGACACCAATGTTTTAAAAAAGAAAAAGATAATAGTTTACCCCCTCCCTGATTTATATTTGGTTTATTTTTTACTTGATGATCAGTTTTGCTGCTCTACCTTGAATATCTTTCACCATTTTAGAAATTAAATATTTTCATACTTAATTCTTTAATTTTCATTATTTAACAATTTGCTTCACTTTTACTTCCCCCTAAATAATTTCATCTCTTCCTGTGACTTTAAATACAATTTGTATGTTAACTCCCACGTTTCCCCTGGCCTCCAGACCCATAATCAGCCACTTATTTGGCATCTTCACTTGGATGACTGATAGGCATTTTAAGCTTAAAATGGATAAAATAGAAATTCTTCCATCTTCATCTTTCACCCCTTTTCCACCATCTACTTCAATGAACACAGCCCTATGTTTATCTTCGTAGGTATTTTTTACTTTTTAATTTTAATGTTTAATTTACAACATTAAATTGAAAACATTAGTTTTCATTTCAAATATTCAAATATGTTGAATACATTTTTTGCTAATCAAAATTAAGAACTCTGAACATATGTCTTACTATATGTGCCCTGAAAGAGCTGGGCTAAAAAGAGGTGATTTAAAATAATAATGATTTCAAAGAGCTTTTTGTTAACTTGACACATGGATGATGAAGGCTTATAAGCCTTTCATCAGTATAACCTCAATTTAGTAAAATCTGGTTTAGTAAGCATTAAGAAGACAATACCCCAAATTATTTTCATTTTTAAATAATGGGCTTTCCTGCAATAGTTTATTATTATATGACCTTCATAGTTTTTTCATAGTTATTTAACTTCTAGTAGTTTTCTTTTGTGAAGTAATTATGTCTAGAGTGCTCATCATCTCAACAGGAATAGTTTGAAGTGCTTCTCTTCTGTTCCTCCTTCACCTAGAAAGCATAGATTTTTTTTTTCTATTTTTCTTATTCCTAAGTTATATCCCTCCCTGGGATATAGTGTTGTATATCTTTAAATTTTGAATAATGTTTCAGGAGCAAAGTGAAATAATGTGTTAAATGGAAAAATAAGTAAGTTAAATTTTGTCTTTAGAAAATTGTCTGGGTAATTCAGTGGGGAGTTGAAGGAAGGGTTCATTGAAGAATTTTGAACAGAATTTTCTCATAATGCTAAAATAAAGACTCCTTATCCTCAGTCTCACTAAGTTGCCTGATTTTATAGATGATGAAACTAAAGTCATTTGAGAAAGGTCACATAGCAGAGCCAGGGTAAGACCACGTATCTATTAATGGCCAATTCTATATTTGTATTATACTACACTATGCTTTAGATAGGATAAAGTAGTAAGACTGGAGAACAGCACATAATAGAACATATAGATGTAGGGAGCAGGAGAAGTCACAGATAGCTCCTAGGTTTAAAATCTGAGTGAGCAATGGGTGAAAGGTAAAAATACATGAGACAAGGTGGCATGGTATTTTATGAGAGATATTAGACAATGCTATGAAAACTGTTCTGCCTTGGATTTGGTTATCAAAAGTAGATTAAACAAACTAGTGGAAGTTGGAAGAACTGCTTTTTAAATTCTTTTGGATACTTCTATTCATGTAAATCTGTTGTACATATTTTATCAAATCAGTCATTCACACAGGCAGATTTTTATTTATTTGAAGTCTGTAATCGAAAGGATACCATTTTTCAATTTGCTTTGTTCAACAATTCAATGTAGATTCCCCAAAATGGCACATGTATCTCCACTGGATGCTACTAAGTGGAGCCTCAGTATCCTAAATTGTAATACATTGGGAAAATAAAAGGCATTTTTCTGGTTAGATTATATAGTGTATATCATGGTAAAAAGTAAATTAATCTACATGTCTTTCCTTACCAGAACTATGATATCTTGACTATTAAGTTTAAGAGATAAAATGAAATGTCAGTATTTTGATAGGCAAATAATGCATGATATAAAAAGAATGTAAAAATATTTTCAAAGGTACTTTTTGGTCAGTTACAAATTATAGAAGCCCTCAAAATTATAGAAATTATCATAATTCAATTCAAATTTCTTTAAGCAAAAAAGGGAGTTGTATTTCCTCTGTGATGGCTTTAGACAGGGTTAGATTCAGATGCCAAAAAATGCAGTCTCATTTTTATCTGAGTTAACTTCATTTTCAGTCAGGTTCTTCCTCTTCTCATAATAGTGGTAAGATAGCCACTAGCAATGCCAGGCTGGTGTTCTACTAGATTTGAAACACAAATATCTCTTTATCGACAAGTTTCCCAACTTCTCATGCTCTTGTTTGGCCATCCTGCGTCATGTGCTCAAACCCAAACCAGTAAAGGTTATGGGTGTGAGTATAGCAATAGGTCAGACCTGGGTCATGTTTTTACTTCTAAAGCAAGCTTGTGCAACCTGTGCCCCAGGATGGCTTTGAATGTGGCCCAACACAAATTCGTAAACTTTCTTAAAACTTTTCTGTTTTTTTTTTCTTTGCATTTTTTAAAGTTCTTCAGCTATCATTAGTGTATTTTATGTGTAGCTTGAGACAATTCTTCCAGTGTGGCCCAGGGAAGCCAAAAAATTGGACACCCCTGTTCTAGAGATATTGAAAGATTGTCAGCCTTATCTGAGGCACATACACTAAGAATGAGAAAGGGTGTTTTCCAGAGGAAAACAGGGGCTCTGTTGCCAGAAGAAGAATGATTGGATACCAACTGAATGACTGAGTAAAATAACAGGTATCCACTGTTGATAGGAATTGCTTTGTAAGTGTAATGTCATATGTGTGTAGTAAATATGGCAGCCCTAAATAAAATAATTCATACTATTAATTGGGAGCTCTCAAATTATAATGGAAGTTGTTTTGCATTTACTTCAATATGTGGTTTTATTAAATAGTTTATGATTTTTCTGCCATGATAATGAAGAAATATGATGCCTATAGGTAGTCTCATTCCTTTATAGCCATAAAACCATCATGAGTTGGAGTTCTTATTTGTTGAAAGAGTAAATATATCTTAATGTCTGTTTTTAATTAGAAACATATCAATATTAAAATCAGTTTATGTGGTATTTTTAAAACTCATAGGATTGTTATAGAAGTTCTTTTGTGATTGCAAATAGAGAAATTGTAAATTTATTACTTTTTTCTGATAACAGTTGATGCTAGCATAATTAGTATAATTATATTGTTAATCTTATCTTTTTTTGGATAAATAACTTGTGAGTCTAGAATAAGGAAGGTTTAAGTAAAGATTCTTTTAATTTAAAAGTAGTAGTATTAAGCTGGGTACAGTGGCTCACACCTATAATCCCAGCTACTCAGGAGGCTGAACCAGGTGGATCGCTTCAGCCCAGGAGTTCGAGGCTGCAGTGAGCTATGATTGTGTCACTGTACTCCAGCCTGGGTGGCAAAGGGAGACCCCCCTCTCTAAAAATAAATAAATACATACATACATACATACATACATACATACATACATACATACATAATTGAAGCAGTTCATCACTGCTAAAATGGGTTTAGATTTGAAACAGGAACTGTCCAACACCGAAACAATAGTGACCAAATTTATGGAAATACTTGGTTGTGAAAAAAGAGTGTAAAGACCATTAGGGAAATATCTTCATCTCTAGAGGATTTTCTTACCTATTCTTTCTTTTTCCAGTTAAACTTTGTGTCTCCTTTATAACCTTATATACTTCTGTGCAGCACCCTTAAGACTCCTGCACTGATACACACTCATTTTCTACAACTATCTATAACCTCTTTAAAGGCAGGAACAATGTCATATATATCCTTTATCTCCAGCTTTCAACACAGGGCTTGGGCCATTCAGTAAGCGTTTATAAATGATTAGGTAGATGCTAGCAAATATAATCATAACTCTGAAGGGCAATCTGATTTGTAACTGTCAAGAACATATCTGACTTAGTTTTATACATGTTATACCAAATAATTGGTATGCCGTTGAAGATCAGTTCTTTTCTCCCGATTCTTTAGAAATAAGAATATGTGTATTTTTCTCAGCCAGAGCATTAGCAGACTTCACCAGTGAAAATGAATCCATGTATACAGTTAGAATTTGCTATTTGTCGTTTCAGTTGGAATTTAAATACTATCAGTATACAGACATTTGCTTTGGTAAATGCCTTTATCTAAGAAGTAAGAGAAAATAATCTATCTTACATAATTCTCTTTGCTTCTCCTCTGTTTTTTCCCACCAGTATTCAGTTGTCCACCATCTCAAAGCTTCCATGTTTTTCTCTCTCACTTTTCCTTAACTCTGGCCCGACACTTAAAATGTAAATATAAAACTACTGTCCTTGTAATGTTATTTAACTGAATTTCAGTTTTTTGTCTCAACTTCTTTTCAGAGAGTCTGTTTCTTCTCTCTGCCCATATTAGATTAATACTGTGTGCAAATAGGTATGGATATATTTTTTAATTATTCAGAGAAAAAAGACAGTGTAAGGCAAAGAGGATTCTCATGTTCTTTTGTCAAAAATAAAAATTGGGTGATAAATGCCTTGTGTAAGCTATTAAGTATTTACTTTTATTAAATTTTGAAACTTTTTATATTTATGTTTCCATTAATTTTCTAAATTTGGTAGTCTTACACAGAATAGCCTATTGTCTAAAGTTAGAAAATGCTATATATTATAATTACTAAGATGCAAACATTAAGTCTGGTCTTAAGTCATAACACATCTTTAGTTTTTTAATCTTGCCAACAAAACTTGGGGCCACATCAATATTTGATTAAACATTGATTGTGGTTGACAGATTTGTTATTTAAGATTCTTTGAAATGGTTAAACACTAAAATTCAGAAGATGAGTATTAACTACATAAAAGCACCTTTAATATAAAGATAGACATTGTCATATAATTCTTCAATTTTCAAAAATATGGATATTTTTGGAAGATGTTTACTGTCATTAAAAGTTAACACTATTTTAAATTATATATTATTTCAAAGTTTTTGAGTATTGGCCGGGCGTGGTTGTAATCCCAGCATTTTGGGTGGCCGAGGCAGGCGGATCACCTGAGGTCAGGAGTTTGAGACCAGCCTGGACAACATATGGTGAAACCCCATCTCTACTAAAAGAATACAAAAATTATCTGGGCATGGTGGCGCATGCCTTGTAGTCCCAGCTACTTGCGAAACTGAGGCAGGAGAATCGCTTGAACCCGGGAGGCGGAGGTTGCAGTGAGTCGAGATTGCACCACTGCGCTCCAGCCTGGGCAACAGAGCAAGACTCCGTCTCTCAAAAATAAATAAATAAATAAATAAAAATAAAATGTTGAGTATTGAAAAGAAGGAAAAATATATTGTTTTTTTATTGTTAAAAAAGACAGGCTAATGTTCAATAATGTAAGTGCAATGCCCACATGTGCAAGTTGTTTTAGATAATAGTTTTAGAGTTAAAAAGAAAAAAACTGTGAAAAAACATATATAATGTGAGACTGATGTGCCATATAGTAGAAATTAATATCTTCACACATTTCATAGAGTGAATGTTATAAAATAATAAAATTTCATTACCTTTTATTAACAGCCTATAATTATCCTTTTCTGTACTTTTCTTGTGGTTATCATGCAGGAAACCATTACACTGAACAAAACAAAAATGATTACTTATAATTTAAAATAACATAAGACTAGCTCTTTTAAAAGTCTTGGCCGATTAATACATTTTTCTTCATTAAAAATATGTTAAAGCACTGCAGTTTGCCAGTCCGTGATGTTTTCAATAGTGTTACAAAAAGGTTATCATTTTGAAAAGAATTGCTTATCCATAAAAATACAATCATATTTAACATTCAGATACTTAAATCCTTAAAAGTGCATTTTCTCAGTATTTCATGTGTATGGGATAAAAATAAAGATGATTGTAATTCATCTTTATAATTGGTATAGTATATAATCATAGTTTAACTTTCTAATTGTAACACATTAACTTTTCAGACAAATAATTTTGTACAAAAAGATGTCTGTGAGCAAAACTAACAAATGTTATAAAAACACTTCTTGGTCTGTTTCTTGAAACTGAATCCACTTAATCAGGGAATATGAAGTTTATGTTTAACATTCCCAAGAAAACTTAGACTATTTCTCAAACTTTCTAAGTTCTTGAAAACTTAGACTATTTTCCATAAAATGAAATGATTGTATTAATAAATTGTAATGAAACAAAATTAAATTTCTTTTATTACTGTAAATTGTGTGCATGGAAATAAAATGAGGTTTGTGTGTGTGTGTGTGTGTGTATTATATGTGTAAATATATTTGTGAGGTGACTTGGTTTAGAATTTGCATTTATACTTTCTCTGCTTGCTACCTTCCAGAACAAAATTGCCTGAAATGCATGGCTGTATTTCTTTAAAATATTCTTATCCACATTTGTGTTTGAAAGATAGCATTAGAGATGCTTGCTAAAAATTAGCTAATGAAATCCCTCATAGAATACCTCAAACAACTAAATGTCCTGCTCAAATTTTAGCACTTTTTTTAGCCTGCCCATTTTAATGTCTGGAACAAGGAAAGCAATTACTTCAGTGCTTTGTCAGTAACACAACAATCACAAGTTTTGACCTACCCAGTGAGACATAAAACATTGTCATATGTGTCATTATGCTTCCATAATATAATTTTAAATGTTACTATTTACATTTTAATTTTAGGGATGATAGAAAATGTCATATTGATTTGATATTTCTTATAATAATTTTTATTGTGATTAAGTCAAAATATGCTGATTTTTGTGGCTGGATGTTTCAATACAAATAAAGATGTCTATGTGTGGTCATATTGGATTGAATATTCATGTCACTGCAGTAATTTTTCAGTATCCTCTGAAAATATGGTAGTACCATTTGGTAAGATGGTAGTAAGCCCTAATTTTAAAAATGTAGCAATGATAGCCAAAAAAGCGAATAATTAGACTAATTATTTTACAAATATAGATAGTGCAGCTAGGTAATATAATTCTTAAATAGGGTTAATCTACCCCAAGCCATTGAAAAATTAAAAATTATTAATTATTTAGAAATAACTATTATGAAGTTATATTTCATATGTGAGTTTAAATGAAAATGCTAATAATTTTACTGACCTTTATCTCTGAAGACAGTCATGAAACAAGTAAGCTATCTTTAATAACAAAAAAATTACTGGGTGATAAGGAACATGAAATTAATGTTTTGAAGGGACTCAGGCTTGAACTTTCCTACTGTTATCTTTATTAACTTTGCTTTTTAATTCTGCATTCTTTGTTTTTTAAATGTTTTAGAACAAAGCATTTTCTTAAAGTTACAATAGGTGAAGAATCATCAACAGCATGTGATTTTTGGAGCTATATAAAAATGTTACCTTTGGTGTATAGTTATGATCCCCTCTTGTTAAGATACTGATTTCTTATAAATTCTGTTGCAAAATTCACAGTGACTCAAGGAAAAATTTTATTTAATAATTTTGACCTGAAAATTGAGTTTTTCCTTTGAAAATTCTAATTTTACAAGATAGTTATATTAAAGTGTGATAAAAGTCACTTTAAAGTTGTGATATTTCTGTTTCATAAATTATGTTTAATTTTCAGTTTATTATTTTACTTTTCTAGGATAGCAAAGTAATATAATGTATATGCACAAAACAGAAGTATTATTTATACGTATTTTTTTTAATTACAGGTAAAGATTATAGTTCCCAACAGCACAGCAGGTCTGATAATAGGGAAGGGAGGTGCTACTGTGAAGGCTGTAATGGAGCAGTCAGGGGCTTGGGTGCAGCTTTCCCAGAAACCTGATGGGATCAACTTGCAAGAGAGGGTTGTCACTGTGAGTGGAGAACCTGAACAAAACCGAAAAGCTGTTGAACTTATCATCCAGAAGATACAAGAGGATCCACAAAGTGGCAGCTGTCTCAATATCAGTTATGCCAATGTGACAGGTCCAGTGGCAAATTCCAATCCAACCGGATCTCCTTATGCAAACACTGCTGAAGTGTTACCAACTGCTGCAGCAGCTGCAGGGCTATTAGGACATGCTAACCTTGCTGGCGTTGCAGCCTTTCCAGCAGTTTTATCTGGCTTCACAGGCAATGACCTGGTGGCCATCACCTCTGCACTTAATACATTAGCCAGCTATGGATATAATCTCAACACTTTAGGTTTAGGTCTCAGTCAAGCAGCAGCAACAGGGGCTTTGGCTGCAGCAGCTGCCAGTGCCAACCCAGCAGCAGCAGCAGCCAATTTATTGGCCACCTATGCCAGTGAAGCCTCAGCCAGTGGCAGCACAGCTGGTGGTACGGCGGGGACATTTGCATTAGGTAGCCTGGCTGCTGCTACTGCTGCAACCAATGGATATTTTGGAGCTGCTTCTCCCCTAGCTGCCAGTGCCATTCTAGGAACAGAAAAGTCCACAGATGGATCCAAGGATGTAGTTGAAATAGCAGTGCCAGAAAACTTAGTTGGTGCAATACTTGGCAAAGGAGGGAAAACATTAGTGGAATACCAGGAGTTGACTGGTGCAAGGATACAGATCTCCAAAAAAGGAGAATTCGTACCTGGCACAAGGAATCGGAAGGTAACCATTACTGGAACACCAGCTGCAACACAGGCTGCTCAATATTTAATTACACAAAGGATCACATATGAGCAAGGAGTTCGGGCTGCCAATCCTCAGAAAGTGGGTTGAGTGCCCCAGTTACACATCAGATTGTTTTAACCCCTCCTTTACCCCATTTTCAAGAAGGATGTACTGTACTTTGCAGAAGTGAAGTTTTTCTGTTATTAATATATAATTATGCAAATGAATGCGACTATGTTGACAATGTGTATATGTAAATAATATGTGTTTTACCAGATGTTTCATAGAAAGAATTTTTTCTTGATCTGTTTTGTTCTCTATACTTTGCTTGTGTATATTTGTCAGAGGTGTTTCTAGTGTAAGATTTAAGCCTGCCATTTTACCAGCATTATTGTAGTTTAATGATTGAATGTAGACAGGGATATGCGTATAGTTTTCAGTATTAGTTCTAGATAACACTAAATTAACTACTGTTAGGTTGAGTATGGTGGGGTCAGTGACCTAAAATGGAGTGAGGCCAAAGCACTGTCCTGTAAGTCTTACTTCCTGCTTAGGGCACAGTGAAGTAGGAAACAATATTTTGAAAATAAGTTTTAAATTTAAAATGATCAAAAAGCAATATAGTTGCATAAAAGCACTGTAAAATATTTAAAAGGTTAAAACTGTGGAAAATTATATTGGTAAGTTTACAGATCAATAAAAGCACCTGTTCTCCATCTGAACTAGACAATGGAAATAATGCTGCATGCTGGCCATGGCCCATTCTTCATCATTTGTAAGTTCAACAAAAGTTCTCACATGGAGTCCCACCTCTTCAGAGGTTTGTACATTTGTTTTTAAGCACTGAATTCACTACTGATCCCATCGCCTGGCCAGTAGAACAGTCATTACTCCATTAACATCCTCACTGTTTAGACACATAACTGTGGTACAGTGTATTGGAAATTTTATAAACAAAAGTGAAAGTGCCAACAAATTATTGATAGCTGATAATGTTTCATTATCTGCAACTGCTTGATAAGTATGTTGCATTTTAAGAGCTTATAATTGTGTATAATTTGTTAACACTAGAAACCTATTAGTATTGTGAATGTAGATTTTACTGTGAAGCTATCTGTGATTTAGCTGTTTGCTCCCATGATGGAGTCTTTGCAGCATGGCGCTAGCAGCCAATGCAGTTTCTAATACTCGGTAATTTGCATGTTTTGTGGAGCATTTTTATGTCACCAACCAGACAGTATTTCCTGCATGCTTATTTAGAAGAGGCAGCTTATCTTGAGAGGTAGTGTTATCTACCTTTGTCAGGCTTTTTGACAGGTCATTTCAGAGTAAGCCTTTGTTCCCAAGACCCAACAACTGTCACCCTCTTCTGTACCTCTCCTGAGTGCCAACTGTCCAGGCCATTTGACACACCATCTGTTAACCTCTGAGTTTGCCCACTCAAGGCCACTCATAGGGGCATCCATCCCCAAGCACCTCCTCATGCTGTGCATGCAGTCTTAAATTCAATGGACAAAAATAAAATGCTGGCTACCTCTGGATCATCTGGCTGAGCAACTGAATTACAAAAGAGAATTACTTCCATCTCAACTTCAACCCATTGATTACGTCCATCCTAGCAAGCTAAATGGCATCCCAGCTGCTCCTTTCTGTGCAACCAATTAAAGAACAATGAGTGTGATGCTCCATGTCTGAATTTCGTCCAGCCTCTCTCTGAACTGTGATCTTTGTCCTCATGAACTTTCCCTTTTGTTCATTGAACTATATGGACTCTTCATTTCATATTGATTTACTGTGCAATTTACTTTTGGACATTGAGAACTTGAAATTATTTCCTGATCCCTTCCCCTTCCACTATTAATAATTCATTTCTGTCAAACTGTAAGAGTAGACTCATTTTTTTTTTTTTAGTTTTTAACATTGGACTGTTATTTCATTTAGAGTTCTCTATCTCTAAATATTTATTTAGAGAATGATTTTAAAAGGGAATGATATGCTTGTTTAAATGAAAGAGAAAAGCTGTAGTAAACTGTGTTAATTGGTAATGACTATTTATCGTCGATACTCTGTAGCTGTGTAAGTTTTGACAAATAGTGTATCTCGTGGAATCAGTGGTTAGCATTGCCGCTATTATATTTACTCATTTTATCATTATAAATGTGCTTAGTTCATCATGTAGCATCACTTGTCTCCCGTCTCATTTTTTCCTTGCATGTCACAAGTCTCAGATCATTTATAATACATTAACAGTAAATAATATCTATGTAAATTTCTTTCACCATGCTGTCTCAGAGTCAGCAGTGAACAAAGGCAAAGATTGGGGCCCCACTTAGTTTGAAAAAGGGAAAGGAAGTGATCTAGGATGTGTACTAGAAGCATTTCAAATGTTGGGTCTTTAAAATGTTTTGTTCAGTCTTAGCAAATCTTCGATCTTTTATTTCAAAATTCCAGTAGTCCACTGTGGAGCCCATGCATTTCATCTGGAATTTAATGTTACTTTGAAGCCAAACCATTTAAACAATTATGTGTGTTTTATTAGCTAGTGTTGCTGAAAATGCACTTAGTTCAATTTTAATTGTAAATGGGAATTTTAAACTTTTCCTAGTTAGCATGGTTATATGTTAGTTAAAACTGAAAGCTAAATTGAAGATATTACATTTTAATTTATGGTGACAGATAAGGGTTTGTATGCATTATGTGTAAATCAGCTTCATGCTGTTTAAAAATTTATTCTCTGAAATTTATAGACCATGTAGAATTGATTTGTGATGTGATGCTTTAATTTATTGCAAGAAAATTAGTATGGCTTCAAACTGCCACAGGTAGGCATGTAACAATGGCTGTTCAGCTGTACTGATCCAAAATGGAGAAAACTGATGATACAAGGGCCAAACATCTTATGAAATGCAACTATTTATAGACTTGTTTTGCTATAGGGAGGCTGGTGAACACGCTGAATACGAATTACCTCAGTTCTGCAGCTTTCTATGTCTTTTTAATGCATTCTGTTTCAGGGTCACTTTCAATCAATATTTCATTTACTTACTGAGATTGAATGGGCGCTCTGAGACACAGTGTGCTGTTTATCATACAGATTGGACACCTCATTCTAGATCCAAGATCTTTTCCTCAACACTGGGAGCTGTCCTTTCAGCACCACAAAATTACTGCTTGAAGTTGCATTGCAGTTTTTTTGTTTTTTTTTTGTTTGTTTGTTTGTTTGTTTTTTTGTTTTTTTCTTTATCACTGGGAGCTTTTCTTTCAGCACCACAACATTGCACCTAGACTTTTTAAACGGCTGCCTTCCTCTTTGCACTGAAGACCAATTTCGTCTGCACTTCCAGTTATTGCTATTACCTGTAGGACTTTCAATCCTACTTCACTTCACCCACCCCACTCCTGAAACAGTTAAATGTATCTATTTCTGTGGAAGTCATTTTCTCATTGAATGATTAGAAACAAAGATAAATTCTAACCTGTAACGGCTCATTTCGACTCATTGCTTACAATAGATCTAAGCTCTTTTTTCTGCTTATTCGACTCCTTCCAGCTTCCCATCACATCTGTAACAAACTTTTAAAATGATATTGCCACACCACCATGCACAAGCCTACCTGCACAGTAGAGATAGATTATTCCATCGCATTCAGATGGTTAACAGAGGTTAGCAAGTCCTGTATTATATATTTATATCGCTTTCTAAGAAAGTGCATATTAATGTTTACTTTAAGAATGTGTAAATGGTGCTATCAAGAATCTGATAAATTTTATCCCCGTTTTTTGTGTACCACTTCTAATGTATGAGATTTATTTTTTTATTGGAAAAAAATAAACAGTATGAAAGCATTAAATTGGTAGATTTTAGTAATTTAACAATGAATGGAATCCCTACGTTACAGGCCCTATGTTTCCTTGGAAATTTTAATGGTGGTAATAGATTTCAACAAAGGTACTGATAATCATATTCCTTTTAATCCATTCTTATATTTCAGTCTTGATTTATATGCTGATTCCTCACTGAGTCCTTAAGTAAAGTTTATTTACTTAATAATTTTATTTACTGTAAGTCTTCTCCAAGAAGGGAATTCTTGCTTTCGAAGGCAGCAATTGAGAGATGAAAATATAATTTAATACCCCTTACATCACAGGCACTATTTGAGACTAGTTACTCTGTTAGTAGGAGAAATATTCATCACTCATTAAATACAGGGCAAGCATGGCTATACACAATAATTTTGAGTGCAATACAGTCATAAATTTAATGTACACACGTTACTTAACTGAGGCAAACAGCCATACAAAATTGCACATGATTAGAAAACAGGATGAACTCATTTTGCCTTCTGCTTGGTTTCTCATAAACATGAATACATAATATTGTTATGCACTGTTGTTCATAGATGTCTTTTTACATAAAGGGTAAGTATCATATTACTTTAACAGATTATATTTGGAAATCTGCATGTTATTTTTTGTTTCATCAGATATGTGCCCCAAATAAATAACTTTTCTTTCAAAAAATGAAAGTATTAGAGAACTTGTCATGTTAATTTTGAAAAATATTGAGGTATAGTACTAGACAGGATGTCATTCCACTGGTCTATATAAACAAAAAAAACTGTTCTTGAAAATTGAAGCATTACCTTGTATAATAAAGTACATCAAATCAGATTTGTAAATAAAATATTGTTTAATTCTAAAGTATTCAATATTTTGATTAGATTATTTTTTTAAGGAAAAATATTTAACGTGTATGTGCCGAATTTTTTTTAAATAGTTTTTTATAATTGCAATGGAAAGGCAATTGTCTCATTACAAAGTGGTACAGAAGCCAATACTTGGGTTACCATAGATATATAAACAAGCAAAAACTGTGGAACACGTTTTAAGCTCATTTTGGAAAATTAAAACAGTTCTGTAGAAATGCATATTTGTATTTGTTTCTCTAATAAATCTGCAAATAGCTTTAAACACAAATTAGTTTTAATTATTTAAATTATGAGTTCTCTTAAGTAATTTAACACCTGTTTTGCCTTACATTTTGTGAAAACATTGTCTCATGGAAATGAATAGAGGCTTATTGTGGAAATCAAGGTAGGTCTGCATTTATTCAAAAAGGTCAGGTATTTAGCATTTAAGTATGTTTACCTCTATGAAATGATTGAAGAATTTTTATGAAAAAACAACACTTCTCCCCCAACCCAAATTTCATGAATTTAGCCACTGCCCAAAACAAAGGACCAGTTTGCATTTGCTTTAACTCGGTACCAAATGAAAGAGCAAATTAAGTGAAATCATGTGTTCAAACAGTTGATAATCAAAAGATTATTTGATGCAGTTAATCAGTTTCTTTACATGTATCCATGAAGGAATATAGACTTTTCTGAACCATGGTGCCTCCTCAGTCTTCTCTAATGTCATTTATGCGTTATGATTAAAGTTGATATCTAAAAATACATATATTTTTCTTGAATTCTGATTTATGCTCATGCATTTGAAACTGTTTTAGGATAACATATAGTCATCTATTTCTGTTGTTAGTGTAGAGTCTCCATTTCATAAAAAATGCTTTGTACACAATACATCAATAGATATACTAGAATAAATACTAATGTGTGTATCTTTTTTAAGTTGTCATTCTGCTAGAGCAGAGATGCTAACCTTTTGGTTAAGGACTCAATTGAGTATTCCAATCCTATTGAACTATGAAGGGCACTCAAATTTTAATGAAGTATTTGTATTTGCCATTTTTTTAAGCTAGTAAAATATTTCAGAGGATCTGGCTTATGAAAACTTTAAGCATTTCCAAGAGTATAGTTTATTGGCTTATCAATTTTACAGCTTTTGATCAATAAAAAATACTGTTCTTGTCAGTATTTTAGATAATGGGTAATTGTATCAAATTTTTCCTTTAACAGAATTTCTATAATTTAAATTTCAAAATTATGACATCAAAATTTCCACACTTTTAATGTTATATCTTTTTCTGTGAATCTTAAGATAGTTCAAGTCCTTAGTAGATTAACATACTATATTAAATTATTGTAGTATACTAAGAAATAATCTTTGATGGACTTGATATATAGCATTTCTATATTTTATGTTGTCTATTTTAGGAGATAAATGTTGAAAAAGGCTCTGATAAGAGGAAGCCTGTAGACCTATAGTGAGACCAATTTATGCTGAAATTGTATTGAAAATAAACCATTACTTTTAAGGTTTCAGCACAGAAAAAAATATATTGTAATTTTTAAAATATTGGCATAATACACATTAACTTATAAATCTTTTTTAATAAAAGAAAAAGTTATATTTTTCAAAGTATCTTAGGAAAAACATTCTTCACTCAATTCTGTACAGAATATATTTTGTGAGGTTCCATTCCCCAGAAGAAAGCATTGGCTAGTAGTTTATCACTTAGGAGATACAACTCAAGATTTTTAACATTTCAATCTTGCATCAAGATTATGGGTGTTTTGTTTTAGGTTTGTGTGTGTGTGTCTTGTTTTGTTTTTTTGTTGGGGGGTGATGATAGAGAATAGAAGCAATTATCAAAACTATTTGCACTCAGGCAACTACCGATTGTATAAAAAATGATTCAGAAGGCCAAATACTCAATTGGCTAGTTTCAATTATTGAATTTTTGCATCACTTTGCCAGTACAGGGAAAACCTCTGAGGTTAAACTTCCTGTGAAGATTGACTGCATGACTCCCAAAACAATGTTACTTCCATATGCACTACAGAGGCTTAATCTGAATCAGAAACTTTGAAAAAATCATTTTTTAATCTTCAAATCTATAAAACTGATTTTTATACATTCTAGCAAATAACTAAACAGAATCATTGTCCATTGTCTTTACAAACAGGCTTGTCATTTGAAATCTTTAAATAATTGCCAATGCAGATACTTCTGAACATAAAAATTCTTACTTTCAATGAACTTTTAAAAATTGGGGGCCAGACATGGTGGCTCATGCCTGTAATCCCAGCACTTTGGGAGGCCGAGGCAGGTGGATCACCTGAGTTCAAGCGTTCGATACCAGCCTGGTCACCATGGTGAAACCCCACCTCTACTAAAAAAATACCAAATTAGCCGGGTTGGTGGTGCACACCTGTAATCCCAGCTACTTGGGAGGCTGAGGCAGGAGAATCACTTGAATCTGGGAAGTGGAGGTTGCAGTGAGCCGAGATCATGCCATTGCACTCCAGCCTGGGCAACAAGAGCAAAACTCTGTCTCAAAAAAAAAAAAAAAGGGGGGGAGATGGGGGTTTTTAAAAAGATTTTCTTGTTATCTGCCCCCTTTAGGACCTATCTCATTTAAAGCCATTAAAAGGTAGCTTGAAATTATACCCATTTTTTTAGTTGACAGCTTATTTTTTTAATAGTATGCATCAGTTTTTATTTTGTAATGATTTTTCTTTAAATATTAAAGGTATTTTAAGGTTTTATAGACTAATGGTAATGATGGGTTTTCTCCCTTTTTTTAACTTTCTGAAAAGAGTTTTGTATGCTGATGGATCCAGTCATCATCAGTATGCATGATGTACAAACTTGGAATCTGTTTGGCATTCGTTTGCATGTGGATTTTTCAATTATGAACAAAATCGGATATTCTAAATACATAGCTTGGACAAAAAAGGAAGAAAGATAGGACAAGAAGGCAAAGCACTAGAGAATCAATCGTTTGAAGAGTGACTGGACAACCAAGTCTAGTGATCTAAGCCAACCAAGATAATTCATTATAAGCCCTTGACCTTCTGTAAGCATACAGAGGTTGATGACAATGTAATATTATCTCTGTTGTGAATTTTTATATTTAGTGAGTTTTTCAAGTCTTGAGTATTATTTTAAAATCAATACTATCTCATCATTGGGTCTCCTATAACAATAACCGAAGTTGTACACTAATTAAAGTACCAGTTAAGTGGCATGTAGAACGTAATGATGCTACAAAAACATGTTATTATTAATGTCACTAATTCTGCTCTGGTTTCTTCCATACATCACATAGCTACAGATTGATACACACTTTTTTGTTATTTTATTTCTCACTCAGACATAAATTACTTTCTATCCTGACATGAAGAAATCAAGGAGGAACTTTCACCAATTTATTTTTAAATTTTAAGCATAGTGTTATACCCAAGGACAAAAGTAAATAATAAAAGTGCATATACAAAATCCTCTTTTTCTGAATAGTAGGACTTAACACTCAATTGAGATCATGTATTCATGTATTCTATGTATATGCTGATTCTGATTTTGAACGTAGAGTAAATTAGTTTCACCAACAATGACAATGTCATCACTTATTTATGGTAAAACACTAAAAGGAGTATAATTAAGCTAATCACACCTCTTTTTATATAACTTCAAATGTTTAGGAAAAACAAAGTTACAATGATGATGTTAAAATAGGCATTATAATATTTTTCTTCTCATTAGCTTAAGTTTTATTGCTGTTGACCTTAAATATATTTTAAAAGTTGAACTTCTACAGTTTTTCTGGGGCTTTTGAAAATACGAAAGTAAATAAGAAATTTTCTCACATAATATTGGGAAAAGTATTTTCACAAATAATTCCCCAATGTGTGAATAGAATAAAATAACTAATATTTATATTATCTTCTGCCATATGCAGAATGTACTTTTATTCTTTAATTCTCATATTATAAAGTATAGATATTAATTTGATTTCCATTTTACAGAAAATGAAATACAACCACTGAGTCTCAAGTCACTAAGATAAAATTAATAAATTGAGGATCCCACTTTACTGAGAGCTAAGATTTTAAAATTAAAATGATAAATGCATTAGAATATTTTAAGCAGTAAGCAACTTTAATGCAAGTTAATGGGTTCTGTTTCTAAAAAGTTGAAATAGTCTAAAGCTCTCAGAATCATAGCTGTACACAAGTAATTACATTACCATTTAATTTATACCTCTAGGCCTGTCACAGTGCATGTTACCTTTTGAGAGATACCTTGAAAACTGTAGAAATAAAACAATAACTTTTATAACAACTAAAGCGTCTTATGGGAATAAACATGCAAGCAACTGGAATAGCGTGGTAGGGATATATGGAATTACTTGAAATAAATGTGTATCTCATCTGTCCAGTGCATTAGTTGTGTGGCCCTAGAGAAAATTCATTTTATTTCATTTTGAGTGCACACAAGATGCAGTGTATTACATAAGTTTAAATCTGTTTCATAAAGCTATTACATTAAGAAATGTTTTGTCACTTGATAGTTTGTCCTTAAAATATAAGCATTTTCTCAAACTATCAAAGGATGTACATACTGTAGAGGAATCAAATGGTGGAAAGTTTGGTAATATTACATGGATTGGGTCAATCCTGTGAAAACAAAAAGTGAGTTAGTAATACACACTCAGAAAACGATTACAATTTATTTAAGAATTTTATATTTTAAAACCAATATAAAAGTAATCAACATCAATTTTAAATGGAAATAAATGCTCTCATATAGAGGTTATATGATATATGGTACTAATCAATACATTGTTTCTTGAAAATTCTGTTGGGACTCTAAATTTTAAAGTATTCATTGGATTTTTTAAATTTATTACATTCTGAAATGTACTAAATTTTATAGAATTATCAAGATATAACCAATGTGTTCTTATAAATCAAAAGGTCATATGTTATAAAAAGTTCAGGGGTGATATTTTATTAGAAATCATATTAAAATATGAGTAACATGTAATAGAATGTTTTTAAATTCTGCAAAAATAATTCTTCATCTGTAATTTGTTATTCTCTTTTCTGAAAGGCAAGAAAATAAAAAAGATGTGGGCAAACTCCATATCTGACATATATTGATATAGTTTATAGGATTTTTTTTCAGTCTCCTAGTAATCAAGTGCACTATTTATATTCCTCATCTTTTTTATTTGATTATCAAAATAGTTGTGAGAATCAAATTAACTGTACCATATCCAATTCTATCATCACATTCAACATATTCAGAGGTTATTTCTTTGTAGAATAAATATAACAAAGTAAGTTCTAAAAATATCTCAATTGTTTTACAAGGATTATTTTTAACATAAATTTTCTATATATTTCACAGCCAAAAATATATTATTAAAGGTAAAATATTTCCTAATATTTCATCAAATTATGCTATTTTCTAATTGTGAAGTAGCCCTTGCATATCCACTGTTAATAGTATAGTCATTTTTGTTTACATAGGTCTTCATAAAAAATGAAAGTACATAATCACTGACAATGATCTTTATAAGATATTCTGTTTGCCTTACACTTTAGAGCAACAGAAAAAAATTAGAATTAGTGTGGCCATTCCATAATAGGAGAATTATTATTTTCTCTAAAATAATAATCAACAGAATATTTTAGCAGGAAAAAATACAATTACCTTAATCTCAAGTGTTTCAAGTAATTGCCTGTGCCTTGTCCAAATGAAGAAGGATATAAATCACTTGATTTTATTGGGTTTTCAGAGTTTTATTCTACCCTAAGGCAGAGTCTAGGCAACAAATATATCTAGCCTAAAATAGATTGAAGTGAATTATCTAAGAAAAATAATATCTAAAATGATGCATGATAAGAACTTAAGAGTTATAGATATGGTTTCTATCATCTCAAAAGAATAAATGTCAGGGTGCTATTTTTATTATTAGCAAAAGAAACTGTGTGACTTCTCTTAAGGAATTATGTTTATTACCAGAAATTTTAACCAAAGAACATCAGCTAGAAGACATAAATCCCACATACCCAGCATGTTATAGAGGAAAAGTGGGTCTTGAAATAGACAAATACAGATTTGAATCTCAGTCTCACTCCTCTGATACTGAACATTTTGTAGATTCAGATACCCTGTATAGAATATGGGGATCACAATTCCCTCAGCATATAAGGATTAAATTACATTATATTTGTTTTAAGTATACCTACATTTCAGTACCTGAATTCAACCACAAGGAAGCAAGAGGTTTTTCAATAAATACTAATTTCCTCTACAAATTAAGGGAAATGAATTTATAAAATATGTCGAACAAGAGCATAGTAATATTTGTGAAAGTACTTTACAAAATATATAAGCTTAATAGAATGTAAGATAAAGTCTTAAATTTGAAAAAGTTTCGATTGCATAGACAAATGTCTACATATAAATACACAAAATAAGCATTAAATAAGTATTTCGTCTTACTCGTTTCTATTACAGCTACACATAGAGGCTCCCATAAAGTTATTACAACAGATTTTATTTAAAAATCAGTAGAATTCTTCATATCAACTAAAAACAAATGGTAACAATTCCCTAAATTAATTGAAGAGTAGAATATAAATGATCATACAAAGATATGTAATTAATACTGGTTTATTAATTGATAATATGAAAATTCTTATTACAGGCACAAGAAGATGTTTATGAACACTTAAGGAAAATTTTTTTTTTTTTTTTACATGGAGTCTCGCTCTGTCGCCCATGCTGGAGTGCAATGGCGTGATCTTGGCTCACTGCAACCTCCGCCTCCTGGGTTCAAGCGATTCTCCTGCTTCAGCCTCCCGAGTAACTGGGATCACAGGCGCCTGCCACCACGCCTGGCTCATTTTGTATTTTTAGTAGAGACGGGGTTCCACCATGTTGGTCAGGCTGGTCTCGAACTCCTGACCTTGTGATCCGCCCACCTTAGCCTCCCAAAGTGCTGGGATTACAGGCGTGAGCCACCGCACCTGGCCAGGAAAACTTTTTAAATGTATTTTTCAGGCTAGGCGTGGTGGCTTGTGCCTGTAATCCCAGCACTTTGGGAGGTCGAGGCGGGCGGATCATGAGGTCAGGAGATCAAGACCATCCTGGCTAACACAGTGAAACCCCATCTCTACTGAAAATACAAAAAATTAGCCGGGTGTGGTGGTGGGAGCCTGTAGTCCCAGCTACTCAGAAGGCTGAGGCAGGAGAATGGTGTAAACCCAGGAGGCAGAGCTTGCAGTGAGCCAAGATTGTGCCACTGCACTCCAGCCTGGGTGACAGAGCAAGACTCCGTCTCAAAAAAATAAAAAAAATAAAAATATATATATTTTTCTGTGTCCATAAACTTCAATGAATAATGGGAAAAAATGAAAACTTCTAATATTCTAAAGATTAATAACAGAAAAATTTGCAATTAATTAAAATACTTGCTGAAATTAACTGAATATCTGGCAATTAATTGCTCTTATTTGTGATAATAAGTTCAGCAAGCCAACAGGTTCGTCAGAGTGCCCATAAACTAATCATATTTCAATTTAAATCTTTCATAAACCCCTACATAAAAACCTACTGCTTTTTTATATAAATACAAGAATAAATAATAAAGAACTGGAAATGCATTGATACTGGTATTATACTATGTTAAATATTAATAAAAACTAATATCTCAGTAACTTTTGTGTTTAACCACGTAGTGTTGTATATTTCATATAAGTAATTTTCCTGTAAACTCATTTTTAATAATGTTAATATAGAATAAAATATTTTTTAAACACCACAGAATTTTATATTTTAAATATCTAGTGCACACGCTTTATTAAAAGATAAAGGAAATTTGGTTTGAAAATTTTAAAGGTAAGAAATATCTTCTTAGAAAGAACTCTTAAAAGCTAATGAAGAGATTCTGAGGTATGTCTGTATTTATTTCTTCATTGAAGAATTGTAGGACAACAGATAAATATTCTCATCATTAAAGTGTTGTAAATGATCAGAGGTAAGTTTACACAATAAGAAAAATGAGAGCTAAATTTTGGCAGTCTTCGTAGGGCACATTTTGTGAATAATTTCAGCTATACTCCATTCCACAGAGTGTGTTTTCTGCTCATATGGCTAATGCAGCACACCAACATGGCACATGTATACATATGTAACAAACCTGCACGTTGTGCACATGTACCCTAAAACTTAAAGTATAATAATTATAAAAAGAAGGTAAGAGAAATTATAAGCACATCCTTACCCCTTCACTGGTTTTCTGCAAGTCTGAAAAAAAAAATTTAAATAATTCAGCACAGCCCAAAACTCTTACAACATGATCATAACTATACCTTAAAGTTGTCAGAGTGCTTTGACGTATCATCAATTTGTATTTTTTTCTTTACTAACCCTTGAACATGGTAGAACCAGTATCAAATTTAATGTTCTTTTTTTCAGCCTGATAATGATTCACCCAATTTCAATATTAGAGAAAAGGGCAAGGCAGACATCCTTTTAATACACACCACATTGTATTGTTGATGTCTTCAAAACATAGCTTTTGGGTAGTTAAATACTTCATGTTAGAATTAAAAAGTTCAGTTTCTTCACTGGGATTTCTTCACTGGAATAAAAATAGAATAAGAAGTAACTTGGACAATCCCACAAGAAACACTGGCACTTCCATTAATATTTTGTGTGCCTATGAGTCTTCAAAATATTAGTGATCACTACTGGTTATGGAACATTTAAAACCTAAACGAGAATATACTTTTAAAACACTCATTCCTCTACTAGTTTGATCAATCAATACCTTTGCTGAAATTGACTGTCAAGCATAGCTCCCTTATTTTACTAAGAAGCAATCAACATCATGCATATGATCTGATATACAAGGTGAAAATTTAAAACATGGTTCAATGCTTCTTTCTGCTAAAATATGTTTAATTTTATTATGGGCATAATGGATTTGTAGTTGCATAGAAATCTGATTGCAAAATCTTACATGGTCTGAAGATTTTTTGAAAGGTATACGAAATGGAAAGATACAGAGTTTCTTTTTCACTCTGGGCAAGAGTTACTCATCTAAAGGATATATGTACTTAAGCACTATATAGAGGTTAATCAAAATGAAGTTCAGTATACACAGGAGCTTTGCATTCTGAGATAAAAGTATATTTTCTGCCATTAAAATGTTTTCTAAGGTCAATAATATGGAAAAAATCAAATAGTAGAAACATGGGGAAAGGACAAGATGTATATCCAAATGTAAACTGAGACATTATTAGCTATTGATATTTGAAAACAAGAGGATTTTAATAAATACCCTTTCTTTTCATTTGATTGCAATACATAGAAATGTGAAAATTTGGTTTGCTATGGTCTTGAAAGCATTAAGTTGAATATTGTAATTAATGTTCAAAACACTGCTTTTTAAGTGGTAAAGATTTTCTGAATAAAAAAAGAATCATTTTTAAGTTGAACTATGAAACCTAGTTTATTTTGTGCTTATTACTAATTCTGGTATGTAATAAGCAGTGAAAATCATCTTAATTGCTTTTGATAGATAATTATATTCATTAAGAAGATAGAATAAAAAATGAATATTGTATATCCTAGATATTTACAATCAACACTTTAAAATTATTTCTTAATGATATGCATTTTAATTTAGTGACCAAGTTTTGTTACCATTAACAACAAATATAGATCTGAAACATAATGTAGTTTCAAAACATGAATTACATAATAGATATGGAATTCCAAACAATCTGTAATAAATATAGTCAAGATAAATAGCAGATACTGATCCTAAATAAAAGAAGGCTTATTTTATCAGAATCGATCAACAGTCTATACAGCATTTACCAAATGTCAGAGAATTATAATAAATATTTTTTAAGAACCAACGTGAAAAGGAAAGATAGATTTTTTTTATAACCCTACTGAAGTTTTCAATATGCTTTAAAAGAGGGAGAGGGCGATTTTGATGTTTTTGATGAAATTGTACTTCAAAAAACTTTTCTATCTCCGTCTTTGGGTGTTTAAATTGAAATTCCCAATGTAAAGTCTAGAGCCACTTTGGTTCATCAGAAACGTATTTTTTACATCTAAGGCTTGGGAGGTTAATATCATTTTAATCTTTATTCAGACTTTTAATTTGCCATATATGTGAAGTTCATTACCATACAGCATAAGAAAATATCTTTTGTTATATTAATAAAAAAGTCATAGCATAGAAAAAATGTATGTGAAAAAATGACCCAACTTTATTATTATTATTATTATTTTTGCTGTCTAGTTTTCTGTCCAGAAATGATGTGAACGTTCATTAGGAACAATGTTAGACACATGTAAGACTGAAACATGGGCAAGGCCTATTGAGAGAAACAGCAGCTCTACACTGTTAGGGCAGTAAGAAAGCTGAAAAATTGTTCTGCGGGATACATAGAACAAAGATGAAGATGACAATATCAACTTACATTTGCCTTTTGCTGTAGTACAAATTTCAAAACACTCTCAAGTAGTTGTCTCATTTAATTTCTCATAACACCCCTTTATTGCACTTAAAATGCACTTAAATTCAGCATTAAAATTTAAAATATATATCATAGATTTCTATGCATTAAACAAAAAATATCAATATTATACTTTTAAATAAATTTATCCTATAAGTTTGTTTCTCTAAAATATGCATTGCTATAAGTATTAAACTTTTTATAGAAGCCTAAAGAGAAAAAAAAAAAAACCTGAAATTAAAGAAGAGTAAAGTTTTCTTTTGTTTAATAATATGACTGAACTTGCACAACTGAACTTAAAATAACAGGAAAACAAAATTAGCAGACAGGAATGCTTTATGTAGAGCAGTCTCGTCCCTTGGTATAAAGATTGAGTGAAGTTTCTGAAAAATAAATGCACATAATCCCATATATTCCATTTTTCTGCCAACATTTAAGCTAGAATGGGATGCAAATTAATGAAATTTAAGAGATAATTGATAACTTTGTTTTATTTTTATCACTCCCAAACTTAGGACATTTAGAACAAACAGATTTAGAGTCAGAATATTTCTTACCTAGTCACAAATTTCATTTCTAACTTGATAAATTAATCTCAGGTTCTGAACATCTGGAATTATTGCATCCTGGCTTTCAGCATAACCAAGAAAGATAATAAATAATAAAACTAATTATGTTTTTATTTACTTTGAATTGAAAAAATGAAAATTATATTGTGTATATTCGTAATATGAATATCAATCAGTTTAAAATATACCAATACCTAGATATACCCCCAACACTGTACTATATAGTATACTTAAAAAATAATTTTCCTCTTATTTTTAAAAGGTTAAAAAAAGGGGTTAATTTTAAATATGAATCTTTATATTCTACCTAAAATTCAGATAACACATATGCTTAATATCAATATTTAATGCCAAATGTATGAGGGTCACTTAGCTTTTAGTTTGTATGAAGAATATACCATGATTCAGCAACAATGGCAATAATAATATTTACATGTGTGATGTATTTAAATTTTTAACCTGTTTGCTGCCTACCCAGATCAGCTGTTCTCAGAAATAATCCAGAACCTGAGAAGGTAAGTTAAAATATGTTTGGATTACAATCTTTATGTTCTAAAATATATTATAGAGACCCGACTCTCAAGCAGTGAGTAAATATCCACCATTGGCTTAATAAAATTTTAAATAGCTATCAGATATTCCCTTGGCTCAAATTAAGACATAGACAATGGTAAACTTGCACTATGTAGGACCAATTGTAGAATCATATATTATCTATTTCATTTCTTTTTGCTTTTTGTATTAAACAAGCCCACATTTGATGACATTTCAGCTGATTCCAAGAAGTATGACTGATTGAGGCCTGGCTCCAATTTGGTCTTAAATGATTATTTCTGCTGAATAATGGTGAAGCGTGGTAGGATAAAATCTCCTGGTTGAATTTAAACAACTGGTTCCTGATTGAATCCATAGTTAAAAGCTTTCTAACAGCTCTTTATTTCTGTGGGGGAGGAGATAGCAGAGGTTGCTTATTGTTAGTAGCCTGTAAAATGACCATATTAAAATTAAATAATACCACAAAATACAAAACTCTCGCCTCCTATAAACATTGCTTGCAGTCCTCATTATGCATGAACAGATATGATAGTTCCATTCCTAAGTATGAATATGTTCAAATACCGTGTGTATATAATTGTGATATTCATATTCTCATGAATGTTTCTGAACAACATCCTCATTGATCAAAGTGAAAATAAACATGACAAATGACTGGGTGAAACACTACTTACTCGATGGCAGTCTCAAATCAGCACACATCTACGATGGTAAGTTTTTACATGAATGTCCTTAAAACACAGAGGGCACAGAAGGCCCAATACCAAAAATCTCCTTTTAGAATCAGACTATGAAATTCTGATTTTACAAATTATATGGGTGTCCACATTCGGATCCACAAAACGTCATCCCTAAAATAAAGGAAATCACCTACATCTGAGTGTTATTCCCTAAACTACCTTCATGCCATAATCTAATACTATAATTAAGTATCAAGTCGAGATCTTCACACTGAATAAAAATGAATATATGTTTAATTCTTGAAACACAAGCTTGTATTTTTCTCATATAAAATAGTATCTTCCAACTTTGAAAAAAAAATTCAAGAAATGCACCTTAGGCCGGGCACGGTGGCTCATGCCTGTAATCCCAGCACTTTGGAAGGCCGAGGCAGGCGGATCACGAGGTCAGGAAATCGAGACCATCCTGGCTAACACGGTGAAACCCCATCTCTACTAAAAATACAAAAAATTAGCCGGGCGTGGTGGCGGACGCCTGTAGTCCCAGCTACTCAGGAGGCTGAGGCAGGAGAATGGCGTGAACCCTGGGGGGTGGAGCCTGCAGAGAGCCGAGATCGCACCACTGCGCTCCAGCCTGGGCAACAGCGAGACTCCGTCTCAAAAAAAAAGAAAAAAAAAAAAAGAAACGCACCTTAGTCTTTTCAGAAAGAATCAGAAAAATTTCAGGAAAATAAGAAATTGCATTTTAAAAGGCTCAGATGGTTGTAATCCTTCTAAAGAAAGGATAGTTACAAAACTAAATAAGAAAAAAAATCAGTAAACAAGACCTTTTCTTTCTTATTTAACGTATTCTCTTATTATTAAGCAAAGGAGACATCTCAGTGTAATTTAGTGATGATAAAAATGCGTTGAATTTTCATAGTAATTTTGCCACATAAAAATATTTGCATTTATTTAGAGTCTCTTCAGTGTCACATATAGAAGTCCATTATTCGCTGAGGCATTTACTGAGTACCTGTTATGTGTGCATATCTCTCTAAAGTGCACAACAGATTCTGGATAGAACAAGACAGACAAAACACCTACCTGATAGAGCTAATATTTGAGTGGGGATGTCAAAAAATAGACTATGAAGAGAATAAAACAGCATAAAGTAAGAGGAAATGACATAGGACAGAGGTAGAGAGAGTTAACTTTGCACAGGGGAGTTAGGGAAGACTACTTGAAAAAGGCAAGGCCTCTTCCAGGGAGTCACTCTCTCCGTCTTGTGAGTGCGGAAGAGCCAGAGATGGTTAGTTAGTCCCTATCTGTAGATAAGGACAGTATGCATAGCAGAGTCTGATCATTTTGTCTGTGATTTTTATTTTTTAATTCAATAAACATTACATGTCTGCAATATGCTAGACATTGTAATAAACCCTGGGTTTATTAAGATGGACAAGAAAAAGGTCTTGTCTGAACTTTGAAGGAAATGTGAAAGGAGACCAAGGATTATATTATACTTGGTATTTGATATAATAGAGGTTTTCTGTAGGATAATCACAAAACACATAGGAAGATGCAAAGGAGGTAACACCACACTAGAACACTAGCAGAGGGGAAAGCCATCAGGCTAAGTAGGCTTGTGATTTTTTTGGTTGGGGGCAGGTCAGTTAGTGATTACATGACAAAGACATGATAGAGTTGTGACTGGAAATCACACCTCCTGATCCTCACAAGTTTGCTTTCCAGTAATCCATACCACTCTCATAAATCTAATTGTGGAAATGTTCATTTTGATAAAATGCTTTTATTTTAAAAAGCCTGTTTTGAATGCTCATTATAGCACATTTATAATCCAGAAAAGAAATGACTGGAAAAGTCTGAAAAGAAAAATCTGCATTCAGCATTCTTATGTTCAGAAGCCGGAATTTAAAGAGAAAGTTTATGAAAATTACTATGTAAGGTCCTACATTAATTTCACAATTATAATTACAATGGCACAAATTGAGCTGTACTCTCTTCCAATAGTCATGAAACCTAGGTACACATTGAGAAGAGTAGCTGCATTTTCTAAAGCTGGACAGAGTGAGGATGACTTTTACACACTGAAGCAGATAATAATAATTTGAGTTATCTGTACTGAAGGTAGAAATGTCCTACTTTCGAAAGCCAACAACAACATGAAGTGTCAGCCACAACACTGAGAACTAGTAAACACAGACTCAGGGCTGGCAGGGGCCTTGAGGATCAGCTTATTAGTATGTGGAGTAAGCAGAGGCCTTCGGGTATAAATTAAAGGTGATAGCCCACTGACTCAAAATATATTTTCCCCTTTTATCACTGTCACAGCCCCCAACATAAGACACTCTTGGGTAGGTTAAGAATACATTGAAATTCTCTGTTAAAATCTAAGTTTATTGGAAAAGTCACATTAAGCCATTCTCATCTTTATGCAAATTAATTTATTCTATTGACCTAATAAAGGCAGAGATTTGAATAAATAGAATCTGAAGAAGAATTTCAACAAGAGAAAGGACCAAAAAGTAAATAAGAACACTAGCTCCAGAAGAAAGACCTTGCAGAGAAATATGAAATGCTGCCGCAGGTGATACCTGCTTTTATCTGAATGGGGAAGTGTGAGGAATGTGTCATTAGAAAAATTGTATCAAAAGAAATATTGGAAAAGGAGCCATACTGTTAACTTTCTTTGTGAAGTGCCTGCTACTATATTTCTTGCCTGCTTTGTCCTTACTTTATTTCCTTTTTTTCCAAATCTTTCCATCATCTGCCTCAGTCATACTTTCTGTATTTTCTGCTTACCAAATTCCATCTTGAGTTTATCTGTCTCTTTCCATACTCTTTAATCAAGAATGTCACCAAGACAAGATCCATTCCCAAGTGTGTGTCTTGTATCAGAACTCAACTTAGCATGATGACTGGCAAAGAGGAGAAGGGTGCTGATTGCCAGACAGAACCTAGTCAAATAACCACACCACCTATAATGACCCTTCACCTTGGGCCTCAATCATAGATCTAGGAGGCCATCACAATAGGGAGGAGGAACGAAACAAACAATAGTAGAGTGAATGTGTAATGGATTGTCCAAACCAGGCCACTTCCACAACTCAAAGGGTGCTCTGTGAATAACAACAATGGCATAAAACATGTACCCTGGATTTCCCAAGAAAACTGGTATATCTGGCCACACTAGCTAGTATCTGCCAAGAATCAGCTCTGAATCGTACACTCAATGACAATACAAACAATCATCTAATCACCAAAGTGAAGTCCCAAGAGTATGAAACAGACCATTGAGGACAAGGAAAAGAATGGAACAAAATGTGTGTGTGGTCTTTATTATAGTGACGAAAATTGGCCTTTCTGAAGACAGTATTTTATGCTCATATAAAGATTTGAACAAGTAAGTTTTGAAGATACTGATAAGAAGATATGGCTATGTCATAAAAATATCCCTAACTGCAAGCACTGTGAGGTTCTGAGTTTTAGAAATTATGTTTATTGTTTTAATAGATAAGTCCTAAATTAAGAAACTCCCTTCCAGCATCCATTTGGCTTTGGCTTAAGTTGCAGTGAATATTCGTATCTGGGAGTAAAAGGAAATTAGGTTGGAATTCTGCCATGTTTCATTTTACTGCATTCCTGTTGCTTTTGGAACAATTGATGAGGAAAGCCTCTGTAGAAACAGATCCCCACCTCCTACATGGTGGGGATATGGTACTTAATATAACAGTTTCTATCGTAACTGTGATGGTGACAAATCCCTAAGGAATTTACTCATAATGATCAGCTTGCACACAGCTTCTGGAGTCTAGGCCAAATTTCTAACACGTGGGCCCAATAGTTCCAGTTGCCTTCTTGAACGTTGGCGGGTCCAGCCTTTTCCAGTGATAACACCCAGTATCTCTTCTAGTACTTATCTCTGAAGTATCTTGTGAGTTAATCGCCTTTCTTTTACTGTCCTACTCCCCCACCCCCTGTTATTTGTTGTAAGTACTTATTTTACCTTTACATGACATATTTTTAAAATTCATTAGCATTAAAATGTGACAGAGAACTTCCAAAAAGTTTTTTAATCAAAACTGGCTAATAATTCAGAACTAAAATCCCAATAGGAAAGGAAATGGGACTTAGTGTGGAGACGAGATGGCCGATAATAACTCAATAACCAGCTCTAACTTTAGAGGGCAGTGTCAGGTGAGTTACTGTATTCTATTTCTACTATAACAGAAAAAGTTGGAATAGTCTTAAATTAAATTTTGAAAACGTCTCCTAGTGGAGGGGACTGATTAACTGTCGGAAATATGCAATACCATTTTTACATGAGTGACTTTTCTTAGAATATTTTAACAGTATAGCAGTCATATTTTCTTCTGTTTTCATAAGAATGGATTTTCCATGGCAGTAAAATGTAGTGGCTTTCTAAATTTTATTCCCAAGAGGATTTTCTGGCACCCTAATAATTTTTCAAAGTCTCCTAATATTGAATTCATTACAAAGTTAAGAAATTAAAGTATCAGCAGGAGGTCACTTTCAAAGAGGTTCTAACTATCAGCCTGTTGGTAACAAAATCTATTAAAACCATAATATAGTAATATTTCTCCTAAAAGACAATAGCCCTGTCTCTGAGCTTTGAGCATAGTAAGAATTCTATTAATATTAATGAGTAAAGTCATAAGCAGCTTGAAGATGTCCCTAGAAAGTTGAAGAAAGGATATTCATCCTAGGAGGGATTAGTGTCTATTGTGTATTTTATAATCTTGGACTAAGTTTATACAGGTGAGAATATTCTACAGATGACATTTCTTGCTGTTTTATACCTCTTATTATAATAATTCATTTATATTCATAGCAAATCCTCTACTTAAAGCAAAAATTATCCTAAAATCAGGTATTACTGGGGTTTTCTACAGAAGTCAGAGTTAAAAGAGTTTTTAATGTTCTAATTACAAAATCTTAAGATTCTTGGCAAATATTAAGGAATAATTTCAGGCTCACTATTCTAGTATTGCTAACATGTATACTCTCACTCTGTGAGAGTCACTAAATTGTTATTTTTTATTAAATAACTTTTAATTGGAAAAAGTATATAATGACATAGGTTTGTAGAATCTTAGAAAAGAACATTTTACAACATATTGTTAGAAAAACAGATGTTGAAAGAGTGAATGACTTTGTAGATGAGGAAACTGATAAGAGATTGTGATTATATAATTTGCCCAAGGTGACATGGTTTGTTCTGGAAGCAGAATAAAGGCAGATTTCATGCAGAATAGAGGCTGATACATAGTCTGGTGGTTGTGTTTCTGTTTCTATTCGGTGACTTGGGTCACAGAACTAAGGAAAGCTTCAGACTGCCTTTTTTGAAATTTTACTGGAGAACTTACCTAATGTATTACTTATCTTAAAATGAGAGATAATATATACAATCTCTCTACCTCTCAGTGATATTAGTAAAATAAGTGAGGTAGAAATAAAAATATGTAATCCATAATAATGGTAAGAAGGTCAGAGAGACAAAACAATGCTCAATCCAATATTGTATAATGCTGTGCTTGTTTTCCACAACACGTTATATTTCTCTTTATATTGCGTTTTGGCTGATAATGTTTTCTTGCACCCGATAGTAACAAAACCCAAGAAGCAGCAATTAGAATGCTGCTGCAAATAATTCAAAGCATGGCCAAGATGTAGTAAGAGTGATTTTTAAGAATGAATAGCCTTCTTCTGAACGTGCTTTTTCAATGAACTCCAAGGCTCTGACATTGTGGGTAGCAGCTACAGTTACCTGTGTGACTTATGCACAGGAGCGGATCAGATTTGGGTACTCTTAGAGACCTCCCTGGTATTTAAATCAGACTTACTTGTTCTTCAAATATGATTGATTTCTTGTCAAGCCTAATTAAGCATAAGTTTTCATCTTTCTTATTCATTAGGTTATGTAAAATCCTGCCAAAGACCACTTAGAGGTTTTATTTTGCTAAGACATGAAACTAAGAGGTCTCCTGATGCATTTTTGCTTCCCAAGAGAGATTTCACTTCTTGGTAATGTAGTTCATTTCTCTTCAGTTTTCCTGCCTTGTTTGGAATGCATGGTGCACAATGCAGTATCTGAGCTTTGATCAACGTGGAATAGGAAGAAAGATATAAAGAGAAAGAAGGAATTGAGGGAGGGAGAAGGGAAGGAAGGAAGGAAGGAAGGATGGAAGGAAGGAAGGGAGGGGAACAGAGAGAGGGAGGGAGGGAGGAAAAGAAAGAAGGAAAGAAGGAAGGACTTCTTTGCTTGGGAATAACACATAACAATCGTATGTTCAAACTGCTTTTGTAGTTGAATTTCAAACTAAAACCTGCATTTTTGATAAAGAAATACATATCTCTCACTTCATTCCCTGCCCCCTTAAAATTATAAATCCCTTTATAACAGGTTTCTTTCCTCAACATCTTGTTTTCCCAACCTCCCCAATCTTCTTTTGAATATAAATTATTATTAAATCTTACTAAATTCCCCTTAATGTTTTATTTCTTTTTCTTCATCTGTTTTTATCCTTTTTATTCTGAATTTAATTATTTAGAGTCTCCCTCCTTACAAATACTTGTAAATGGCCATATGTTTTGTTTTTCTTTATTTTTTCTTTTCTTTCATGAATGCAAAAAGAAATGCAGTTCTCATTGTGGATAACAACTAATATATCTGGTTAATTGTCTATTTGTAAATGTTCAGTTGCTACCATATATCATTCGTTTTTGTGTGTGTGTGTTTTGTTTTTTTGTTTTTTTGTTTGTTTGTTTTGTGTTTTTTTTTTTGAGATAGAGTCTTGCTCTGTCACCCAGCCTGGAGTGCAGTGGCGTGATCTCAGCTCACTGCAACCTCCACCTTCCATGTTCAAGCGATTCCCCTGCCTCAGCCTCCTGAGTAGCTGGGACTACAGGCACGTGCCACCACACCCAGCTAATTTTTGTATTTTTAGTAGAGATGGGGTTTCACCATGTTGATCAGGCTGTTCTCGAGCTCCTGACCTCATGATCCACCCGCCTCGGCCTCCCAAAGTGCTGGGATTACAGGCATGACCCACCGCGCCCAGCCTGCTACCATATTTCAATAAATTAAAAACTCCCTCTTTTCAGTGTACATACATTGCTGATATTGCACATTTCACAGAGGAAGTAGAAACTTACAAAGCAGCAGCACTGATTGTGAGTTAATATCTAATATAAAGAATAAAATTTATAAGAAATTATTATTCTTAAGCTCCTCTTTCTTAGCATAAGGGATTTCTTATCTAAAATACATTATGTGGCCTGTCACGGTAGCCCATGCCTGTAATCCCAGGACTTTGGGAGGCTGAGGCAGGCGGATCACCTGAGGTCAGGAGTTTGAGACCAGCCTAGCCAACATGGTAAAACCCTGTCTCTACTAAAAATACAAAAATTAGCGAGGCATAGTGGCGCATGCCTGTAGTCCCAGCTACTCGGGAGGCTGAGGCAAGAGAATCGCTGGAACCCGGGAGGCGGAGGTTGCAGTGAGCCGAGATCATGCCACTGCATTCCGGCCTGGGCGACAGAGCGAGACTCCGTCTCAAAAAAAAAAAAAAAAAAAAAACATCATAAATACAGTAAGACTCTGGAGCAAAAGGGAGCTAAGGGGAGCTCATCAAATGAGACCTTCACAGTGTAATCAAATCAATATCATGTTCATGCATTAAATAACCAGGATCATGCTGTTTGGACTTAGGGAACCTGACCTAAGGGAGGCAAATATATATTTTTCTGGGACTAGGTATATTAAGGAGATAGTAAACTCATAGAAGATCCTCTATTTTGAAGTATTACAGAAGTAAAAATAGGTTAAGAAGTTGTCAAAAAAAATCATGATTGATAAATCCTATTGATAAAGGATACTAAGGGTGCTTATAGTATATGTCAGACCACACATATACTACATGTCTGGTAAATCACACAGAGAGCAATTACACACTCCCTTAAAATGACCTTCTGTTCCACTGCATTTTCAACCTCCCCAGGTAGGATACTCTGTCTTACTCATCTTCACAGCTCCAGATAACACTGGTCCTAACAGAGCCAATGCTTACATTATCAGTTAAACAAATGAAGAAATGAGGGAATTAACAAAAAAGTAAAACTTATTCACAGAGGTTTATTCTGTGAATAAGAATAAAAAATTTTTACAGAATCTAGCCCAGATGGATAATTGGTCTGAAAACAGTGTGAGTTATTTTGTTCTGAGGCCAAGAGCATGGAGACACAAGTAAAAGAACTAGGATGTTTAGAAACAAAAACACAAACCTAGAAACAAAAACATGTTCAAGGGCATTGAAACCAATTGTCATTGTAAAAGACAGATGAATCCTTTCACATTCACAACTACATGAGAATCTTCCAGTGTGGGGGAGGCAAATAGGTCCAGGTTTTAGAATTCATGCTGGAGTGACTTGATACAAACAAAAGCCACACTGGGACATGCAGACCTTTTTCCATTTCTCTATGTGGCTGATAGAAAGCAAGGCGCCAAAAAAGAGGAAGCAATTCACTGTAAAAATAAAGTTTACAATTTTTAACTCCAGTTAGTGGCTTTACTTGTATATAGCCTTTCAGAAAAATGAACTGTATTGTTTACAAAATGTTTAGTTTTCTTCAAGCAGCACAATAAACAGTGAGTAAAAAAATAGATGTTGACAAGTAAATGTTAAACCCCAGCACTATGTTACATCCCAATAATTGTACATATTGGTGGGAGCAGCAATACACACAGTCCATCTGTCACATTCTGCTTAAGCTGTTCACAGAGTTGAAGCCTCTGAAAATCACTTTTCTCTCAGAGCTGTCAAAGGGGAATCAGCGTGCAGGTATTCCTGCCCCAATTCTACTGATAACCTACTGTACGACAGTCATTAAATTATTTAACTTCTCTGAGCTTTAACGTCTGGTCTCTATAGAGTTTAAATGATCTCTAAGAAGCCCTCCAGCTCTAGATAGTATTTTATGTTTTAGTTACAGAAATTAATTTAAAGGCCATGATACCTACTTACAGATTTACAAATAGTTAACCAAACATGATCTGTCCTTTCTCTTCATTTGAGATTTCACTAAGAAAATTTGTCATTTCTTCATCTGTAGTCCAGACTTACCATTCCCACCTCTTTTCCTGGTTTTCTTACCCTAGATAAAGTAGCCTATTATTGATTTAATTTACCTTCAAATTTCCCCTCCTTCCCTGATTCTAAGCCTAGTTTTCCGAGGAGATATTTTTAAAACAGCTGGAATATACCGAATTCTTACCAGCAATTTTTTACTAAATTTGCTCCAGTACATATCAGGACTTCTGCTCATGTGATAATTGCTGCTTTTGATAACAACACGTCACGCAGACATAAACAATTTAGGATTCATATGATAGAGACTATAACTATTATAATTCTGTTTCACTGATGGTGACTTTTTTTTTTTTAATTTGCTTTCTTTCTCAAATACAAGATAGAGGAATGATTCCTCTAACCTCCTGGGCTTTTACTTTCTCAAATAACAGTTGTATTTTGGTTGTTTTTTGTTTGGTGTTTTTGTTTTTTTAAGAGACCAAGTCTCATTGTCACCCAGGCTGGAGTGCAGTGGCAGGATCACGGCTCACTGAACCTCAACTTCCTGGGCTCAAGCGTTTCTCCTACCTCAGCCTCCTGAGTAGCTGGGACAGCAGGAGTGTGCCACCAAGCTCAGCTAATTTTTATTTTTTTCATTTTTTTGTAGAGACAGGGTCTCACTGTTTTGCCCAGGCTAGTTTTGAACTCCTGAGCTCAAGCAATTCTCTCATCTCAGCCTCCCAAAATGCTGGAATTACAGGCATGAGCCACTGTGCCTGGCTTGGCTGTTTGAATAGGAACAAATACATCTGAATGAGCGCTATCTTATCTGATGTTGACCTTAAAGTACTAAGCATTATTGTCATCATAGTAATTATCATCACCATCATCACTGTTGTCATTACTCTCTGCAAATCTCACTTTATTTTCCATGATGTTTAGAAAGTTATTGTGCAGATTAGAGAAAGTGAGGGCTTTTTTTTTCTTGAAACATAATTCTGTTTTGGGAGTCTAAGGGTCCACTGAAGACTGAGTGGGAAATCAAGTGATCATATTCTTTTGATTTTGTCCTAGAACTACCTTCAAGCTGCTATGATACAAATGAGGAAAAATGACCTTGTCTCAAACAAGTCATGTCACATTATCCCACTCTTTTTTAAATTTTCTCTCTCTCTTTTTTTTTTTAACTTTTACGTTAAGTATAAGGGTATCTGCGAAGGTTTGTTACATGAGTAAACCTGTGTTGTAGGAGTTTGTTGTGCAGATTATTTCATCAACCAGATACTAAGCCTAATACCCCATTAGCTATTTTTCCTGATCTCTCTCTTCTCCCACCCTCCACCCTCTGATAGGCCCTAGTGTGTCTTGTTCCCCTCTATGTGTCCATGAATATGCCACTCCTGAGACTAAATCCAGATGTTTTCCTAAGCACCCGAACGTGACACTCTGCAACTCTTTCCACTAAGGAAAAAGTAACAAAAATGAGGTTTGTCTGTCTTAGATTTCACATATAAAAGTCCTTCCTGATCCACAAAGAGGATGAGAAAATTAAGAAGAAAGAATAAAAATAACAAAAAGAAGGTTTTCAACACATATCTTTCTTCACCTCTCCTTCCAATTGTTCTAACCATATTTTAAAGCAGGACTGTCTTTGAGAACACACCAAATTTAAACTTCATCTGATTCTGTATTTCACCAAGGCCAGTGTTGGTTGAGCTTTTTCAAAATTATCTCAAAAATCACTATGGACATTCATATCCCAAGTTGCCGATCTGACTTTCAGTCTTGATCGTTTTACCAAGGCCTCCACTACTGAAGAGGTGATTGCCTGAGTGACATGATTTCAGGGGCTCCATGAAAATCAGCTGTTCCAATTATATCTTAGCCCCTGCTAACCTATGAGTGATACGGTATAGAGATTCACTTCTTTAATAAGATTTTTATCCTTATCAAAATATAGACCTCTAGCTAGTGCAATAGGGTGAGAATAAGAAATAAAGGCATACATGATTTAAAAAAAAAATGCAACTTCCTTTCTTTGCTTTCATCAGTCTACCAAGGATTACCATCTTTAAATGCTACCAGTTATTTAATCGCAATGTGGATGTGTTTGTTTCCCCAACTAGAGAGCAAAATTCTTAAGGATAGAGAATGTTTTTTCATTGTACCAACTCCTGACCCTTTCTTTTCTTAACTCTCCTTTTCCTCATTGACCAGGAAGTGTACCTATCACTATACATTGAATCAAATGTAGTGGAATTCAGTCCTGATTCCTTTCAGCCCTGATGCACACCCAGTATCTCTGTAACAAAGAATGTGAAATGGCCTAAAACTTGCTTTGGAGATTCATAACAAAAGAGGTGATCTGGTATACCTCATTGTTATGAGCCAGCTCTTGGTGCCAGCGTATAACTCTTCTCTCCAATACTTGATTCACGCTAGTGAGAGCTCTCTTTTTTGAACTACTAAACTATTGGTTTGTTCCTGAGTCATAATCTATTCTAAGGAGTTCTGAGTACTTTTAAGTTATCCACGTTTTCTTGCACACTGCTTTTAAGATTTCACTGATAGAGGAGTATTGGGCTGTGTGTCTTCTGAGTGTGCTCACAGATACCTTGTCCAAATAGTTATAATAGCATAACCTCAATTTCACGTGTTGCTGCTTTGGCAAATATAAGTTGCCTTTAAATACAGGTGTGGGTATCTTTTCCAAGAAAAAAAGCACTAGTAAAGAATATAAAATAATACAGTTTTAAAATACCAATGCAGACATTAATTTGGAACTCCCTTTAGGATAAACAGGGGCATAATATTTTCAAATGAATATTGTTAGTATCTGGAAAAACTTAAACTGAAGGTCCACTTCTTTGACTTCACTGGTCATACTTTTTTATGTCTGTTATTTTTAGCATTTATTTCCATCATTCCCATTTAACATTGATCTGAGCTATCTGAGCCTTTCTTTTCACATGATAAAGAAAACTTTAAATAACCAACTTCACTCTTGCTGTTAGAGTGAGGTTCTCACTAATTGGGATCATCTAAACTTTTAACAATCTACTTGGGGAAAATTTAATTGATAATTAAGAGCAATTCAGATCATCACCCCAAGGACTTTTTAAAAATACATGAAAAGAAAGTATGATTATTTGCTTGGATTAAAAGAAAGAGAAAGAAAGAGATACTTTTTTTTAAATTAAGTACACAATTAGCTAGAAAGACAGTCGTGATTGCTTAAATCAAAGCATACTGTGTTACTGAGATGAATAAAATCTACCATATGAAGGCCTCTTTCATGGATAAATTAGCTTATACACACAATACCTGCCACCTCACCTACAGGAGCAACATTACATGTGGTTATTATTACCCATCCAAAACATAATACAAAAACCAAAGACTATCCTCTTGCAGAAAGGCCAATTAGATCTCTCTTGTTTTTCAATGGTAAATACACAACACATAACAAGGTACTCCAGGAGAAAAATAAATGATCTCTTTATAGGCTTAAAGTATCCTTTAAGCTCATAAATTATGTGTAAAATATTATGACTTTACGTTCATTTTTTTGAAAGAAGGTTCAAAGCTTTCACCAAATTCTCTACGGAGTTGATGATTACAAATGTCAAGGAAACACCTTCCTCTTTGCACAGGAAAACTTGATGCTCACATCATGTAGGCCAGAACTCAGCGTCTGGACGCACCAAAGTCCCTCTCCCTCAAGCTATTGCCTGTCAAACTTTACACATCACTGGATTTTTTTTAATCAGCAGGCCTAGAATAGAACCTGAGATTCTGCATTTCTAAGAAGTTCCTAGGGAACTGCTGGCCCATGGACCACACTTTGAGTAGCAAAGTTTGTGCATCCTGTCACATAAGCCCTTATTTAATCATAGGCTAATCAAAAACAACTAGTTTTGGGTACGCTTTTTTGCACCATAGTGTTGGGTATTATGAGAAAAGAGAAGACACATAATCTCTGCATGAAAATTTTCACAATCTAAGTGCAAATTTTAGCTAAATGAACATGAACATAAATAAGCAAATTATATTAGATTGGATATAATTATGGATAAAATGTCAAGGTATAAATTGTATGTTCTCAAGAGTGTGAGTTAAATGAAAGGAAGGCTTAATTGTCAGAGAAAAGAATTAATGGGGGGAAGTACGATTTGAGCTTGAACTTGGTGGAACATGGAACTTAGGGTTAGAAAAACAACAGTTTGAGCAAAACCACACACCCAGATCTCAGCACTAGACATGGATATAGTACAGTGAGGAAAGTAGCCTAATGGGAGCAGAATTGGTTTGGGGATAGGGTACAATATAAAGTTAGCAAAGAGGAAGATCTTAAGCTTTTAGGACTAATGGTAATTATGTACGTTATTTCTCCCATAAAAGTTGAACTGCATTGCATAGTGTCTAGTTAGTTTTACACATTCAGTTCATGTTGGAAAGATTAAGGCAGTTTTTCAGTTTTATGCATGTGCTGGCAATGGCACATCTGAAAGAGCAAGGGTAAAGCATTAACAATGAATTTGTAATGGGCATGATTACACTCCTGTTGTCAACTGCAGTAATTTACTTCATTGCTTTGCTTTATTTCACTCATACTATATTCTAATATGTTTCAAAACATTTAAGAGAAATAAATTAGTGAATTTTGCAACATTAAATTGCCCAGAACTTTCTTATCACAGGATTAAAAAATAATTGGAGGGTCTTATAAAAATTCTGGGTTGCATTCAATAATTTTTTTAAATAAATGATTGTGGTATGAGGAGTAAAGAGGTCTTGGTTCCAGGCTCAGATTTCCCACGAACTGGGTCGTAGGTCTCTCAGCTATAGAATAAACAGGCTGAATCGGTGGTCCTTGAGATCCTTTAAAATTCTAAAACCATGTGATGATATCACTTAAAGGCATTTACTATATTGTAAAGCATCATTGACCAGCAACTGTTAATATCAAGAAATAGACACCAGAGAGTCTGCTGAGTATAAAGGTCACATTTCTATTTCAGGGTCAAGTCATCACAACAGTGTAGTCCAGGAGAAGGTCCATGATGGAGATTCTAAGCAGAGTTTCCAAAAATAGTGGGCTCCCTATTTCCACTTGAAATATGAAAACACACAAAGGTCATGCCTGCACTTCACATAAATGCTGATTGCTCTCTCAGGGAGTCAAAATCCTGCAAGGGTCTAGGTTACCTTGCTCACTGTGTGTGTATGTGTATGTACATGGATTACGTTAAGCCCAAACCTCACCTTTCTGTCTGTGTATGTTTAAGTGTGTCCCCTACTCAACACTAGGAGCCAGAAATGTCTCTCCAGTCCATAAACTGCCTCATATATAGACATTTCCCTAGGTAACTCTCCTTAAACACAAACTCATCACCAATGATGACACATCAGTTTGTGAGGATCTGTGGGAATGATAAGTAGTACATATTTTGGTGATTGTGAAGAGATGTGATAAACAACATCTCTTCACAGAAAACATCTCTTCACAAAAAACAAGGCATAAAGCCTTGTTGTTTTTCACTGGTGAGCCTGTAAAACCAGGAAACAGCATGGTCCCAGTGGGTTCTAGGGCAAAATAATGGAGAAATCCAAAACACGTAAGAATGTATCAAAATGTGGAGAAATCCTGCACCTGAAAGTTAAGGATACCCACTTCACAGTTTTATCAGCCTCACACTTACGTGTGTCTCCACATGGAAAGTTTGTAGGGAATCAAGAGTCTTGGCACAGATGTGAAGAATAAGTACAAATAAATTTGTGGCTAAGGAACACACAGGACTGGCAAGAGCCTAGTTCTGCAGCCTGTGGGAAGAAGGAATTTTTTTTTAAATAAGAATCTCTGCTGTGCTATTAATTAACCTTTGTTAGGGTTGGCGTTGTATTCATTTCAGTTCAGGAGAAAGGAATGTACGCATGGGTGGCTTGTGTTTTGTAATCTGTTTACCATTTTTATTGCTATTTGAAAGAACATCATGCAAAACGGAACTATAAAAATCAAGATCCAAGGGGGATGGATCTGTTGCCCTGAGATTCTGCCCAGCATAGTCCAGCACCTGGACACAAGCCGATTGACGTCAGCTGCAATATTTGACTTCACTAGGAGCTTGCCCAGCAAGAGAAAGAAAAAAAAAATCTGTCAAATAAGCCCTAGAATTTACTCAGAACTCGGTCAGAGAAGTGTTCTCCGGGAAAGAGTGGGAAAAAAGCTATTTCTCCTCTTCCTCTGCATCCCACAGAGATCATCTGAGCCTGGAGCCTGCTTTGATGTCAGGAAGAACTTGGCAACCTGATCAGTTTCATGGGGAGCAGAATAAGACAAGCAAGAAGCATAGAGAGGAGCCCCTGCCAACTATAAAAATTTCTAAAACGTAACCAAAACACACACAGAGATTCAATACACAACACTCATATATACACTTTGCAGATGAGAAATGAGATCAATATAGTATCAATAACTTTGCCTCTTGCAATGCACAAATTCCATCAGAAGATATAGCAGAGTGCAGAGTTAGAAATGAATCCATTCTGCTTAACTAGAAGACAAAAAAAAAATTCGTCTTCAGATAGCCAAAGTGAAAAAGGAGTAAGGATGAGAGATATTGTAAACCCATTAAGAATGCATTGCTTGCTTTCATTCCTGTTTAATATTTCTTAAAACTATGCATTGTATGATGTTAAGGTTATGTACAGGACAGTTACAATGGCAGCTAATGTGGTTCCCTTTTACTGAGTAAGAAAGCATTTGGTAAAGCTGCTGACTGATCACATGCCATTCAGTCCAGCATTTTACAATCCAAGGTAGTTCAAGAGCAGTGTACAAGTCACAGAAATGACTGTGACCTCACCATCCACAGAGACTTCCTGGATTCCACAGGAGTGGTCCAGCCTTAAGTTTCAACATTAATCCAGGTCTTGCTTAGAGCAACCTCAGAAGCCTTGACTTATTAAGTAGAAATTATGAATATCCATTGTACCTCTTCCTTTCAGGTAGTCCCCCTGTATCTCCACTCTATCTCTACCACAAAAGACACAGCCACCCACATGGTGCAGTGACATGAAGAAATTGTTGCAAATATAAGTTGGCAAAGGGGCAGGGGGATATTGTAGAGGATCTTAAATGTCAGGTAAAGAAAAGCAAACTTTACCCTGGAGAAAATGATTTTTGATTGAAAGCAGTGGAAAGTGGTATGTTAGAAGTATTAAGAAGAAATCTGTATGGAAGACTGATTCAAAAGGAGGAGGAATGGAGAGACCAGTTTGGAGTCAATTATCATAGACTGTTGGGTGAGGTGATGAGGATCTGCAGGAGGTAAAAGCAGTGAGAATGGGAATGAGGCCAATGTTCAAAGGGTATTTGTGTAAAGACTTACTGGTGGTAGTGACAGCTAATATGTATGTGGCACTTATTACACTTATAAATAATTTATGCATGTTACACAGATTTAAGTGTTTTATCTTTGGGGGTGAGTACTTAGGAGAAAATAGAAGCATAGAGGGCTTACAAAACTTGCCAAGATCACAGTTAGCAGTAGAACTAAGAGAGGAACTCAGGCAGTCTGTGTCCATAGTCCCTGTGTTTACCTAGCACATAACATATACTGTATTGCCCTTCATGGTAAATAGTTATCCCAATATGATCCTGTAAGCTTTTATGTGGTGCATAACTGCATAAAACAAGGCAGTTATCAATTACTCACAAAGGACAGTGTGAGAAGGAACAATACTTTGTCCTTACTATTGTAAAGCACGTGGCCCCAGTTAATATAGTCCTACATCAGTGCCTTGGAAAGAATGCAGCCTGGGTGCTGGCAGGACATGCACTCCTTGACTTTCCCATGTAATGGAGAAGCCAATGCTTGAAGAGAATTACTGATTTTCCAGAAGAGCCACCTCTCCAATAATTTGAAATACTGACCACTTCAAAGACATTTCCTGACTGTATCTCATGTAGATGATAGAAAGGAAATATCCACCAAAAGCTAATTAAACAGTTTATTTGGGATATGGCAAATTCTATACTACTAGAATAAAATTATAATTGTGTACCTCTAAAGAATCTATTTCTAGTCTAGTAAGTATTTGCATCCTCAAAGTTCAACTATTGTCTTGATAAATTAATTTCCATTTTATTTCTCATACAAATAAACAAAATAAAGCAACACAAAACAAAAGCCTGTCTCCATCTTTTGATAAGAGACTCTGGACTCATTGTGGTTTGCTGAGTATCTGGTAAGTTTGTAAGAAAGGCAGAAGAGTCCTGGCATGGAATCACCAAAAACCCAAGTTCATTTATTTGGGCATTCTATGATATTGGTGGATTTATTTATTTATTTTTATTTTTGTCTTAACCTAGTTGGGGCTTACTTGCAACCAAAAGTACTCATTAATTCACCTTTTATTAATTTGCGTCACCCTGTTGACATGGCCTAGATTTGAAGCACAGAATCCTACACACGCCATTCTCTAGCAGGTTAACAAGAACTAGGCTCCGTGCCTCAGTGCATTATTGGGCTAAAAGCCCCATCCCTAGTGTAAAAGTTCAGAACCTGACAACAGAGCTGTTCACAGCCAGCCGCCATTACATGGTTAAGCCACCAGTGGGTGTGGTCTAAGAGCAGAGCAGAGTTCATTATAAAGGAAATGAAGTCATTCTTGTTTAACGAAGAGGCACACCAGGAACACGAAAGTTGTCCAGCTCTGGGACTCATGAAAAGCGGAGGGACACTAACGAGTCAGAAAAGAGCAGTTCAGGCTTATTACTGCTCAAATCGCATCTGTATAGTCTCCGTCCTGAAGGAGCATTTAACCCAGTTGAATTGGGGCAGAAAAGAACTTTTAAGAGTCATCTAGCTCTTTACCCAGACTTCAGGCAGAACTACCTATTCCTTTATGTAGAGAAACTCTTTTCACCTTAGCACTGAACAAGATCACTTCCATATAAGAAGAGATAAAAATGGCAGATAGGTATATGTATGTAGATGTCGGTATGTAGGCATGGAGATATGATTACCCCCTACCTGTTCCAGGATGAGTTTAAGGTGGCTCACATGGATTTATAAAATTCTAGCAGGATGATGTCATGTTTACCTTCCTGGAGTCTGGAGTTAAACTACCTGGGTTCACATTTCAGCTCTACACTGGCTTTGGATCTTGGAAAGTGTAAACCAAAATAAAATTCTAAGTCCCCCAACCAACTGGATGGACCACTCCTCTTAGCCAAGAGCATTCCAAAGTCAACCTGAAACACTAGTGCAGGCCCTGACGGGAAGGGGGCCACCGACGTGCCTCATTATACTCACTTCCCTTTGGAATTCAACCTGGTTAGCCACCACTGACCAGCACTAACATTAAAACAAAGCAGACTCTTGGTAGCAAGAAGATACCAAATTCCAACCTAATTCTAGTGTAGCATCACATGACAGAGGGCAGGCCCTAAAAAATATCAAAGTATTTTACTTCAAAATATACTTCTTTGACATATTTTGAAATGGCCAAGCAAAGCTGTCTCTTGTGGGGAAAATCTACATTCTGTAGAGAATCTCCTTCCTTTACCAGGTCTTTTTCCTGATCCAGTGGAGAATTAATTGAGTCTGACACCTTTTTAAGTTTGATAAGAAACATTTACAACCTATTATCTCTGAAGCCTGCTACCGAGAGGCTTCATCTGCATAATAAGAGCTTTGGTTTCCACAACCCCTTATCTTAAACCATATACTCCCTTCTGTTGATTCCAGGTCTTAAGAGAAACTCTTTCAACCAATTACCAATCAGAAAATCTTTGAATTCACTTATGACCTGGAAGACCCCGAACCTTTCCTGCCCTGGCTTTCCTGACCAAACCAATGTACATCTTACATGTATTGATTGATGTATTATGTCTCCCTAAAATGTATAAAACCAAGCTGTAGCCCAACCACCTTGGTCACGTGTTCTCATGATCTCCTGGGGATGTGTCACAGGCCATGTTCACTCTTATTTGGCTCAGAATAAATCTCTTCAAATATTTTACAGAGTTTGACTCTTCATCAACAGCAACTTAACATCTCTGTGCATGTTTCCTCATCAGTATAACAAGGATAATAATAGTCCATATCATAAATAAGTAGTACTGACACTTAATAGTACTTATCATAGTAACTATGACATACACGTTTCCTGATTTTAATTAAGATAACACACATAAAGCACAATTGCAGTGATTGGCACCTAGACTCTGTTTTTCACAGGTTTTCTGTTATTGAGAGAATATATTTAAAGAAATCTCAATTTATCCACTAACAGATCAAGGAAATACTAAAATGTGCTTTTTATCCCCTAATATATAACAAATAGGTAATTATTATGAGCATTTTATAAGAATTATTAATAAATTAGGTGTTATATAAAGAGCTCTTAGCAGGTATTCTGGCAGGTAATAAGCACACAATAAGTAAAAGTTGTTATTATTTTATTTAATATTATTATAACAAAATGGCACAACTTAAAACCATGGAGGAAAAATAAAGAATAACATGGATGGAGATAATAAAATAAGCTGGAAAGTTTGCTTAAATGTATTTATAATATATACACACACATGTATCACAAAATTGGATCTAAGTTTTCCAGGCATCACCATAAAATGGGAAACCTTTCAATTACACAATCACTATGTCCAGTCAACAAATACCAATCACTGTAGAAGGTAGAACTATCATGTTTAGTAAGACCTGGAATTCATTCCTCTCATGGGTCCTCATAAAGAGTAGAATGTGTACAGTAGAAAACAATCTCAATAGCATCCTTGCAGTAGGGATTGCTATGAGACCAATTTCTTATGCAGTGTGATAGCACCACATCAAAGTATAATTTAGTTAAAACATTCTACGGAGGTGGAGGTGGTGGCAACTGCACATGCTCCAGTACCTAGCTCTTTCCAGGTCATGTTTGACCAGAAAGAAAAACTGGATAATCTGGAGGAATGAATAATTTTTTCATAATGAACTTCACATTCTACAAGCAGTTCTTCCTAAGTAATGTCTTTCTCTGAATTTTTGATAAATGTTGAGCAATAAGGTTAAATAAACAAATAAGTACATGATAGACACAGACAGATGAGAAAGAGACAGAAAGAGAAAGACAACATTTTACATCCCATTGCATACAGTTTCCCTTATTGGCTATTTCTAATCCCCAGCAACTTGTTATCAAGAGGAAAGTCTAACTTGAATTCCTTTACTAGAGTATAAGCCCATTGCATGCTACACTACTCATAGAGAAGATGGAAAATATCTGGTCAATGGTATCTATAAAATGAAGTATTATGTACTTGAAGATAGCTTAAATATTTCCTTCTGGTCATTTTGATACATATGGTGAATATGTTGCTGTTGCTTGGATACATTCAGCAAGCTATTGTTTATCACAAATACAGTGGATTTTGAAAGATGAACTCATCCTATTAAATGTGATTCATGCAGATTACTGAGATAAAATATTTGCCCAGTTATCCTGATAGTAAAGGCCCCAGCAACTCCTGCCTATCCAGATAATGAGCACTTTATTTGAGGCATAGGACTTGCACTGAGAAGCAAAGCTCTAAAGAGTTGTAGCAAATATATATCTGTAAGAAGAGCTAGAAATAATTCTTCTTAAGCAAATATAACTGAGCATGTTAAACTCTGCTAAGCTTAGTTCAAGCTTGCTTAACAGTATTTACCTTGAAGCTGGATGTATTAAATGCTGAGATGCAGTTCAAGTCAACAATTTGAATTCTAGAAGATCATGCTTGAAATTTATATTCTTTTTTTATATCATAACTTTAAAATTATTTTAACTGTTCTGCATATTTCTAATAATCTCTAGCTGAAAAAGTGATAAACCTTGAGTTTTCCTCTTGCTGGAAAAGACAAAGTGTGATCTCAATATGCCTATCAACTTGCTGTGTAATAAGGCAAGATTGGGTGGATCTTTTCAATTTTAGAAAAATGAGCCTAATTTCCATGAGACAATTTGAGGCACTGTTTAATAAGCTTTTACCTGTCAGACAAGAGTGCAGGGGAAAAATTGCTATTTTTGGCTTCCCTCATGTAGATGACAGGAAGGAACACACTTAACATGTTCGCTGTCTCATGGTACTGGAGTTTGTGTAGATGTTCCAATGCAGATCAGAAGGTGACAGTGGTTCTGCTCCAAAACGAAAAGAGGACATAAGGAGCATTTCAGGAAATAAGCCTCCAATGGTTTACCTACAGAGAGCAAAATAGTCTTTCCTTCAGCATGGAAAAAGATAATCATAGTGATTTCTTATGCTCATGCCCACTCTTCCAAGTAGTCCGGAATGCACAGATTTACTTCAGGTGCAAACTCGGGTGGGAAAGGGCTGGAGATACTGTCCCAGAAACCAGTTTTGTTTGGCTGTTTTGAAGACCAGGACAGCGTTAACTGGGATTTCCTGAGCATGAGTATATATATATAACATATATATTATATCATATATATCATATGATATATGATATATATATCATATATATGATATATGATATATCACATATATCATATATTATATCATATATGATATATATCATATATAATATCATATATATGATATATATGATATATATCATATATATGATATATATCATATATATTATATCATATATATGATATATATCATATATATTATATCATATATATGATATATATCATATATATTATATCATATATATCATATAATATATCATATATATAATATGATTAATTTTGTTGCATATATATGGGGGGATAAGGGGGGCTTACATGTAGAAAGTGTTTTTGTGTTTGTGTATTTTTAATTTTTTCTTTTGTTTTTATAAGTGTGTGATTATTATGCAACTCATTTAGCAGGTCATAAAACCACTTCTTTGTTAAACAAAGCTTTGTGCCTTTTATTAAAATCTGAGTTCTTTGTGGGTATTTGTAATCTATGCTGTGGAAGGTATAAACATGGAATACACAAGCAGCCTTCATGTCATTAAAAACAGGGCATGGCACAGAGACTCCCAAGTGTTCAAGTCACATTTGAAGTTACAGTCATGCCATCCAAAGGTGTTGTTGACATTTCTTTCTGCCTGTATCCTTACTTCCCTGGAATTACGACTCTAGGTAATTATGAAAAATGAATGTGTAATTTTTTCTCTAAATTTCCATTATTGTGACTATGTAAAAATTCATGATTATTTTCCAAGAAAAAAGGGTAAACATACAAAGAGAAAACCAAAGTGTTTCCAGTATAATCCTCATCGGAAATATTTAATTTCATCAGGTAAGTAAATTCTAACCAACTTGAGGAAATGGCCAATTATAGATGAATATAAAGAAATTGGATCTGATTAGAGAAGCTGAATCCAAGAATAGTGAATTTAGTGGAAACGGATATTTAATAAATACCTCCTATTCCAATTGTCCACTGCTGCTTAGCAAACAAACCGTCTATATACTTAGTAACTTAAAGCATCAACGTTTTATTATTTTACACAATTCTGAGGTTTGGGTGAGCCATTCTGCTGATCATACCTGGGATCACTCACATTGCTACAATCATCTGACAGCTTGGCCGGGGATGGAGGTCCCAGATGACATCCCTCACAAGTCTTTCAGTTGGCCCCTGGCTGTTGCTGGGCCACCCAATTGTCCTCCAAGTGGCTATCCATTCTCCAATGGGGTAAACTGGGCCACCTTGTCATCTGGTATCATCTCAGAGTTCCAAGATAATGAACGAGGAAGCAGCAAGGCTTGTTAAGACCTAGATTTCAGAATTTGTACATCATCATTTCTGCCACTTTCAGGTCAACAAAACTCACATGTCCAGCCCAAATTTAATAGGTGGGAAAATGATAACATTCTTGATGAGAGGAGTGACAACAAACATTGCAAAGGGCGTGATTTATTAGCAACCATTATTCTATCAATCTATCATATTTTGGGGTTATTTGAATGAAACAAGATAGCGTTCTATAAAACACTTTGTTTGATTTAGAAAATCTTTCATTGTACTCACTTAAGAAGTAGAATAAAAATCTTGACAGATGAGAGTCTACCAAAGTTAGGTAGATTATAATTTCCCAAAGGACAGTGCTTTCTGCTTCCAGAATGTGGCCGTTAGTAGGTCCCCTATATGCACATTACTTGGCACTTAGAATAAGCTCAATGAATTTTTCTTGAATGAATGAAAGAAGAAATAATGACATATAATCCAATTACAAACACAAAAAGTTGAACGAGATGCAAATTTGAACTGCAGGTTTTAATTCTTCACCAACAGTATGAATTATACTTTTAGCACATCCATGAGTTCCCTTGTTTAGCTCCTTGCTTTTAAATATTTGATACTGATTGAACATTTGCTCCCAGTAAAGTAAGTGATAAGTGCAGATTTTTTCTCTGCATATAAAGAACCACTTTAGGAGTAATTGTAGATTCCCATTAACTTATGATTAACCCATATAAAGTTAACATACTTTCTCTGTGTTAAAAATAATGGCTTAAAGTTTATTCCAAAATCCCAACTTCCTGCCACATAAACAAACAAACAAAAAAAACTTGTTGAAATTGTAATCATCATTTTAAAAATTTCATTTTTTAGTTATTGACAAGAGAACTAGAGAAAGGAACATTCTTTTGAAAATTATTGTATTAATAGAGAAAAATACAGACAGCCAAATAGTAGGGGTGAGGCTTGTTAGTGATATCCCTATCTATATGGTTGTATATGTGTCTGTATATGTACATATATGCATGTGCCTGTGTGTATGTGCTGGCTCCCCAGTATCTAAATACTTCTCGTTTTTGAGATATCCTCAGTGAAGCTTGGTGATAGAAAAGCAGTTATGTTTGCTCTTCACCCGCTGGGCAGCTAAGAAATGCAACTTTCACCTATCTAGGTCTTTAAATCTTGAGGTAGTGATGCAAAAATACATAGACAATTCAGAAAATATTTATAACAAATGGCTACCTTCCTATAAGTGAATTAGGGAAATGGAACATGGCCAGTAATCATAGAATCCTGAGTAGTGTTCCCCACCTGGACAGCTATCATGCTCAGAGATTAGTTCATCCCCTGATGCTCAGACTCCCTTTGTTCCCACTCATTATTGGAGCCTGGTTTTTCAGGGGTCAAGTCTGTGAACCACCTACTATCCTTCTAGGAAATTGTTTTTCCTCATTAATTTTGTTGCTTACTGCTGCTTGAAATTGAGAACTGGCTGATATAGGGAATCCCATATTTTTATGTTTCCTTCATTTATTTATGCCCTTCGAACTGATTTAAAAGTGAATCAAATGGATAGATTGAATAAGCGTCTGAAATTCTACTTATTTAATCTTGAAATCTTCATCTCAAGAATTAATAGGATATAATATATTTCTTGAAGGATTACATATATTTTTCCAAAGGATATCTGTTGACCAGTTTAGGCCATGTTATAAAAAGGACATGCTGGATTCATATGTACTTTTGGAGACTTGGAGACACAAAACACTAACATATCATTCTTGATGGGGCCATTTGCAATGAGGTCCAAACTTAGTACCTGTGTGACCTTGACCCAGCCACTTCCCTTCTCTGTGCTTTATTATTCTCATCTGAAACTCTATAGCCAAGGGTTGCATGAGAATTAAATAAATTAATATTTGCAAAGCACATATGCTTAGCACATTATTGTCCCTACATGCGTTTGCTGAATAACTAAAATGCAAAAGTAAATCCTGTAGAACTGTATAATATTTTATATAATTGTGTCTAATCTCAAAAAATGTTTTACATAACAACAACAAATTCTCCCTATTTCATAGGTATAAAATTAGGCATTAAAGTGGGATAAAGTCCATGCTCAAGCACTATGGAGTATACATTTATCCATTCATTTATTCATTCACTCCCCTAGAAGGGGTGTGTTAAGTGCCAAGCACTGTGCTGGACACTGTGCCTGGCACGGTAGGCAAATTTAGAATCACTGTCTTCTAGGACATTTCATTTAGAACCACTTAAGTGTCCTTACCCTCAAAGAGTTAAGGTAATTTAAAAAATCATAAATGAGATATCTGTTCTACTATGCCCATTTAAATAAAGCAGGGATTGGCCAATATGTAGCTGGTAAAGAACCAGATAAGTATTTTTGGCTTTGTGCCATATGGTATCTCTCTGTTACAACTATTCTACTCTGCAATAGTAGCATCTAAGCAGCCATAGACAATACACAAATGACAAACAAAGAAAGGCAGCAGGCTATACCTGACTCATGGGCCAGAGTACACCAATTCTTGGTCTAAAGGCTTATGATTACCATCTGTATAAGGGTTTTGCTCCTGAATCCCAGGAGGAGTATGATCACTATCCACTTTTATTTATGAACACTCTTATCCACAAACCTTGGTCAATGACCTAGAACAGTCACAAAAACAGAAGAAAGGACAAAGAAGCTGAAATCTATGGACACCCTTCCAAGGTTTGTACATTACATACCAAGTGGGAAAAATCAGATTCTAAGCTTCACATTTCAGTATGTTACTAATCATGATTAATTCATTTTGTATTCATTGTAGGAACATTAATCATGATTAATTAATTGGGTATGAATGCAAATATAACATTTAATTTCTTCCAAATTTCAAGGGGAGCCTACTTCAATGAACAATTGAACAAAAACGAGTTGTGGACGGAAGAGAACAGAAAGTTTGCGATGCCAGCCATAAAGTGCAAGAGGAAACAGTATAATCTGGCACTGCTTGACTGCTATATTAGTAAGTGACGGGTTGAGTAGGACATAAATACAGTGTATATGTCGCTTAGTTACACCTCACAGTGAGTGAATATTTATAGGAATACAAGAAACTCCAGAGCTAGGGAATGACACATCTCCGGTTTAGGCAAAATTGTTACTGGTCCTCTAGTCCTCACCTCTCATTCACTTTCTGAAATTTCTGACAGGGTAACGTTTCTCAATCACAGCAGAGAAAAATTCTCAGTTGAAATCACTAATGTCTGAAGTTGTTTCTTTATAATGATTTTATTCTACAAGGTTAAAACAACAGCCTGTCATCTTCCCTTTCTCTAACATGCATACATTCATGTCCTGCCAAAGTATCAATTAGTGGAAAAATAATATTATTAATTGGTTTGTGTTTTTCATCTCTAGTCCCAACTCAATGTTTCAGTTTTTAAAAAACGTCCCTTTATTCTAGGTGATATCATAAATTATATTAAAAATTACCATATAACATAGGTTAAGGGCAGAAAGATAGGAAATGTGTACAAACTAATTCCATTACATTAACCCTAACCAACCACATTCTCTTGCTAACTTTAAATGAAAATGTTAGTTCATTTATTCTCATTTTCTGCTATCATTGATGACATTTTAAGGCCAGGTCTACTGAAAGTTTGAAAAAGGAAAAGTGGAAGGCCTGGACTATTTAACCACAGAACAAACAAATGCAACCAAGTAAGAAGGCAATTGTATTTTCTTCCTTCCTTTCCTTCCATCCATCCTTCCTCCATTCCTCCTCACTCTCCTTCCTTCCTTCTATCCTTCCTTCCTTTTTTGCTTCCTTCTTTCTTTCCTTTCTCTCTGTCCCTTTCTGTCTTTCATCAACTTGCATCCCCTGCAACATAACAGCTGAGCTATGACCCACTATTTATATTCCAAGACCGTCATGCTAATTTAGGCTATTGTACTTCTATATGACCGAGCTCAAGTGGAGACTCCTTTAATTTCTCTAGTTGAGTCTGTTGTTCATGTGAACCCCATGGTATTTTTCCCTTCTCTTCATATACTACCTACAATGTTGGATTGTGATTGATATCTACACATTTACCTCCACTTACAGACTGTGAGCTCTGTGAGGAGAGTCTATTTCTAATTCATCTTTGTGTCTCTCTCCTAGTATTGAGCCTAGCATACAGCCTGACTCGTGGTGTGGAATGTGCCTAACACGTGTTTTTGCAGAGAATGACCTCACCTCCCAGGCACTGACTCGCCTTCCTTCCACTTACCTTCTCCTTACAATTGATCACTTCTCCACTCTAGCCATGTAATGCAGAATAGAATAGAAAAACTTCCTCAACCAGAACATTTTTAACATGTTAATTTTCAGTTCAAAATCTGCAGCAGTTTGATATTTCATATAATTAGAAAGCCTAGATTGTTCAGCTTTTCAGAATATATCACTTAGCCTCATCAAAATCATTTCTCTTACTTCTCTAACAGCAAAGAGCATGTATATTCTATCCCTGAGATGATTGATTTCTCCACTTTTGCACTTCAGCTTTTCCTTACAGCTCTTAGCTATTTCCTGCGAAAAACAAAACAACCACCCACTACCGACAACAATAAAACTACTTAAACTTTCTATATTGGAACTTTGCCTTTGTTTGTTTCTTATCTAACCAAAAGAACTCCTTCAGTGGTCTTTCTCTGCTCTTTTTTACTTTCCATGTTTGAATGTGCTTTATATGTGCTCTTAAGTCCATTGTATAGATGTCTTTTGCTTCATTGTCTCTATCACATATTAGAAGGGTAAAGAGGAAACACTTGTTTTTTTGTCTTTCTATTGTTGTTTTGGACAAGCATTGAGGGACAGTATCTCTCTTCTTCATTCTTAGCCATTTGGTTTCTGTGGCATTCTCACCTCTAATTTTAGATGTCAGCCTTGATTGGCCCATTTCCTCTAACCAAGGGACTGGTTCAAGGATGGGAATGTAATTGTATCAGATTCTACGACTTAATAGAAGATATTTCTAAGAAAGAGGAGCTTCCTCTTCTCTGGGAGTTAAAAATCAGTCTTTCTTTTCTGGTTGGCATGTTGAAGATGTACCATTCAGAACCACCGGGGAAGCACTGTGGCATCCTGCTGGGAGAGAAAGAGCTGCTTTGCCACAGTGTGGAACCTGAGGATAAACCTCCTTTAAGAAACATAAGTGTAGATAGACTAAGAAATTATGCCTTTGCACTATCATTTAAACTGCTGGAGCAAGCTTCCAGTGAAGCCAACCTCTGGCTTTTTCAGTTATGGGAGACAACCAATTCCCTCTATTGTATACATCAACTTGCATTGGGTTCGCTGCCACTGGAAACTACAAGTTTTCTCACTGGTGTATAAACCATGGACTGAATCAACATAAACCTGTATTTGAATTCCGACTACGTTACATTACATTACAACCCAAACAGTCATACAAACTTTCTCTGTCTTGTTTTTTCCATCTAAAAAATGAAGATAACATCCACTTCTCATGTATGTGCAAGTATATATGTGTATGTGTATATATATATATATATGATGTGCATGTGTGCCTATATATATATGATGTGTATGTGTGTGTGTATATATATATATATATATATATATATATATATATATATATATGTCGGTATTCTATGCCACATGTCTGGAAAGAGTTGTGATTCACCAGAGGTAGGTGGCGAGTAGCTATTTGCAAAGCTGAATTATGAATCTCTGATTTAATACACCTTTCTAGAGCTACAGAGTTTTATTTCCATTTGACAAAGATCTGTGGAGCTCTTACCAAGTTGTGACAAGCAGCCATTTTTCCCCACTTCGATGAGCTCATACTGTTGCTAGGCTGTGTCTTGTAAATCAGGAGAAATCATCATATAAATTCTTCTGGAGGGGGAGTTGGATATGTCAGCTAATCTCTGCCACATTAATTTCCAGTGGATCATTTTATACAAATTATATTACTTCCTCCCTGGGGTGGGAGGTGGGGGCAGAATCAATGGGGAGGAAGAGAGGTGGAGAGAAGAAAGGCTAATAGAAAGCTATACTATGTTTTCTTGACTTTCACATATACAGAAGGAATGGAAGGAAACATCTTACTACGACATGGGGCATAGAAATATTTAAATTGAAGACACTCAAGACTTTTATCTAAAATTCAAGAGACCCAACCTTGATTTCTAGACCTTATTGGGAATGCAGCAAACACAAGCATAATCCTCCTATTTCCAAACAGAGAGAAATCTAGTCACTGTTTTTCTGGTGATGGACAAACACCATTGAGTAGAAAGCACTATTAGAAGTGCTAAGGGGCAGATGGCTGATTGCACAATCATCTAGAACCAGGACCTGCTAATGTTTACCATCCTGAGCTGTGAATGAGGACAAGGTGCTGGGGACGTAACTCCAGGTTTATCTGATGGCTTGTCAGCAAATGCTGTAACATTTTCATCACCCAGGCTGACAAGTTGTGCCGAATCAGGAAATAACTTGTTTTGAGGCATGCAGATGTCTCTGCGTGTCTTGTAAACAATCTGGGGGGTGGGGGGAATTGAACAACAAAGGGCAGCTTTGCAGATCACAGCCCAGGATGATTGCTTGACAGGTCTGTGCCAACTCTGCTGGCGATCAAATAAAAACGAGCCGTTCCCCTTCTCTGAGGACTCCGTATTTTTAAAGGGGAATAATAAATGCAAAGCTGTGCAAAGCCTGGCTGGGGGAAATGTGAAATCCATCTCCTATCATTTGCATAACATAATCAGCAGTGCTCTGCTAATCAGGCTGGGGGAGGCAGTTGGAACACGTGTTTCATAGAGAGGTCCTGGAGCACGCCCCAAAGTGCATGCTGCGCCTTCCTGAGCTCTAACCCCTGGGTGACTGACACACTCTTGACACACTCTCCCCTCCCCCAGGACTGAAGACCACTAAAGCTGGCATCCCATTCTCACTGGTTTTTCCACGAGAAGGGAGAACCATATCACAGCAACATCTGCCTGCATTACCTGCGTCTGTCTTTTAAAAGAAACTGGCATTTGCCCAGCTTATAGCTGTGTGCATGGGAACATGACTGAGTAGGAGCAGTCCATACCATTTCTTCCTTTGTGCTTGAATGACCCATATTTCAGGGATGCAGCCCTGGCCATTTCGGAAGGTGTCTGGAGACCGAGGTAATTCATATCATTGTAATTCTACAGCACAAAGTGCCACTGGGTCCACTTTGTATTAATGTTTCCATGGCAATCCGATACTTGACATTTTATTTAAACTATTAATCTAGCATGGCTCACCAGCCAGTGTGAGGAAAGTTGAACCCCAAGATTTCACTTCTGGAATCAATATTAAACCAATAGGTAAGATGCATAATTAACTTTCACGGTTTTAAAAATCCAGCCACAATGGGTGCTAAACACATTACAAAATATAGGCTCACTCCAATTGCTCCCTTTGGGGCCTCCTTTTGTTACTTACATTCAAAAGAGATTGCAAGGGCTGGGCTTCTGAAGCTCCCCAGCCCCTGTCCAGGCCCTCCAACCAGCCCTGCCACATACACTGCAATTCTAGAGTCAATTCAAACTGTATATGATTAAAAGATGGAAATATTCCCCATGGACTTTGGGCAATTTATTTGTGAAAAAGATTTAATGAAGAATCTCAAAGCAGACAGTGCCCTACAAAGAAAGCTCATTTGTGAATCTCTATGTTCTCTTTGCTGCCCTGAGCTCATCTGAGGGAAGGAGGAGGAATCAGTGCCCTGAAGCTATTGCCAAGTGTATCGCATGTGAGTTTCTCAAGACAGAAATATTCTCAGGCAGCTAAAGGCATTAGAACAAGCTGTTTTTAGACGGTCATCCTCCAGTCAGGGCCTCTGCAGGCCAAATTGGGAGAGAGGCTCTTTGCCTTCAGTGTCCCTATCACTCTAGTTTCTGGTCCTCAGTGGTGTCCTCTGACCCTGGGTATCCAAAGGTAAATTCGCACAGGCTCCCTCTGTGAAGGTCATTGCTTCTTTCAATGTCACAGAAGGACCTTGTTTCATTTACCTGTCCTTTAGTATATGGATCCCAGGTGATACAAACCCCCGCACTCATATGATAATGGACAATAAAGGATAATAAAATCCGTTTCCTGGGACATTTAATCTTCAGGGTAGGAGGCATCTGAATTCAAATTCTCCCTCCTAGCTGTCTGAACTTGGGCAAATTATTTAAACTCCTTGGGCCTCAGGCATCTCATGTGTAATTTGGAAGAAATAAATTATCACTCATAGGGTTTGGTTTTGCATGTGGATTAAATAATATTATGAATGTAAAGCCCTTTAAGTACATTTTAAAATACCAGTTATTGTTTATAGTAGGAGAAACCCAATTACACATTTTAATCCAAATAACCTTTTAAGGGGAATCTGATGGGACCCTTCAATGAGCAAGAGAGGACTGGTTAGGGGATGCCTTTCAGAACACTTAAAATTGCATCAAAGTGCTATCCCCAATTTAATGTAATCCCAATCAAAATCCCTGCAGAATTTTTGTAGAAATTGACAAGCTGACTCCAGAATTGATATGGAAATGCAAACCACCTGTAATAATCAAAGCAGTCTTGGAAAAAAAGAGCAAAGTCAAAGGACTTAAATTGTCTGATTTTAAGATTTACTATAAAGCTATATTAGTCAAGAATAGTACTGACATCAGGATCAACATATAAATCAAAAGAATGTAATAGACAGCCTAGAAATCAAACCACACTTAGTCATTTGATTTTTGATGAAGATGCCAAAATAAGGCATCTGGGAAAGGAAAGTCTTTTTAACAAATGTTGCTGGAACAATTAGATATCCATATAAAACAAAACAAATAAACAAAAACCTCCATGCCTACATTACACCATATACAAAAATTAATTCAAGGTGGAGTGTATCTAAAGATAAGATCATTTAGAGAAAAATACAGAAGACTATCTTCAGGAATTGGGGATATGGGAAGGTTTCTTAGGTCATATAAAGCAATAACCACAAGAAGTTGATTAATTTGACTACAACAAAATTAAAAACTTCTGTTCATCAAAAAGCTCACTTAGGAAAACGAAAGGTAAGCCACAGACTGGGGAAAAATATACCAGAGACAGGGTATATAAGGGAATCAGGCTGAGTGTGGTGGTTCACACCTACAATCCCAACACTTTGGGATGCCAAGGTGTGAGGATTGCTTGAGGCCAGGAGTTTGAGATCAGCCTGGGCAACACAGTGAGACCCTGTCTCTACAAAAAATTTAAAAATTTGCTGAGTGTGGTGGTGCATCTGTAGTCCCAGCTACTTGGCAGGCTGAAGCTGGAGGAGGATGGCTGGAGCCCAGGAGTTTGAGGTTACCAGGAGCTATGCTTGCCACTGCATTCCAGCCTGGGCAACAGAAGAAAAGAGAAATCACACAACTCAATAATAAAAACACCAACAACTCAATAGAAAATAAAGAAAATATTTGAACAAACATTTTGCAAAATGAAACATAGCAAGTGGCCAATAAGCACATTAAAAAGTACTTAATATCATTAGTCATCAGGGAAATGCAAATTAAAGCCACAATGAGATACCACTTTAACATCCATGAATATGGCTAAAATTAAAAAGATCGATAACACTAAGTGTTATCAAGATTGTAATGGAACTCATACATTGTTGATGGGAAAATAAAATTGTGCAATCACTTTGGAAAAATTTTTGGAAGTTTCTTATAAAACTAAGCATATGCCTTATAACTGAATATTACCTATAACTCATGATTCCTTTCTTAGGTATTCATGCAAAAGAAAGGAAAACTATCTTCACAAAAATTCTTGTTTATGAGTGATCATGGAAGCTTTATTCATAATAGCTCAAAAGTGGGAATAAATTAGACATCTGTCAAAAGAAGAATGAATAAACAAACTATAGTATATTCACACATGAAATACTACTCAGCAGTAAAAATAAATTAATAGCTAATATATGCAGCAACACAAATGAATCTCAGAAACATTATATTTATGTGAAAGAAGCCATAAACAAAAGAATATATACTGCATGATTCCATTCATATGAAATTCTAGAGTAAGTAAAGCTAATTTCTGGTAGAAAAAAATTATAACGGTTGGAGTTGAAGATCAACTATTAAAGGGCATAGATACTGTTCTGATCTGGATAGAAATTTGGGCTACAAAGCTGTGTGCATTCAGAAAAAATTAGTGAAAATTTTCTTTATGCACAAATTTATGCATTTCATTATATGTAAACTATAAATCAAAAGAAAAAATTTAACAAATACTAAATTCTAGTTAATAATATGCAACTGTCTGCAATTTGCTTTGAAAGGCACCCCAAATCAGGCAGATTAAAATATAGAAAGAGGGATGGATAGACAGATATGTGATAAAGCAAGCACAATAAAATGCTAATGGCTGAATCTGAAGGGTATTCATATAAAATTATTTCATGAGTATGTTCGAAATTTTTCAAAATAAAATGTACGGGAAAAGTGTTACTCACTGCCTTTATTTACTTGCAATTACTCAAAGAACTCTCACAAGGCAGTTTCCACATTGCATTCTTTAGCCTTTTGATTGATTATATTCTATTTATTCATTTGTTTAACAAATAATTTTGGGGGCATCAGCTATAGAGTGGGTATTGGAATGGGCACTGGAGATCCAGTAGTGAATAAGATCATTACTTTGCTAGAAGGAACTTACATTCTAGTAGGTACCAATATATAATGAGCAAATAGACTGGTTACCAATGGTGATTTGTGTCATAAAAGAATCAGTCACACGGCTGAGACTGAAGGTATAGAAGGGACCACCTATTCTAGGTAGGGCAGCCACAAAGGGCCAGACATGTAAGCTGAGGCTGTTGGTAGAGCTCAGGGAAGAGCAACCCAAGGTGAAGACACAAGGTGTGTACAATTCTGGGCATACCTCAACAACGGAAAGACTAGTGAAGCTGGCCCAGGAATGGGGAACCGAACTGGCAGATACAAGATCAGGTGGGCCTTGTAAGTCATGGCAAGGTGTATTCTAAGTGCAATGGAAAGCACTGGAGACATTTAAACCAAAGTGTGACATGATCAGATTTATATTTTAAAATCAGTGTCCCTGCTGTGAGGAGAATGCCCTGAAAGGAACGTGAAGCTGGGTGCAGTGGCTCATGCCTATAATGCCAGAACTTTGGGAGGCCAAGGCGGCTGGATCACCTGAGGTCAGGAGTTCGAGACCAGCCTGACCAATGTGGTGAAATCCTATCTCTTCTAAAAATACAAAAAATTAGCCAGGCATGGTGGTGCACGCCTGTAATCCCAGCTACTTGGGAGGCTGAGGCAGGAGAATTGCTTGAACCTGGGAGGCAGAGGTTACAGTGAGCTGAGGTTCATGCCATTGCACTCCAGCCTGGGCAACAAGAGCAAAACTCAGTCTAAAAAAAAAAAAAGGAATGCGAGAGTTCAATGAGAGTTAGAGAGACCAGTGCCAGATGACAAATGACAGTAGCCCTGGCCAAGGTGGCGAGATTGGGCATGGCAGGAAGTGGATTGATTAACACTGTGTTATATTTGGGGCTGAATATGACTTTTTGGGTTCTAGTTGTCCAACGATATACAGGTAGGTAAGTAGGTAGACAGATATAGATATAAATATATAAATATAGATTATATACACATATAGATCTACATGCAGTTTCTGACTAAATGTCATATTGTGCCCTGAAGTCAGGAGGGAAAGGAGTTTTTTAAAAGTTTTTCAGTCTCGGGAAGGCAGACAGGGCAGTGCAGGTGAAGCAACTTTTCACCCATCTTCCAAGCCAGCAGTGCAGGTGGTTTTTGCCATCTTGTTATGTTAGTGGACTGCATATTAAGATCTTTCAAAAATTAGTTTTAAAAAACAGAGTCCTGCTTGTTCAAATGGGCTAAATTAAGTGGAGATTTAAAAATCAGAACATCATATTGTACCTGGTAAATACAGACAGTTTTATCTGTCAATTAAAAAAATTAAAAAATCATCAGTATTATTATCAGTGAAACTGTGTTGAAGATCATTGCTGTTGGAGAAAATAGAAGTCTGTTTTGGTTTGTTTTTTAACTAATCCTCCAGATTGCTTGTCAGTCTGTATTAATCAAAATCACCAGATACTACTCAGCACTGCTCCACTTTGCTCACATAGAAGCAGTCATAGCATTTCATCTTAAAAAATTATAAAATAAAAACATCTTGGCAATCTGGCTCACACATCTGTCACTGCACTGTTTGCCAGGGCTAATTTGGCTCATTTGGTTAAGTTAGTTGGCCAGGGAGCATCCCTATATTGCTCACACTTTACCTTCTACCCTGGGAAGCTTTCTATTCTGAGGACAATCTTCTTTGATGGAGAAGCTTGCATAGCTGTTCTTCTCTTCGAGACCTCTAAATATTATTTCAAAAACTGGTTTTGTTATGGTTAGAACCAAAAGCTAACTAATGTTTATATACAAAGAACAGTTCTGTTTACCCTTCTACTGTGAGGCATATTCACATTTGGTTGAAGTGAAAAAGCTCTGTCTTAATTGGATATATCAGAAAAGGAAGACATTAAACTAGCTAGATATGAGAACTTGTTTTCATTAGGTAATTGCCGTCGGAGGTCTTAATGAAGGTAGAATAACCTTTCCTCAAACAAACAAATTGTAATTCTTAATATGACATGCAAATAAAAATCTAATTCATGGTTGTACATACTGGGCCTTTATGGCTCACTATTCTTTTCTGTGGGCCCAATATATTTTTATGAAAAGAACTACCTCATAGCTCAAGGACTATGGCCTTCCTCTGTGGAAAGAAGTTGGCTACTGAATCCTGCTTTCCACCCAGGAGGACACTATTACCTCTCCCCGGGAAGGATGTGTGCTGCTGAGTTGTTGCTCTGATGAAATATAACGGATGTACTACAAAACATCAGAAGTTTACCTGGTCTCCTTTGCAACTAGAGTACTCATGCAGGGTGGTTTAGCTGGGGACTGAGGGGAAGTGGTTCACACAGGGTTGGGCTAAAGTCTTTGGTTTCCTTCTTCCTTGTGGTCCAGGTGAGGTAGCAAAGGCCATTCCTCCTCCATTGTGCTGTGTTCAAGAAAACTGCAGAGTTAAGAAAGAACAAGGATCATCAATCAGGACTTCTGGGACTTTCATTTTTAACCAGAGTTGAAAACACAGGGGCTTGGAGACCTTTCTGGTAACCCTTTAAACTGAAGTCAAAGGGTTCAAAAAGAAAAGGAAAGTCTATGAAATATATACCGAAGGCAGAAACCACAGTGAGAGAGGGAAGTAATATGTGATTTGGGATAGATGCCTTTGACATATTCATTGATCTCAGTGACTTGCAGAGTGCTGATAGCACTCTGGCCTCAGGGTGAGGCGCCTTGCCAGCTTCCAGATCAAAGGAGTGCCTAGGTGCTGAATCCCTGGCGTACTCCCAAGCAAAAGTGCCTGGAGCCACATTTGCTAATTACAGGTTGTGTTCTGCTGTTTCCAAACAGGGTGAAAGTGACAGAAGTTTAACTGTGAATAATTACACACTTGAATAAGTATGTGATTAGCACTATTTGTTGTGGTTGGGACTGGAGTGATGGGACAAGAATGGAGTGATTGCATTATTTACAGCTTAATTGTAGACAAGTAATTACTTATGTAAGCTGATGGTGTGAGGTCACAGAGGACCTGCAAAAGAATGTAGATGATCTGAAATTCAACTTCTCAAGCCAGTCACTGCGCCTCCCCCATCCCTTTTGAGCTTGATAAAGAGAACCAACTATGCATTTCTTGAATGAAATGCTTAGGAATGTTAAATGTCTTGTTCAGTCTAAGCAAAGGATCAGCAGAGATATTTTAAAAATCTCAGCTTCCAAAGTAATAAATCACAAATGCCACCTAGTGGCTTTTAGTATCCAGTGGCTGCATTATCTGTAGACTGTAGCTATAGCCCAGTTAAGGAGAGGACTTTTCTAGTCGGGGAGTGGGTTGTTCAGTTAGGAAAATTGAGATGAATGGACCAGGACTCAAAGTCCTTCAGCCTGCCTCTCCCTTCACTCAGCTCTACTAGAACATCAGAGCTGAAAACTCCCCCCACCTTACACCATTGTAACTTCCAGTAGTGCAGTAGAAATTTGACTGCAAATCACTGTGCAGTTTTTATTTTCCCCTGAGCCACTAACATAATAAATGAGGAAGTCAACAGCTTTCATGATTTGGGAGTAGATTCATGGTTGCATTTTGCTGGCTGCCGCTTCTCATTCACAAGGTGGTTGAAAGCCACTTTTCCAATATCACATGCCTGGTTTCAAGTGTTCAGGTCTAGATTTAAATCTGGAGGGATTCTGTTGTCATAGACCCTCCCAGGGAGTGTGCTATTTGAGAAATGTATTGAGAAAGGTGGGGTTGAGAGAATGAACAGCCCTCTCCCCAGCTTGTTTTTATAATATTGCTAAAAATAAATAGACAAATCAATTTTCCTCTAACAGCTCAACACTGGACAAGTAAAATTCTTTGACTAAGATGCAGAAAATATTGCTGTAAACCCAACAGCACAAGCTGAGAGGTAAACAGGCCTGCTGTGCTCTCCGTGTAGATGCTGCCTTTCCCAACCAATTGAAACCACTGTTTCTCTGGTTGTAACACCAGACAAAAAAAAAAAAAAAAAAAAAAAAAAAAAGGAATGGTGATCCTCCAGTTGTTTCAGGCCACAGATTCAAGAATATTATTTGTAGGAGGAGGCTACTTTCCATTTGAAAGAGCTATGATTTCATCTGTCATGCCATTTATCATTTCCTATTTTGGGTCAATTTCCCTCTGCATTTGGAGCCCTCAGCAGAGTGTCCATGCCACTTCTTTGTGGGACATTCTCCTGCAGATGACCACTCCTACCCTACCCAGGACAACATCTTCACTCCCAGGATTGTCCTCACTCTCCTGGACACTATCACCTCTCAAAACATATCTAATTAGATACAGCACTTTCTTTTCACAAGGATACCACTTATTGGTATGATATCAATATCATACCAAGGAAGGAGTCTCTTTCCTTCTCTAATGTGGGGACATCACCCTTGGATAGTGTATTAATCACACTTTTATTTTCTGTATCTCTGAGGCTTTGACTCCTGGGACTTGTGGATCCTGGAGAGATTGACCCTCCTAGGGCAAGTCAATTTCTAGACATAGCAAAAAACTCACTCCTTAGCCGCCTTTCATATGCAAACTAACCAATCTAGGACCCAGCAGCCCACCGCCTACTTTATCAGGCTTTTATACTCTTGCCACTATTCCCTTCCTTTAATCATCCCAGAGCCAACAAGAACACTGGAGAAGTCCCTATGCTCCAGAGCCCATGCAAATTATTCAGGCTATGCAATCCTAAACCAGCTTACCCCGCTCGGCCCATTCCTTCCTAGGGAAACGACAGTTGAGGCTTGTGCCCATACTTGGCCTTCATTTCCTCTGCCTCCTGACTGACCCCGGTGCTTCCCAGTGCGACCCTGGGTGGCATGATGTGCCCCACCCCCCATAGGAACTTGGAGTAATAATCTTTTCAATGGCAGTAGTCCTCTGATCTGTTGGCCTCACTGTCCCTGAATAATAATACAATCTATTTTTTAAAGCCGATAGCCTTTGTCTAAACCTAGCCATGCTTCTCCAGAATGCTTATTCCAGGATATCACTTCCTCTTTCTTCCTTAGAGCTCTCATCCCAAATGCCCACTAAACAAAAATATACACATCTTACAGTAGGAAAGCCTCATTTCATCAGAAAATCAATTGTGTTGGGCTGACACTTGTCAGCTCCTTTCTGGCTGTTCTCCTCCCTCTGTCACAAACCCCACCTCTGACCACCTAGGGGGATATTCTACTCTCAAGGATGGACAACTCCTCCATCCCACCTCACTCTGTCCACGGAAGGGCATATCCCTTTTCTTAGAGATGTTTGGCTGCTTTCTTCTCTTCCCCCAATTCTTAATCTCCTGCTAATTCAGAAATAACCCTTTTGGAACTATTTATTACCTCTTTCACTTCACCTTTCAGGTTACTTTGTGATCATGTTTGTTTTGAAATATCTAAAATGGGCTGTGTATTTTGATAAAAAGAGATTGGCTTTCAGCCAAAGAGTAAAGGGCTGAAATGGAAATGTCAGTGAAATGGGAAGCTCACTGGAAGTTCAGCTTGGAGTCTGACCTTAGCACTACCAAGGACAAAATGAGTTACTGTGGCCAAGTCACAACTAATCAATACATTATGTTTTCAAATGTAAACTGAGAAAACAAGTCAGAGGACATATCAAGAGTCATTAATAGAAGGGACACTGTGCACCCTTTGGGAGCAGCCCCTCCTAGGATACCCACTTTAGGATAATTCTGAAAGGGTAAAAAAGATGCATCTTTCTGCCATGAGTAAAAAGTCTCTTTCCAACATGCTCTTTGCCTTCTATGTAGTGATGTCTTCTGGCTTTCAAGTTTTAAAACCTGTATGCCCTTGATCCTACTCCTTCCTCCACTATTCACCTCCTTGGAAATCTGAGAGACATTCATGTCCCAGGAGTGACCAGCTTGAAGAGAGCTGAAACCCAGCCCCATTGCACAGCTGGCTCCCAAGGATCTATCTTGGGTAAGTAGTCTCCAATTATCCCAGTACCTTAGGGAGCTCATTTTGGATTTTGTAGGACAGGTGACAGTGTCATTCACACAAGGGCTGGTTTAGGTCATACTTTCCATATAAGCAACTGAGCAGCACTCTGATCTCTTCTTCCCTCCCAAATCTTCTCCATTTAGCATTTTTCTATGATACAAACACTGGCTCAATTTTACACATTTATGACACTGGTAAGGAAATTTGATTCTTACCAAAATGCTTTCCCACAGAGCTGTGCTTTCTAAAACAACTGAAAAGGTATGCTTTGAGCACAAACATGTTGCAGGTTGCCAGACACCAGCTTAGCCCTAGCTATTGTTCAAAAGTTCAATGAATAAAGCAGAGTGTTTTTACCTTCTCCTCTTTTCTTTTCTAGCTATACCAATAGTGGAGAAATAAGCCTCCTGTCCTAAAGGAACTAAGCCTACTGTATTTTTACAATTAATATGTGTTAGTTATTTTATGGAAAGGGGGCAATGAGAGGCTTTACATTGTCTTTGACTTTCATTTCACAGCCATCAGTGTAAAAGGTTCTATCCTTCACCACTTGAGCAGCCAGCCACTAAACATGCCAGTCAGAAGAGGATGTTAAATTGCTGGCGACTGCAATGGCATAAGCTATGTTTAATCATTTACTTTGAATCTGTTTAAGACGATAATACCCTAGCCTATAAGAGAATCAATATGTTGCATTAAAACAGGATTTGATGTCGCATAATACAATATTTAAAAGCACAATGGAAGAGATTCTCAGAAGAACAATTCAGCCCTGAGTAGAAACAGATAATGACTGCTGTGATTTCCACTCTCCTGTTTTTAAAGGAGAAGTGATTTTTTTTTGAAAGACATATTTTTATCAAACTTTTATCAAAACTTGTAAACTATATGAAGCCATTGAGCCCAAATGCCTTTAGATTAGTCTTTAAAGAAGCACATAATATGCCTAGGAGGCAGGGCAGTGTAATCAAAATTCCCGTTTTAATGAAGTAGCAGCTCAAAATGTCATGAGGTACCATGCCAAAGCAACAAGTGAATGTCCCAGGGTACTTGTTGAAGGGAATTATCACTCTTCCTTACTCATTTTCTGCCTCCAATAAAAACAGCAGGGTCTCTGGCTTGGAACCAGGCTGAAAGGAGTAGCAGCAGTTCTTGAGAGGATGACAAGAAACAGGAGTAGAGTGGAGGCTGGGCCACCTCTCCTCCCTACAGCTTTTAGGTGGTGAGTCAAAATGGCTCTGTACCAAGCAAACTGGAGATATAACTGAGCTCACTGAGGGAGTTTCCAAGGGATGCATCCTCCAAGACCTCCTTATGTACTTAGGCGATAGTGCCAAGTGTTTGGGTTTAGTAAAAAAAGGACTTTACTGGGATTTGGGCTTGGCCACTAATTTGCTGACTTTAAGGTTTCAGCTCTTCTAAAATTGTATGCAAAGCCATTTCCTGTTCCACAAGGACTGCCTGGGAGTTAGTGAATCAATGACTCAGATGTGCTTTGAGCTCCTTGGCAAGTTTCTAATATTCCAAAGTGTTGCTCTATGTGAAAGATTTCCTGACTCCAGTTGGTTCAACAGCAGTTACATCTAATGCCAATCTCATTGAGCTGGGACAGGTAGAAGACTGGGATTTCCTTTGTTCAACCACCCCATGACCTAAGGCAGTCTGGCACAAAATGGTTTTGTGGATGGATGAGCATCTGTTCTTATTTACAAGGATGCCACCAAGTACTGCCACGTTCATTTCCTACCTCCTGGGAGTTTTGTGAGGTTTATCATGATTATTTCAGCAGTGCACCAGTGAAGACAAGAGATTTGGAAGTGTAAAACATATTTAGTGTTTGCTGGTGACTAACACATGCTTTCAATTTGCCACTTACTTTAAATCTGTGATTTTCTTCATCACTGAATTTATGTTGAATGTGCTTAGAAGGTGAAAGTCGGTGAGGCAAAGCATTTTGAAATTGTTCTGGTGATTTTGTTTTCTCTTTAAAGCTCACATTGTTCAACACATAGGTAGACACAAAGCTTGCATATCCTATTAACAGAGGCACACTTATGTTGTGGCTCTTCTCAGGATGTTGTCATGTTGCTGACCTCTCCCCTCTCTCCTTTCATCTCCCTTTCCCAGGGTAATTTCCTCTGTCTGTATCCATGGCTTCCGCTGAACTTCAGATCAGAATGTATACCATTATGTTCCGCAGCTGCCAATCAAAGGATAAACTTTATTTTCATCCTAAAATTTATATTTTTCCATATAACTATGAAGTTTTGGAGTTACACTTGAGCCTTCTCTCTTTCTCATTCCCAATGTCCACTTAATTATCACATTCTGATATTCTATCTACTTACCATCATACACATCAATTTCCTCCTTTCTATCTATACTTGCACTATTGTCTGGGATATTGTGAAAGCCTCCTGACACTGCTACAGACTCAGTCTCACTTCCTTCCAATCCCTTAATTTGCTGTCAGAATGATCTTTATAATACAAAAATCTCATTGTACTTAAAATCCTTTAATAGTTCACATTGTTTTAAAAACAGAGCCATGATCTTTCATGTTTCTGTCCTTGGGCAAATTGTTATCTATTTCTAGAACGATTTTCCAGCCACTTTCACTTAAAAAAATAAGTTTAGCTATTATGTGTCCTTCAAATGTCAATTCAAGTATTCCCTAAAAAATCAGAAAGTTTTCTCGGAAGCCCCTGATCTAGATTAAGTGCCTCTTCCTCTGAGCTTTCCAAATACCCTGTGCATACCTAAATCACAGCAAATACCATACACCGTTGTTTTACAGGTTTTGGCTTACCTGTGTCCTCTCCCTCCATCACTCTAAGGACTCCCAAAGTCCTGGTATGTTTCTTTTGTAATCTATTTCTGAAGCCCAATAACAGCCACAATCAATTAAACCAATAAGCAACTTAGATATCGAATGGGCAACCTTTCTTTCACCTTGGTGGAAAGTACGTTTTGCCTGTGCAAAGAATGACAAAGCCCACTTAATGTTATAAAGGCAGGGCTATAGGTTTCTGATTTCACGTTCTAGAGGACTGAGGGAATATATCATCAGAAAGATTCCTTTGAATCTAGACAAAACAGATCTGGTAATCTAAGTCAAGAAGTGGATTAGCATTGTTCCTAAAAACACAAAATGGAAGAATGGTGGGAAGTCCAAATAAAGTGTGTCTGAGAGAGGAATGCTTACTCAGTATTCCATTAGCCTTCCTATATTCCCAGCACCTTTACATTAGATCTGACCATGTAACCAGCACTGGCTAATAAAATATGACCTATGTCATTTTCAGGATAAGGCAGTGAAAAGTCCATGTATGAGTCTTTCTGTCTTCTGATGCCAGGGCCATTGAGGAGACAGTGCTGTACATAGTGCATCTATAAGAAAGTAAAATTCTATCTATTTGAGCGACAGTATAAAATAGCCTTATATAGAATGGTGTGAGTGAAACTAAAATGTTTTTCATTAAACTTCTGAGATTTTAGAGGTTGTTCATTATTGCAGCATAATCTAGATTTTCCTAAGACAGAGAGGATTTAGAAAAAGAATAAAATGTAAATGCCCGTTTAAAATTGGACAACAGTAGCTTGATGCAGATAAGTTGATGTCGTCTTTCTCCAAGGATATTTAGATCTAAATTCTTCTAAGAAATAGTATTGAGAGATAATTATCCATAAATCTCTCACATGTCTGCATGACTTGTGAGCAGAGGTACACTGCCTTTTTCTGAATTATACTTTCAAGGATGTTTGTATAGTGAACATCATTGGAAAATAGAAGTAGTATCCCTTTTTGGAGCAAAGAGCAAGGTTGCTTTCAACCTTGGAAGAGACCTTTAGTTTCTGTCTCCAGCTGCATGTTGGAGTTGACAAGAGTTGAAGTTGAAGTTGGAGTTGAAGATGACAAGAGAGTGTAAAGAGCTCAATACTCCCTATCAGAAACCACCTCTCCCTGCAGCCAGTTGGAATGCCAAGTGTCCCACTAGAATTCAAGGAAAGGAGGACTTTCCAGATAAAGTATAGGGAATTCTAAAGACAAGCCATTGAAGTTAGCTACAAATGTGTTTCCCTTCTAGCCTGGACCATTTCCTTACAAAGAAAAGAAATTTGCACTTTAACTAGACTCACATTTCATTAAGGCCATACAAAATGAAAAAAAAAGAGCAATTAATCTATAGTTGCAATTAATTAGGAAAATTAATCCAGATAATTGAGATCACAATGTAGATTTTAAAAATGTGAAATATCTGCTATGAATGTCTATATTGATCATGTTAATTGAATATCTTTCTTGGGCATAGGAAAACAGCATGTTGCATGGCAAGAGTAATGCCATCTTGAAACAAAATCACCATGATGACTGATGTTTGACTCCTGGATAGATGTTCTTGCAGCAAGGTCTTTAAATAATGCCTATAGCACAGATTACCCCTCATAAAGAAACAATACCCTTAACACAGATACCCTCATAAAGATGTTTATCTTTATCATCCCTAGTGATCATGTTTCAGCAAAACAGTTTGAGACATAATCAGCTATTCATGTCTTTACCCTAAAAGCTTGCTATATAAAGAATATTTCTGGAGAGTGGGTGCAGGGATCTACTCTCCGCAGCCACTTGAGACATTGCTTCAGTTCATTAGTCCCTATTAAATATTTTCTTTCTCAGAAAACTGGATTTGTCAGCCTCTTTCTTTGACCCCTCAGCTTCCTCAGCCTTGAGAGGTAGGGTTGCATATACCTGCTCACCCCAGTAAAATGAGTGTCCTTCACTTTCTACACTTTCAACCCTGAATGAAACAACAAATATTTGGGTGCTTGTGAGTTGTGGGTTAAACACAGAAGGTGAACAATATTTCAGTACTTTTTTTTTTTTTTTTTTTTGAGACGGAGTCTCGCTCTGTCGCCCAGGCTGGAGTGCAGTGGCGCGATCTCGGCTCACTGCAAGCTCCGCCTCCTGGGTTCACGCCATTCTCCTGCCTCAGCCTCCCGAGTAGCTGGGACTACAGGCGCCTGCCACTGCTCCCAGCTAATTTTTTGTATTTTTAGTAGAGACGGGGTTTCACCGTGTTAGCCAGGATGGTCTCGATCTCCTGACCTCATGATCCGCCTGCCTCGGCCTCCCAAAGTGCAGGGAATCTCAGTATTTTCTTATAATTGATGATAGCTCAGAAAAAGTGGTTGCATATCTTATTTCTTTTCCATTTTCAAAATATAAATGTTTGCTTATAAAATGTGTGGAATATCAAAGTAATGATGCCTACTAAGGTAACACCTTTTATTCCTAATGCATTTTTGCATGGATTTATTCCAAAAGTGGGGTGATTCAAATGTGCTGTGCATTGTATGAAGAATGCAAACTGGATAATACTTTTGCAGTTGTGGATCAAGTGTTGGTGCCATGTTTCTATTCGTGATACTCGTTGAAGACAATCTATCACCATCTGGCTTCAGTCTGTCTTTTTCAGGTTGTCTGGATTGTTTAAAGAGGGCTTCTAGCCATGGCCATGATAGTATGAAGATAAACACAAATGATTTTTAAAGGGTTAGAGCCCAAGACCTTGTTCTCTTCAGCACTGGTTTATTTAATACAAAGAAAGTCTCCTAGGCATAAGGATAGGACTTCCAGTGACCCTAAATTTTAGATACCTCCAGGAAAGTATTATCTAAATATTATCTTTAAGGTAATATTCTAGAGTACTCATCAGTACTGCTCTCTGATTATTTCCAGCTCTCGACTTCCTAAATACAGAGTTTATTTCACCTCCTGGCTCCCTTGTGGATGTAGGGGCCATGGGACTAGTTCTGGACGAGGCATCGTAAAGGAAAATGATATGTGTCAACTTAGGGCTGAGCATTTAATTGATTGCCCAAGACCTCCAAGTCTTGCTGTGTTCTTTGGCATACTACACAGTGATGTTTGCAGTGGGAGCTACTCTGTTAGCCTGGGTGACTAAATGATAATGATATGCAAAGCCTCCTTGTTGATCTATGATGAGGTATGTAGCTTGAGCAAGAAATCAACCTTTGTTGTTGATCATAGTGTTGCTTGTTAACTTAGCATGACCTCGCCTGTTCTCACTAATGTATTTTCAATGACCCAAAGTCACATTAGCAGTTATACAGTTGAAATGTCACAACTCCTTCATAGTGTTATTATGGTAAACATTTCTGATTGATCCTTGCACTCTTTCCTGTCAACTTCAGTCAAATCCTTCTATTTGAGTGGAGGAAATACTTTTGTTTTCATGGAACCCTGAGAATACTTGACATGAAAGAGATTCTTAGGGAAATCCTTAATGGAAAAATAGAGGGGATTCCATTTCTGGAATGTCCACCCTTTCCTTCTGATAACAACAGAAAAGGAAATAATAAGATTGGGACAATGACAGTAGAAACCCAATTGGATATTTACCTGGTAAGATTTGAGATTGACCCTGGTTTTTAGTTTATTGGGTATACTGAGCAAACTCATACTACAATATTTGCTTTTACATATGCTAAATATAAAGGAAATATAAATCTTTGAAGAGAGAAAAAATGTTAAAAGCACACAAGCTAAAGAATGTTTATTTTCAAAGCATTAACCATTTAGTAAAAGGGAATTTAAGGGAGCAAATGGATCATAACATTTTAGAGTTATAAAGAATATTACATGTTATTCAGGCCACTCTCCTGACATCATAGGTGAGGAAATTAAAGCCCCCAAAGGTTAACTGAATTGCTGTGAGTCCAAATGGTTATTTGATGGGACAATTGGTTTAAATTCATTGTTTCTAAACAATGCAACCAAGAAACCATTTATTGGGTATGGCTTACCATGCTTCATTCTGCAAGACACTTAACACACTGAACACAACTGATTAGACCAGGGTTGCTTCTTCAGTTGAAGACTATGAATGGACTAGATGAGAATTTATGAAGACATTGGCTTGGGGTCTTTTGCTCAGTGGATCCATTAATTCCTACAAAAACAAAGCAACAAATAAAAACAAAACCTAACTGAACCAGTTAGATCCTTTTGGAAGAGTTTGAGTACAAGAAATACTTAAGGTTACCAAATAGTAGTTGGAAAAAGTAGAAAGAGATGTTGGAGTCAGAGGAGCTGAGTCATGAGAAAAAAAAGACTTATGGACTGCTGTTCCATTCTGAATAAGAATTCTACTCTTTATTCACTCTGGTTTTCTAAAGCTAGACTGCTTCCGGAGCTACATTTTGCCATGTATTCCTGTAAGATTAACTCATTGTTTTTGATAACCTGACTTTTAAAAAAATGTTATCCTGAAATAATTAAACAAGCCCAAGTTTCCTCTGCTGGAAGTATGTGATAACTTCTCTATCTTGCTCCCACAAACAAAACACCAACTACAGGCCGGGCGCGGTGGCTCACGCCTGTAATCCCAGCACTTTGGGAGGCCGAGGCGGGTGGATCATGAGGTCAGGAGATCGAGACCATCCTGGCTAACAAGGTGAAACCCCGTCTCTACTAAAAATACAAAAAATTAGCCGGGCGCGGTGGCGGGCGCCTGTAGTCCCAGCTACTGGGGAGGCTGAGGCAGGAGAATGGCGTGAACCCGGGAAGCGGAGCTTGCAGTGAGCCGAGATTGCGCCACTGCAGTCCGCAGTCCGGCCTGGGCGACAGAGCGAGACTCCGTCTCAAAAAAAAAAAAAAAAAAAAAAACACCAACTACAGCACATAGCATACACTCATAGGGATCCTTTTCAAATTCCTTTTCAAATAATCTAACTGAGGCAGGGAGTATTTGTGTAGGAAAACAGAATACTAGACATAGACACTCTGCAATTCTGACTTTTACACATAATTCAAGGCTATCTGTGCCTTGAAATTAAGATAAAGACCATTGTTATTGCTGTCAGTGGTTCCTCCTAAAGCCTCTTTCTCACAGTAATTGCTCACATACAGTACTTACTGTGTTCCAGGACTGTTTCCCATACTTGACCTATAGTAGCTCATTTAATCCAGGGTAAACCTATGAGATAGCTGTTGCTATTGACATTTCTATCTCAGTGTTTACATTTGAGGACACTAATACCCAGAGAGATACCTTGCCTAAGGTCATATATCTGGGAAGTGGTGGATCCCAGGTAGTCTCACTACAGAGTCCAACATCTAATCTCTTTGCTGTAGTGTTATAGTGACTTAAATTACCAGTGCATCCTCTGTTTGTCTCCTACTAAGGAGAAATTATTAATGCTGTTAAACAGTCCACCATTATAATCATCATATAACTAACAGATTCATTTCCAATCATAAATTTGATCATTAAACTAATGGTCGTGGTCAATAATTTTCATTTACAAAGATCCTTTTTTTGTTTTTTTTTTGAGACAAAGTCACTCTGGAGTGCAGTGGTGTGATAGCTCACTGCCACCTCTACTTCCTGGGTTCAAAGGTTCTCATGCCTCAGCCACCTGAGTAGATGGGATTACAGACATGCGTCACCACACTTGGCTAATTTTTGTATTTTTAGTAGAGACAGGGTTTCGCCATGTTGGCCAGGCTGGTCTCAAACTCCTGAGCTCAAGTGATCTGCCCGCCTCGGCCTCCCGAAGTGCTAGAATTACAGGCGTGAGCCACCACACCCGGCCCCATCATCCTTTTTAACATTCATGTTTCCTGATAAATGACTTGAAGTGGAGAAGGGTGGGATATGCATCCTCAGCTGACAAGGAAGAACACAGAGTTTACTACTTATATTATACTGCAGGCCAAGAAACCCAAAGCCAAACATGGAAATTAGAAATACCTCTTTGGTTTTTCTCAAGATCCCAGGAATTTATAAATAAGTATGATAAACAAAACATTCCCCTTTGGTCTCTGTGATTGACTGGTGTCTACATGTCGCATGAAGGCATTGTTTTCTTTCTGTATGTCTTCATGGTTAAATGACTTAACTCTCTAACAGCTCTCACTAGAGTCCTTGCTTGATTGACCCATGATCCATGATCCATCCATTTTGCAATAACACATGCTTCTCTTTTCTCTACCTACTGATTAGCACCCAGCTAACTTCTCTACCCTGGAGGATCAGGTGAAAGAAAAACACCAGATGGGAAGAAAAGTGGAGAGAATGATTGAGCCTGGAACCTCAGCATGGCATTATCCACATGGGCTGTTTTATCAGTATGCCTTTTTGTAACCCCAGATAAGGGAAAACTGTAGCCAGAAAAAGATGAAAACAGGGAAATTCAACCATTGCAGGCATTTATTCTTATCTTTTGTTTTTATAAAGAATGACAAATAATCTGAGGGTATAAAAATCATTGCTTTGCATGAAACCCAAATTTACAGTTTGTGTATATGCATTTTCTTTTCTACAGCCACTAATGTATTGATGCCCTATGTTACCACTCACTTGGAAGCCTGGGGTAGGTGGCTGGGAGGAGAATGGGAGGAACAGAGGGGAGAGGGAGAGAACTCGAATAGACTTTTGAGATTAGTAGTCTAATTCTAATGCTCCCTCCTGTTTCCTCCTTCTCCTAATAAGGAAAGCGAGGCCCCAGGAGGTTAACTGACTTGCACAAGGTCAGATGAGCTCAATTGTCTTCTAAACTCCACGCGGAATTTTTTCATTTCCAGCTTTAAATTATTTATTCAGTTTTTTGCCATTTTCACTTCATTGAAATGAACTCTCTCTTCTTGCTATTATATCCTGGAAGCTATTTATCCAACCTGACTTAATTGCATTTTCATGCAATTGTATTACATTTTGCAATCGCTATTACATTTTATATTCTCTATGTTTTTATGCCCTAGTGCCAACTGTTAGCATCTTCTGTGTCCTGCTTTATTATTGAATTACCCCAGGTGTTTCTTAAGCCAGATTTACTTATATTGTAACACGGAGTTAAAAATAGTGACACAGGCAGAATGTTTCATATCTTATCTTAGGGTCTATAAAGGGGAAGAAGTTGAAAGCTAAGGGTTGTTATTGTAACTATTTCAGTACTTGCCACATTAGGGCTGTGATAAATTCAAGTCCTTGGTCTCTGTGTTTCCAAATTTCCCTCCTGTCCCCTCTCTTTCTCATAGGTCCATTTGGAGAAGCCAGTCTCTCCCAGAACCACCCGCCTTCTGAAATTAGCTTTAGTAAGTCATTGCAAACATCTAACATTAAGTAAATGAACCCAATTTAAAAAGGATTTACACAAATTAGATAGAAAAGCTCAGGGGAAACCAAAGCAATCCTCATAGGTCAAAAAGCCTAAGGAAATTCTTACAAACATTTCCTTGTTTTCTCAGTGGGCGTATTGCTAAATACAAACTGAGGCGAAGTTTGAGAGCTTAGGGCAGATGGAAATTTTGAGACATAAAAAAAAATCTTCAAAAGTAAAGAAAAATTTATTATAGCAAAAGTCAATAAAATATGTGGCCAAGTAAATGTCTTTTTTTTTTTTTTAATAGCCCAGTAGCATAATAGCACTTGCCAATTATGGAAGAGAAATTTTGATGCCTCCTCAGGCTTGGGCTTTATTTAGAAGGACTCCAATCCAATCCACTGTCAGATGAATTATATGCACCATAGACTTCAAAGGCTTTATGCTCAATGGGAATGTCCAGGATAAAGTGCTGTGAGAAATAAATGATTGTATTGCAGTGCAGGATGCCAAGCTGCAGTGATCACTTTTCAGTCACTGGAAAAATGTGGTGTGCAAATGGATGTCACACTGTGATAAGGGGGAGTCCAGAAATATAGTGGCAACACAGTGAGCAAACTTAATCAAGGCAGATCCTTCACTTCCCTTGGCCAGCTATGCTCTGTAGGTGGTGATTTTACTGATGGACACAGTTGTGTCTATTATGTGTAAGCATAGAAGGCCGCAATGCTCCTTTCTTACATTAGATATGACAGAGTTAAAATCACAGCAAAAATTTAAAAAGATTGGCTGAAAGTAAAATTTGCTCTAGATATTTGCTTTAGCAGTTTTCCATGACTCCTGAATAGGACAGGTTATCTAAGGAATCTAGGATTACCTGTGACTGTTTTGTGGGGCAGCAAATTCTCCTCTAATGTCTTCTCCTGAGAGAAGAAATGTTGACAGGGACTGCCAGATAAAGGATAAAAGCTGGACCGTCACAGCTTTCTTTACACTGCCCAGTTCTCAAACTGTAACCTGCATTAGAATTATCTGAAAGCCTCCCCGAAGTAGATTGCCAGGACCCATACCCCATCCTAAGTTTCTGATTCTGTTGCAGAAACACCAGAGGATAAGTCTAGGTCTTCTAGTTCCAGCTGCTCACTACACAGAAAGCCAATGACTAAGATGACCAGTTTGCCAAGAAAGAAGGCTTTACTTGGGTGTTGCAGCAGAAGCAATGGGAGCTCAGTCTCAAATTCATCTCCCTAACCAAATAAAACTGGGGTTTATATAGGAGGGAAGGAATGTAGCAATGTGTAAGGAAACAGGAACTAGGGAGGAACAAGGAAACAATCATGAGGAATGAGGGATCTGACATCTTATTGTCTGGATGCCATGATCTGGTGAAATTCAGTTCTTTGATCCTTTTTTTGGTGAAGCTTGAGAGATCTTTCTTGAGGAAGGAACTTAGATAAACAAATGTGAGATTCAGGCTTTAAGACCAGAAGGGTCAATTTCTATGTTTATCCGAAAAACAAAAACAAAAAGCTGTCTGTGGGACTATTGAGTTGGTTTGAACTCCACAGGTCTAGAGTGGGGTCTAGTTGTCAGGTGACGTTCATGTTGCTGGCCAGAGGGGGGTGGGGCAAAATTGAGGCACACCCATGTATGATCTGTGCTCATCCAGTCTGGATGTTTTTATGTGTGTTGCAAACACTATTCCACTTTAAGCAAGCCAAGTCATCTCTTCCCATTTGCCCAACGTTAAATGTTTTGTTGATGCCAAAGCACATGATGAAAAATGCTAAATTATAGATATTGCTATTGAATGGCTGGGACTTGGGTTTCTAAATCTCCCCACTTCAAGAGGAGGTTGGAAGGAAATAAAATTGTGATGGTTGATGAAGGGATTCTATGAAAGAGGCCGTTCCTTTTGGGCAGGACTACTGTCATTGTAGTATTAAATATTGGACTCAGCAAAAGAAGGATCATGTTCCTTCTTTCCCCAACTATTCTCCACTTACCTGGGCTTTAACATATACAAATAGTCCCTGATGTTAAATCAATATGTCCTTGGAGACACTGACTTAAAATAATTATCTGGGGAAAGACCTTCACCAGTAAAGCTCTGTGTCCTTTTGTGGGACTTGAAGGTAGCAACTTGGCAGCTTCCCAATGATGGAATGCAGTTTCAGGATAGAAATTAAGTCTAACTGAGGTAGGAGACCAGCAGGACATATTTTCTGGTCACGACTCTGCTGACCAAAACAGGATCTTGTCCAGGCAGGATAAAGTGAAGAAACCAGCAGGAACCAGCAGATGGTGATGAAGTTTATCTCTACCTGCCCTCATTGCTCATTAGCATGAGACACTCCCACCAGTGCCATGACAGTTTACAAATGCCACAGCGACTACCCAGAAGTTACCACTCCTTTCCATGGCAATGACCCAGAAGTTACCACCCCTTTCCATAAAGATGACCTAGAAGTTGCCATCCCTTTCCAAGATAGTGCTAAATGACCAATCCCTCAATTTGCACTGACCTGTTCCTTAATTTGCATGTAATTGAAAGTAGGTTTACTAGAGTATAAATGCGATTGCCAAGAACCCATATGTTGCTGACTCTGGGCGCACTGCCTGTGAGTTAGCCCTGCTCTGCAAGGAGCGGTACTGTTGAATAAAAACTTGCTGCCTAATACCACCGGCTTGCCCTTGAATGTTTTCCTGGGTAAATCCGAGAACCCTCCTGGGCTAGGCCCCAATTTTCAGGCTTTCCTGTCCTGCATCATAATAAGTCAGCTGTTTAGGAATAGGCAATGGAGTCTCATATTAAAGTATAGCAAAGTGGTTAATAGAAAATAATGGAGATATGAAAAACAGATACTCAATCCTACTCTATAATTCAAGCAATTGAATTTGGAGCAGCAAGTTTCTTTCTGTCTATCAGATTGGCAAAAATTAACCCATTTAATTCAGTATTGACCAGGTTATGCTGCGTGAGGTTCCCTTCCACACTGCTACATGGGAGTGTGTGTTGGGACAGTATTTATTTTTTATTTTTTATTTATTCTTTTTGAGACGGAGTCTCACTCTGTCACCTATGCTGGAGTGCAGTGGCGTGATCTAGGCTCACTGCAACCTCTGCCTCCCAGTTTCAAGCAATTACCCTGCCTCAGCCTCCTGAGTAGCTGGGATTACAGATGCACACCACCATACCAGCTAATTTTTGTATTTTTATTATAGATGGGGTTTTGCCATGTTGGCCATGCTGGCCTCAAACCCCTGACCTCAGGTGATCTGCCCGCCTTGGTCTCTTAAAGTACTGGGATTATAGGTGTGAGCCACCATGCCCAGCCTGGAACAATATTTTAGAAGTCATATGAGTAATAATTATTAATAATTATCAAACTTAGAATGCACATGCTCTTTGATGGTCATGGAATGTAACTTCCATGAATTTATTTTGTGGAGATAATTGCAAAATTGTCTACAAGTATGCCTATTGAAGTGCCATTTAGAGTCATAATTAGGGATTGATTAACTTCATATTAAAGCTACATGACATGCACCAATTAAAAAAAATGGTATCTCTTTACTTGATGGTTGTCCTTTTTTATTTGGAAGCCCAACATTGAACCTATAACTATATTTGAAGATTCCTGCCTTAGTTGTCAGGCCCACATTTACTATAGAAGGAGAAAATTCTGGAAACTCACTTTTAAAGCTTCCCTTTACTGTGACATGGGCATAGGTCTTAGACTTTTCCACTCAGAGTGAACTGCCACAAACTTTAAATTGGAAGCTTGTGATGTGAAGTATCAAGGGCTGCACAAAATCCATTCCCATCAGGGTGGTGACAGAGGTGGCAGCTTGTTCTTCCTTCAGGGGTAGCAGCGGCAATGTTTCTGGCAGCAGCATCCGGGGTCAGTGACTGTCATGTCAGTTGAGGAAGTAGCAGCAGTGGCCACACCCAGAGGTGGTGCCTTTAGCAGAGCAGCTCAAGAATGAAGTTTGGGAGTACTTCCCATTGTGACGTCTCCAGCTGTTGTTCTCACGCCATCTCATTCAGAAAGCTCCCCAGGTACTTTACATAAATGCCATTATGCCTTAGTCAGCTAGATTTCTGTTGCTTACAACTGGCAACCTTGCCTGGTGCAATCTTTATGTATACATAGTGCAAAATCTCGAAGATACAGTTCATGAAAAGCAAGATGCAGAATAATGAGAAGAGTATAATCACACATGGGGCAAAAGAGGATATATCTTTGTATACGATTACACATTTCAAGATAGAAGGGTATACAAAAAATTGTTAATAATGTTTTTTACTTTTCATATTGAACAAATCTTCTGTATTATGGTATTGTGTTTTTTATTGCTACATAGCAATGTGTTGTATAGTTTAATAAAACAGTAAATAAATAATATAAAGTGGTACCCAGTGTCCTGACTTGACCACAGAATTGTAAGATATTTTATTCCGAGGTTTTTAATTCTCTGGAGCTCCTATTACTTTCATATGAACTGAGTTTTCTTTGGAAGGCCTGGTGGACATTAACCAGAGCTGGACCACGGTGATGCCCACCTGTGCTGAACTGCTTTGCTATGGCATGTCTCCTGGTATCGGCAGAGAAAAACTCACTGGAGGGTAACTTCCGACCCTTTAAGTACCACGGGGCCAGCATTGGACAGTAACACAGGCTCAGCTGTCTTGCCTACAAGGTGGAGTCTCCCCTCAACGAGCGAGACTCACCTTCACTGGACCCAGTCTGGCTGGAAAATATGACCTCAATGTCATGGAAAGAGCAATGCTCTCCTGTGTGGCTTCCTAGACCTGCCACATATCCATATTTGGAGCGGATGGAAATACAATTATTTGGACAACTTCAGGACAGATGAGTGAATTCTGTACGTAGAGAATAAAACACATGTAACAAATCGAGATTAGCAGGTCATATGCTCTGCGAAGGCTACAGTGAAAGATTCTTTCCCCTTGTCTGTGCTGTGAGAATTCACAGAGGGCAAAGGGCATCGGCTTCACAGGCAGACCAACTTGAGTCTGAGTCCTTGCTCTGCCTCATCTGGGTTAATGGATCTCAGAACTTCAACTGTAAAAAGGAAAAATAATGCCTAGTTCATAGGGTTGTCATGAAATTTAGAGATGATACATGTAAATTCCCTAACACAGATCTAGAACATGATGGGAGCTCAATGAAGAATAGTCCTTACTCCCAGTGCTATCCCTGAGATATCTCTCAAGTTCTCATGAGAGTTAGTAGGGAAATGGGCTCTGGAGGATAACATTTTCATTACAGAACACATATACTCTGTAATATAAGAATTTGTGTTTACAGACATGACAGATAACTTTTGGAAACTTGAAATACAGGGAAATTGTATGATCTCAATTTCCCACACCATTGCTCTTAAAACTATCTCAGTGTTCTCCCAAATATAATGGATGGATTTCTGAAAATTTTGAAATTTTGAAACATTTATGCTTGACAATACTGCAAATTATGTTTTCCCCAAATCATGGTCAAATAATTTTTTTATCAATCCTAGTGTGAAATGGCACAGAAAATCATAAATGTCTTTTTTTCTCCAAACTGTCTACCTCTGAAATATATTCTATTTTTCAAGCTTTAATAAAGCCTTTATTGAACCTATTAATAAAGTGTTATTAATAATTTGGCTTCCATTCTTATAAGTATCATAATCTTGCAAGCTGGTTTAGGGTAGATGAAAGCTCCTCTTTCGGCTCCAAATGATGTGCCAAGCATGGGAAACAGCGTTTTGCCTTATTAAACAACCACCTTCTAGAGTGGAAGTTACAATGGGTCATCGTGGTGCTATATAAACCTGTCATCTTTAGAATTTGTAGATTAGAATCGGGATGTATAGCCCTATTTTTAAATTTAAATTTAGGTACGAATCAATTCAGATGTTAGTTTCGAATTCTGAATGGAGTCTCTGTGGATGTGGCTGTGTGTGCTGTGAGTGGTGGTAGAATCCTGTTAGAAGGGTGTTAAATAGTTTTCACGGCTTCATAAGGAGTGTCGCTGCTCTAGGGCTCTAGCAAGTAACCAAGTTGAATAATTGATGTCTTATTATGACTTACAGAAAATCTTTTCTAACTCTTAAATTGCCTTATTGAGAATATGTGTCACAAGTTCCAAAGCAACCAGAACCCAGAAAGTCTCTATTTGTTTCTTACAACATTGAATCTTTTATTTAAAAAAATCATATATGTAATATCATTTCAATAAAATTAAAAATGTAAACAAAGATATAGAGTTAAAATATATCTCCCTGTCTTCTAGTTTCTGTTGTAACTCACCCCTATACATATAAACCCAAATTACATTTGCATATAAAAACAAACATGCATTCATATTCTCATTTTTCTTTCATTTTAGCACAACAGGTAGCACATTTTACATACTATTCTAAACCTTGATTTTTTCACTTAATATACCTTGGGAGTTTTAAAATAACGTTATATAAATGATACACTTCTTGTGTTAGTTCAGGTGCTCTGAGAAGCGGAGGCCAAGATAGTATCCAACATGTAAGAATTACAGTATGAAATGTCTGTAAGGGAAAACACTAAGTGACCATGAGAGGCTGGAAGACTTGTCAGACCACAGTGCAAATCTGACTCTGAGCGAAAGAGAAGGGAGGAAGGCTGAGTGGTGCTTCGTTTTGTGGGGCTATGATGGAATACTCGAGACTGTGTAATTTATAATAAACAGGAGTGCCTTGGCTCACAGTTCTGGAAGCTGGGAAGTCCAACATCAAGGCATTCACCAGTTTGGTGTCTGGTGAAGGCCTGGTGAACTCTGCATTTTCTGCATGGAAGACACATTGTTTCTCATGTGGCGGGGGTGGGCGGGAGAGCCAAGAGAGAGCTCACTCATGAAAGTCCTTTGGTTAAGGCATTAAACCATGTATGAAGGCAGAACCCTAATGACCTAGACACTTCTTACTAGGCCCCACTTACCTACATCAGCACATTGGGGCTTAAACTTTAAGATGAGTTTTAGAGGGAACAAACATTCAAACTCTACCAAGTGGATGTATCTTAGACTGTAATCCAGTTTGACAAGACTGTCCTGGAGCCCTCAGGAGAGCCACCTGTCAGAGAAATCCCTCATCTCTCAGGAATCAGCGTGCCTCAGTGTTCCTGCCACGTTCATTGGCTGGGAGCAACCTAAGGATGCATACACTCCTAGGAAAGTCCTAAATGGATTTCCGAACACAGCAGCTGTGGGCCTCCATCAGTTGCATGCCCTGTAGTTAAAGGTCTGCAAGGCATTTTTATATCAGAAAGCCTATGTTGTTTTCAGAGGTTTTTTCCATTGACACTGTGTTAGGCCATCCTTTCATTGCTGTAAAGAATTATGTGAGACTAGATAATTTATAAGAAAATAAGTTTAATTGGCTCACCGTTCTCCAGGCTATACAGGAAGCATAGAGGCCTCTTTTTCTGGGGAGGCTCAGGAAGCTTCCAATCATGGTGGAAGGCAAATGGGGAGCACACACATCACATGGCAGAAGGAGCAAGAGAGGAGAGGGTGCCACACAGTTTTAAACAGTCAAATCTCATGAGCACTCACTCACTCTGGTGAGGGCAGCACCAAGAGGATGGTGCTAGACCACTCATGAGAAACCACCCCCATAATCTGGTTGCCTCCCACCAGGCTCCACCTCCAATACTGGAGATTACAATTCAACATGAGATTTGGGTGGCCACATATCCAAATTGTACCAGGCACCTTGTTGTCCAGAACCCGGGCATATGATCTTCCTTACTTGGAAAGGAGTCTGGGAAATTGTGGAACTGAGCACGCTGTTTGGGGCTCAGCATTTGGTGTCACAAAAAAAGCTGGGGTACCATTAGCAAAAAATACCAGGGCAATTGGTGTCAGTGACTGCAACACACTTAATTAAAGTTTGTTAAATGAATTAACAAAGGTTTTAAGAGCTGACATTAGAGCTCCACAACATCTTCCAGGCTCCTTCTTGGAATAAGATGCACACTCACCATTAACCACCTCAGTTTGCGTATGTCCTCCAATGAAAGAGAGAGGGACAAGAACAAACAACAACACATACCTCCTCCACCCCTATCAAAACAACTGTTCTAAAACGTTAGCTTTCCCAAAGCATTTTCACACCTCATCGTCACTCAATGTCTACATTGCTAGATTTCTACATTGGAGACTTTTCATTATTGTTTACAGGAATCTAGTCTTCCTTGTTTGCACTTACAAATCAATAAATTTAGGCTATATATACATACATATATATAAATATATATATGGGGAGAGAGAGAGAGAGAGAGAAAGGCCTAGGCTTCAGTGTGCTGGCATGATTACAGCTCACTGCAGCCTCAACCTCCCTAGATCAAGTAATCCTCCCACCTCAGCTTCCCAAGTAGCTTAGGCCACAGGCATGCACCACCTTTCCAGGCTATTTTTTTTTTTATTTTTTTTTGTGGAGATGGAGTCTCCCTATCTTGCCCAGGCTGGTCTTAAACTCCTGAGCTCAAGTGATCCTCCTGTCTCGGCCTTCCAAAGTGCTTGGATTACAGGCCTGAGCCACTGCACCCGACTGATAAATATTTTTTTAATCAATAGAATAGGATAGACTTGAGTCCAAACTCCCCAGATTAGCCTCCAGAGCCCTCAAACCTCATTCTCCTCACTTCCCTGCTTGAAGACACTGCCACATTTGCTTCTTCTTTTTCCTTGGGCTTTTGCACGTGATGTCCCCACTGCTAGAAATGGGCTTCACATGCAGGGGACATTTGTATTTTTAAGGTCTCAGTGAGTCAAATGTCACCTTCATGAGAGGGCTTCTCTGACCACCTCACTTAAATTGATACTCGTCATGCACAACCGTGTTACACTATCCCCTTAGTTATTTTCTTCATAGTTTGTTTTTTACACTCCAAAAAATTATTTTGTATGTTTCTTTTTCTAATTTTAAAAAATCTTTCTACCTTTCCCCCTCCCTCTTTTGTTAAATTATGTATCCCAGTAATTAGACTAGTGCCTCAAAGAGACTTAGTAAAATTTTTTTGGAGAAAAGAATGGATAGTTATACTATTTTATGGAAAACTGACATTCAGAGAGACTATGACTGGCCCAAGTTTCTGCATCTAGCAAGTGGCAAAGTCTTAGTTAATCTTAGGCAGTAGGATATGGTATTAAGAGCAGGATATGGCATTAAGAGCATGAACTTCAAGATAAGACTCCCAAGATTGGATTTCCAGCTCTGCCATTTACTCATTGCATATCTTTGAATAAATTAGTTTCTTTAACCTCAGTTTCCTTAACCTTAAAATAAGAATAAGAATATTAACACTTACTCATTAGGATGTTATAGTTCTTAAATGTCAACATGTAGCCTAGTGCTCAACGTGTAGTGACTTCTCAGTAACCACGAACGGGTATTATTGAGCATTCTGTTTCTGCAGGCCAGATGTCTTCAAGATGCTACAGCTCCTTCAGTTTGGGAGCTGTGTGTTTTCATGCTGCTGGTGGTAATACAGGTAGGAATGAGGTGTTACATTGTGAAGGAGATAGAAGCAGAAAAGGACCAACAAGTATAAGTTCATTAATTGCTGGGCCCCATCGGGCGAATAACTGAGTTTCATTCTGTTGTGAGCTCTGGATATTCAGACGCCTCTGCCTGGTATTTTTTAACCTCTGCAACACATAATGCACAAGGCTGGCCCAGGTTTGGGGTGGTTCCACCTTGAATGGGCCTGCAATAATCAGTCAGCTCTGTTTGAGCCTGGGCCACTACCCAGGTGAGAGCATTCCTGCGCAGGCAAGTTGGATATTTTCAAGCGCTTCTAGAAATGAGATTCCATCTCTTCCTTGAATAACATCAGAAACTCATAGCAAGATACAGTAAATTCCAGCAAGATGCCTTTGATTTCTCTATCACCTGCCTGGATTTTGTAGATCAGGCGAACATTCTGAAGGTCTCTGGGTGACTTTTTAATGATATGATTCAGTTTTAATAGGTAGTTTCTAATCTGGCTATCAGGTGCTAGTGTTACTGAAACAGTGCAGTGTTTGCAACTCACCCCTTGTGTTTGGCATCAATTCTGAGATGCATCTGCGGGTCGGTGACACTGATTTCTATGAATTGTTTTATTCTTGTCGGAATCGATCCATCAGCCAGTGGCCACCTCATCTTTGGATGCGACTTCATCTTGTCTCCCTCATCTCACTTCTCTCTAGCCCCTCCAGCCTGTCAGGAAAAAACAGGTTACCTTGGAGACAGGACATTTAGAAAATGTATGTAACCACTACACCTGATTCAGTTATTAGATATGTGATTCTCTATACTTAGTTTAAAAATCCTTAGAAAGGGTCATAATGGATTTAAAAATGCAGAAATTTTTTTTTTAGACATGGAGACACTATGTCTAAAAATGTTTATTAAATATTTTCCCCATTTAACAAATAGGATAAACAATTGTTTGGTTGCTCCAAGAAGCCATTTTAGTTCAGAGAAGAAATACATAGATGAAAGAACTACTTAAGGTTCCTTTCTGCCCATAGAGCTCGAGAAAGTGAGTTTATACTGGGACAGAAGCCTATACAAGTTTTGGCTCTTTTATTCCACTACTTTGATAAATACCATATGCCACAGTTTTTCTCTTTTTCTAGAGATAAAAGGGAAATGGGGTTTTTTTTTTGGTAATTTTAAATTTTTAAAAGCACTTCTTTTACCATTTTAGCTTTTTTGTGTAGAAATACACATATAGGGTTTTCATACATATGTATTAAACACACATATACATTTACCCTATTGGTGGACATGACACTATTATTCTCATGAGCTTTTCTCTTCGTTCTCTTCCTTAAAGGGTGACTTTTTCTTCTACCACTTGTGTATTAGCAACTGACCAGTGGCCATTTTCCAGAATAAGAGACTTTTCAGAGTCAAATGCTTATAGAACCATAAATATCAGACCATGGCAGCATGCCAAGAATTTTCTGGCATGATGAAAGGAGGGTGAAGCTTCCAGCTACATACAGGGTTGTTTATACAGCCCAGGGAATGCCTAAGTTAACTCTGCTTCTGCAAGGGGATTGACCCTGCAGGCTGTAAACTATTAACCACAGTGTTCCTTGAACCACAAGGAATAAGCACAGATCTCATTAGGGAGCTTTGCGCTTTAATTCTTGTCATTGAGTCTGCAATTGACCCTACTGCGTATTCCATTCAGTACTTCAATGTAAGGTCATTAACAACTAAGGGTGAAGGCCTGAACCATGATCCCCTAAATAAGTAACTTGGGCTTACATGCAGAGCCATGGAAACTTCCTCACCTACCCTTTTAATGGATACTTTGGTGGAAACTGAAGCCCTACAATTTTCTCCATAGTCTGCATCTTTCTCTATGCAAAAGGCATTTAATCTCCTTTCAAAATTACTTTTACTGAGATGAAGAAAAAAAAGCTATATGAGAAGGAAGAATTCAATTCCATCCAGCGAGTTAAGGTAGTACATTTTCTGCAGACTTTATTGTTTCTCACTGCTTTAAGGAAGAGAGAGAGGGCTTTACTATTCATGGCAGACTCAGTCAATACCCAGCAGGCACAACACTGGGCATTTTACATATTTCCTTCTGCTTATTCTTCACAGGACACTTTCAGTTAAATTTTAATCTATCCATTTTACTGATGGGTAAATAGAGTCCTAAAATAGTTAACTTGTCCAAGTTGAAATAAGCTAGAATTAAATAAATTTACCTGAGCACACTGCCAAGCTTCTTCTACTAAACCACACTGCCTGCCACAATTAGCATGCAGGTGGTTTGTCTCCAAGACCATGCTCATTTTCTTCCTCTTCATCTCTCCCATCTCCAACTCTTTTCTCCTCTCTCTTTGACCCTTTTTTCTTCTTTCTTTGTCTCTATTTTGTTTACCACATATTTCAAGCCTACTAAAATATTAGGAAATAATATATAAGATATCCATGTACTGCCCAAAACCAGAGTTCATAAATATTAACATTTTGTCATGTTTCCTTTGGATTTTAAAAATATAATCAAAACATTATATATTTGATTAAGGTGTCCCATTTCATTCCTTTCTCATCTTCCAACAAGTGAATATTATCCTGAATTTAGTATACACTGCATTTTTTTTTTGAGATGGAATTTCCCTCTCCGTTGCCCAGGCTGGAGGGCAGTGGCGCGATCTCGGCTCACTGCAACCTCCGACTCCTTGGTTCGAGTGATTCTCCTGCCTCAGCCTCCCGAGTAGCTGGGATTACAGGCATGCACCACCACGCCCAGCTAATTTTTTTGTATTTTTAGTAGAGATGAGGTTTCACCATGTTGGCCAGGATGGTCTCGATCTCCTGACTTCGTGATCTGCCCGCCTCGGCCTCCCAAAGTGCTGGGATTACAGGTGCGAGCCACTGCACCCAGCCACTGTATTCTTATAGTCCCTATTTATATCATCACAACATACGTATTTATTCAAAAACAACATATATTTTTGCAATACTTATTATTATTCTGTGAGATTTAAAATTTTACATGGTGATGTTACACAGCAGGTATTTTTCACATCTTAAAAATACATGCTATTGTTTAGAGATTTTTTAATGTAAATGTAGTTCTAGTTTATTTATAGATGTACAATGATTACATATAGAATACATAAATATTTAATTATATAATTATAAAGCAATTTATTTATACATTCTCCTACTGATAGACACTTAGATTATGCACAGAATTTTCCTATTAAAAATGGCACGTGGTCAACATACTTTGCGTGATTCCTTGTGCCCATGTCCAAGTTCCTCTAAGGTTGATAATTGAAAGTGGACTTGCTGGATGATAGGGAATGGATATCTTTAACTTTACCAGATATTGCCAAATAGCCTTACAAAAGGGTAGCAGTTTATACACCTCTACTAGCAATGCATGAGAATTCTCATGTGTCCATATTCTTGCAAACCATTACTACTATTAGACTTCTTTTTTTTTTTTTTTTTTTTTTTTTTGACAGAGTCTCCCTCTGTCGCCCAGGCTGGAGTGCAGTGGTGCGATCTCGGCTCACTGCAAGCTCTGCCTCCTGGGTTCACGCCATCCTTCTGCCTCAGCCTCCTGAGTAGCTGGGACTACAGGTGCACACCGCCATGCCCGGCTAATTTTTTGTATTTTTAGTAGAGATGGGGTTTCACCGTGTTCTCCAGGATGGTCTCAATCTCCTGACCTTGTGATCTGCCCGCCTCAGCCTCCCAAAGTGCTGGGATTGCAGGCGTGAGCCACCATGCCTGGCCTATCAGACTTCTTAATTACTCCTAATCTTCAGGGTATAAAATAGAATCTCATGGATTTAAATCTGTGTTTCTTTAAATACAAACAGAGTTAAAATCTTTTCATAAATATGATGGCTTTCCTCATATACCTGTTCATATACTTTGTGGGTTCCTTTACTTTTGTACTATTTTTATTTTTCTTGTGATTTGTAGGAGTTAAATATTTTGGATATCAATTTTTCATAAAGAATACATAATGGAAATGTGTCCTCTTCTGCTCCTTGTACATTTAATTTGTTTATGGTGTCCTTTGTTATACAGAAATTTTACATTTGAAAATAGTCAATCTTACCAAAACCTTGTTTTGGGTTTGTGTGTGTGTGTGTGTGTGTGTGTGTGTGTGTGTGTGTGTGTTGGTTTTGCTTAAAAAGTAATTCTCAGTTTTTACTTCCTTATATAGGCCATCAATCCATCTAGAATTAATTTTCTTGTATGACACGAGATGAGGTTGTAACTTTATCTTTTTTTCCCATGATTAGCCCTTAGTTCCAGCATGATTCATTGAAAAATTAGTCCTCTACCCAGTAATTTGTTCTGCCTCTTTTCTCCTAGGTAAAGAAGACTGCTGCTCTGCACAATTCCAAGCGGCACCATTCACATCATTTTCAAGATGAATGGCACAATTCTGGAGCACATAGAATATAATGTAAATGGCATCCCTTGGAACTATGCAATGTGGCAGCCCTGTATAAATTTCTAATGTATGCGTTTGTGTATTTGTTTTCCAAGGCTGTCAAAAAAAATTACCACAGACTATGTGAGTTACAACAACAGAAATTGTCTTACAGTTCTGGAATCTTACAGTTCTGGAGGTGAGAAGTTCTAAATTCAGGTGTTGGCAGAGCCTCGCTTTATCCGAACCTCTGGTCGTGCTGGCCATCTTGATATTCTTGGCTTACAGATGTATCACTGTAGTGTCTGCCTCCATCATCGTGTACCATTTTCCTGTGTGTCTCCATGTCTTCATGTGGCCTTCTGATAAGAATACCAGTCTTTGAATTAGGGCCCACCCTAATTTAGTATGACTTAACTATTAATATTTACATCTGCTCACTATTTCTGAACAAGGTTACATTCTCTGGTTCTGAGTGGGCATGAATTTGGCTGGGGGTATGGGGCACTGTTCATACCAGTAGAGTTTGTTTGTGGGTAGTTTGTCTCCGTATCATTGGCTTATTTGTTCACATCTGTGCCAATACAAACTTATCTTCATTACTAAGACTTTATGATAAGTCTTTACATATGATAGAAGAGTCCTCAACTGTCTCATATCTTATTTTTCTTCAAACTTTTCTTGGCTTTTCTGTGCCCTTCAGGAAATGTAGAATTCCTTTTTGGAATTTTTTGTTGGATTTTTTGTTAATGTTGAGGTTAGTTTGGAAAATATTGACCTCTTCATGATAATGTGTGTGAAGAACTTTACTTATTTATCTTTTCAACCTTAAATATAAGTTTCTAATTTTCTCCATACATGTTTTTCACCTTATTTGTTAATATTTTTCTCTATATAGCTGATTATTTTTGTTTCTCTCATGAACGAATACTTGTTATTGTTTCTTTCCTATCTGACTGTTGCTGGCATTCAGAAACACAGTTGTTCTTTGTATAGTTATCTTGTATCTAGTATCATTGTTGAATTTTCTTATTATTTATAATCATTTATTTCTAGAGTATCTCTGATTTTCTATATTGAAAGTCATTTTGTCTGTAAAGAATAATTTCACTTTTCTTTCTGAATCTTGATATATCATTCCATTTTTTTTCTTATCTTTTTGCATTGGCTGGGACCTCCAGGGAAGTTTTGCACAGAGGCAATGACAGCGCACATTATTTTATTCCCTAACACACATTTTTACAATAATATTTTACTGCCCAGAGATTTTGTGTTGCCATAGTAATGATTCATAATGAAGTCTACATGTTGTTTATCTCTGTTTCTGCCTTCTCCAGTCCTTGGCTATCCCCAACTTATAGAATTCAGTTATATCTATTTCTCTACAACCAAGTCCAGAAATATATTATAATGCCATTCCCAGAACTTGGTGAGCTGGAAATTAAATTGTCCCAAGCCTGTGGTATAAGCCTCTGATCCTCGGTCTTTTCCTCTAAAACCCTCTGTTTTTTGAGAAACAAACTGCTGAAAACTGATCCTTGCCTGAGTCCTCTCATTCTGGCCCAGTGTCCTATTAATCTTTGCCAATTCTTCCACTTTAGGGGATGGACTAAGGATATACACCCACTTCAAACCAGAATTATCTCTTGCTATGTGGATGCTACTACCTATACTGCCCATATTGCTACACATTTCCCCAGTGACTAGACTAGCAATTATTAGCTATATATTTTTTTTATCTCTAACGTACCAGAGGGCTAAAAACAGTGAATCACTATGACAATAAATAGCTACTGATGAATAGCTACTGGCAGGGAGGCGGGCGTACCAAAATCTCTAGAGGACTAAGAATAGCTAGAAAAATGCCCCCAATATCCCCAGGCAATTCCAACATGCCACCTTCTTCTTCCCTTATTTAAGAATCACTGACCTTGAGAAACATATTTTCTAGTTTTACCCACTGAGTCTTAGTCCTTCAGTAACAAAACCCACTTGAATAGAGCCATAGTTCTCTGTGCCTCCTTAGATGTCATGATTAAACGACTGTAGAAACTTTCCCTCTCCCACTAAACCAAGTTTATTCCTGTTACAGCCCATTTCTTCTAGGTGCTTTCAAGGCATCACAAGTCTGTAAGGGAGCTTTTGTAGTTGTTGGCAATAGTTGAGAAATCATTTAAAAAGTCATCATTTATAAAGAAACACACTAAAATCTATACAAATGCTGCACTAAAAATATCATTAAGTAATAAACAATTATTTTGAATTGATAAGATTCTTGCTATCCTTGATCTCGCTCTTATTACTGTATTATCATATATAACGAGCAGCAGCCACTCTGAAAATCAGTTTAGTGTCTTCCTTCTTTTCAATGTATACTTCTTAATCATATGTTTTCCTATGTTTCTGCAGTATCAAAGCAAGTCTAACAAATCCAATCATTAAAACCCAGATACAATATTTTGATACATTTGAGCAGTCTTGAGTACATTTACACCAAAGCAACACAGAAAAACACTCCGTTATTGAGCATGTAATTGCAGTTAAATAAAGCTTTTTTCTTTTTAAAATAAAAATAATTAACCCAGTAGCTTTTATATTACAGCCTGAAAGTGATGTTTTTTGTTTGGTCGATTTCAATTTTCTAAAAAAGATAAATCTCATTAGAATCTTAGCTAAGGAAACACACAAAGGTGAAAGAACAAAAGGAGCTGGACAAATATGACATTTTCTGAATAATATTAAGATATATGTCTCTTGGCTCATCTATAAAGGAAACTGTTAGGGTGACAACTGCAGAGGCAGAATCTTTTCCCACTTGAATACCCTCCTGGTTTTCAAGGGGATAAGCCTGAGTTTCAGAGCCAGTTCTACAACTTACCAGCAGAATATCCCAGAGAAATGTTTTAACAGTATCTCACAGTATCTCTTTCCTTATAGACACATTGAGGATGACTGAAATTCTGTCTTAGTGGACGATCATAAAGATTAGAGATCATTTATAAAAACACCTTGGCACACAACAGGTATTCAATCAATGATATTGTCTTTCCGCCCTTGTTAAAGGAATATAATTCAGTTGACATTTTCTTTTATTTAAAGATTTGAATCTGAATCAAATCCATCATACATGTATTGAATGCCGGCTACATTTAAGAAACTAGGCACTAAACCAGAGAGAAAAGATATGTAAAATGCTGTCCATTTCCTGATTGTTTATCCTAGTCATAGGGGACAAAGTTAAGACCCGTAACAAGATAACTGACAATCCAAAAGCATAAGTGAGTGCTTAATAGATGAGTTGCACATTGTCATCCACAGTAAATATATACCAAACAAATAAATGAATGAGTTAAGAGGAGAGAGAAGGGCTTTGTCCTCAGTTGGCCCTGGGAGTTTTTTTAATGGGTTAGAATTTCAAATTGAAATCTTAAGTAAGAATTGGCTTGGATAGACAGATGTAAAGAAGAACATTCTTTCCAGCAAGAGTGCAAAATTATAAGTTCAATTCAAGAAACTGCAAGCTAATCAGTTTGCCTGAATACAACAAAACAACTATTTTTATGGCCTATTCATAAAAAAGTGAAACACCTTTAACTACAGTCATATGCCCCAATAACAATGTTTTGGTTCACAGCAGACTATACATATGACAGTGGTCCCATAGGACTATAGTTCCATATTTTTACTGTACCTTTTCTATGTTTAGATATGTTTAGAGACACAAATACTTGCCATTGTGTTATAATCACCTACAGTATTCTGTACAGTAACCTTCTGTGCAGGTTTGTAGCCTAGATATAGCAATAGGCTATACCACATAACCTATATGTGTAGTAAGCTATATCATCTAGGTTTGTGTAAGTACACTCTATGGTATTTGCACAATGATGAAACAGCCTAACAGCACATTTCTCAGAATGTATCCCTATAGTTAAGCAACTTATGACTGTAAATGGAAGGCACATTCTCTGGAAAGCATTTTAAATACATCTGGAAAGTCACACTTTGGAAGAAATAGATAAACAATTACTTTGACCTAATAGGTTAACTTTCTTTTAGAATTTTCTTTTATTTAAGTAAAAATGAATAGAAGACTAGCCAAAAACCCAGTTTGAAATCAATAATTAAACCAGTCTATGATTATATAATAATAAGCCTATGACTTTCACCTTGGAGGTATGCCATGTTCTTTTGCTCCTACCAAATCTGCCCTTGGCCAAAGTCATCTTCTCTCAAAAGAGCAAAAGTTCTATTTTTGCCATTTCTGATATTGCTTTCATGAGATCACCAGTGTCTATGCCAAGAATGCTTTATTATTTTCTTTCAAAATTGCCACTCATCAAGGTGCTACACACAGCTGGATTTTTTGTGTAGATGGGAGAACGTTCCTCCACCTGACTCTGAAGCATACATTATTTCTTGGAACCAAAACAATACTGCTTGTGCTCAGCATCTGACTTTCTCAAAGCTCGGAGTTGCTCGGAGTTTCTCAAAGTTTCTCAAAGCAGCCCTTTCAATATTTCTTTCTTTCTTTAGCTTATGCAAGCAACTCTCAAATGATTCTCTCAAACAAAATTGAATGCTTCCAATAAATAGACAGATGGACAAATGCAAGCAACACAAAATAAACCCTGTTTGTTTCACAGAATCAAACAACAGTTCAGGCACAGTGCTTTCTTTATCCATTTACAGACAAAGAACATGAGATGACCCTTGTCCTCAAGAATTTTTACCTCTTCCTTTCAGTTACCCCTAAAAGGCTTAAAATAATACGGAGTTGGCTCTGGCTTGGCCTTTGTTCACCTGTATTACAAACAATTCGGTTTGCTTATTTTAGAATAAATAAGTTAGAAAAGCATTTAGCGCATGCATAACTCAGAAACTCATGCAAGGGATTTAAATAAAACAGTTTTTCCAAATGTAAAGTCTATACCTCGAAAAGAAAAGAGGTACGTTTTTAAATAATTGTGGGTTTTTCCCCAGCTTCTATCTTTAAAGTTCCCCACAAAATTAGGATCAAAGTTACTACCAATGTACATCAATATATTTAGTTAAATTAGAATTTTTCTCCTATGCAATATCTGGGTTATTTCTTTGGCTTTCAAATGTTAAATTTCAGCAAAAGTCTAGGAGATAATTGTAGAGATGATACTAAATCAAGGTGATAAGGACCTGAAGGAGTTAATGGAGTTTCTAATATTGCTAAAATCATGGCTCTGTTGTGGTAGCATTTATTTTTAAGATACTACTAGTCCAAAAAAGTTATAGAAAGGCTTCTGAATAGTATCTGCAGCAATTTTTTAAAAAGACAAAATAAAACAAACAAACAAAAAGCAAAAAACAAAAAAACCAAAAGAAATAATCCAGAATTCACCACTCTGTCTTCCACAGAATCTACATTAAGAAAAATGTCTGGGTATTGAAACATCCTTTGAAATATTAAAAGGGTGATATGTATTATTTGGTTAAATTGCAAGTATAGGAAGAAGAACCAGTAATAAGGAAGATGCTCACTGCTCATTCTTCTTGTGACAATAAACTCAAATGAATCATTGCATGATAGCAGAAGGTAGAGCTTCAGTTTATCATAGAAATGCTCTTAATTAGACTTGCTACACCAGTGTATGTCTCATCTGAATTGCCCGTGTATTATTGATAAACTTTATTGGGTTATTTTACATATCATGTATTCATCTTGGTCTGATCAAGTCTCAGTTGTGTATTGCAATATGAATTTGCCAACTATGGTTGGCTGGTTGGTTCACTGGAGTTCATCAGCCCACAGTTCTAATTCAGGATGTCATTGAGGTATGAATATATTAGGTTATTCTGCAGCCCAGAGGTTGATCCTTTATTAGCTCTTCAGTATTTGATAATTATAATGAAGATCACAAAACTGCAAGATCTAATTAAGTTTGGAACTTTCCAAAATTGACTTTCTGTACAAAATTTCATGCTGAATGAATGTGACAATCCAGAAAATTAAAGAAATAGCCTCTTGCATGACTATATTTCATTTCCCACTTCATACATAGAAGCAGAGAATCCTGGGGCTAAAAACAGGGTTGAACAACTTCTCAAATTAAGAACAATTTTGCACATGACCAAGATTTTAATGTCTATTCCCATCCAAGAAAGTTTGTACATAATAATAATGCTTATCATGGGTATAGGCAGTTTAATTTTCCAAGTGTTTTTACCTGTGTTATCTTGCTTTATCCCCTGAGCTAGGTGGATGAGATGTTGTGATGCTACCTCATGGAGATGTGTGAGTTCACACACTCAACTAATAAGTTGTATGTTCAATTAGTAGTAAGTTGACTTTTTGAACCACCGTGTCTTCCTCTGAAAAATGGGGATAATAATATTTCATAAGATTCCTGTGAGGGTTAGAAATGTTCTACTTAATTTGACCTTTCTATTTTATGGTTGTAGTGATCCCCTCATCTACTGGACCTGATTGCTTTTGAGCTAGAATTTTGCCCTAGGCAGTGTTCTTGTTTCTAAGCAAATGCGCCAAATCTATTCTGGACTGTGGGAATGAGGTAATGTGGGCATCTTAGCAACAATATTTGCTCTTAGGATTAGGAGTTGCAGCAACCAATTTAGCTGCAATTTCCTTCATGAATACAAATGCAATTGACAGAGTTAACTCATAATCACCAGATTCCATATGAACTTTGTCCAGAAAATTGACAAATGGGTACAGTTTGCCCTTTATTTCATGGAAAGATAAACCATTTCAGATGGTGCACAATATTTCTGATGGGTACACTGTAAATATGTGTATTGTACTCTGTTATTCAGTAGGCATCATCTGAACTGGTTTCCAGGTTGTACTCTGACTGCTCTCTTATCTTCCTCTCTTTCTACTGATCATATTCCAGAGGAAGGTTGGCTTGATATAAGAAGCCTGAATTTTTGCCAATGCAGCGCATTTTGAGAACTGAGGAAGACCCTCATCTGTGCTTTACTTTATACACTAATGTGAACTGACTCAGCAGAGACTGATTTTTTTTGTAACGTCACAAATGAAAATGTCCCTGAATGGGATAACTTGTTATCATCCAAGTTTATTTTTTTCTGGACAGTTTGCCAGATCCTCTGAATGTGGAAGAAAGCTAAGGAAAATTCTGGTATAATAAGATGCAGAGCAGATAGATTTTCATTGGGCAGAGCGGCGGCACACAGGAGGGTCTTGAGTTCATTAAAGAACCTTAGTCCGGTGCTGGCTAGCACAGCTGCTGGTGGGTGGAGGATCCTGGTATTCAAAGCAAAGGTGGGACAGCACGAACATGCTGATGTCTATAGCTGTGATTTCCCAGGGCCACTCTTGCCATTGAGCCTTTATTTTCTTTTTTTGAGAGAGGAGTTTGCTGTTGCCCAGGCTGAAGCGCAGTGGTGTGATCTTCGCTCACTGCAACCTCCATCCACTTCCCAGGCTCGAACAATCCTCCCACCTCCGCCTCCCGAGCAGCTGGGACTACAGGCGCATGCCGCCACTCCTGGCTAATTTTAATATTGTTTTGTAGAGACGGGATTTCTCACCATGTTGCCCAGACTGGTCTTGAACTCCTGGATTCTAGCAATCCACCCACCTCGGTCTCCCAAATTGCTGGGAATACAGGAGTGAGCCACCGAGCCAGGCCTTAGCCTTTTCTCGACACCCTCCCTACCTTGAGGGAACCTGGAGTCCTTTCCACTCAGCTTCTCACTCCATGTACTGACTACACTCTGGCCTAGGTCACTGCCAATTCTTATTTTGGACTCTTGGCAAGAACATACATAGCCCAAAATGTGGGGGTTTATGGCCTGTTCCCCTGAGTCCCCTACTTCCAAGTACCCCAAAGCATTTATTTTATTATTGTTATTCTGGGAGGATTGGGGAGAAGGGAAATTAAATGCTTCCCCTTAGCCTTCATATTTTCCTCTCTGCTCCATTTTCCTCTCTGCTTTGGGACTTCCCAACTTTCACATTGCAACAAATATCAGCAGAGCCCTCGTTTAGATCTGAGCTACAGAATCACAAGCTATATACATTAAAGTATCCACTCGGACCAGAGATTAGTGCATACATTTCTAATTTTTGTAGCTTTCATTTCATAAGCGCCTTTATTAAAAATCAAATATATATTAAGGATAGATAGAACTGTTATCACCTAAACTTTTAATAGGTAATTAGCAGAAAATGGGAATAACATAAAATAGAATGTGGTTAGAAATAACTCAATTTTTAAAAAAGGAGAAAATAAACTTAGAGTAATGGCAAAAGTGCTCACTTCCCAATTTTGACTCCCTGACAAAACTTTGTCTATCTTCCATCAAAACATAGAGCCTATCAAGGCAAAGCTGGGCTTTGTCACTGATGTCTCTCTAGTGTCTAAGTAGTTTATATACACAATAAGTACTTAGTCAACATTTGTTGAATCAGTGGCTGAGTGAACATCAGGTTAAAGGAAGTAATGTACAGTTGCAGAATAAAGGTTCCATTGACATAGTTCTGAACACTCAAAGAAGATTTCTTTTTGTGACCAAGACAGTTAGAATACTAGGCTTTAATTTTATTATCTTTAATTACTACTAACTAAATCATCGGATTTTAAGCTCAGTAACAGCTGAGATATTGTTTTCCTTTTTATCAAACCACAATTGAATAAATAAGAAAGGAACTGGCAGGCAAAAACAGGAGAAACAATAGTGAATTACGAGGTAAGTGGGAAGTACTACATTAATGTTATAAAAGTCTGACCAAACATTTTGTTTAGAGAATACACACATACAAAAAGAATAGAAGGACATAGGAAGAAAAGTACAGTAAATTCTTTTAAACCTATATTTTAGACGATTACTTCTCTCATGCTTTGGGTCCACTTTTGTTCAACAGGCATCCAAGAAAGACTTATTGACTGCTTAATTTGATTTCCATTCTCATCCCAAATCAACAATTTTAATTTCTATGATGCCTTAATTTAAAATATATTAAAATATAGTCACCATGTCATGCAATAGATCACTAAAACCTATATCCTCTGTCTAACTCAAACTGTACACTGTGACACCAACATCTCCCCCGTGCCCCGCTTTCTTCCACCCCAGCACCCTCCGGTAACCACCATTCTACTCTATACATTTGTGAATTTGACTTTTGTAGATTCCCCATATAAGTGAGACAATGCAGTGTTTGTCTTTCTGTGCCTAACTTATTTTACTTAGCATGTTGTTCTTCAGGTTTATCCATGTTGTTGCAAACGACAGAATTTCCTTCTTTTTAAAAGTCTGAATAGTATTCTATGGTGGGCATTTATACCACATTTTCTCAATCCATTCATCTGTTATTGATGGATGCTTAGGTTGCTTCCATATCTTGGCTGTGGTGACTATAGTTGACCCATTTTTTTAAAGTAGGCAAGTAATCTAAATAGATATTTCTCCAAAGAAGATACAAAATGAACAGCCAGCACATGAAAAGATGTTCAATATCATTAACCTTCATAAAAATGTAAATCAAAAACACAATGAGATATCACTTCACACGTACTGGGATGGCTAGAATAAAAAAGACAGAAAACAAGCATTGGTGAAGATGTAGAAAAACTGGAATTCTCACACTCCACTGGTGGGAATATAAAATAGTGCAGGTACTTTGGAAGACAGTTTGGCAATTTCTCCAACACTTAAACATAAAGTTTACCATATGATCCAGCAATTTTATTCCTAGGTATACACCCAAGAGAAATGAAAACATGTCTACTCTCCAAACAGAAACTTTTACATCAATCTCCATTGCAACATTATTCTTAATGGCCAAAAGGTGGAAACAACTCAAATGCCCATTAACTGATGAATGGATAAATAAAATGTGGTATATTCAAACAATGAAATATTTTTCAGCAGTAAAAAGAAATATATTGATATATGCTACAGCATGAATGAATCTTGCAAACACACTAAGTAAAAGAAGACAATCATAAGCACGACATATTGGGTGATTTCATTTACATCAAATGCTAAGAATAGACAAATCTATAGGGACTAAGTAGATTAGTGGTTTCCTAGAGCTGGGGAAATGGGGTGATTGGGAGGTGAAAAAGAGCAAACAATTGATATATGCAATAGTGTAGATGAATTTAACAGACATAATGTTGAGTGAAAGAAGCCAGACACCAAATAGTACATACTGTATGTTTCCATTTGTACTAAGTTCAAGAACAGGTGAAACCATTCAGTGGCAATAAAGTTTAGCATTTGTGACCTTTGGGGATATTGCCTTGGAGTAGGTATAAGGCAGCCTTTTGAGCTATTAGAAATTTTCTATTATCTTCATCTCAAAGATGGGTCCCTGAGTGACCGTATGTGTGAGTGTATATATGTAAAAAATTAATCCAGTGGTACACTGAATACTTGTTGAATATACTATGTGCATCAAACCACAATAAAAAAGTTTTAATAGATTAAAAATATATATTTAAAATTGTTAAGAGTAGACTTTAAATGTTCTCACTACAAAAAAAATAAGTATGTGAGGATATGTTATTAGCTTGATGTAATCATTCCACAATGTATACATATATCAAAACATTACATTATACCCACAAATGTATAGAATTCTTATCAATTAAAAATAAAAGAAAAAATATGAATTAAAATAAATATTTATTTTTCCCTATGCCCATGTAATTGAGACTCACTTCCACTCATTAGAAATTAGAACTGATAGGCAAATTACCAAGTCTTCAAAAGTCTTTCCACTTTTCACTTCTTATACTCTCTCACTGCCCTAGTCATTCATTCCTCCATTCAATTATTTATCAATGGAATAACTGTTGAGTGCCCATCACATGCCAGATACTGTGTTAAACACTGATGATGCAAATATGAATACCTTCAGGGTATCACATAGGAGAACATAAAAGAGTATACTAGGAATCATGTTGCTAAGAAACAGTGGAGTGCATGGAATTTTGGGGTCATAGAAATCAGAGTTTGAGTAGTTTTCTACCATTTATTACCTGGGTAACCTTGAGTTTGTTAAGTCTTTGTTTTGTTTTTGATAAGAGAACAGATTTTATAATCTAGCACAATGTTTGCTTGGCCTTAGACTGTGCCCCACAAATGATGGTGAATGTGGGTGTTGTGATGATGCTCCAATAGAGGCACACATGAGTGCAGGGGAAGCTTAGGGGAGAGAGGCCTCATTCTGACTTAGGGAGGCTTTACTAAGGAGATACTTGAACTGGTGTTTTACAGGATATGTTCTTAGGCATTTAAAGAGAGAGAATATTCATGTCTAAGGCCTTAGTAGTGTGAGAGAATGTGGAGTGATTTAGAAGAGGCCAGGAATTGAAAAGGGCAAGGCCAAGAATGCTTGGTGGGGTGGGGAAGATAGAATAGCTAGAAGAATGAAAGCAGTCAGATTATGAAGGGCCCATTAGGCCCATTAGGCCCAAGATGTATGTGTTGTCTAGAAGATGGCAAAGTAGCATGGAGAGGTTTTAGAACAAGTTAACATGGTTAAATTTTGATTTGAGAAAACACCCTCTTTGCACTGTAGGAGATTGGTTGAAACAATGTAAGGCGGGAGACACAATTAAGTATAATCATCTTGAAAAACTTTTGATTGTACCACAACAGAATAAAACTCTTGACTCAACATAGCCCAAAACATGTTTGCTTGTTATGAATTATGAACATGTATTGTACTAATATACTATATATACCATAAAACCATGAAAAAAGAAATTAGAAAATGATGCCATGAATTTGAAAAAAACCAATATTTTTCTGTTATGCTACTTTTTACTATAATTAACTAGAATTTCAAGGCATAATACACACTTTGGGAAGATATGGGTAGAAATCTTTATTTTGAAGGGTCTTTATGATTTCAAAACTTTCTGAAGCTTTGTCAGATATGATTAGATTTTCATTGTTTATACTTCATAATGTGGCTAACAACAAACTTGCTCTATACATAGGATGATTTGTGCTTCCATTTGCTTAGGTTTGCTTGTGCTTGCATTTTCAGGATTATCCTTAGTTTATGGTTTTTGTCTTGTTTTTTTTTGTCTTGTTTTGTTTTGTTTTGTTTTTTGCAGTTATCCTTAGATAACTGGGTGACCTGAGTCACCCAGTGAGAGCTGATTTTGTTAAAATGAAATAATTTAATGTGGAAATCTACTCACTAATTACTGTGATGCTTAGGAAAAATTGAATGTAAATAAAGATGTGGTATAATATCAGTCCTCCATATTGTAGAACTCTCACTCTTTCTGAAAGATTCCTTTGACAACCTGACATGATATTTGAACATCTGAAGTGCAGACTAAGAAAAGTTACAAGACAAATTTGTATATTACATAGAAATATAGCTCAATTGTTTTCTAACTTTAAGGTAAAAATAACTTAAATATAGTGTTTTCTTCCCATACCCCAGGGATTCATCATAGAAACTCCTGGAGTTCACACACCTAGTTTTGAGGTCATTGCCCTAGAGGATACTAGAACCAAGCAGTAGAATGGGAGTGGTGAAGAAAAATGTAAAAGGTAGAATCAAGTGGATGTCATGCCAAAAGACATATTCTTTTAATGATTCCTGTTGAATCAATTAAGTTTTCTTCTCTAAAAATTTATCCTATTATAACTTTCATTTTTATCCACACATTAAATCTGAAGTACTGCAGAGTATAGCTGTCATTTCAGGTTCTTTTAATATTCTTATTTGTTTTTACTTATATTTCCAAAATGTTATACCATGACATGCATTATGATACATAAACAATGAAAATCCAATTATATCTGACAAAAAGTCAAAAACTAAGTTTTGTAGCACTATTTTAAATTAAAATATAAAGAATCTAATTAAACACAGGAAAGATATTTTTAAAACTTTTGTGTTTGTTTTCCAAATATCTAGAAATGTCTAAATTATCTGTTAAAAAATCTTGGAAATGTATGCAAGATAGCATGAGGGAATCCAAATCTGTTCTGACTGGTACCCATTCTACTGAAACTATTTCCAAAAATTGAGGAGGAGTGACACCTCCCTGAGTCATTTTACAAAGCCAGCATCACTTAATACCAAAAGCCGGTGAAGACACAACACAAAAAGAAAACCACAGGCCCATGTCTCTGCTAAAGATAGACACAAAAATACTCAACAAAATACTAGCAAACCAAATCCAGCAGTACAGTGAAAACTTAACTCACTGCAGTCAAGTAGGCGTCATTCTGGGATGCAAGGTTGGTTCAGCATATACAAATCAATAGATGTGATTCACCACATAAACAATTAAAATGAAAATGATATGATGATCTCAATACACATGAAAAAAGACTTCAATAAGATACAACATCCCTTCATGATAAAAACCCTTAACAAACTAGGCATCGAAGGAACATACCTCAAAATAATAAGACCCATCTATCACAACCCCACAGCCAACATCATAATGAATGGACAAAAGCAGGAGCCATTCTCCTTAAGAGTTGGAACAAGACAAGGATGCCCACTCTCACAGCTCCTTTTTAACATAGGGAAGTACTTGCCAGAACAATCAGGCAAGAGAAAGAAATAAAAGGCATTCAAATAGGAAATGAAGAAGTCAAACTATCTCTTTTCACTGACAATACATTTCTACACTTAGAAAACATTAAAGACTGCCAAAAGGCTCCTGGAACTGATAAATGACTTTAGTAAATTTTTGGGATACAAAGTCAATGTACAAAATCAGTAGCGTTTCTACACACCAATAATGTTCAAGCTGAGAGCCAAATAAAAAATGCAATCCCACTTACAGTAGCCCCCCAATATAAAATATCTAGGAATATATCTAACCAAGGAAGTAACAGTTCTTTTCAAGGAGAACTACAAAACATTGCTGAAATAAATAATCTGTGACAAAAACAAATGCAAAAACATTCCATGCTCATGGATTGGAGGAATCAATATCAGTAAAATGGCCACACTGCCCAAGGCAATATACAGATTCAATACTATTCCTGTCAGATAACTACCAATATCATTTTTCACAGAATTAGAAAAACCTATTCTAAAATCTATATGGAACCAAAAAAGGTCCTGGATCACCAAATCAATCCTAAGCAAAAAGAACAAAACTGGAGGCATCACATTACTTGACTTTATAATATAAGGCTACTGTAACCAAAACAGCATGATATCAGTATAAAAACAGGCATATGGACCAACAGAACAGAATAGAGGACCCAGAAATAAAGCCACACACTTATAGCCATCTGATCTTCAACAAAGTCAACAAAAATAAGTAATGGGGAAAAGACTTCCTAGTCAATAAATAGTACTGGGAATGCTGGTTAGCTATAAACAGAAGAATGAAACTAGCCCAGGTGTGGTGGCTTGTGCCTATAATCCCAGCACTTTTGGAGGGTGAGGCAGGCAGATCACTTGAGGTCAGGAGTTTGAGACCAGCCGGGCAAACATAGTGAAACACTGTCTGTACTAAAAATACAAGAATTAGCTAGGTGTGGTAGTGTGCACCTGTAGTCTCAGCTACTTGGGAGACTGAGACAGGAGAATCACTTGAACCTTGGAGGTGGAGTTTGCAGTGAGCTTAGATTGTGCTACTGCACTCCAGCCTGGATAACAGACTGAGACTTTGTCTCAAAAAAAAAAAAAAAAAAAAAAAAAGAAGAAGAATGAAACTAGACCCCTGCCATTCACCATATACAAAAATTAACTCAAGATGGATTAAAGATTTAAATATAAGATCTCAAACTATAAGAATCCTAGAGAAAAATCTTGGAAACACCATTCTAGACATGGGCCTTGGGAAAAATTTATGAATAAGTTCTGAAAAGCAATTGCAACAAAAACAAAAATTGACAAATGGGACCTAATTAAACTGAAGAGCTTCTGCACAGTAAAAATAAACTATCAACAGACAACCTACAGAACGGGAGAAATTATCCAGAAACTCTGCATGTTACAAAAGTCCAAAATCCAGAATCCATAAGGAACTTAAGCAATTCAACGAGCAATAAACAAATAGCCCCATTAAGAAATGGGCAAAAGACATGAACAGACACTTCTAAAAAGAAGATATACAAGTGGCCAACAAACATAAAAAAATGCTCAACACCATTAATTATCAGAGAAATGCAAATCAACACTACAATAGGATACCATCTCACACCAGTCAGAATGATTGTTAAAAGGTCAAAAACAAGATACTTGTGAGGATGCAGAGAAAAGGGAATTCTTATGCACTGTTGTTGTGAATGTAAACTATTTCAGCCACTGTGGAAAGCAGTGTGGAGATTTCTCAAAGAACTTAAAACAGAACTACCATTTGATGCAGAAATTCTGCATTTCACATCTCTATCTTTAAATACGTAAATTAGTACTGTCTAATATTTTCATCTAAGTCTCTCTGTCTCTTTCCTTTACCCTCCTTTCACCCCATAATTATCCTGAACTTGTAATATATTATTCCCATGTTTTTACACCCTGCTTATTAACCTTGTATAACAAATACTATTATTTAAAAATGTGTGTGTGTATAGCATTATGTTACATATTTTAATTGGCAATTTGCTTTTTCCAACTCAATATCATGATGCAAAGATTTAATTTATTTACAGTTCTATGTAGTATTCCATTGTATGAATAAGCTACACTGCATTGTCTAATTGAGGGCAACTTGGGTATTTACTCTTTTTCCCTATTACAAACATTGCTACAGTAAATATCCTCTCTCTGTCTCCTTTGGCATACAATAGAGAGACTTTTAAAGTAGGTATCTAAGATGTGAAATTGCTGGGTCTTAGGGTGTGTGTATCATCAGCATTATAAGATAATTTCAAATTGCTCACCAAAATGGTGGTATCAATTTACATTCTTGTCCGAATTTTCATTTTCGAATACCCTTATTTTCATAGTATTAATAGCCTATGTATTTCTGCGAAACTAATGGATATGGAGTGGTGTTTCATTGTTTAATTTTTATTTCCTTGATTATTGTGAGGTTGAGCAGTTTTAATGCTTTATTGACAAGTCAGGTTTTTTTTTCTGTTTCTTTAAACTTTTGCCATATTTTTTCTATTGGGTTACTTGTCTTTTAAAAATATAGAAGCAATTTTATATTCTGGATTACAATCTTCTTTTACATATAAGTTTTAAAAATATTTTCTACTTTGTGGCTGGTCTTTTTACTTTATTTGTCTTACGAATGTTTCTAATTTAAAAGTAGTATTTATCAAATTTTCCCTCTAGGAGCCTTGGTTTTTATACTTTCTTTTTAAGAAACCTCTCCTTTCTCCCTATATTATTGCACAAGAATTTCTTTTTATTTTCTTTTTTTTTTTTTTGAGGCAGTGTTTCGCTCTTGTTGACCAGGCTGGAGTGCAGTGGCACAATCTCTTTGGCTCACTGCAACCTCCGCCTTCTGGTTTCAAGCAATTCTCCTGCCTCAGCCTCCTGAGTAGCTGGGATTACAGGCGCCCACCACCACACCTGGCTAATTTTTGTGTTTTTAGTAGAGATGAGGTTTCACCACGTTGGCCAGGCTGGTCTCGAACTCCTGACCTTGTGATCCGCCCGCCTCAGCCTCCCAAAGTGCTGGGATTACAGGCGTGAGCCACCGTGCCCGGCTCTTGCACAGGAGTCTTTAAATCGTATGGTATATTTAAAATAATCACTTCTTTCTTCATAATGTTGTGTTCTTACTTAACAATAAGGATTTGAAATTTAAAAAACAAATGACTGGAAAGAAGCCAGTATGAAAAGGCTACATACATACTGTATGATTTCAACCATGTGCCATTCTTTACAAAACTATAATAGAGACACTAAAGATACCAGTGATTGCCAGCAGTTTGGCGGGAGGGAGGGACCAATAGGCAGAGCACAGAGGATATTTAGGGCAGTGACATTCTTCTGTATGATACTGTAACAGTGGATACCTGTCATTACACATTTGATAAAACCTATAGAATATACACCACAGAATGAATCCTAATGTAAACTATGGATTTTAGTTAATAATAATGTATCAATATTAGCTCATCAATAATGACAGATGTACTACACCAGTGCAAGGTGTGAATAATAAGGGAAAATGGGGAGGAGTGGATCAGGGGGCATATAGGAACCCTGTACTTTGTGCTAGTTTTTCTATAAACCTAAAATTACTCTAAAAGTTAAAGTCTGTTAATTTTTTTAAAATGCATTCTCTAGCAATGAATTTTTTCACATATGAAAGTGATTGGATTCTTAAGAAAATATTAGAGAAGGACTGTTTTTGTGATTCAGAAATAAATTATCTGATAGCTAGGGTGCCCAGACTAGTATCGGTTTATGGTTCTTGTTGTAGAGTAATTATAAATAGCTTTCTCCATCACTCTCAAAAGGTGTCCCATTTAGACAATAAATTAGATGATGGTTCTGCTTGTAATCCTATAAGTTTGACTTTCAACTATGAGATACACAGGTTTCTTTTTGACTAAAATAGGTTGGAGGGTGATTTATAGATGTTTTCCCACATTTCTTCATTTTTAGTATAAGAACCAGCTTGGTTTTCAGCAGTATGATTATCTCTGGCTCTGGGCTCAGAAATGACAGTTATAATTAATAATTTGGGAAAAATGTCATAGTTTATGCTAGGAGAGAAATGTGGTGTCAGTAAGAAGTGTATTTTAGAGGCAATAAGTCTTATTCACTGGGAAAAGGAGTTGGAATATTTCTTTACATGAAACATGAAGATAAGTTTGCCATTCTGGGTTCTTCTGCTTTGCTCTTTGCCTTGTTCTGCTTGCTTGTATGCAGGAGGAAGTAAACTTGGGCTCTGGTATCAACTCTGCTACGTGGTCTGAGAAAAGACACTTGATCTTTTGGAGTCTCTGTTTCTTCATCTGGAGAAAAAGACACTTGTGTCAGAGGATATGCTCTTTTAGTACTGAAATTACATGACAAATGTGTTCTGCATTTTTTACATATGATATTAGAAGTAGTGGGAGATAACGCTGGAAAAATAAATGATGTAAGAAGGTGGAGGTTCTGAGAAGTTCAGACTTTGGACTTGCATATGTAACCGTGAAAAAGTATCTGGAATCAAACAAAAATTTGCAATGAGAGCAATTAGAACATCAGAAAAAGATATTATAAACAACTGTTTGAAGGCATTTGAGGGAGGCAACCGGTACTTGAAAAGCCATAATCACACTAAGAAGGTGTGTTAGTTCATTTGAGTTGCTATAAAGGAATATCTGAGACTGGGTAAATGTATAAAGAAAATAAGTTATGGCTTGTGTTTCTGCAGGTTATACAGGAAGCATGGCACTGACATCTGCTCCTGGTGAGGCTTCAAGAAGCTTTCAATCATGGCAGAAGGCAAGAGGGGAGCAGGTGCATCAGACGGCAAGAGAGGGAGCAAGAGAGGAGGTGCTAGGCTCCTTTTAAACAACCTACTCTTTTGTGAACTAATAGAGCAATAACTCACGTTGTCATCAAGGGGATGGCGCTAAGCCATTCATGGGGGAACCACTACCATGAGCCAACAGCTCACAGTAGACCTCACCTCCAATACTTAGGATCACAATTTCAACATGAGATTTTGAGGGGACAAATATCCAAACCACATCAGATGGTAACAAACATTATATGCTTTGCTTATGCCTTCTGAAATTTAGGTGACTCTTGGTGCTAGGTGTGCAGTTGACAACTTGGGGAGAGCTCCTTCTAAAAGACAAAGGACCCTGTAGAACTTTGGCAACAATCTGGCGCTGAAAAAACAAAACTTGGATTTCAGGGCTGTCAAAGCAACCAAGATCTGAGAGTCTAATTACTAGAGTGAAGAGAAGCACTGGAAAGTAAGCTTGACCCTCTGTGTTTTTCCACATGATAAAATTCTTAAACTGCTCAAGGTTAGAGCTTAAACAAAAACATACTGGGAAACATAGTGGGATTATTGGCAGTGTCTCATAATCTGATGAAGAGAAAAAATAAAGTTCAGGATATGTCAAAGAGAAGGAACCTAGTAAATATCCCAGACTTTTAGTCAGGGTCGCTAGAGAAACAGTTCTCTGTGGACATTTGTCTATGTCTTTGGATGTATGTGCTCTCCAAACCTCATGTTGAAATATGCTCCCCATTGTTGGAAGTCGGGCCTAGTGTGAGGTGTGGGATCATGGTGTCTTAGTGCCATTCCCTTGGTGATGGTATGTGGCAGGTGAAACAGAAGCATACGGAAGTTTACCAAGCCTGAAATCCAGCCTCAAGTAATCTGTCTTGGATTAGACTGAGACATTCTCTTTTTACGCTAGCTGAATGGGAAAGATGACAAAAAATATTGTCTGGAGACTATCCAAATTTTCAAACACAATGTATGATATTTAAAAAGATGCATATGCACATACACACAGACACACACACACACACACACACACACACACACAAAGAGTCTGAATTTTTTTAAAAATAGGCAATAGAAAGTAGTGTTAAGGCATGAACCATGACCGGGTGTAGTGGCTCATGCCTGTAATCCCAGCAGTTTGGGAGGCTGAGGTGGGTGGAACACGAGGTCAGGAGTTGGAGACTAGCCTGGCCAACATGGTGAAACCTCGTCTCTACTAAAAATACAAAAAATTAGCCAGGCATAGTGGTGTGCACCTGTAATCCCAGCTACTCAGGAGGCTGAGGCAGGAGAATCGCTTGAACCTGGGAGGCTGAGGTTGCAGTGAGCTGAGGTTGAGGTTGTGCCATCATACTCCAGCCTGGGCAACAGAGCGAGACTCCATCTCAAAAAAAAAAAAAAAAAAAAAAAAAAAGAAGACTTGAACCGTAATGAACTGTTATCATCCAGAGTCCTTCAGTGTAACCAATAATGGGAGGGTATATATAGGACCAAGAAAAAGGTGGGGAGAATTGCAAGAATAATTTACCTATAGTTCCTAAAAACAGTTAAATCAGTTGGAATCTCTGTGTTGTAAATAACATAAATCCTATTCTAACAGACTAAAACAATGGAGAATTCATTTGTTCATTAACTGAACATTCTAGGGCTGGGCTGGGCTTTTGGGTGGATTAGTTCTGGGGTTCAACTCTGTCATCAAAAACTCAATTCTGCTTTGTACAGTGTCATCTGTAAGTCTTCCCTGACGGTAGCAAAGTGGCTACAAGAATTCCAGAATTCTCATGTGCACAACTCTCTTCACAATAAAGGAGAGGGCTGTTGTAGCTTTCTCAGAATTGCAAGAAATATTCTACATTTGGAATCTCCAGGAAACATTTTTCCAAAATTAATTGGTATAAATTGAGTTAAATGGAACAAACCCTTTGATCAGTAACTGAAAAATGAAATGGAAATGCTCTGACTGGTTAAAAAGAATAACAGCCCACTCCTGGTGCAGAACACTACATATTTCAAAAGCAAAGAAAGAGGTGTTAGAGAAGCATAATCAATAGCTACTACAGAAGTTCTGAATAAAACATATGCAAAATATGATGAAAGACAAAACATACAGCTATAAAGGAAAGAAATGGCAAAGACTGCAGGTCGAGTGACTATCCTAGAAGAACCTGTGTGATATGATTTTGCTGTGTCCCCACCCAAATCTCATCTTGAATTGTAGCTCCCATAATTCCCACATGTTGTGGGAGGCACCCAGTGGGAGGTAATTGAATCATGAGGGCAGGTCTTTTCCATTCTGTTCTCATGATAATAAATAAGTCTCATCAGATCTGATATTTTTTTAAAGGGAAGTTCCTCTACACAGCTCTCTTGCCTGTGGCCACATAAGACGTGACTTTGCTCCTCCTTCGCCTTCTGCCATGATTGTGGGGATTCCCCAGCCATGTGGAACTGTGAGTCCATTAAACCTCTTTTCTTTATAAATTACCCAGTCTCAGGTATGTCCTTATTAGCAGCATGAGAACAGACTCATACAATGTGCTACAGGAAACAGAAAAAAAAAAAAATTCCAAAGCAAATGCTGGGAACTATCAAATTTAAGATGAATATTGAATACCTGGGAGAAAAGGTTAAAAAGATAAGCAATTTGGAAGATTGTACAAATTAAATGTGGATATCTGTAAGTCAATTTAAAAACACTGGAGTAAAAATAGCATGATTACTGGTTTAATTTAAAAATTAGAAATAGGGCAGTACAGAAACAAGGAGGGTAGCAATCAAATCAGTAACAGGGAGGAAGTTCCTAGGAAAATAACAAATAGAGCAAAAAAAAAAAAAAATGTAAAGAGGCTATGATATGTATGGAGGCCAGAAATTGGAGATTAAACCCATCAATACATGGTATTCCCTAAAGTGTAGACTAACATAATTCAAATAGAATGCATCCAAAGATGTAATAGAAAACTCCCATGAAGTGAAAGAAAATCCAATTCTGTGAATCAAAAAGTCTTCCTCTATACCAATAAAAGCTATTGACTGAGAGCACAAAAACATTCTTGCGAGATGATCAAATTTTAAGAACAGTCCCCTCCCCCCAACCCTCATCACCAAAAAACAAACAAACAAATAAACAAACAAAAACTTTGATTTTAGATTTAGAAAATCTTTTTAAAGGATAAAAAAGCAATCTGAATCGTGGATTCAATATTTAATGTTATTCCATTACAAACCTCAAGTTTTTGTGAATGTGTATGTGTTCATGTACATGCAGATACGTGCATATTCGTGCATATTCCTGTATATGTGAAACTTTACAAGATAATTTAAAAATTTACATCAACATCCCGGAGGGGTGGCTCATGCCTGTAATCACAACACTTTGGGAGGCCTAGGCGGAAGGATGGCTTGAGGTCAGCAGTTTGAGACCAGCCTGGGCAACGTAGCAAGACTCTGTCTCTATAAAAACTAAAATAAATAAATAAATAATAAATAAACAAATTAGCCAGGTGTGGTAATGTGTACCTATAGTCTCAGCTCTGCTGGAGGTTGAGGTGAGAGGGTCACTTGAGCCCAGGAGTTTGAGGTTGCAGTAAGTCATGATTGTGTCACTGCACTCCAGCCTGTCTTAAAAAAAAAAATTACACTGAAGAACAAAGGATGAATAATTATTTGCCTTTCCAGTGCTAGAGTAATTATGACCATGTGATATTGACCATGTGATATTGGCATGTGTAATCCCTGAACATATCAACATATTACAACTAAACTCTACTTATGACAGGGTGGATTGCACATGCAGTCATGAAGAATGAACTTTTCAATGCATAGTATTTAAATAATTGGTTAGACACACAAGAAAGAAATTGGACTCCAGCCTTTTACTTATGCAAAAACAAATCTCAAGTGGGTTAAAAACATAAATATAAAGTGACAAAATTATAAAATTTGAAAAGAAAACAAGAATAATTTTAATATCTTAGGTGAAGAAAAAGTTCTTATGACACAAAAAGGGCAGAACCAAAACGGAGACCATAGACATATTTGGCTCAAATAAAACCAGGGACTTCTGTTTATCAAAAGACATCTTAAAGAAAGTGTTGGCAAAGGTTTGAAGCAATCAGAACTCTTAGACATTGCTGGTGGGAATATAAATCAGTATAGTCATATTGGAAAACAGCTTGCATTACCTCATAAATGCAAAGCTACCCCACTTCTTTAATACGCTCTAGAGAAAATGATGCGCATGACTATCGGGACTCATATAATCATGTTTGTAGCAGTACATTTTGCAAAAGCAAAACAAACAGACAAACACATTGGAAATAACCCAAATATCATTCAGGAATAGAATGGATGGATGGATGCCTGGTGATGTAGACATTCTACTGAATCCTAGAAACGTGTGTAAAGGAATAAACTACATCTACTGCAAGAACTGGATAAATCTTAGAAAAATAATATAGGGGGGAAGCTAGTCATAGCAGGATATGTAGGATATTATAATATTTATATAAAGATGGTTTCTCAATAATTATTAAACTAGAAAAAATAGTGGTGGAATCAATGAACAAATATGAGTTGGAGATTTGAAAAATCAAAACCAAACCATAAACTAGATAAAACCATCTAAAGTAATCAAGAAACAAAGTAGAAAGAACACAAGTGTGTATACAATTAAAATGTGTTAGTTTTTTATTGCTGCTGCAACAAATTACCACAAAGTGGTTTAAAACAACACAAATGTATTATCTCACAATTCTGCAGGTCGGATGTACGGGGGGTTCAGGTGGTCAGCTGGTTGGTCTGCTCCAGGTCTTGTGAGGATGAAATCAATGTGCCTGCCAATCTGCTCTCATCTGGAAGCTCTGAGGAATCTGCTTTCAAGCTCTGTTGGCAGAATTGAGCTCCTTTTGGTTGTAGGGCTAAGGTCACTGTTTCCCCGCTGGCTGTCAGTCCAGCTTCTTCGGCTCTTTAAGGTTTCCTGCATTCTTTGTCAACCTTCCACCTCCCTCTTCAAACCAGTAGCAATGTGTCACATCATTTGCCTTCTTTCAGTCTCTCTCACTTTCACTTCTACCACATTCCTCCCGCTACATCCTTATGATTCCAGCTGGAGAAAATAATCTGCTTTTAAGGGCTCATGTATTATGATTGGGTCTACCAAGATGATCCAGGAAAATCTCTCCTTCTCAAGGTCTATGGCCGTAATCACTTCTGCCAAGTCCCTTTGTCGTGTAACATAACATATTCACACACTCTGTAGATTAGGGCCTGGGTATCTTGGGAGCGTGTGGTGGGCGGTGAGGAAGGTACTATTTTACCTATCATAAAAGAATTAGAAAAGAGAAATATCCACCAATGCAGAAAAATAGAAAATAAATTATAAAGTACAACTTTGTGCAAATAAATGTGAAAACCGACTGAAGTGGATGATTTTCTGAAAAACATAATTTGCTAAATATTAGACGCAAAGAGCCAGAAAAAAATCTATCCATGGAAAGGAATTAAGAATATCACATTTCCCACAAAAGCACCAGTTCAAATGTTTTCCCAATTATATTTTTTTCAAATCTTGATGCAATAGATACTTTCAATATTATCTACATGATCCCAGAAATGTAAGAAAGGGTGTGTCCGCTATTGTTTATTGGTATCCAGCTCCTTATCTGACCACCTGCATTCTCTATATATCGAGGGTCTAGAAGCAGGACTTTTGTTAGCCGGGTCCTGGTGATTTTTGCCTATTGGAGGAGCTAGGGCAAGATTAGGAAGGAAAAGCAGTGGAGAAGCCACGTTCTGCCTCTGGCAGTGGTGGCTGGTCCAACTCTGGTGTGAGAGGGCTCGTGAGTGGCAGGGATGTGGGCTGCAGAGGCTCTGATGGCCACAAGTGCACGGAGGTCTCCCCTTCACGGGTTGCATCTGCTTCCCGTCAGTCTTAACCTCATGATGAAACTAACTTCTCTCTTTTGTCCTGCTATCCCTTCCAAATATTTTGAGACCCAGTTTTCTATTTTAAGTCTTTCTTTGCTTGTAATACCCTGAGTGGTTTTTGTTCTTCTTACTGGAATCTGACAGATACAGAAGGTAATCTTTTGAGTTATGTTTATAAAGCCCACTAAAATTGATCATATAATCTGACAAAGGCAGCATAAAAATAAAACTGAAAGCCGGTTTTATTAATGAATGTCAATGCGAAATGTATAAGTGAAATGCAATATAAAATATTAAAAACAGAATTTAATGGATAATTTTCAAAGTAATAAATCATGGGTAACTAGGGCTCATCCCAAAATCATTTATCATATGAATATGTCAAAGGACTACAAGAGAATGAAATAGCAGGTGTAAATTTTTGAAAGGGGAGACAAGTTTATTTTTTATGATAATGTGCTTTTATAGCACCAAAGAATCAGCTGAAGAGTTATTTAAAACAATATGAATATTTAATAAGGTGACTGGTTTCAAAATTAATTTATAAAATAATTAGCTTTTAGTTTAAAAACAATAACTAGTATGAAAGAAAACATCTCAATAACAAAAGCAAAGAGAAAAGTAAAGTTGGAAATAAACTTTTGAAAATGTACAGAATTTACATGAAGGAAACTTGAGAACACTGGCAATGGGCATAAAAAATAACTGAAGATATGAAAAGATATATATTGCCTTGTTGGTTAGAAGGTTCAACATTGCATAGATAGGAATTCTTTGTAACTTAATCTACAAAAAACATACTTTCCCATCAAAATACAAGCGTGTTTTTATTTTATTTTCTGTTTTTGGAATCTGACAAAATAATTCTAGAATATAAATTTGAGAAGTACTAAGAGAAAAAAGAAAAGTAATGTGGGTGGACTAGCTGTATCCAAATATAAAATGTACCATAAATGTTATAGTAATTAAAACAGTATGGCAATGATGCAAGAATAGACTTGCTGACAATGAAACAGAGCAGAAATCTCAAAATAGACTCAAGTGTCCATGAAAATTTAATATATGATACAGTTGACATTTCAAATCTTTGAAATATGTACTTCTTAATATATAGTAATACGATAATTAGCTACTCATATGATGTAAGCTTAAATATGCCAGACACTACTCTCTCATATCAAAACAAACTCCAAATTTGTAAAAAAAAAAAAAAAAAAGACAAATAAAAATTATAAATATTAGAAGTGCGCGTAGGTGAACTAGTTGGTATTCTTTGAGTGAAGAAAGCTTTTCTAAGAATAAACATAAAACCCAAAAATGTTAAAAGAAAATAACTGATATAATAACATATTTTAAATTTTTTGTTAGGTAAGATAGGTGGAAGGATGAACGGATGGAAAGACAGACAGATCGTTAAATAAATAAAGTCAAAATATAAATATTACACTGAACAAAAAATACTTGTAAAGCCCATGTCAAGCAAAAGGATTGAGACCCTAAATATTCAGAAAAGTACATTGAAATTAATGTGATAAAGACTAACAATTCAACAGGAAAATGTGCAAAATATATGAACAATAGTCAAAGGGAAAGAAATACAAATGTCTAATAGCCTAGGGATATTCCCAACATTCTTCAAAATTAATGAAATTCAATTTTAAATAATGGAACACACTTTCTCATGCATCACAATGGGAAAAATTAAATAAATCTATAATCCTATTACACTTTGAGAGAGTATAAAACAGTACAACCTTTTTGGAGGTAAAGAGGCAATTTCTATACAGATATCAGATAAAGAAATACCACGGCTGGGATTTTCCCTGCAGATTTCATGTATGTATGTATGTATGTATGTATGTACATACATACATACATGTATGTAAGTATGTATGTATTTTTGAGACAGAGTCTGAGTCTATCGCCCAGGCTGGAGTGCAGTAGCGCAATCTGGGCTCACTGCAACATCTGCCTCCCAGGTTTAAGAAATTCTCTGCTTAAGCCTCCTGAATAGCTGGGCTTACAGGCACGTGCCACCATGCCCAGCTAATTTTTTTGTATTTTTAGTAGAGTCAGGTTTCACCATCTTGGCAAGGCTAGTCTGGAACTCCTGAACTTGTGATCCACCCGCCTCGGCCTCCCAAAGTGCTGGGATTACAGGTGTGAGCTACCGCACCCGGCCTCATTTATGTATTTAACAAATATTAATGAACACTTACTATGTGACCTTTTCTATGTTAAATACCAGGGATATAGCAGTGACCAAGACAAAGTCCTTGCCCTTACAGTGCAATCTAAAATGTAGTGTTGCTCATAATGACTAAAAAACAAACAAACAAAAAACCCTGAGTGGTAGGAGAATCTCTGTGTGTTGGTAATACATACAGCATTATATCATACAATTATTAAAAAAAAATAAGAGAAGTATAAATGTACTATTGTGGGAAACATTTATGAACTACGTGACACAGAAAAACAAGTCACAGCAATTTGCATAGTATGCTTTTTTCAAACTCGTGAAGATTACACACACATACTCATATACCTACAAAATAACAAAATATCTGGAAGAATATACACCTCATTCAAGAGATCACATCTGGGAAGTGGTATGGGAGGGAGGATGTTCATCCTAACTTCAAAAAATTACAGATGGTTTAATTTTTTCCTATAGCTATGTATTACTTATTTAACTATTTAAAAATCATTTTAGATCCTTTCAGAAAGAGATCTCTCAAAGGGTCTTCTGTATCTATGTCCACATTGAGATCTGTTGGTGAACTCCAAGTTCTCATCTCCCCCTGTGGGGAATGGATTCCTGCCTAATTAAGCATCTCAGCCAGCAGGGAAGGTACAAGTGACACTATTTGGAACACCTGGACTCTCACCGAGAGTTGCACTCCTTAATTATGTGACAACCCATCGCAGCTAGAACTGATTTCATTTTTGAAGTTCAACACTTTGTAGCATTTTTTACTAAGCTTTCCTTCACCTTTGTGCAGCCCTTATTCTGGAAGTCATGCTTGCCAATGTTTGGTGTTTGAAGTTGCCAACGGGGAGAGCTATAGTTTATTTTCTAATTCACAAATAATCATAAGGTGGTTATTTTCATAATCTACCCTTTTTATTCAGTGCCCGCGCCAAACAGGAAGAATCTACCGCCTTGACACTTCACGTTGTAAATAAACCTTTTCTGGCTTCAATAATGATCCCAAGGCAGTAGTGCTGTGGGCATCTTAAAACGAAACTTTCTTACACAGAAGAGGTTTACAATTCTGTAAAGGTGTTGTGATGGCATTTATGTAGTCTGATATTCTGCAATGCAGTCATACCTACAAATATGATGGATTATATTTTAGGCACAGTGATTGTTTTCAGTTGGGGGAAAAGCCTCCACAGATGAATTGATATAGGGCTCCATGCTGGGTCTTATGCATTAATCATGAAGTATCATGCTTATGCAAATGTGTGGAAGCCCAATTAGGCAGAGAGCACAGAGCCCTGGGAATAATGTTATGGGCTATTGGGCCTTTGAAATACACTCCTTGGCCAAATTTTCGAAAGCAAAGCAGATTTGAGATGCCTTTTTACTCTTGAAAACAGGTGTACAATTGTCTTCTTAGTGCTTATTTCATGCCTTCAACCTTAAAATAAAGCTTTCTCCCAGTTGGCATGATTTTCCCTGGTAGCTCAACAGGAGCGATGGAAATTCTGAATCACTGACGAGAAAATAAAATGTTCATTCAAAATCTAGACGTGCTGAGAATATTGAGGATACATCAATATTTGGGGGTTTTGTCACACATTTTGAATGTTTCATATATTCAGTTTTCCTCTGGCAAAGTCTGCCATCTCTTATATTTTGTGTGATTGATCAAAATATTCTGGTTTCTGTTTTGCAAACCCTCTGCATACAATGCAAATATTGTGAAGGGAAAATACAAAATTCTGGGAGACAATCTCACACTTTTATGTATTACTTCCCATTTTCAAACTTTATTTTGCTAACTTAAACTGCTGATGTCTTACCTCTGGCTCTTATTTTCATAAGACATCTGCTGGAACTGCTCCAATATTCGAGGAGGATGTAGTGCAGGGTGGGAATGAGGGAGGATAAAAAGAAAGATTAGTTTACTATCCCCCATTTAAATGACTCTACCTAAGAGGGTCATTTTGAACAAGGGTATGTCTACACTGCCATTTGCTAAGATTAAGCAGATACATTGGTAAATCCAGTGTTATCACATAAAAAAACTCCATAGTTTAGGAAAAAAGACACTTTAAAGTTTTTTTTTTTGCAGTCAGATATAATCACTACCTCAATCTAATTTAACAAAAGCTTCAGATACATATTGAACATTTTCTTATTTGACTGGAAACCAGCCTAGGTTCTCCAAAACTCTACTTTCCTCAGCAAAATTATCTAGGAAACCGCTGATTAATAGGTCATTTATGATACAATCCTTGCTTCCTTCACAGCTGATGGTTGGGAGTGCGGTGAAGAATTGGCAGGGAAAGGAGAGAGCAGGAAAGGGGAGTGGAGATAGAGTGGAAAGAGGGGGAAAACTAGAAGGTCAAGGGAGAAAATCTCTATAAAAGGACTTTCTGTATAATGTTTGGCAGTTGAAGCTAATGTCTGAAAAACTCTCCTTTGGAAGGAGAAGAGACTTCTTGACTTTTAAAAATAGTGTTAATTCACTGCTCTGTTTTTTAGAATGCTCCTGGCTATGTGAGTTGCACTTCCAATTAGATCTGGTTGAAAACTTTGTACAGAAATCTAAAGCCCTTCGATTGCAATTTATTACATTAGGCTGTTCAACAAAAGATTGGCCTCTCTTAGCTCAAACCAGAGTATGGCTTTGGTAAGTTTGCTTAGTAGATCTTTTTGATACAGATTCTTAATCCTGAAAACAAAATTACCCTTTCTTTCCTCTCTCACTCTGTCTCAGTCTTTCCCTCTCATGCACACAGAGGACTCTAATAATTAATTTTTTTTAAAAAAGTAGTCATTCTATGAAGACTATAGGAAAAAAAAAACTCTCCATGTAACCATTGTTTCAGTGGAGAAACTCATTTCTAAACATATAATTAAAAAACCAGGACTGGCAAGCGGACTTAGTAGGAAACACACTATACTTCCTACAGCTTTTAAGTAGCTATGGGAAGACAGTGGCACCCACTTACCGAAAGCAGGACCTGCTACATTACTGGGGCCCCTGCCTCCATCTCCAAACCTGGAAGTACTCTCTTCCTCAACAGCATGGGCCTGAAATCAGAGGCCCACAAAGAGGGTGATCAAAGGGTGAAGAAAAGGCACACCTTCCCATGAAAACATCTGATTTCCATTGGAGGTAAATCTGTTTAGGCGTGTTCTGTTTTCATAGTAACAACTGAAACAGCAACTGAATAAGTAAGGTGATAGAAAACTATGATGTCAAGAAGAAATTTGTTGAACAGAAATTTAATAAAAATGATACCCTTGAGTTTTCTTCTCCACAAACAAGGTTATAAACATGATCTTTGTGCCAATATTTTGCTTGTTTGTTTGCTTACTTCTTGTTGCTGTTCTTGGTTTTTGTGTTTACTATGCAAGACAAGTATCTCTTTCCTATACGATTGGGACTAAGGGAGCAGAATGATGCTTGGAACTGAAAGACATGTCCTTAAGAATATATAAAATAATGTGGTAAAGTGGTAGTATTTCAGACTAGATAGCCTTTGCTGGAAAAGGTGATGCTCATTCCCCACAGAATTGCAGAGAAAGAAGAAAGGACACACTAAAATTTTCTAGAGTACTCTACCATCACCTACCACACATCTTGCCCTTTTGCCAAATACATCCTCCAACCCTGTTTGTAACTTATCCTAAGACAAAAATCTCATTATGATTCTACCAGTTAATGGCCAGCAGGTTTGCTCCATCCTAACATAACCTTGTCCTTTCTCAGTTAGACACATTACACTCTTCTGCATTTACTATCTCCACCATTGTTCCTCACTCTACTTAGACTTTACTTCTTAATTTGAACAAATACTATGACTCTATAGCAGCAGTTCTCAAAGTGTCATCTGAGGACTCTTAAGGGGTTCTTAAGACACCTTCAGGGGGTTCTCAAAGTCAAAACTATTTTTTTGTAATATTACTTGTCTTTCCACTCCTAGTCTCTAAGAAGTGTGCAGTTGAGTTTTGCAGATGAAACGTGAAGTGAGTTATCACAACAGACTGAATGCAGATGCACATATGAACATCCAGCTGTTAGCCAGACGTTAGTGAAATTTGCAAAAATGTGGAGCCAAATCCATCTCACTAATTTTTTGTCATTTGGAAAATATAGTTATGTTTCATTAATACATATTTATGTTAACATAAAATGGGTTTATTGTTATTTTAAGCTATTTATTAATAAATACATGTCCTTAAAATTCCTGAGTTTTAAATTTGTAATATGGTAAATATTAATAGATATAACCAACATAAAAAAGGCTCTTTGGAATCCTCCATACTTCTTAAGAATGTTAAGGACTCATGAGACCAAAACATTTGAGATCTCTGGTCTACAGGGCGAGCAGAACAGAGCAGCTAAAGAACGTAAAGCCTTTGTCTCCAGTGCTCCAAAATATTTTCCTGAGGACGTGGAGATTAAGTATAGGTGGTACTTGCTTTACAACAACTCAATTTATTAAGATTAGAATTCACAAGGAAGATAATTAGTTGGTGAAATTCAAATTACAAAAAGGTTTTTCTGAGATTGTTTTAAGTACACTGCACTTTAACAGTATTTTAAAGAATGACTAGTTTTCAAAACCGTAAGTACATTTTCAACTTCTGAAGACATGTAGTGTGACCTGGCGAACACCTTGGTCTAATCCTAGGTAGATTTAATATAACACTCTTTAGATATGAGAAAAATAATAGTAATTTAATTGGGTTTTAAAGACAAGGAAGGTGAGAAGTCTATATTTGGCATTTTTTAACGAGAAATTTATAACATAGAATAAGAAATAGAGAAAGTTAAAATGTGACAGGCTCTAGAAGAAAGAGATTAATATCATTTTCAGAAACAATTGATTTTTAGTGTGAGGTTTTTTTTCTTTAAAGGTAAAAATATGAAGAGCAAACAATCATCATAGGAGAAACTAGATTATTCTGTGAGATTTGAGGCAGAGTGTTGATATTTGAAGTACCATTTTTAAAAATTAGAGTAGGGAAACTTGATTAAAATTGGTTTAAGGGGAATCAAGGATTGAGAAATAGAAGCCCACAGTCAAGGTTGGGTCCTGCAGAGAAAGAGCTGTTCAACTTGGAATTAACAGATAGGTTCGGGGGCCAGTGAGGAAAGACTGAATTTGAACTACGCAAGAGCAAAAAATACTAGCTCTCCAGTAGAAATATAAATGAAATAGAGTCATGCATTGTTTAAGTCACATCCTTAGGCGATTTCGTTGTTGCGCAAACATCAGAATGTGCTTACACAAACCTAAATGGTATAGCCTACTACACACCTAGGCTATCTGGTATAGGCTATTGCTCCTAGGTTACAAACCTGTACAGCACATTACTGTACTGAATACTGTTGGAAATTGTAGCTCAATGGCAAGTATTTGTGTATCAGAACATAGAAAAGGTACAGTAAATGTAAAGTATTATAATTTTATGGAACCATTGTTATGTATGTGGTCAGTCATTGACCTAAGTGTCATTATGTACTGCATGACTAGTGAAGGAACAAGTTAACTAGTTGCATCTAGTTAGTAACAAGAACACTGTGTGTGTGTGTCTGTGTGTGTGTGTGTGTGTGTGCGGTGCTGGCTGTGTGTTTTGTGCTGGAGTAGCCATGCCCAGATGTTCCAATCCTGCAGCACACACCCTTGATGACAGAAAGCTTGTAGTATTGATGAACCCTGAAAGTGGTCTGTCTTGAAGAGCAAGTCAAGGGGCCCAGAGGTTAGCCTTTAAGCTTCTCCTTAGCAGAAGGAGAAATGCATATATGGTTCCTTTATTTCTGGAGTGTAGTTGCTGTCCACAGAGCGGGCATAGTCACCCCTAAAAGAATCCTGTTCTTGGCAGCTATTTAAAGTAAAATGTGTTCAGCAAGGTTTCCTCATTCTGACATTTTATTTTCAGCCATTTGGATCAGTTGACATTTGACTGGCTCTCAATTTTACCATCAGAAGATGGCTTTTGCTTCTTTGTAGTGATAATACTTACGGAACTAATTTTTTATCAAATTCCTCAACATGTCATCATCTTTAGCTGAGGAAAGGACAGGGAACATCTTTCTTCAAATGAGAGCTTTTTACAGATTTTGATATTCTCTGAACATAAAAGGTTAGAATAAAAAACTTTGGTCATAGGTGTGGCCATATCCCCTACTTAAATTTTCTATATAATTTGTCTTATTTAATATATGGCACATCTACGTGTGGCTTGGACCCAGTGTAAAATCAAAGCTACTGAAAAACACTGAAGGTTTTAAATGGCTATATGACATGGTGGAAGATAAAAGGCTCCAGTCTTCCTGCCCACACCCTATAGTTCCAAGAAATTGTGAGAAATGATCTTCTAAGCTGTAGTACCTAATCTCTCTATAAGTCCTAGGTTATCCAGGAAACTTAGTCATTTAAAGCACATATTTACACTGCACACACGTCAACACACATCCTGCTAAATGCTGCTTAAGAAAGGTAAGGAAAAAAAATCAGACGTGGAAAGTGTATGTCTAAATATAGAATTTAAATTGAGAAGCTTTACCTGACAGCCCACTTGAGCAATTCATAAGCAAAAAAGCTGCAAAAATCTACAATTATAACTTAAAGAGGAGTGTGGGGAAGAGAAAAGTAAAGTTCTGTGGATAAACAAAATAGGACTACAAAAAGTTTACAGAAAAAAATCCCACAGAAAATAGTTCCTATTCTTACTCAATTTATGAAATTTTTTGAAGAATGTTTCAGGCATCTTTGGATATTTCAGAATGATAGGAAGCTCATTTATGGTAAGAAATGCTGGTGACAGGTACATACATGTATATATATGCTATGTATGTATAGTTAATCGTCAGGTATCCCCAAGCAGAAGGTTTCCCACAAGAAGAAAGCAAATCTGGTGATTAGCATCTGCAGTGGATACTACAAAATAATCTCAATTTTCTTTTCGACTTTACAGCCATGAAAAGAAGTAATGTAAATACAGCTTTCTTTGTATGGGATTGTACGTCTACTCTGATTTTACTTAAATAAGCCAGCTATATTTAAGTTGTTAAAATATAAAGAATAAATCTATGATATGGTAATACATATGTTTATTAATGTATTAAATAATAAGATCTAGTAGTGGGTCTACTAACTACAGCAATATGGAAGTACTGGTGAACACAACCAATAGTTCATAATATCCACAACGTTCCTGAGAGAAAGTAAAGGAGTTCTAAATAAATGGAGAGACAGCCCATAATCACAGACTGGAAGACGTAATATTGTTAAGATTCCTATCAAAATTCCAGAAGGCTTGTTAGAAACATATAAGCAAAAAAGACAGTAATCTCTGTCATTTTGGATCCCTTGGGGGTAGAAGGAAGAGATGTAACAATTAATATAATAAGAAAATAATTTGGTAGTTGCCAAAGGATGAGGAAAAAATATAAAAGACGATAAGGGGTTTTGGAAAGTCTGGGGGTGGGAGGCTGAAATTTAAATAGGGTGATTGGTATAGATCTTATGGAAAAAATTCCACTTAAGCAATGACCTGAAGTTCGTACGAGAGTGAACCATGTACAGGTTTCGGGGGAGCATATTTTAGAGAACAGCCCGGCAGAGGAAACAGCCACGATACACGCTCTGAGTTAGGCACGTGCCTGGCGTTTTCAAGGAGCAGTGAGAAGGCCAGGGTGGCTGGAGCAGAGTGTGCAAGGGTGAGATCAGCTGGATATAAAGTTAAGCAGTTTGTGCTGGGGCGGGGAGAGTTCCATGATGATGAAGAGCCTTGTGAATCACTGTGAAGGACTGATGCCAAAACTCCAGAAGATGTAGAAATCTACTGGGGCGTTGGAAACAGAGCAATAAGGAGTTCTGACTTACCTGTTATATCCCAGCAGCTCAGGGCTCAAGGCGGGAACCCACCCAGCCCAGGACAGTATTCTGCCATTGGGTGCACTCTAACACCCCCAACACTCACTCAGACTGGGAACATTTAGACACCCCCAATCACCTAGTGTGCACATTTGTGGCGGAAAACCAGAGTACCTGGACAAAACCCATGCAGAGATGAGGAGAATGTGCAGACCACATAGAGAGTGGCTCCCGGCTAGGAATATATATATATATTCAACAACATTATAATGAATAATGTTATTACAGAACCTACTGCACCTTTTTTTTTAAAGAACACATCACTGGGGTTGTGTTGAGAAACAAGGAGGTAAGTTAGGAAGCTATTATATACTCCACGTGAGAGATGATGGTGATGTGGATCAGGGTGGTAGTGGTTGGAAGGTTAGACATGGCCATATTATGGATCTAATCTAAATCTTGGGCCAACAGAATCTCCTAATGGACTGGATATGGCCTGAGAGAGAGGGAAAGTAAAAGAAAATGACTCCAAAGTTTGGGGCTGAACAAATGGAAGTTTGGTATTTCCATGAACTTAACCTTTATTTACTAGATACTTAGAGAGATACGGGGGAAGCAACAGTGGCTTATTGCCTTTGATGGCTTTTCCTCATCACTGGCATCAGGGAAGTTGGTGATGGTCACCCAGTTATGTCTTTCTCTAGATGGAATTTATAATGAGCCCTGATGAGAAGGGAAACTAATAAAAATGGCCATTTAAAAGCTCATTCATTAATGCAATGTTTATTTATTTGTTCTACCCATGCTTTCCTTTATTGTCTGTTAATTGAGTTATTAAGTAACTTTCATTCTTTAGCAATTTCACTTTCTTTCATAGGTGCTACAGATGGCTAAATATTCACTGTGAGGGACTGCACATGGTGAGGCTGGCTCGATGCTTGATAAAATGTAAATGATACAAAGAAACCAGTGGAGAAAGCAGGACAAGCACTTATGGTACGGTCAGCCTATTAAGGGGCCAGTGGTCAGCATTCAGTGGTCAATATTAAGGGTAATGTTGACATTGATGGTGGACAATAAGGCCCTACTTTATGTCATCAGTAGGTTCTTGGAAACAGTGACTTTAACTGAATTGATATATATATTTAACAGAACTAATTTTACCATAGGCTAATTGATACAAACAAAAGTTAAGTTCCTATGGCATATTTTTGCTCACAAAAAGTTATTAAACTTTTAAATAAAAAACAAAACACTTATAATATTAAACATTGAAATAAATGTGAGCTATGCATACATTTAAGAAAGATTAATAAAAACAAATAAGATAAAAATTTTTCCAGTTTTTCCAGTTCAGGATCATGGGTAGCAGGAGTCTATCCCAGCAGCTCAGGGCTCAAGGCGGGAACCCACCCAGCCCAGGACACTACTCTGTCATTGGGTGCACTCTAACACCCCCCACACTCACTCAGACTGGGAACATTTAGACACCCCCAATCACCTAGTGTGCACATTTGTGGCAGGAAACCAGAGTACCTGGACAAAACCCATGCAGACGTGAGGAGAATGTGCAGACCACACAGACAGTGGCTCCTGGCTGGGAATCTATATATTTTCACAACATTATAATGAAACAACATTATTACAGGACCTACTGCACCTTTTTTTAAAGAACTCATTGGATTTGGCTTTTATTTCTGATTATTGTTTCACATATTATTCTTTGGAGTAATTAATAGAATGTCCAAGGTTAACTTTAGTCAAGGAATAAGGAACAGGGAAAGTCTCATCTTGATAGCTCTCTGCATACAGCCAGCTAGCACAGAAAGCCAGTTAATGAGTAGCCTTGCCCAGAATGTGGTGATAGAACATTGGGTCAAGCATGTGGCTGGGGCTTAGATTCCTGAATCAAATTGTCTTAGCTGGATGGAAGAATAGGAGAGGAAGGAGGAAGGAGCTCCACTGTGTTTGCCTTGAAACGTTCCTGCTTTACCTTCAAAACTGCTGACTTTATAGTTCAAAATATTTTAGAAAACCCTATTCTCTGAAACTACTAAGGGTTGTCAATAAGCAAGGAAAGAAATGGGGAGATAAGAAATGACGTTTAAACCAAGAGAATAATGCCTGTTTACTCTGTGGTGGGATTTTTTGGATGTGTGTTCCCTTTACTTTAGTTTGGGGACTTAGCTTCAGGTTTTGAAGTAGGTAGATTCCCTCGGTATTGACCTATTTTTTCTGACAATAAATTTAAATCTGTCCTAGGCTAAAATGTGGGCCAGAGAAAGTAAAGTTATAAAAAGTGTGTATGTTTTGCAGGAGTATTGTGGACTTGGAAGTGAGAGATAAGAAAAAAAAATTATTGGGATGGAGGAAACAGACAACGGGATAGAGAACAAGAAATACAGGGGGAAATAATTTGGTTCCTTTTCCTCTAATAGTACAATTCTATAAACATTGGAACCAAAGTGAAGAAAACCACAGAGAACAGCGAGTTCCTTTTTCACCCTGTACAATGTGTAATTAGCACTTTCAGTTAAAGATATATAATATTAGGGTCAACTCCAGGCAAAAGAATAAAGTCAGTGAATGTATTTTCATAATCTTCCTATTCCTCTTTCATTGGTCTTTCACCTCCCTTTGGGTGCAGTCATAATATACACACTGGCATTCAACTCAAGCCTCCTGGAAATTTCCATGTGGGTGTGCTGAATCTTCTCTGACCTTCTTCAGAATATACTTGTAGAGTGTCCCACACTTTCAGTGCCTGGAATGTAACTAGAGTTAATGAAATCTCATAACAACAACAACAAAAACCCCACTCTAAATCATATGATTAATTTACTTTTTAACTAGAGAATTATCTAGGTAATAAATAATAACTTCTAGCTAATAGCTGAGTTCTTAAATCATTCTAGATGGTATTTTCACTTTGATAAGATACTTTTCTTATATTATTTCTTACCCAAGAGAAATAACATGTCCATTTTAGGCACTGTAAGAGAATGCTGAGAGAGAGGTATTTTAATATGAGGGTCCTTTCAGTTCCCTTAATTCTGACCTTTAGGCAATTACCTGTTCAGGCCCAGGAAGCCATATAGGCAAACAATGAAAAGCCAGTTATTTCGTGAACTATTTATTCAAGATTTTCTGTAAACTCCAGATTTTCATCACCAAAATGATAAAATGGGAAATACCTTTAAGGAAGAAAAGGAATTGGAGATTCTCTATACTGGGAACTATTTTTAAGAGCTATATGAAATTATAGATTCCTTAATCATTCCATTTCACAGGATTAAGATAAACAGGCTGTAATTATCATAGAAGAAACTAATTTAAGACCCAAGGAAAACAGTTTGCCACCTTTTGGAATCTCCAATTTAAAGAATTTGCAACTTCTACCTCTGTGATCTTTAGGACTAGGTTTGATAAGTCTCTGGATTGGCTGGTTTGCTTGTCAACCTGATGCCATGAAGAGCTCTTACATTTTTTTTTTCCAATACTAGGATTTGGAACTTTTGGAGCATCCCAGCATTGTCTTTTCCTGACACAAACAAGAGGCAGTAAAAATGGTGGTGCTTTCTTAGTTGTGAGCTCCCTCAGGCATATCAAAAGTTAACTGAGATCCCTGCCTAATTGCGGAGATTAAATTCTCATGCTGCTCTTTTACAAATATTTCAAATTATTTGTCTAACAGTACATTAGAGCTGACATGTTAATTGGTTTAGGGAGCCATGCATGAGGTTTACTCATATGTGACTAATTTCTAATACATTAGTATTTTTGGGAAAAAAAATAGATCAACTTGGAGAAAACTGGGTCTAGAGTCCAAGCATCTCGTGACTTCTGTTATGAGAGGGGCCACAGACAGTAAAATCAGTCTGAGAAGTGCATAGGTGGCTAATTCCAGGCCTGGATGATAACTCACATGACCTCAAACACATCATTTCACTGCACCTTTCCTAGGGTTTTTCCTCCAGCAAAATAGATCTAATAATACCACATGAAAGCCTCATAAGGAAATTGGCAGGATTCATGAGATAATAAAAACAGTGGGAAAGAGTTGTTGAAATGACCTTATGGCCTTGTATTCACACTCCCTCCTGTGATGTGGAAACATCTGACCTATCTAAATCCATTCTTTCAATGGCAGTTGAGCTAATACTTAATCTCTTAGGATGGAGAAATCATGCCTCCCCTGACTCAGATCTTCCTCTGCTTTCTTGACTTGATGATCAAATTATCTCCCACAATGTTGAACCATATATATATATATATATATATATATATATATTTTGGTGACAGAGAGATATTGCTGTTTTTTTCCCAGTGGACATGGAAAACAATAGTATGCTTGTGAAACTTCACGGACCCTTTGGAAATAGCATGTGTTGTTGTCATGTTGTTTCTTATTTCCTCCCTCAGTCTTTTCCCTTAGGACTGTTTTCTGGTGAATGGGAGATAGAGCTGGACACATCAAAAGGCGGAGTCTGACAAGGAGCACAATTTACTCTTCATTCAGGTCACTATCAATGATTAACAGAGATATCTGGTAGCTTTGTAAACTTTTTGTAGCTAGTTTCACAGTTAAAATATTTTCAGCATAGAACTATAGAGAGTCTAGAGGTAAAGCAAGCTCATGGCAGGTAGGAACTACCTACCATGAGAGGTTCACAAACTCAGGCCATAAAATAAAGTATTTTGGAGATATAAAAACACACAAACACATATACCTATACATAAATACATATATATATCATGATATATAATAATTTTCTCTGGGAAAGGTGAAAGGTCAAATGGTGTTTTATATTTATCAATACTTTTGTTCTGTGGTCCAGTGAGGGAGAAAAGAACATATTTTCTCAGAATTTCTAAATTATAGCTGGAGAAATGGAGTCATTGACCAGAGCCACAAAAAATGAAAGACATTAGCTGCTTGCGTTAGTTGGGCAAATGGATTTTATACTCATTTTTAGAACGCAAAATGAGAGATATTTAAAAATTCATCTTGGGTTGAATTGAATTGTTCTTGGTCGTTGGTGTTCTATTTTGTATAATCTAATTAATTCCTACTGCTCCGGTCTGCACCCTAGGGTGATTTTAAATAAGTAAATATGTAAAGAGTTTTCATCTGCACCGTGATGTTGACTCATTGAGTGATCTTGCAGTCTAGCTTTTGTTTCTTCAGCCAGAATAAATTTCTTCTCTCTCTTACACCCCAACGCATATATACATGTGCGTTGATTATTATCTACCTATCTTACAAAATTGTAAGTGCATTCCTGCCAAAAGTGTTATGTTTTCTGAAAGGTTAAATGAATATTTTAAGAAAACTACCATTTAAAATTACGCAGATAAGCAATTACAGGAAAATAGTTTTTTCCCCTGCTATTTAGCGTTTTAAGAGATATAGCCTTGAACATACTAATAGTCATTTGATTTTAGTGTTTAATGTTACAAGTTCCACTTCTTCCAAAAATATAATTTTTAGAAAATAGTAAGCAAATTCCTCCTATTTCTAAATGAATAACTTTAAGTATCCAGATGGGTCAACAATGTGGTAGCTTCTGTATTTCTAACTTTGCACCCTTCACTTCTTCAACAACCTTTCACTTCTCATATAGAGACTGGGGTCTCAAGCACATGGCCTTTTTTTTGGCTTTGTCCTGACATGGCTCTTTGACCCTTGAACTAGAAAGTGAAGTGGAAGAGAAAACAAAAAACAAAAACTGAGGCAATTTCTTTTGCTTTTTTCCTACTCAATTGGATACACTTTGATACAGCCTTTATATCTTCAAGCTTCTAGGGCAAGCAGAGGAGAAGTTAAAAAAAATAAAAAAGAGGCAAGACAGGAAAAAATGAGTGATGAGTAAGGGAAGCTGGCAGCTAAGTGAGGAAATTAGAGCCCTCCAGTACCAAGTATATCTGAATGCCATTCTATTTCATTCCAACTCTAGACATCTTATTTTATTTTTTGTATACATGTAAGTGGTACAAATGTGGTTTTGTTACATGGGTATGTTTTGTAGTGGTGAAGTCTGGGCTTTTAGGGTATCCATCAGCCAAATAGTGTACATTGCACTCATTAAGTAATTTATCACCCCTTCCATACCCTCCCACCCTTTTGAGTCTGCAATGTCTATCATTCCACACTGTATATAAAGATATCTTTTAAATATCAAATTATCATATTTTTCAGGAAAAAGATAAAGAGGTGGCAGAATTGCCACCTTCCAAAATGTGTGGCAGGGTGAGTTGAGGCTAACAGCATTGGATGGAGGGAGGGCTGGATCATCAAACCTTAAGGTTGTGTAGATGATGTGGCAGATACTGAAGAGTCTCCAACAAGCAAGGTTGAAAAAGAAGCCAAGTCAGTTTGAGTTGGCCAATGTAACATCAGAGGATTCACTGGTCATAGGTGAACATCAAAGCAAGCATGGTATCAGTAGACAGTGTATTGTCCTGCCATAGACCAGATGATGCTATCTGTGCATGCTTGTGGAACTAGGATGACACGAGTTCTCTTCTACCTTCGTCTCATGTTATGAAAACTCACAGGTACATGCCATGTGATGTTTGATTAGTGTCTTGGAAAAAGAAGCAGGAAATAAGGAGGTTATTTGTGAAACAGATTCTTTTCTCTAAGAAATACATTACTATAAGAGGACTAATTTGATTTTTGAATCAGACTAAGCTTAAACTTCTATTATTTTCTTTTCCTGCTACCCATGGGATGTTGTCTTGAAGGAAGCTACAGATACAATCAAAGCAATATATTTTACCTGCATATCTAATTTAGTGTATTAAATTTTGTAACACTGCCGTGTGTGGTGGATATTATATGAAAAGGAGAGGTTCTACTACTACTCAACAGATTTCAATCTACTGATGCAATCAGGACTCCACCCAAACTATTTCTTTTTTTAAAGGCATGCCATTCTATGTAGCGGAGGTGGTGGGAACCTGCAAACATTATGTTCTGAATGTGAACCTTCTGAACATTTTCTGCACTATTTCCAATCTGTTTTCTTTTCCATCTTTGTACGTTAGGGTTAACTAGAGAGGTTTAAAAGAACATCCTTTTCCAACCCTGATCAATTAATTCACATGCTGTCCAGGTTATTCTAATACTTAGCCAGGGCTGTGAAATACAGTGTTTAGTCCATGGGGAAAGGCTCCTGTTAGCCGCGTCTGCAACAGTCTTCTAAATCTGGGATCATTTCAATACCATTAACATCACCGAATGTCTGTCAACTTTTTTCTGCACATTTAGGAAAGGTTGACTTTCAAAGGTGTACATATTTTTCAATTCCTTAACATCTATTTAAGATTTTCCTTGCTGTGCTATGATTTGGCTTCTGAGGTAAAGCCCTGGAGTTTTACTATGTTTTCACACATATCTATTAATTTCTACCTCCTACTCTGTAAGGCAACTGAAATTTAGGTAAATGAAGAAAACCTGGAGACAAGTCTGTCTCTTACCCAGGGTTCTTCTAATTAGTACAAACAACATTCTCTTGAATACAGCAGATAAAAGATGACTAATGATTTTAGGTGTTAATTGTATGTGTGTGGCAGCTTGTATTTATTTTACATATGGTGAACCATTTATAAAGTGATAAACTCAGTGTTCAGTCTGTGGAACAATTAGAATCACGACTCAAGACTTTCTGGTCAGAAGGGTTTATCTTGACTCTGAGGCTACCTTCCCCCCCAGAGAAAATTTGCTTGGAATCCATGGTTGTTTTAGCTTAATAATTTGGAAGTAGCACTATGTCACTACAGCTAAGTTCCATTTTTTTAGAACTGTGAACTTTGAACTTTATCTTAAAGTATTGGTTTTGTAATGAGATTTAACTACTGATGAAACTAAGCAACTTTGCATTTGTTTAACTTTGACATGCTCATAAGCACACTGTGACAACCCTCTTGTGCATTCAAATAGCCTTGCCTGAAAAGCTGAAGCAACATATCTTTAACAGTTACAAGAGTAATGTGTATTGAGAGGCAGTTACTGAATAAAAATTGGGTTCAAGATGATTTTCAACAGAGCTGATTCAAACAAAACCAGAGAAGTGTCATAAAAATATAATTTCACACACGAGGAGCACATTCAGAGGCTGATGTTGCAATATTAGTGGACACTCTCCCCGAATTCTTAGCTGTAGAAACTGAAATGAGAGACGTTATTGTACTTTAAAGTTTGGATGAGGATTTTAGAAATAGCAGTTTGGAAAAGACAACAGCTTCATATAGTCAAAATATTAAACCTCATCTCCTGTCACTGGAATTCAGAATAATAAATTACTAAGTGTCTAGGAAACCTAGTGAAATATGTATGAGAAACTTTGAAGAAAAATTTTTAGAAACAATTTTAATATCAGAGGAAGATCTTAGAGTTGTATGTATCTTACAAAAAAAACTCTATAAACTTTTCCATATATATTGGATTTATTATATTTCTCCAAAGCAACTTGAAAGGCATTGAATTATGTTCCCTTTCAGCTCCCCCAAAAATAAAAACACCATAGGTAATAAAAGCAGAAAAGTTGACTCTGAAATTCATTTTCGTATAGATTTATAGGAAAACTGCTTTGATGTCTTTTCCATTCCCTTGCCAATTTAAAAAAAAAAAAAGAAAAGAAAGGGAATGTCTATTAAGTTTAGCATAAAAAAATCTACTCTTCAAACCTCATTTATCTTTGATGAGCCCTGGGCAGAGTGCCATAATAATACTATGCACATTATAAGAATTCTATAATCATTCAGAGTCTCTTCACTTTCTTTTATAATCAGCTGAGCTTTGTTATTGGCCTTCTCTCTAATGAAGTTAGCAAGGGTAGGCTGACAGTTTACACAGTGCAGGTTGCTCTACACAAAAGGGAGCTGAAATCGGATTTCAACATGTTTCAGTGAGGAATTCCGCACTTCACTGTCAGTGTATGAATTTAGGAAGCTTTGTTCAGTATGTTAGAAGCTAATGTCTTAATTAAGTGGGCCTTCTCGGGGGTCCAGGTGGTCCTGCTGGTGTTAAACAGGATCTGCCAATGCTCCTGGCAATTGATGGGGAGGTAGATCACTCTTTTCTTTTCTGAAGCTTGGAGTATGTGAATCGCTGAGACCTCACAGATGTAAGTTCTGGCCAAATCCTGGCTCCGATTGTTTCCTCTAGGCATCATGAAAACGCAAACAATGAGGGCTCAAGTTAATACGTTGGAGTGTATTTATGTTTCAAACCAAGCAGAAAACTCAGTGTGAATGGAACTGGGACATCCTAACTTTTGTTCTGTCTCTCTTTTGTTTCGCTTTCAAACCATCAAAATTAGAATATTTTTATTAACTGAAAATTCTGGTTATCAGAGAGGTAATCAAAATATGTTTGGTTCTGCTTTTTCATGATTCTTTAAAAAATATAAACTAGGTGAAACTAAGTTTGATTGAATCTGAAGCCTAATTTTGTATTTAGCCAGGGTGTTTACTGAAATTTCAGGTTAAGGCAATATATGTTATCTCTGTTTATGATTTTAGGATTTTTTAAAAAAGAAATTATGGTGAATCCTGAGGTAAACTATGGAATTTGTGTAGTTATGATGTATCAATGTAGGCTCATCAATCGTAACAAATGCACCACTCTGGTGAGGGATTGGGATAATGGAGAGGCTACCAATGTGTGGGGGCAGGTGGATATATAGGAACTCTCCGAACCTTCCTTCCAATTTTTCTGTACCTAAAACTGCACTAAAGCTCCCCGCCTGCCAAGAAGAAATCATGAACTTGTAAATCTGGCTTAGAGACTTGCTGATAATACGAGAAACACACACACACACGGTAGACAGAGGAGCATTGCAATGAATGAAATGAATAAACACTCTTGGGAAAGGTAGGCTATCTCTCTGGACAGGATGTTTCCTCGGTTCAGGTCCTGGTCTCTCCCTCTTAGACAAAAGTTTCCAATCTGCCTACTGTGTGTTTTTTCAATACACATACCTGCCAGAGATTGCTTTTTGAATACAAATCTGATACTAACCATGGATGGTTTTGCTAGTTCATACTCAATTATAGAATGCTTACAGAACTAAAACTCACTGTCAATTACTGAAAGCAGTGTGATATTAGAGCTAGATGAAACTATTCCAGTAGTTTTTCAGTTTTTATTTATTTTTTGTACCTTAGCATTCCATGGAGGTATTGTCTTCCCATCCTCTTTACACAAGTTTTATCTGGATGTATTGTGAGGTTCTTAGCAGTTTCGCTTTGAAAAAATAACTCTGCTTAGTTTCATTTACACTTTAATTTACAAATGCTAAACAGAGATGCAGAATGGAGAAACGACTTGACCAAGGGCACACACTGGAGTCTATTTCTTGGCTGTTCTAGTGCACTATGATTCTTTTTAATTACTACGATTTGGTTTTCAAGTTAGATTTCTTTAACTTAAAGAACCACCTGTTACCTTTGGTTCCGTGATGACTGATAAAGTCACATCTGAAGATCATTGCAATCATTCATACCCATCTGTTGTAAAGTAGCCAAATTGAGATATTTGAGTACCTTATTTGTTACATATTTTGTACACAGACATATCCTCTGAACAAGGCTGCAGAACACTACTCCTGTTCCATGGTTCCTTTTAATACAGCCTCTGAGGAATCTGAAGTATGACGTCTCAGGCCTTCTTCCAGTAAACCTGGAAGAGACTTCCTAACTTCAGCCTACTTATTTTTTTGCAATGGCTAGAAACATCAGCATGTGCGTTGCATTACAAGTAAAGAGGGCTATGAACTTTTGACAATTTCCTAAATTGAATCCAGGATGATCTAATTATTTCCCTTGACAGGTGTGTTGTGGTGTACCCTATCAAAATGTGTATTAGAATTCTCTTTGCATGGTTCTTGGAATCACCAATTTTGTTAGCACTTATGAAGGTGGAATGACTTCAGGTTTGCTTCTGCCAAGCTCTGTCCTCAAACTACTCTCATCTCAGGGCATATTTCTTCATTCTAGATCCTTACTAGTAAATGAGTTTTTTTAAAGCTAAATTTTATTTGCCTAGAACTATCGAGTTTGAGATAGTCTAGGTCAGTGAAAAGAAATCTTTGTTTCAAAATACTTTGGCTCAGGTGTAGGGTTTGCCACTTAATAAACCTAAATTTGGGGCAAGTTTATGTATGTTCCTGGTTTTTAGTCTCTCTAATATTTTGAATAAGAACAATAATCCCAGTCCTATCCTAGCAGACTTTATACAAATAAAATAATACATAAAGCAGCCACCATACAGGTATAAGATTCAATGTCTATCTCCCAAACCAGAACACTGAAGGCTAAACTATCAATGATAACTAACAATGCAATGAAACAAGGCCAAACACAGAGGAAAATCAGTTGATTATTGAAATAAGAACAAAATAAGAGGTAAAAATCATGATAGAATTTATGTGAAAATGGACTTGGTGGTTTATAACAGTCAGTACAGTTACAAGTCTTACATAAAAAACAGGGCCGGGCACAGTGGCTCCTGCCTGTAATCCCAGCACTTTGGGAGGCCGAGGCAGGCAGATCATGAGGTCAGGAGTTCAAGACCAGCGTGGCCAACATGATGAAACCCCATCTCTCCTAAAAATAAAAAAATTAGCTGGGCGTGGTGGCGCGCACCTGCAATGCTAGCTACTTGGGAGGCTGAGGCAGGAGAATCGCTTAAACCCAGAACGCGGAGGTTGCAGTGAGTCGAGATCACACCACTGCACTCCAGCCTGGGCAACAGGGTGAGACTCCATCTCAAAAAAAAGAAAATACAGTATAATTTTATGATACATTAATAGTAGTATAGTGCCAAGAAGGTAATAGCTTTAGTGGATACTGCAATGGTGAGAACACAGCTGATATATTGGATGGAGTTCTTGGCACCATGTCTTAGGATGAGCATTTTCAAATTGCCGTATACCCAAAGGGATACATCCAGATGGTAAAGTTCTATAAAGAACGGAACTTGCATAAAGAATGGCTAAAGGAACTTGCATAGATAGATCAAAAAAGAGAAAACTATGGGACACAGTACAGCTGTGTTCAAACATTGATGAACTCTCAAGTAGAAAGTGTTTTAGAGCTGATCTGAGGATTTTCTTGGGACCAAACTATCATCATAGTTTCTCAGGAAATGTCAGGGCACTGTATTAATTTTACTACCATTTTGGCTGTGAGGGTGTAGCAGTTTTATTTGTAAGCGGGGTAAGTGTCTGATTCTTCCCTTACTATATAAAATGTCTTATCTGGTGGAAGATGAAGATTTTCCTAGAAACAGTTGATGTAAACAGAAACATAGTCTCTTTGTTTAAAATTCTTTCTGATATTTTATACGTAAAATTTCACTCTTGCAAAAGAATATTTGTGATTGGTTATCTATGGAAAAAAGGCGAAGGTAGTGAGAAAGTTTGTGTGTGTGTGTGTGTGTGTGTGTGTGTGCGTGTGATAATGTTCTATTTCTTTGCTTTTTTTTTTTTTTTTCTTGGGGACAATGTCTTGCTCTTTTGCTCAGGTTGAGGCGAAGTGACATGATCACAGCTGTAGCTTCAAACTCCTGGGCTCAAGGGATCCTCCTGTCTCTGCCTCCTGAGTAACTGGGACTACAGGCACACACCACCACACCCACTAGTTTTTAAATTTTTATTATTTGTACAGACAGGGTCTTACCATTTTGCCCAGGCTTGTCTCTAACTCCTGAGCTAAAGCGACCCTCCTGCCTTGAGCTCCCAAAGTGCTGGGATTACGGGTGTGAGCCACTGTGCCTGGCCATGTTTTATTTCTTAACTTGGGTGGTAGTTAATGGATATAATCATATTGTGGTACTTTGCTGACCTATACACCTATGATTTATGCATTTTTATGTTTGTACATTATAATTCAAAAATAAACTTGATTTTAAGGATATAAATACCATACTTTGGTTATAAAACATACAGAAAATCTTTAAAGATTTCCTTTAACAATTATAAAAAAATTAAATCATTACTCAAAGAACTTAAAAATGATCAAATCCTTGAATTTATTTATCCATGTATTTCTACTTTATCCATCTCCATTTCTTCCTCTTAGAGGTGATCACTATGCTGATTTGAATTTTCTTACTCCCTTTCATGAAAAAAAGTTTTTATTCAAATATATGTAGCCCCAAACAGGACTTATTTTCTCTTGCTTGTTTTAGAGCTTTAGAGAAGTGATTGTATCCTGTCTGTAGTCTTCCGTGATTTGCTTTGTCTATGTCGCTATAGGAATTATCCCTTTCTATTGATTTATAAGAATAAACCCTTAATGGCTAAATGTGTGCAAGTTTTTTCTACCAGTTTGTGGCGTATTGTTTTACTCTTTTAATGACGTCATTTGATGAATGGAAGTTTTAAATTTTAATTATAGTTTAATTTTCTATTACAGTTAGTAGTTTTGTGTCTTATTTAGGAAGTTATTCCTTATTCTAAGGTTATGCAGATATTCTTCTGTATTATCTTCTCAGTTTTTTAAAAAAGTTATACTTTCATATGTAAGTCTTAATCTATCTGGAACTGAAGTAGAAGTCCAGTAGATTTATTTTTTTTTTCCTTATGGACAATCAACTACTTAAGCCTCATTTATTGAATAGTTCTTTATTTACTCAGTGATTCACAATGCAATCTCTGTCATAAAATAAATGTATATACACAGTCATGTTTCCAGCCTTTGTCTAGCCCTATGCCATTATCATACTCTCCCATGTCAGTGTAAATTCACGTCTTTGTAATTTGTAGGGCAACTCACTCTTTTCTTCTTCTTCAGGATCACCTTGACTCTAATGGACTCTTTTTCCTTTTCATATACACTTTACCATTAGTTTATCAAGTTCCTTATAAAATCCAGCCATGCCTTTAACCACATTAAATCTTTAGCTCAATCTGTGGCAGGTTTGACCTCATTTTGGTATTGAATCATTTTAACCATGAAGAGCATACAATTTCCTTTTAGGATCTCTTTTATATTGTTCTACAAAATTTTATGATTTTTCTCCATATAAGTCTTTAACTGCTTTATAACTTTTCAGAATTATTCCTGGGTACCTTAAATATTTTGTGGCTACTGCAAACTTTTTAATTGGCACTTTGTACTGTTTATTTCTGTGGTACAGACATACAATTGATATTTCCATATTGATATCTTGTCTAGCTTCTCTTATAACTCATTAATTTTAATAATTTGTAAATATATTAATTTGAGTTTTCTATGTAGAAAAGTAATATATTTCTTCCTTTGGGGGAAAAGAATATCATACACTTGTGAATATTTGTGAAGAATGTTAATTTATTTCTTTTTCAATCTTTATGACATTTTTTCCCCCTTTTTTTAACTATGTGCCCAAATCTGCAGTAAGACTTTAAATAAGCAGTAGTGATAGAGGGCAGCCTTCTCTTGTTACTGATTTTAATTTGAATACTTAGAGGGCCTTCTTATACAAACATGAAACTAAGACATCATCTCTCTTCCTTGGAAATTAGTTAAAATTAATAACAATTTTAAAAAAATGAACAAAGACCCACAATCTCTAGCTTCTATAAAACTAGGGAACAGGCATAATTCATAGATACAAAAATACACTTAAAAGCTTCCAAAAATAGCCTAGTCAACAAAGCAAAATAATGCAGAATTAAAGAAAAAGTTTTAAAGAATGAGAGAGCAAAAGGCATTATAGAAGATAAGCAACAGATATCCAAATGATGCATAGCTACAGTGTTTAAAAAATAAAATCAAAACAATGGAACAAACAATAAGTTCAAGATATAACTCAAAAAAGCTTTCCTGAGATAAAGAACAAAAAACAAGTGGACAAAAAATTTGAATCTAGATATTGTAAGGGCCCATTTCATCCAGAAAAAAAAACTGACCCAGAAAATTAAATGTTGGGACCAAGCCTAGTAAATTTCCTGGATTATAAAGAAAAAAAAAAGATTCTTTTGGGCAGTAGCATTAAAAGAACAAGACACTTATTAGGGGGGAAAAATAAAGCTGTCCATAGATTTTACCACAGCAATAGACAGTGGAGAAGGAGCTGCAGAATACTCAAGGGAAGAAGTTGTGAGCCAAGAATTTTTTATTCAACAATGCTGAACATGTAAGATAAACAGTGCTGAACATGTAGGAACGAAGGAATCATTTTCCAAAGAGTCTTTCTTGAGGAAACTACTAGAAAATTAATTTCAACCCAGAGATGAGCTGGGGGAAATTGTAGCAAAACAATTCATGGGGAGCATGGAATATATGTAACTATAAAACCATAATTCAGACAAATACGAAATTTAGGACAAAATATAATGTGAAAGTTATATGCCTATATATGTAGAAATCACACAGCTACCTAAAATTGGGAAGGAAGAAAGTAAATGGGAGATAAGTATACTAATTACAAAAGTACTCTGTTAGCTAGAAGTCAAAGGAACCCTACAAGGCTGAGAAAAATAATTATAGGTGTATTTAAAAGTACAAATGTAAGTGTTGATAAAGTTAATGTTGACAGAAATTATAAAGTAGAGAACAGGTGAAGAAAACAAAAACAAAAATGGGATACTATTTTATTATTATTCAAAATAGGAATAATTACTGTAAAAAAGTCAGACCTTCCTATCAGAGGAACTACACATAAAACATGAAGCAAACAAATGAGACCACTAATTTGTCTTTTAAAAAATTGTATGAAGAAAAAAGTAATGTGATATTACACTGTAGAAATAAGATCAGAAATATCTTTTACATCAATAAATGTAAATGAACTTAGCTCATGCATTTTCAGAAAGATTTCTTCAATAAAGCAAAATACTCTCTATGAATATGTAGAAATATACTCTTGTTTATCTATATATAATTAGCTAAAACAAAGTAATTTAGAAAGGTTGAGAATTACAAATTGGCAAATTATACAAGACAAAGGCAAACCAAAAGAAAAATGGAGATGCTTGGTATCTACTTGTAAGGCAGAATTCTGGCCTTGTAACATTAAAGAAGGGCGCCTCATAATATTAAAATCATTCACAATGAAAATACAGTAGTGCTGAATATCCATGAACCAAATATCTCAACCTCATAAAACAAAAATTACAAGATAAACAGAAGACTTTAATTCACCTCTTTGCCCATAATAGATGTAAAAAATTAAAGATATAAAATAATAAAATAATGATTTTGTGAAAATGTATAATCTACCAAAAATAACCAGTGAAAAGGAAGAAAAATTAGACTAATTTCTGTGGATAAAACAAAGTTGCCAATTTACTATTTCACATGGCTTCACTTCTACTAAGCCTTTAAAAAATAGATTATCCAATGTTGTTTCAGCTGCTCTAAAGAATACAATATGTCAACAATCATAGTTTAATTCAGGTAGATACCAGCTGAGTTTACTAATACAGCTGTGCAGCATCAAGGTGTTTAAGGTCCTTGAAGTGGAGATAATGACAAAGAGTTGGCATAAGTGAAAGAAAACTGCTTTTGGTGGTTCTGTATAATCAGCATAGAGAAAAACAACACAGTCAATTTCTGCATTGATTTCCTCATGCCTGACCCATATCTAAAATCCCACATAGGAAACAGCAGCTGCAGTTGGAATCACCACATAATTAAGTTTGTCATAATCCACAGATATTCACCAATGCTCATCTGCCTTTTGCACAGCTGAGAATATTGAGAGTTTGTAAGTATCATCAGTTCTTTATTTTTCAAGTTTTAATGATGACAATAATCCTGGAAATTTCCATAAGAATATGATGTTGCTTTAGGTTTACTATTCTGGTGTTTCTCACTCCACTGGTCAGGGCATCAACGTGAGGATTCTACCAGCCTATTATAATTATTTAACCTGGAACTGAGGAAATAACCACAGACAACTAAGCACATTGTGAGGCAAATCCAGGCCAGAATTCCATATATCATCCAACATCATCATTTCCTGCTTTGACTAGTGAATGATGGTAGCATTTGGGATTCCTAGAGTTTTTCTAGATATCAATTAATTAATTTCTAGCTATAAATGAATTAACTGACAATTCATTAATTTCATTCTAAGGACACCATGGTTATTTAGCTACCATCAATGATCCCTGTCAAAACAGAGATCCCTGTCTGATTGCTATCTGATCATTCCCCTCTGTCTGTTACAGTAAGTGTGCTCATATTTTCAAGGCATTAGGCCTCTGGCACTTGAGGCCCTATATCGCTCATTGAAATTAGGGAACTCAGGTCAGTGGCATATGGCCCATTATCATCCCTAACCTTCAGAGAACAGGCACCACAGAGTTTTCCAATGATGTTGGTTCTCCTCTCACGAATACATTTTTCAATGTCTAAGAAAATGGAGTGCCTTCTGGGTCTTCCAGAGAAATAGTTGGAAATAGGATGGGTCACATACAGTAAATCCACTCTAACATTTTCATCTGCCTGTTTTGAGATTCCTCCCCCTACATTATGTTAGGGAAGTTCCATCATCTAAACTTTAAATATAGGCCACTGAATATGGATCACTGTTGAGCCCCGCCTTAGTCAACTGACAAAGCCAACTATCAGAGCAATTTTTAGTTGCTTAAGCTAACACATTAATTCCAGTGTGTCAGGTAAGTGCACCCAGTGTAAAAACTTTGGCCTAATACAATATTGTATTCCCTTTTTTTTGCTTAACATTCTTAGAATCTATTCCTATCCATATTCTTCAGGTGTTTGCTGATATAAATTAGAGAAATCTTGCAAATATTTTTCTGTTCAAGTTATCTCTTCTTGGGTCAGATTTTGTACTTGTTCTTATTGGGGAATAAGTAATCAGATTCTAGTTATGAGTATAAAAGTAATGATGGATGGTGAGGTTATCATAAGGAAAATAATTATCCCTTTGCAAGGCAACTGCCTTCAGTAAAGTTGCTACAGTATTCAAGCAATGGATGATTAGTCTCCATATTCAGTAAGGGCGTTTTTTAATTATTATTATACTTTAAGTTCTGGGATACATGTGCAGAACATGCAGGTTTGTTACATAGGTATACATGTGCCATGGTGATTTGCTGAACCCATCAACTCGTCATTTACATTGGGTATTTCTCCTAATGCTATCCCTCCCCTAGCCCCCAACCCCCTGACAGACCCTGGTGTGTGATGTTCCCCTCCCTGTGTCCATGTGTTCTCTTTGTTCAGCTCCCACTTATAAGTGAGAACATGCAGTGCTTGGTTTTCTGTTCCTGTGTTAGTTTACTGAGAATGATGGTTTCCAGCTTCATCCATGTCCCTGCAAAGGACATGAACTCATCCTTTTTTATGACTGCATAGTATTCCACACTGTATATGTGCCACATTTTCTTTACCCAGTCTATCATTGATGGGCATTTGGGTTGGTTCCAAGTCTTTGCTATTGTGAACAGTGCTGCAATAAACATACGTGTGCATGTGTCTTTATAGTAGAATGATTTATAATCCTTTGTGTATACACCCAGTAATGGTATTGCTGGGTCAAATGGTATTTCTGGTTCTAGATCCTTAAGAAATTGCCACACTATCTTCCACAATGGTTGAACTAATTAACACTCCCACCAACAGTGTAAAAGTGTTCCTATTTCTCCACATCCTCTCCAGCATCTTTGTTTCCAGACTTTTTAATGATCACCATTCTAACTGGTATGAGATTGTATCTCATTGTGGTTTTGATTTGCATTTCTCTGATGACCAGTGATGATGAGCTTGTTTTCATATATTTGTTGGCCACATAAATGTATTCTTTGAGAAGTGTCTCTTCATATCCTTCACCCACTTTTTGATGGGGTTGTTTGTTTTTTTTCTTGTAAATTTGTTTAAGTTCCTGGTAGATTCTGGACATTCGCCCTTTGTCAGATGGATAGATTGCAAAAATTTTCTCCTATTCTGTAGGTTGCCTGTTCACTCTGATGATAGTTTATTCTGCTGTGCAGATGCTCTTTAGTTTAATTAGATCTCATTTGTCAATTTTGGCTTTTGTTGCCATAGCTTTTGGTGTTTTAGTCTTGAAGTCTTTACCCATGCCTATGTCGTGAATGGTATTGCCTAGGTTTTCTTCTAGGGTTTTTATGGTTTTAGGTCTTTTGTTTAAGTCTTTAATCCATCTTGAGTTAATTTTTGTATAAAGTTTAAGGAAGGGGTCCAGTTTCTATTTTCTGCATAAGGCTAGCCAGTTTTCCCAACACCATTTATTAAATAGTGAATCCTTTCCCCATAGCTTGTTTTTGTCAGATTTGTCAAAGATCAGATGGTTGTAGATGTGTGGTGTTATTTCTGAGGCCTCTGTTCCATTCCACTGGTCTGTATATACCTGTTTTGGTACCAGTACCATACTGTTTTGGTTACTGTAGCCTTGTAGTATAGTTTGAAATCAGGTAGTGTGATGCCTCCAGCTTTATTCTTTTGGCTTAGGATTGTCTTGGCTATATGGGCTCTTTTTTGGTTCCATATGAAATTTAAAGTAGTTTTTTCTAATTATGTGAAGAAAGTCAATTGTAGCTTGCTGGGGATAGCATTGAATCTATAAATTACTTTGGGCAGTATGGCCATTTTCATGATATTTATTCTTTCTATTCATGAGCATGGAATATTTTTCCATTTGTCTGTTTCCTCTTTTATTTCATTGAGCAGTGGTTTGTAGTTCTCCTTGAAGAGGTCCTTCACATCCCTTGTAAGTTGGATTCCTAGGTATTTTATTCTCTTTGTAGCAATTGTGAATGGGAGTTCGCTCATGATTTGGCTTTCTGTTTGTCTGTTATTGGTATACAGAGATGCTTGTGATTTTTGCTCATTGATTTTGTATCCTGAGATTTTGCCGAAGTTGCTTATCAGCCTAAGGAGATTTGGGGCTGAGATGATGAGGTTTTCTAAATATACAATCATGTCATCTGCAAACAGAGACAATCTGACTTCCACTTTTCCTATTTGAATACCCTTTATTTCCTTCTCTTGTCTGATTGTCCTGGCCAGAGCTTCCAATACTATGTTGAATATGAGTGGTGAGAGAGGGCATATTTGTCTTGTTCTAGTTTTCAAAGGGAATGCTTCCAGCTTTTGCCCATTCAGTATGATATTGGCTGTGGTTTTGTCACAAATAGCTCTTATTATTTTGAGATATGTGCCATCAATATCTAGTTTATTGAGAGTTTTTAGCATGAAGTGCTGTTGAATTTCATCAAAGGCCTTTTCTGCATCTATTGAGATAATCATGTGGTTTTTGTCATTGGTTCTGTTTATGTGATGAAATACATTTATTGATTTGCATATGTTGAATCAGCCTTGCATCCCAGGGATGAAGCCAACTTGATTGTGGTGGATAAGCTTTTGGATGTGCTGCTGGATTCGGTTTGCCAGTATTTTGTTGAGGATTTCACATTGATGTTCATCAGGGATATTGGCCTAAAATTTTCTTTTTTTATTGTGTCTCTGCCAGGTTTTGGTATCAGGATGATGCTGGCCTCATAAAATGAGTTAGGGAGGAGTATCTCTTTTTCTGTTGTTTGGAAATAGTTTCAGAAGGAATGGTACCAGCTCCTCTTTGTACCTCTGGTAGAATTCAGCTGTGAATCCATCTGGTTCTGGGCTTTTTCTGGTTGGTAGGCTATTAATTACTCCCTCAATTTCCCAACTTGCTATTGGTCTACTAGGAATTTGACTTCTTCCTGGTTTAGTCTCGGGATGGTGAATGTGTCTAGGAATTTATTCATTTCTCCTAGATTTTCTAGTTTATTTGTGGAGAGGTGTGTATAGTATTCCCTGATGGTAGTTTGTATTTTTGTGGGATCAGTAGTGATATCCCCTTTATCATTTTTTATTGCATAATATTTGAGTCTTCTCTCTTTTCTTCTTTATTAGTCTGGCTAGTGGTCTATCTCTTTTGTTAATCTTTCAGAAAACCAGCTCCTGGGTTCATTGATTTTTTTTGAAGTGTTTTTTGTGTCTCTGTCTCCTTCAGTTCTGCTCTTATCTTAGTTATTTCTAGTCTTCTGCTAGCTTTTGAATTTGTTTGCTCTTGCTTCTCTAGTTCTTTTAATTGTGATGTTAGGGTGTCAATTTTATATCTTTCCCGCTTTCTCCTGTGGGAATTTAGTGCTATAAATTTCCCTCTACTCACTGCTTTAGCTATGTCCCAGAGATTCTGGTATGTTGTGTCTTTGTTCTCATTGGTTTCAAAGAACTCATTTATTTCTGCCTTAATTTCACTCTTTACCCAGTAGTCAGGTAGAGGTGCAGGTTTTTCAGTTTCCATGTTGTCGTGTGGTGTTGAGTGAGTTTCTTAATCCTAAGTTCTAATTGGATTGCACTGTGGTCTGAGAGCTGTTATGATAACCATTCTTTTGCATTTGCTGAGGAGTGTTTTACTTCCAATTATGTGGTCAATTTTAGAATATGTGTGATATTGTGCTGAGAAGAATGTATATTCTGTTGATTTCAGATGGAGAGTTTTGCAGATGTCTATTAGGTCTGCTTGGTCCAGAGCTGAGTTCAAGTCCTGAATATCCTTGTTAATTTTCTGTCTCATTGATCTAATATTGACAGTGGGATGTTAAAGTCTCCCACTATTATTGTGTGGGAGTCTAAGTTTCTTTTTAGGTCTCTAAGAACTTGCTTTATGAATCTGGGTGCTCCTATGTTGAGTGAATATGTATTTAGGATAGTTAGTTCTTCTTGTTGCATTGATCCCTTTACCATTATACAATACCCTTCTTTGTCTTTTTTGATCTTTGTTGGCTTAAATTCTGTTTTATCAGAGACTAGGATTGCAACCCCTGCATTTTTTTTTTGTTTTCCATTTTCTTGGTAAATATTCCTCCATCTCTTTATTTTAAGCCTATGTGTGTTTTTGTCTGTCAGATGGGTCTCCGGAATACAGCACACTGATGGGTCTTGACCCTTTATCCAATTTACCAGTCTGTGCCTTTTAATTGGGGCATTTATCCTGTTTACATTTAAGGTTAATATTGTTATGTGTGAATTTGATCCTGTCATTAAGATGCTAGCTGGTTATTTTGCTTGTTAGTTGATGCAGTTTCTTCGTACTGTCAACAGTCTTTACAATTTGGTATGTTTTTGCAGTGGCTGGTACTGCTTTTTTCTTTCCTTATTTAGTGCTTTCTTCAGAAGCCCTTGTAAGGCAGGCCTGGTGGTGACAAAATCTCTCAGCATTTGCTTGTCTGTAAAGGATTTTATTTCTTCTTCACTTATGAAGCTTAGTTTGGCTGGATATGAAATTCTGGGTTGAAAATTCTTTTCTTTAAGAATGTTGAATATTGACTTGTAGGGTTTCTGCAGAGAGATCAGCTGTTAGTCTGATAGGCTTCTCTTTGTGGGTAACCCGACCTTTCTCTGGTGCCCTTAACATTTTTTCCTTCATTTCAACCTTGGTGAATCTGATGATTATGTGTCTTGGGGTTGCTCTTCTCAAGGAGTATCTCTGTGGTGTTCTTGGTATTTCCTGAATTTGAATGTTGGCTTGTCTTGCTAGGTTGGGGAAGTTCCCCTGGATAATATCCTGAAGAGTGTTTTCCAACTTGCTTCCATTCTCCCCGTCACTTTCAGGCATGCCAATCAAATGTAGGTTTGGTGTTTACACATAGTCCCATATTTCTTGGAGGCTTTGTTCGTTCCTTTTTATTCTTTTGTCTCTAATCTTGTCTTCATGCTTTATTTCATTAAGTTGATCTTCAATCTCTGATATCCTTTCTTCAACTTGATTGATTTGGCTATTGATACTTGTGTATGCTTCACGAAGTTCTCATGCTGTGTTTTTCAGCTCTATCAGGTCGTTTATGTTCTTCTCTAAACTGGTTATTCTAGCTAGGAGTTCCTGTAACTGTTTATCGAGGTTTGTAGCTTCCTTGCATTGGATTAGAACATGCTCCTTTAGCTCGGAGGAGTTTGTTATTACCCACCTTCTGAAGCCTACTTCTGTCAATTCATCAAACTAATTCTCCATCCAGTTTTGTTCCCTTGCTGGCAAGGAATTGTGATCCTTTGAAGGAGAAGAGGAGTTCTGGTTTTTGGAATTTTCAGCCTTTTTGCACTGGTTTTTCCTCATCTTTGTAGATGTATGTACCTTTTGTCTTTGATGTTGGTTACTTTCGGATGGGGTTTCTGTGTGGATGTCTTTTTTGTTGATGCTGATGCTATTCCTTTCTGTTTGATAGTTTCCCTTCTAACAGTTAGGCCCCTCTGCTGCAAGTCTGCTGGAGTTTGCTGGAGGTCCACTCCAGACCCTGTTTGCCTGGGTATCATCAGCAGAGGCTGCAGAACAGCAAACATTGCTGCCTGTTCCTTCTTCTGAAGGCTTTGTCCCAGAGGGGCACCTGCCAGATGCCAGCTGGAGTTCTCCTGTAGGAGGTGTCTGTCGACCCCTGCTGGGAGGTGTTTCCCAGTCAGGAGGCATGGGGGTCAGGGACCCACTTGAGGAGGTACTCTGTCCCTTAGCAGAGCTTGAGTGCTGTGCTGGGAGATCTGCTGCTGTCTTCAGAGTTGGCAGGCAGGAACATTTAAGTCTGTTGAAGCTGCCCCCACAGCTGCCTCTTCCCCAGGTACTCTGTCCCAGGGAGATGGGAGTTTTATCTATAAGCCCCTGACTGGGGCTGCTGCCTTTCTTTCAGAGATGTCCTGCCCAGAGAGGAGGAATCTAGAGAGGCAGTATGGCTACAGCAGCTTTGCAGAGCTTCAGTGGACTCCGCCCAGTTTGAACTTCCTGGGGATTTGCTTACACTGTGTGGAGAAAACTGCCTACTCAAGCCTCAGTAATGGCGGATGTCCCTCCCACTACCAAGCTAAAATGTCCCTGGTTGACTTCAGACTGCTGTGCTGGGAGGGAGAATTTCAAGCCTGTGGATCTTAGCTTGCTGCGCTCTGTGTGGGTGGGATCTGATGAATGAGATCACTTGGCTCCCTTGCTTCAGCTCCCTTTCGAGGGGAGTGAATGGTTCTACTTGCTGGCATTCCAGGCACCACTGGGGTATGAAGAAAAAACTCCTGCAGCTAGCTTTGTGTCTGCCCAAACAACTGCCCAGTTTTGTGCTTGAAATTCAGGTCCCTGGTGGCATAGGAACCCAAGGGAATCTCCTGGTTTGCAGGTTGTGAAGACCGTTGGAAAAGTATAGTATCTGGGCCAAGATGCACTGTTCCTCATGGCACAGTCCCTCACGGCTTCCCTTGGCTAGGGGAGGGAGTTCCTCGACCCCTTGGGCTTCCTGTGTGAGGCAATGCCCCACCCTGCTTCTGCTCACCCTCTGTGGGCTGTACCCACTATCTAACCAGTCCCAGTGAGGTGAGCTGTGTACCTCAGTTGGAAATGCAGAAGTCACCCACCTTCTGTGTTGATCTCACTGGGAGCTGCAGACTGGAGCTGTTCCTATTCAGCCATCTTGCTATTGCTAAAGGGAGATATTTCTTTTACTTGGCCAAAGATGCTCACATATCTCAGATTCTTCCACGGCTATCCAAGCGTCCCCATTTGAAGTCTTAGTATGTACCTTCTTTTCCAATAAACACCTTTACTTTCAAATAACATACTTGGCAAGTGTATGAGTTCAGTTTATAATATAGCATCTGGCCCAACTAGATTTTTAACCTAATTTTCAGCCATACCTGCTGTGCACTGAAAATAAATAAGTGGTTCTTGTACGGCTGCTATGGATATTTTTTGACCATATCTTGTGGTAGAAATTTTAAAGCCTTGAGTTTTAAATTTTATTTCTGTAAACTCTTCAGAAGCAACACCTCACCCCACAGTATTTAAAATCACCATCCTTACCATAATAGTTAAGTGCAGCACTCTATTATTCTCCCAAATTGTTACCTTTTATAGGCAGTTTACTCTCAAGTAATCTCAGTTAATAATTTAAGAAACCATTATTCCAGTACTTGCTGTATATTACTAGTTTCACATTTTCTAGTGGAATTTATGACATCCCTGCATTTAAACTCACACAGCTCAGCAACTCACTCTAAGAATCCAATCTTGGTGACTATTTCCATGGTCCACTGTTGGTAATAAGCACTGGCTAACTTAGGGTCTAGTCAGTAAAAGAGAAATAATGCTTTGTTTTTCAAACAGAGATGATTACATATAAGTAACTAGTAACAAATGTGTTAATATAGAGCTGAAAGAACAAAAAGAAGAAGGTGATGTAATCCAGACATTAATGTAGGATACAGCTATTTTAGAATACTTCAGGCTGGGGTAACAAGGGAAAAGAGTTGGCATTATAAGAGGCTGGGAACACCCCTGTGTTGTGCTACTTGGAGCGCCAGCAAGGGCTTGGTACTCAAGGAGGCACTACCTAGACAGTTCTGAAACCACGGAGCAAGTATTGTGAAGCCAGTGCTAGAGATGCCAAGGGAGATCTGGGCAGCCAGTGTCCAAGATTGCTAAGGGGGTGTGATATACACTGGTGCTAGGACTGAGGAGACACTCTGCTCTGTGTATACTGAAGTGCTGAAAGATACTGACGAAGGGAAGGCTTGAGACTGAGAGCATCTTTTACCGCAACTCACCTTCCATTTTCCCCCAGTGCCTCCTTCTAACTAGAAGCCACCAAGCAAGAGAGATTGGCAAGTGACAAAACAGTAGACGCAGATGACTTCATCTCAACAGTATCTTTCTCAATTTTCCCAATGGCAAGTGGTATTCTATTCTCCCAGAATTTGGAATGTAGGACATCTACTTCTCTTTACACTAATTTTGATTCTTATTTCAAAGTGCTCCTCTAGTTTGTCTCTTCTTTTCCATTTCACTATTGCTATCCCAGTCAAAGTTGCTTCCATCTAATATTTGTTTTGTTTTAACCTTTTGAACAGAAATACACTATAATAATCCGTGAACTGTTATCTTCAAATTCTTCCTATTTTTTTAAACGTATGCTATGCTTTGCTTCAGACTCTATGCTAAAGTTTATGATATATTAATGAGGACATGTAGCTATGAGGTTAGCCTTTATGGTTTGCTTTATTGTGAAATGGAAATCAAACATGTAGGAGTTTGAGATAGCAAATAGAAACTCTGAATGAAACAAAGACCTCTATCATTGTCAATTCTAGAACCACAAAATTCAGAAGATCAATTTATTCTAACAGTAAATTGGACTACTTATTTACTTTATGGTATGACTGTAATCTTTTATTAACCTCACATTCCCTTATTACTGTTATATATTTCTAAAGAATGTAAACAATGGGTTTTCTTTCTTCAGACATGACACACTCTCACATCTCCATAGATCATGTTGTTCCAACTTTTTCCTCCCTTCTTTCTAAGCTGAGTAAATGTTATTCATTGGGCCAGCCCCTGTTCAGTTGTTCTGACTTTTGGGAAGCCTTACCAATACATTGCCAGAGCACTTGGTTCACACTATTTGTATATTACTCGTCACATGATGTTTTTAACATGTTAGTACAAACGTACCTTAATAAGGAATGTGGGTTGTCCATGGTATGGTTTACCAAGTGAGCCTAACCAAAAAGGAATTTTAACTTTGTATTCAATCTCTGACGCTTTCTATTTCGTCCATTAAGTTTTGAGCTCTACTTTGAAGTCAACAAATAAATATCATTTCTATTTCTATTTCTAGCATCTAGTTCAATGCTGGACATACAGTGTACTTCAATAAATGCCTAATGTAATTTAATTATATATGGATGGAAGAATGCCAGAGTCACATATTATAATGGTTTTGAATGGTGTGCATATTTCTGATTTTTCTACCCATTCTTATTTGACAAGTACCAATTTTTCTAACCTTTAGAAACACCTGGAAAATATTATTTTGAAAAGTTAATTTTTTTCCTCAGATTATTTAACCATTTCTTGCAGATATTTGAAACTCTGAAGAAGTGTATAATATTATAATTTTTAGGAACATGTATTAAATTTACCTGATTAGTGTCTGTTAAAACAGACCCAATTTTAATCTTACACTCATCATATCAATATGTAGAAAATATTGCATAGCCACCTTTAGAAAACTAGCCTTTTTAGAAGGATGATTTTTGTAGTCCCTTTTATCATATTCTTTATTGAGTTACATTACCATTCTCGATGGCAGTTATTATATTTATTTTTAGTTTTTCAAGAAAAGGCTTTGAGCCAACTCTAAGCCTAGGAGGCACAGTCAAATCCTGCACACCAAGATTTTCAAATAGCAGCTACAACTATGAGGCAAAGGGCAATCTTTGTCCATATGCTATGGAATCATGAAGCAGGGCATTTTCCCTTAATCCGTGTTTGTACATTTGGATCTCAGCTGCCATCATCAGTGTCATCTTACGGTCTGGACAACTATATGAGCATAGGGTATGAACAACTAGATAAGCTCCACTTTGGTTTAAGATATTTTGTTGTCCTTGATTTCTGAGGATTCCTGTTAAGATCAAAGTTCAAAAAGATAAAAACAAAAATATGAATACAAGAGAAGTGTGTTCTGTATTTAAACATAGGTGGGAGTTAGGACATTAGGATGTTCCATCTTCAGAAGCTGGTATGTACCATAGTGAACAAATGGACTTTCTGTCTGAGAAAAAACCTATTTGTCCTTCCAGTTAACTCCACCTTGCACACTAATGAATACAATGCTGATAGAGTCCAGTTGTTTCTTTCTTAAACTCATTTCTTTTCTCTGCATCTTGACACCGTATCAGTCTGAGGCAAGCTGTGGCAGGCACATTTCCTAAAAGGATGCCCATGTTGGGGAGCAGCAGCCAAGGGCTCAATGCCAGGATTGGCCATTAGCAGTAGGGGGAAAAACATTATTGTTGTAGTCTTGTTCCCTGGAAGGCTACCCACTGGCATTTGAAATAGTTCTCTCCTGTCAATCAAACACATTGTTTTGCAGATCTACTCAGTGCCTAGAGGATGTGGGGATATAATTTTCAGATCTTTAGGAGCTTTTTCAGGAGAACATCTGCATTCTGTAGCAATATCTGAAACATTTTCAAAAAAGGATGGTTCTTGTTTCAACAATGTTGTTAACGTACCCGTTGTGTCTGGGGATTACAAGAAATAATGGTTTGCAGAGGTTTCATAAAAATTGATACCTTTTTTCAAGATAATGAAAATCTGGATAAAAGAAGATGTTTACCTTGGTCTCCCAGGATATCAAGGTAGCCTTAGCTATCGGAACAAATGGCAATGCTAATGTTAGGGAAAACTGTGACAACTTTCTTCTTTAGACTTCAAATCACTTTTGCCCCCAAATTCATATTTTGTGTTTTTCCTTACCTGTTTTCTCTTACCTGTATTCATTGGTGAAAGAGGTTTCCGTATACAGTATAGGCTGAGAATAGTGCTTACAAAAACCTGTAGATGTACCCTAATGTACTAAAATTTAAAGTATATAAAAAAGAAAAATGGTAAGATCTGCAGTGAATAGCCACCTTTGTGATGCAAATACTCCTCCTTCTCTGTTTCAACCAGAGGTGTTCAATTTTTATCTTTCTTATTTCTTTACACTTCCAAGTAGAAGCGCTGCTTTATGTTTTATTTATTCCCACTTCTGATTAAGATTTCATCTGAAGAAAGGGTTGTACTACTAAAAAATTATTTTTTAAAAACTCTGAACTATACACATTATATGGGAGAGAATGAGGTAAAATATAATCCTCCAAAAATCTTTGAATTAAGGATTACTGTTTCAGTTGATTATTCCAGAGGGAATAATCCTGTGAAAGACATTAAGTCCTTTGAAGGAGTTCATCATCCTTGTGATGTTCTCATGAAAGTTCCTCAATCCTGCAAGGCATATGACTGCTAGTTAATATTTACCAAAACCCTCTTGGCCTTAAAGGCCTGAATAGGCACTACCTACATACTACAAGTGTATTTTTTTTGGTGTTTGTGAGTTGCTGTTGTTGTTGATGATTATAGGAGTGAGGCATGAAAATTGCAGAAATTTGGGAACATAGTTTGTTGCCTTTGTACTGCACTGACATACCTAATGTGGAACTATAATTTCCAAAGTATTCCTCCCTGTATGGTTCAAGTTCAGGGTGAGCTACAAGGTAAATTTGAGCAGGATTTGGACTATGAATGTGCAATGGTACTCATTGTAGTCTAAAGCATGGTTGGTAAAATGTGGCCCATGGCCCAGATTCAGCACACTGCTTTTTTTTTGTAAATAAAGTTGTACCGAAACACAGCCACATTGTTTATGTATTATCTTCTGCCATTTTTGTGCTACAGTGGTAAGAGTTAAGTGACCACAAGAAAAACCATACAGTCTGCAAGGCCTAATGTGTTTTTATCATATTGCATTTTATAGAAAAAATATGTACTGAACCCTGTGCTCCAAGTGAGTGTAGGGCTCTAAGTGCTGTCGCAGTTCATGCAAGCTGATTCATCTCATCAGTGTGGAGCAGCTGGATCTCCCTCATCAGCTTCTCTGGGTCCTGAGCCAGGTGTGTGTGTGTGTGTGTGTGTGATTTTATAGCAATCTGCACCGGCTTTATCTGCAGGCCATTTGTAACTTTGGGGTTAGATATTTTGAGAGAGAGATTATGGTTAGCATTTGTGTTGTGGGTTCCAATTTTCTTCATATGTTCCGGTTTGTCCTCGCTCTTCCCTGTTCTGTATCTATCTTTCTTCCTTGTTAACCTACAGTGCCTTCTGGACCACCATCAGATGCCAAGGCAGCAATCTCCCTTAGACAATTTTTTTTTCAAGTTTCTTTTGTGGTCTTTGGTTAGTGAACATCCAACCATCGCTTTCCTGACCATTATTTCCTCAGAACTCCCAACTGCTATGTAAGGTCTAATCCCTATAATAATCCCAATTCCATGTTACTCATATAATATTATGCTTTTTAACATTGAACTCTAAATGTAACTAACAGTCATTGACACTGGGAGTGGTGTACTGCCATAACAAAAACCTGAAATTATGTCCTTGGAATTGAGATTTAGCAGCAGGGAAAAGATGAAAAGATCTTAAGGAGAATATTAATAAATGCTTGAAGAACTGTGAGATAATTTTTGTTGGAGACTGGTAAAAAGATGGCCTTTGTTATGCTGTGGTAGAAGTCTCCAACACAGTTACCTGTAGTAACATGGAAAAGAGAATGAGTACCTAATGACCACATAGATCTAGCTAAGAAAATTTTCAGGCAGGATGTTGAAAGAGCCAACCTGTTTATTCTATCTGCCTGTGATAAAGTATATGAAGAGAGAGGTGAACTAAAGAAGAAACTGTTCAGTTTTTTAAAACAGAATTTAGAGGAAATAAAAGAGAGTGAGGACTTGCTGGGCTAGAAAATGAAACTGTGTCTCATCCCTGGCCTTTCTCATTAAAAACCTTTCAAAGAAAGAAATGGACTCAAGAAAAAACTCAAATTCAGGGTTCTACCAATAAGGATAGCCCCAGAAGGAAGATCTTAAATGTGAAGCAGTAAGATCACTTGTTAAGACTTCAGAAAAATCTAAGGCAGTATCTTGTAAAGTGACTCAGATGGATAAAAAGTCCTGTCATCCTTAAAGCTATGCTTCTTAAACTCCCTCAACTAGATAGAAAATAACTTTTGAGTATCTTAAGGGCATGCCTTCTAGGCTCTCTTGGCTAGAAAAAGGTCTTCTAAGAATTTTAACAATGTTATCTTATAGTACCTTGACTTTTGGCACAAGGTAGAGATTGGCCTGGTTTAAAGACATTTGTGGATGTGGCTTTTGTCTAATGGAAAAAATCCTAATAATATTTATAGGAAATACACAGTGATTTTCAGAAAATTATAATGGTAAATATACCATCAGGTGGGACCGAAGGGATAGAACATTTTAAAATGAGTAGTGTGCTTGAGACCTCCAAGCTTCTGAAGGCAAAAATCTAGTTATGACAGCTACTTATCTGTAAACATAGGCCATTTCTTCAAATAAAGGGATGACTTGGAGTGCAGAGCCATGAACCCATATGTTATAAATAAGAACTATGGAGACTTATTTGCCATGAGAAAAACTGGGCCTTCATCAAATTTATCCTCTTCTCTATAGCTCTACTATCACTGCATTTTTGCAGACCATCATTATCACATATCTATACTACTGTAACACTCTCCTAAATATTCTCATCAGTTCCATTTTTCTTTTCCTCTGACCTGTCTTTTACAGAGTAATAAAATATCTCTTCATGAAATAAAAGTTGGACTCATCATTTACCTGCTTAAAATGCTTTAATGCTTAGCTTGTCTATAAAATAACCATCATTTTCTCCCCTGCTTCTATGCACATATCATCCTCCATTGACAAGTAAAGTCTATTATTTCATTCCCTTGATTCTGGATTGGCCTGTGACTGCTTTAAATAATAGAATATGCCAAAAGTAATATTATTCCAATTTCAAACCTACCCTTTAAGAAGACTGGCAATTTCTATTGTATTTTTCTTATAACAATTACTCTGGAAGAAGCTAGCTTCCTAGAACAAGCTTGGCTATTCTGTGATTTCCATACTGTAAGGAAGCCTAAGCAATCCATGAGGATGGGCCACTTTGGGAGACAGCAATGTCAGCAAACCCTTTGCTTCCCCAGCCATTCTAGCTTAGGTGCTAGACATGTGAGCCCGAGAGCCATCTTAGATATTCCATTTCCAATAGATGCCATCTGGAAAAGTAGGCATCACAAGGCCTGTGTAGTCCATTCAGGCTGCTATGACAAAATACCTTAGACTGGGTAATTTATAAATAACAGAAATTTATTTCTCACAGTTCTGGAGGCTGGGAAGTCCAAGACCAAGTTATCAGCAGATTTGGTGTCTGGTGAGGGCTTGCTTTCTGCTGCCATGATGGTGCCTCTTGCTGCATCTTCATGTGGTGGAAGGGTCTTTTACATACCACAACACACTGGGTGTCTTCACGTGGTGGACGGAAAAAATGAAAAGAAGAAAAAGCCCTAGAGCATCCATTCAACCTCTTTTATCAGAGTACTCTTTTATAAGAGTACTAATCTATTCATGAAATCATGAGAGTAAAACCCTCATGACTTAAATTACTACCTAAAGGGCTCCAACTCTTAATATTCTCACATTCTGTATTAAGTTTTAACAAATGAATTTTAGAGGATTATGTGCAATCAAATCACAGCAAGGACCCAGAAATATAGACCTAGACAACACATCCCAGACACCAGTAATTGTTCAAGTCTCTTCACATGAGGTACCTGATATTATGGAGCAGATATTCACAACCACTGATGTGCCATTCTGAAATTCCTGACCCATAGACTCATGAGCATAGTCAAATGGTTGTTGTTTTATACTATTAAATTGTGGGTAAGTTTTAATGCAGCAAGAGTTTCCAGAAACGTAGATAAAAATACAAAGTATGTCTTTACTTTGTATTTTTTTATTTATTTTTATTTTTTTATTTTTTATTTTTTTCTTTTTCTTTTTTAGTTTATGTTTTTTTTTATTATTATACTTTAAGTTTTAGGGTACATGTGCACATTGTGCAGGTTAGTTACATATGTATACATGTGCCACGCGAGTGCGCTGCACTCATCATCTAGCATTAGGTATATCTCCCAATGCTATCCCTCCCCCCTCCCCCCACCCCACAACAGTCCCCAGAGTGTGATATTCCCCTTCCTGTGTTCATGTGATCTCATTGTTCAATTCCCACCTATGAGTGAGAATATGCGGTGTCTGGTTTTTTGTTCTTGCGATAGTTTACTGAGAATGATGATTTCCAATTGCACCCATGTCCCTACAAAGGACATGAACTCATCATTTTTTATGGCTGCATAGTATTCCATGGTGTATATGTGCCACATTTTCTTAATCCAGTCTATCATTGTTGGACATTTGGGTTGGTTCCAAGTCTTTGCTATTGTGAATAATGCTGCAATAAACATACGTGTGCATGTGTCTTTATAGCAGCATGATTTATAGTCCTTTGGGTATATACCCAGTAATGGGATGGCTGGGTCAAATGGTATTTCTAGTTCTAGATCCCTGAGGAGTCGCCACACTGACTTCCACAATGGTTGAGCTAGTTTACAGTCCCACCAACAGTGTCAAAGTGTTCCTATTTCTCCACATCCTCTCCAGCACCTGTTGTTTCCTGACTTTTTAATGATTGCCATTCTAACTGGTGTGAGATGGTATCTCATTGTGGTTTTGATTTGCATTTCTCTGATGGCCAGTGATGATGAGCATTTTTTCATGTGTTTTTTGGCTGCATAAATGTCTTCTTTTGAGAAGTGTCTTTTCATGTGCTTCGCCCACTTTTTGATGGGGTTGTTTGTTTTTTTCTTGTAAATTTGTTTGAGTTCATTGTAGATTCTGGATATTAGCCCTTTGTCAGATGAGTAGGTTGCAAAAATTTTCTCCCATTCTGTAGGTTGCCTGTTCACTCTGATGGTAGTTTCTTTTGCTGTGCAGAAGCTCTTTAGTTTAATTAGATCCCATTTGTCAATTTTGGCTTTTGTTGCCATTGCTTTTGGTGTTTTAGACGTGAAGTCCTTGCCCATGCCTATGTCCTGAATGGTAATGCCTAGGTTTTCTTCTAGGGTTTTTATGGTTTTAGGTCTAACGTTTAAGTCTTTAATCCATCTTGAATTGATTTTTGTATAAGGTGTAAGGAAGGGATCCAGTTTCAGCTTTCTACATATGGCTATCCAGTTTTCCCAGCACCATTTATTAAATAGGGAATTCTTTCCCCATTGCTTGTTTTTCTCAGGTTTGTCAAAGATCAGATAGTTGTAGATATGTGGCGTTATTTCTGAGGGCTCTGTTCTGTTCCATTGATTTGTATCTCTGTTTTGATACCAGTACCATGCTGTTTTGGTTACTGTAGCCTTGTAGTATAGTTTGAAGTCAGGTAGTGTGATGCCTCCAGCTTTGTTCTTTTGGCTTAGGATTGACTTGGCGATGTGGGCTCTTTTTTGGTTCCATATGAACTTTAAAGTAGTTTTTTCCAATTCTGTGAAGAAAGGCATTGGTAGCTTGATGGGGATGGCATTGAATCTGTAAATTACCTTGGGCAGTATGGCCATTTTCACAATATTGATTCTTCCTACCCATGAGCATGGAATGTTCTTCCATTTGTTTGTATCCTCTTTTATTTCACTGAGCAGTGGTTTGTAGTTCTCCTTGAAGAGGTCCTTCACATCCCTTGTAAGTTGGATTCCTAGGTATTTTATTCTCTTTGAAGCAATTGTGAATGGGAGTTCACTCATGATTTGGCTCTCTGTTTGTCTGTTGTTGGTGTATAAGAATGCTTGTGATTTTTGTACATTGATTTTGTATCCAGAGACTTTGCTGAAGTTGCTTATCAGCTTAAGGAGATTTTGGGCTGAGACAATGGGGTTTTCTAGATATACAATCATGTCATCTGCAAACAGGGACAATTTGACTTCCTCTTTTCCTAATTCAATACCCTTTATTTCCTTCTCCTGCCTAATTGCCCTAGCCAGAACTTCCAACACTATGTTGAATAGGAGTGGTGAGAGAGGGCATCCCTGTCTTGTGCCAGTTTTCAAAGGGAATGCTTCCAGTTTTTGCCCATTCAGTATGATATTGGCTGTGGGTTTGTCATAGATAGCTCTTATTATTTTGAAATACATCCCATCAATGCCTAATTTATTGAGAGTTTTTAGCATGAAGGGTTGTTGAATTTTGTCAAAGGCTTTTTCTGCATCTATTGAGATAATCATGTGGTTTTTGTCTTTGGCTCTGTTTATATGCTGGATTACATTTATTGATTTGTGTATATTGAACCAACATTGCATCCTAGGGATGAAGCCCACTTGATCATGGTGCATAAGCTTTTTGATGTCCTGCTGGATTTGGTTTGCCAGTATTTTATTGAGGATTTTTGCATCAATGTTCATCAAGGATATTGGTCTAAAATTCTCTTTTTTGGTTGTGTCTCTGCCTGGCTTTGGTATCAGAATGATGCTGGCCTCATAAAAAGAGTTAGGGAGGATTCCCTCTTTTTCTATCAATTGGAATAGTTCCAGAAGGAATGGTACCAGTTCCTCCCTGTACCTCTGGTAGAATTCGGCTGTGAATCCATCTGGTCCTGGACTCTTTTTGGTTGGTAAACTATTGATTATTGCCACAATTTCAGCTCCTGTTATTGGTCTATTCAGAGATTCAACTTCTTCCTGGTTTCATCTTGGGAGAGTGTATGTGTCGAGGAATTTATCCATTTCTGCTAGATTTTCTAGTTTATTTGCGTAGAGGTGTTTGTAGTATTCTCTGATGGTAGTTTGTATTTCTATGGGATCGGTGGTGATATCCCCTTTATCATTTTTTATTGCGTCTATTTGATTCTTCTCTCTTTTTTTCTTTATTAGTCTTGCTAGCGGTCTATCAATTTTGTTGATCATTTCAAAAAACCAGCTCCTGGATTCATTAATTTTTGAAGGGTTTTTTGTGTCTCTATTTCCTTCAGTTCTGCTCTGATTTTAGTTATTTTTTGCCTTCTGCCAGCTTTTGTATGTGTTTGATCTTGCTTTTCTAGTTCTTTTAATTGTGATGTTAGGGTGTCAATTTTGGATCTTTCCTGCTTTCTCTTGTGGGCATTTAGTGCTATAAATTTCCCTCTACACACTGCTTTGAATGCGTCCCAGAGATTCTGGTATGTTGTGTCTTTGTTCTCGTTGGTTTCAAAGAACATCTTTGTTTCTGCCTTCATTTCGTTATGTACCCAGTAGTCATTCAGGAGCAGGTTGTTCAGTTTCCATGTAGTTGAGCGGTTTTGAGTGAGATTCTTAATCCTGAGTTCTAGTTTGATTGCACTGTGGTCTGAGAGATAGTTTGTTATAATTTCTGTTCTTTTACATTTGCTGAGGAGAGCTTTACTTCCAAGTATGTGGTCAATTTTGGAATAGGTGTGGTGTGGTGCTGAAAAAAATGTATATTCTGTTGATTTGGGGTGGAGAGTTCTGTAGATGTCTATTAGGTCTGCTTGGTGCAGAGCTGAGTTCAATTCCTGGGTATCCTTTTTGACTTTCTGTCTCGTTGATCTGTCTAATGTTGACAGCGGGGTGTTAAAGTCTCCCATTATTAATGTGTGGGAGTCTAAGTCTCTTTGTAGGTCACTCAGGACTTGTTTATGAATCTGGGTGCTCCTGTATTGGGTGCATATATATTTAGGATAGTTAGCTCTTCTTGTTGAATTGATCCCTTTACCATTATGTAATGGCCTTCTTTGTCTCTTTTGATCTTTGTTGGTTTAAAGTCTGTTTTATCAGAGACTAGGATTGCAACCCCTGCCTTTTTTTGTTTTCCATTTGCTTGGTAGATCTTCCTCCATCCTTTTATTTTGAGCCTATGTGTGTCTCTGCACATGAGATGGGTTTCCTGAATACAGCACACTGATGGGTCTTGACTTTTTATCCAATTTGCCAGTCTGTGTCTTTTAATTGGAGCATTTAGTCCATTTACATTTAAAGTTAATATTGTTATGTGTGAATTTGATCCTGTCATTATGATGTTAGCTGGTTATTTTCCTCATTAGTTGATGCAGTTTCTTCCTAGTCTCGATGGTCTTTATATTTTGGCATACTTTGTATTTTTATTTATGTTTCTGGAAACTCTTGGTGCATTAAAACCACAATGAGATACCATCTCACACCAGTTAGAATGGCAATCATTAAAAAGTCAGGAAACAACAGGTGCTGGAGAGGATGTGGAGAAATAGGAACACTTTTACACTGTTGGTGGGACTGTAAACTAGTTCAACCATTGTGGAAGACAGTGTGGCAATTCCTCAGGGATCTAGAACTGGAAATACCATTTGACCCAGCCATCCCATTACTGGGTATATACCCAAAGGACTATAAATCATGCTGCTATAAAGACACATGCACACGTATGTATGTTTATTGCGGCATTATTCACAATAGCAAAGACTTGGAACCAACCCAAATGTCCAACAATGATAGACTGGATTAAGAAAATGTGGCACATATACACCATGGAATACTATGCAGCCATAAAAAGTTGAGTTCATGTCCTTTGTAGGGACATGGATGAAATTGGAAATCATCATTCTCAGTGAACTATCGCAAGAACAAAAAACCAAATGCCGCATATTCTCACTCATAGGTGGGAATTGAACAATGAGATCACATGGACACAGAAAGGGGAATATCACACTCTGGGGACTGTTGTGGGGTGGGGGGAGGAGGGAGGGATAGCATTGGGAGATATACCTAATGCTAGATGACGAGTTAGTGGGTGCAGCGCACCAGCATGGCACATGTATACATATGTAACTAACCTGCACAATGTGCACATGTACCCTAAAACTTAAAGTATAATAAAAAAAATGCAAAGTATGAAATCCCATAATTCAGTAAACATTTTGGTGTGTTTTCTTCTAGTTCTTTGTCTATACATAGGCTAAATTAAGGAGTTCTAACTATATAAGCAGCTGTACTTTACCCCTTTTATTTTACATTATATTGTCAGTATGCTTCATGTTATTAATTATAAAATTTATTTAGCAATAATGTATTCTTTCATATTAATAATGGAATACATTTAACAATTTTTAGATCACTTATTCCCTCACTGGGAAAATATAAAAGTCATACAATATGAAATATCTCAATTTTTCTCCCCCATACTATTATAAATTGATTTACATTGATTTTTATTTCTTTTTTCCCTTTTCCTATTTTTATTCCTACTCCTCATTTCCTGTTTTTGAACTTTCTTAGAAAATACCCATCATAGATTAATCTTACCAACACATTACCAGACAAACTGATTTTACTTGGTAAGCACATTAACTCAAATCTCAAATTGGCATTGCATACTGTTGGACAATTTTGTTAACTTTGAGGGTAGAATCACCTTCCAAATCTTTGAAATTTCATCCTTACTCAAATCTCTCTTGTGCCTTCCTGTACACTGCTGTCAGCTACTAATTTCCTCTCATATATCATTAAATAGCCAACAGAGGAGTCTCCCCAATTTTCCCAGCACCAAATCTATACTTTTCCTTGAGTCATGATATTCCGCTGGGTTCTGTTTCAGTACAGTATTGTGCTCTGGATCCCAAATCTCCTGATTTTCTTAAAAACTGTGACTCATTTTGTTATATACTCTATTTTTTTTTCACATTTGATATCTCTTTCTATGGAATCAATCTCCTATACTCCATTTATCTCCTCCCTAAATGGTCAACTTCTCCAAAACCTTTTCCTGCAAACAATATTTACCTACCTTTAAAAATGCCACCAATAACCGGCACATTTCCTCTTCCAATAGTACCTTCTCTGTTCTCTGTTGTCTGGATTGTCTCTTATCTGACCACCCATCTGCATTTGTAACATTGACCATACCTTCCCTTTGAAAATACCCTCTTTAACTTTCTTATTCTACTGTCATCTTCTGATTCTTTACCTGTTTCATTTGTCACTCTTCATTCTCCTTTGTTAGCTCATTTTTCTTTACCTCACAACTTTTTATTGGGGTTCCATCTTCTCTTCGTCTTTTGACAATTTGTCAACAAGATGCCATAAATTCTCCTAGATTTAAATGCCAACTTTTCATGGTTACTTGACTGACTTAATTTGTATCTCAAGCTCAGGTCTCATTTCTGGGCATGCAAATTAAGATCCAGCTATTAATCTAACATCTCCTCTTGGATCGCCTGTAGCCATACCAAATTTCACACATTTTCTTTGGTGGGATTTACTAGCAGTAAGCTTTGAGGTGGGGATTTGGGAGCAAGAGAATTATTAAGGGAGTATGCCTGAGAGAAAACTGTAAGAGAGTGGAGAAAGCAAGTTGGAAAGGGTTTAAAAGTTAAGTAAGAATGGTTCCAATTGAAGTCTAACTTCATCCTGATCCCCTGAGAGGTTTTGGAGTGTAACTTGAACTAAGGAATCTGACCTGGTCCTGGTCTTTTATACACCACAACACACTAGGTGTATCCCCAGGGGAGCTGGCAAAACTACAGTCACCTTTGTGTGTGACAGATCCAATAGCCTAAATCCAGTTTTTCAGGAAAGGTTGAAAGTTTAAGCTGGAGCAGGAGTACCTTGAGCAACTGGGAAATCGTACACCAGAATGATAGCAATGATACCGGAGTGGGATTTCTCCGGGTGGTTTGAAAAACAATTTACTTAATAAAAACATGTTATTTGCTAAAATATAATGGGTCTGTTATTGTTAAGTGAATTAATAAGCATTTTAAAAATAAAAATTCGTTTAGTCATACTTGTCACATTTTAAGTGCTCCATGAAAACACATGCCTAATAGCCACCATAGCACATAGTATATGGCACATAGTAGGCACTCAAAAGGTTTTTTGTACAGATACTGATTAAAATAACTCCATCTAGGCTGTTGAAACATTTCCTGTGACTCATAGTCTCACAACCATGTGCATGAGCTCAAATTGTCCCTCTGTCTAAAAGTAATCTTTTCCTTCCCCTCAGTTTCCCCAATCCCAACCTGAAAAATAGCTGCTTATTTTTTAAGCATCATCTTGTCAATGAAATGTTTTGACTCTTTTCTTCAAAAGAAGCAATTACTTCCTTCTTTCTGTCCTACTGTACTTTTATGAATTTTTATCTTAGGATTATTTTTTATACTTTAATGCATTTTAAAGCTATATTGATAGCTTCTAGATGATAAGAATTACGCTTTATTTCTCTTTGTAATGTCTACATTTGGAACAATTCTGGCATGTAGAAGTCACTTAACAAATTGTGGTTGAAAGAAAAAAATAGATAAAACTCCCTCCTCTTTTTATTTTTCATGTTCTTAAAACATCTGTTACTTTTACCTTTTTCATATATTTGACTCTCAACTAACTTCTCCTTTCACATACAAACATGCTATAGATTTTAATTAAAAATTACATTTATAAAATTTTCTTTGACTTCGTAGTAAAAAAATGTCACATGTTTGGAAATAGCAATTTCTTGATATGTAGGTAGTTTATTTATGACAATGGCCAATAACATACAAGTCTGCAACCTTTATTCATAATTCCTAAACCTTACATGTTCCCCAAATTAAAAAGTTTCATTGTAACTCATCTGGTAATAATGGTAATGAATCCTAATTTAGTGTGCACTGACACAAAACTATACTGATCTCAGTTAATGTGAATATTCAAATGGTATTTGAATATATCTGCCACAGTATTTTCCTGAAATCAGAAAGCTTCTGAATTCTGAAACATGTCTAGCCTTAGAAATTTGAGATGGTCTGTGGACCCGTAAATCATTGTGTCTATTTAGACACAATAAATATACAATTTGTAATAACAGATGCTGCTGAGATTGTAGAGAAAAAAGAATGCTTATACACTGTTGGTGGAGTTAAGTTAGTTCAACTATTGTGGAAGACAGCATGGCAATTCCTCAAAGACCTAAAAACAGAAATATCATTCAACCCAGCAATCCCATTACGAGGTGTATACTCAAGGGTATATACATTGTTCTGTTATAAAGACATATGGGCCGGGTGTGGTGACTCACATCTGTAATCCCAGCACTTTGGGAGGCCGAGGCAGGGAGATCATCTGAGGTCAGGAGTTTGAGACCAGCCTGGCCAACATGGCAAAACCCCGCCTCTACTAAAAATATAAAAGTTAGCCAGGTGTGTTAGTGGGCACCTGTAACCTCAGCTACTGTGGATGCTGAGACAGGAGAATCGCTTGAACCCGGGAGGCAGAGGTTGCAGTGAGCCAAGATTGCACCACTGTACTCCAGCGCAAGTGACAGAGTGAAACTCTGTCTCAAAAAAAGAAAAAAAGAAAAAAAGAAAAAGACATATGCACACATAAGTTCATTGCAGCACTATTCACAATAGTAAAGACATGGAATCAACTTAAATGCCCTTCAATGGTAGACTAGATAAAGAAAATGTGGTACATATACACCATGGATTACTATATAGCCATAAAAAAGAATGAGATCATGTCCTCTGCAGGAACATGGATGGAGCTGGAGGCCATTACCCTTAGCAAACTAATGCAGGAACAGAAAAACACATTCCTCATGTTCTCATTTGAAAGGGGGAGCTAAATGGTGAGAACACATGAACACATACAGGGGAACAACACACAGTGGGACCTATCAGAGGTTGGAGGGTGGAAGAAAGGAGAGGATCAGAAAAAAATAACTAATGGATACTAGGCTTAATACCTGGGTGATGAAATAATGTGTACAAGAAGCCCCATGACACAAGTTTACCTGGACATGCACCCCTGAACTTAAAAGTTAAAAAATATACAATTTGTAAATTATTTTATCAAAATGTAAAAGCAGTTTACCAAAGACAGTTTTTAATTGGTTTATTCATTAAAAAAGTTCTATGGCTAGTTATTAAAGTTTTAAAAATTCAACAAAAATTATCTTTGGTACTATTGTAAACTAATGTTTGTGTCCCCCCATCAAAATTCATATGTTAAAACTGGATCCCCTATGTGTTTGGAGGTGGAGTTCTTAGGTAGTTAGGTCATGAGAGTAAAGGCCTCATGAATGGTGCTAGGGCCTTTATAAAAGAGAATGCAGAGAGAAAGCTTACTCTCCTTCAGCTATGTGAGGTTACAAGAAGAAGTCAGAAGTCTCAACCTGGAAGAGGGCCCTCACCAGAACCAGACATGATAGCACCCTGATCTTGAACTTTCAGACTCCAGAACTGTGAGAAATAAATTTCCATTGTGATTTAGAGGGTTGATAAGCCCCTCTACAGAGTCCCCACTGGGGCACTGCCCAGTAGAGCTGTGAGAAAAGGGCCACCATCCTCCAGACCCCAGTGTGGTATATTCACCGACAGCTTGTACCATTCATCTGGAAAAGCTGCAGGAACCCAACACCAGCCTTGAAAGCAGCTGCGGGAGCTGTACTCTGCAGAGCCACAGAGGCAGAGCTGCCCAAGGCCTTGGGAGTACACCCCTTGCACCAGGGTGGCCTAGATATGAGACCTGGAGTCAAAGGAGATTATTTTGTAGCTTTAAGATTTAATGACTGCCCTGTTGGGTTTCAGACTTGCATGGGGCCTGTAGCCCCTTTGTTTTGGCCAATTTCTCCCTTTTTTAAGAGGAGCATTTACCCAATGCCTGTACCCCCATTACATTGTGGAAGTAACTAACTTGTTTTTTATTTTACAGGCTCATAGGAAGAAGGGACTTGCCTTGTCTCAGATGAGCCTTTGGATTTGGACTTTTGAGTTAATACTGGAATGAGTTAAGAATAGGGGGACTGTTGAGAAGGCATGATTGCGTTTTGAAATATGAGAAGGACATAAGATTTGGAAGGAGCCAGGGGTGGAATTATATGATTTGGCTCTCTGTCCCCAGCCTTAGCATCCCAATGTTGAATATGGCCATGTGGCTTTGATGCTGAGAGGCAATAGTTTAATAACTGACACACTCACTGAAACCTGATGGAGAGATTCATTGAACTGCTTTCTCAGATCAGACACTTTTTAGAAATAGATATCTCTGAGACCTCCAACATGTTGGCTCACCAATTGTTTACAAAATTTTATTTTTTACTGATACAATAGAGTAGTTCAGCACAATAAACTTGAAATTGAAGGGAAAATTACAAGAACGTTGCTGATTTGTTCTAGGAAGTGAGTACGTTCACACTCAAATTGTTCATGCAGATTGGGCCAATGCCCATTGGAGATTCCATTCATTTTCATTGCTAAACTTTCCTACAATCAATGGAACCATGGATACTGAAGAACTGCAGAGTTATTTACTGGAAATACAGTCACAAAATTGGGGGAAGTTTACAATCTTTGAGCATGAATCACGCTTTAAGTTTCTATGATTGCTTTTGGAGTGTGAACCTCTGTGTGTGACTGAATTGTCAAGCATCTGTCATATCATTTCAAGATGATTTTTTTTCTGCCAGTAGAAGTATATCTATCAAGAAGACAGAGTATCCTGCAATTTTAGATATAAACAGTATAAGTATAGAAAATTCCCAAACTATTCTGTAACTTCTGGCTATATGCCCACTTTTGGCTCTGTAAAAATGTGTTTTCTTTCTTAAATATAATAAAACTAAACCTTAGAGCCATTTGGTCATTATATGGATAAAAAGTAAGGCGTTTTATTTTTATATCCCTGAATTAGTCCATTGTCACACTTCTATAAAGAACTATCTGGGACTAAGTAATTTATGAAGAAGAAAGGTTTAATTGACTTGAGGTTCCACAGGCTGTACAGGAAGCATAGTTGGGAGGCCTCAGGAAACTTACAATCGTAGCAAAAGGCAAAGGCGAAGCAAGCATGTCTTACCATGGTGGAGCAGGAGAGAGAGAGAGCAAAGGGAGGGGTGCTATCACCTTCAGACAACCAGATCTTGTGAGAACTCTATCATGAGGTGGCACTAGGGGGATGGTGCCAAACCATTAGAAACCACTCCCATGATCCAATCACCTCCCACCAGGCCCCACCTCCAACACTTGGGATCACATTTCAACCTGAGATTTGGGTGGGGAAACAGAGCCAAATTTCTGTTTTGCAATTTCTGCATTTCTGTTTTGCTAGTTGACTTCTTGCTGGACTTGGCTTGAAGAGACAGAGAGTAGGACAGACAGTAGGAAAAAGAGTAGACAGAGAGTAGGAGGCTGGAGGAGAAAGAAGAGACAAGCTCCTTCCTGATCATTTTCTATTTCTGAGTTTATTTCCTGCTTCTATTGTTGTTACACTAGCAATGTTTCCTCGCCCTGGCAGCAAAAGTTTTTCTAATAGCACAAGTATATCATTTTTTTGTTTCTCCAAAATGCCCCACAGCAGCTTTATTGAACACCTTCAAAGATATCAGCACAGCTGGCAAGTGCCCCCTTCTCAAAGTCTGGATTCCACCTACACAGGGTCTCTTCTCTGAATATTGGCAATATCAATACCAGATGGCTGGACACCCCTCCTCAGAGATTCTTAGTGCCCTTTCTCTGGTGCCCCTCCTCCTCCAAACTTCTAACTTTTAATAATTCTAATCTCATCTACTTTCTCCCACAACCCTAGGGGTAGTAGGTGCTTCCTGCAATTACAATTTCTTTGATGCCTTAGCATTCACTTCTTAACTTTACAGTTCCCTTATACCTAGGCTAAAAATTATTTATATCAAATCTTCAAAAGCAAAAATTGGCAAATGGGATCTAATTAAACTAAAAAGCTTTTACACAGCAAAATAAACTATAAACGAAGTAAACTGACAACCCACAGAATGAGGGAAAATAATTACAAACTATGCATCTGACAAAAACCTAATATCAGAATCTGTAAGCAACTAACAAATTTATAAGCAAGAAACAACTACATTAAAAAGTGGGCAAAGGACATGAACAGACACTTTTCAAAAGAAGACATGCATGTGATTAATAAGCATATAAAAATGCTCAATATCACTAATCATTACAGAAATGCAAATCAAAACCACAATGAGATACCATCGAACACCAGTCAGAATGGCTACTATTAAAAAGTCACAAAGTAACACATGCTGGTGAGGTTGCAGGAAAAAGGGAATGCTTATACACTGCTGGTGGGAGTGTAAATTAGTTCAGGCCCTGTGGAAGGTAGTATGGCAATTCCTCAAAGAACTAAAAACAGAATTACCATTCGACCCAGCAATCCCATTATTGGGTACACACCCAAAGGAATGTAAATCATTCTGTTATAAAGACACATCCACGCAAATATTCATTACAGCACTTTTCACGATAGCCAAGATGTGGAATCAACCTAAACACCCATCAATGATAGATTGAATAAAGAAAATGTGGTACATATACACCATGGAATACGATGCAGCCATAAGAAAGAATGAGATCATGTCCTTTGCAGAAACGCGGATGGAGCTGGAGACCATTATCCTCAGCAAACTAATGCAGGAACAGAAAAATAAATACCACATGTTTTCACTTATAATGGGAGCTAAATCCTGGAATACATGGGCACAAAGAAGTGAATAACAGACATCGAGGCCTACTTGAGGATGGAGGTTGGGAGGAGGGTGAGGATAGTAAAACTACCTATCTGGCACTTTGCTTAGAACTGGGGTGACAAAATAATCTTTACCCCAAACCCCCTCGATGCAAATTTACCTATATAATGAACCTCCACAGGTACCACTGAACCTTAAATAAAAGTGAAAAGAAAAACAAATAAAATAAAATAATGGGTGTGATGTCTGTCTTCTGACTGGAACCTGACTGACACAAGGACACAACCATAGGATTGCACTAAAATGAACTCAAACATAAGACGTCTCCTAAATATTCCTAAAAAGCAAGTCCAGTGAAATGTCTTTGATTACTTTTACCATCACAATGTGTGGTGTCTCATTTGCAGTTTAAGAGTACTAATTCTTGTTGTCAGATTCCGCTTGTAACTTCAAGTCCTCTTGCCCTTTTTAAAAACAATTGTAGATACCCCATGTGGCAAATAAACTCTTTTTTCTCATATTTAGACTACACTTCTTGAATTTATTGCTGAAAAGACATTACTCAAAAGGAACATATGCTAACATAATTAAGAACATGTTCCTTTGGTAAAATTCTAGGTGAGCTCCATTTGATCTTAGGTCACACACCGAATATTCCCTTTTTAAAAAATATTCAAAATAAAAAAGTTTGTATTGTGAGGGTTTTTTTGTCAGTTGTTTTGTTTACTATTTCCAAGTCATATTGCATCCTGGGCTTTGTTTTCACATAAATAACTGGGAGCTTGCGTTAGCATTTTCAGTTTTCCTGAGGCATAAGCTCAAATTAATACTGATATCTCTACATATCACTCCTACAATTTTTAATCTGTTCTTAGAATTCTTTAGTAAAGATTTAGGTGCATGGAGGATAGAAGAAATGCCATGGAAAACAGCTTCAAAATCTTTGGTTTGTGGAAATCAGTTTTTGTAAGCTTCATAGTTCAGCTTCCTTTTTATAAGCTATTCCTAAATGCCCTGAAATGAGAAGTAAAACAAATTTCCTGGATTTTTCTTACTAGTATCACGTTGTATATGTAAACATGCTTTCCAGTGAGTAAGCATAAGTAAGGTAGATCCTGCCCAGAGAGTTCACCAGCTTACAGGGACACTACAAAGGAGGACAACAGAGAAGAGACTGTTTTGCTTTTGTTTGAAATTCACAGCAGCTGTTATATTCTTCTTGACTGGTTCCAAATTTAATAAGGCCCAATAAATCTCTAAGAAAACAGCCCTGAGACACTGCTATTGTTTTTATTTTGTTGTTGAGTTCATAGTGCAAAGTCTCTCTCTTCAGTACTCTTTTTGGCTAATATCAGATTAGATTATGCCAAATATAAACCCCAAAACACTAGCCAAGAAAAATAGAGAAAAATCACATCTCTGGCAACTAACAGAAAGCTTCTCTTAAAAAGCTTCTTTAAAGTCTAATAGCATCTGCAAATCCGGTGTCTGTAACCTTGCTAGTCTGGCTATTCTCACAGCCGTACGTGCTCTTTCCAAATCATTGCTTCAAATTCCTGGTTATTGTTACCTTATAAGTAACTGGGGTGGGAGAGTGGAATATCATAAAAAGCACATGTAATTTCCCTGGTTTGCAAAATGCACCCCAGTCGGCTTCAGTGGGAGCACTATTATAGAATATATGCACCCAGGCTAAGTATCCGAAAGGAACTCACCACTAATGTGAGTAATATGTTTTCAATTTTTAATGAAGTGTTAGTTGTCCACAACAGTATCTCTTTTAGGTTCCAGGCTGTGTGCCAGTGATAAACTGCATAGCGCAACATCTTATCTATTTTTAAGTGACCAGTCTTTAGAGGCAAATTTCCTGTTTCTCTCAGTGAATTGATGGAGTGGTTGCCTGCTGTCAAATACTTTCCCCAGTGTATGTGGTGTGATTATTTTTTTTTTTTTTGGTCGGGAGACAAGAGACTTAAACATATTTCCGCTTCCTTTTTTGTGCAAAAGTTTAAGAAATACGCACAACTGGGGTAAATCTTCCAATAAGCTAGAGACTCAGGCAGAAATCCCAAGATTTATAATCCCACTGTTACGAATATGAGTAAGTCGGCCTGCTAGATAAGCAGATAAAAGAGAGGAGAACCATCCTCTATGCTGCAGCTTATTTGGAAGTAAGTGCAAGTAACCTTACTTCCAGATAGGATGTGATAAATAATCCAAAAAGGCAGAATAAAAACAACTTCCTCTGTGAAGATGAAAAACAATCAAGACCAGTGTCAAGTGCCTGTTGGATGGAAGAACGTGGCTAAGGAGAAGAAAGGGAAACTCTGAGCTACTGAGTCTATTCTTTAGAAACAGAGACTAATAAGGAAGGTTTACAGGGACTTGCAAATGTAATGAACAGGTACTGACACCAAAAGATGTCTTCCCTGCAGAAGCACACAAAGGTCTCTGCATTCAGTCCTGAGATGACTTATTAAAAGGTGAGCATCGTATTCCTTGAACATATATCTGAGATTTGCTGGAGATCCCAGGGAAATTTGTAAAACTCTAGTTTTACAAATGGACTTCTAGTCAGGTTAGCTGATTTACATGATACTGTGAGAACTTTTCTCATTTATTTCTCCGGCAAATTTGAAGTCCAATTAGAAAGCTAAAGATTAGAAGGAAGCAGACTACTTCAATTTCTTTCCTTTTTTATTTTCGGGTTGTGACTTTAGTAGATAAATAGAATGTTGAGAAGAGCATAGAACATCAGAATTTTATATTCTGAATCATCACTGAGGATACCCAAATAATAAAATTAAAAAGAAATTGTTTGGCTGGAAAATACTGTTCTGATCAAAATAAATTTAAAATAGAATTTGAAGGGAAAGCATTAATGAAGAAAAATAACTAGAGAAAACTGTAAAACTTATATAGTTGTAAATGGCTATATCATAAAATGTAATAAAGAGCAGAGCAGTGTTTCTCTAAAGAATAAAAGAAGAAATTCAAGAGCAACATCAATATCTTCAGAGAAGTGTAATGTCAATGTACAATATAAGTTATAAAGTGTGCCTTAAGTTTAATTTGCTAAATATTCTCATCAGGTAGGTAGCAACAAAATCTTGGGTTGGGACACTTGACCATAGTGCAGAAACATAAATGTTTTGTTTAAAAAGCAGATCCAAAGAAAAGGAAAGGAGAATATGTTAAAACGTGCACACACACACAAACACACACATATGCATGCTTCCTAGAAAATACCTGAAGATAGAGGCCTGATAGAGATATTTAGGTAATAAGAAAAGTGGAAACTACAATAACGTTGAATTAAAAAAATCTATAAATTATTTGTGGAGACATATGTGATCCTTCTTTAATGAAAATGATTCTGCTGTAACATCAGCACTCAGGGCTTTAGACTCAAAAGCTGCATTCTGCTACAATCAAAATAGTTTATAAATTATGCCTTGCTTAGTTGATAATTTTTTCTTTCCTCAGACGGCTGAGAAAACAACTAGTAGAACTGATATCCTAGATCAATGTTGATCCCTTGAAGGTGGCTATGGAGGAAGAGGATTTATCTTTGCAAAATCCCCCCAGAGATTCAGACACCCTTTCTCCTTCAGATTTGAAAATCAGTACCTTAGGTTTCCTTCCAAGCAATATTAAGTAATAGACTATTAGAGGTTTGTCAATTGATTATTAAAGGATATGGGGTTATCATATCAGATATTTAACATATCAGGTATTTAATCAGTTGTAGGTTGAATAGTGCTAGGTAGTAGAAATATAGACTGAAAAATTTAACAAAGAGGTGGATATTAATAATTGTTGAGCAGTTGCTTTGCTCCTGGTACTGAACTATACTTACATAGTTAAGCAAAAATATTTAATATTTTTTTAAAAATTCACAGGTATTATATCACAACGTATTATCATCATCAAATCACAAAAGAAGAATGACAATTCTGAGGTTAAATCACTTGCTGCAGCTCCCATAGGCAACCAGGCTGGAGTTATGATCTGAACCCATCAGTTTAGCTCCAAAGCTCAGGCTTTATGAGTGTGACTCTGTGACCTGAAGGAACTCGCAAGTCTAAACCCTCTTAAAATGTCCCTTCACAGGCACCTATATAAGTCCTTGTAATGGCACAGGAAATCTCTGACAAGTTTGGATTTAGAAGGCACCTATGTAAAAGATGGAAGGTGGGCATTTGAAAGAGTGGAATAATCCCTGAGAGTAAATGTCAGTAAGGCTAAATACAAAGACTTTTTAAAAATAAAGAGGACTTTATTGACCATATTCTAAGCAAGAAGAGCACACACAAAATCCATTGCTGTTTAGGAAGATAGTGTATTATCAAATTACAAGGAGGCAAAAAATCTCTTCTCACCTAACTTTTGTATTCTTTGCCATGTTTCCAAGTATAAGAATAGTAGTCTAGTACACAAATGTCCAAGAACTGTAAAAAGTTTGCAGCCCTTTTGTCCTCATACTGCTAAATCTTTAATAGTATTTGTAGTCTCTTCTGCCATCTGAGGTTTTTCCAATATTAATTTATCTTTACTCCTCTCCATTGTGCTTAGTCAGACACAGGTATAAACTGGCAGCCTCTAATTAACTACCTAAGGAAAATCACCCTGCACCCACAAAGAGATCCACAATTGGCTTAATTAGAACCAAAAAAAGCACTATTAAAATTAAGTTTCATCCTGTGCCTCTGTGCATATATAAGCCTTTAATACATGGAAGACGCTTGCGTTTAGTCATTTTACACATACTGTATGTAAATTATAAGCTTTATCACTCACAGTAGGTGGTCAGGGGAACTGTTCAGTATATATTTGTACTAATTACCTTGGAAGTTCCTTATCTCTGTCAAACTCTTCTTAGCATCCAGCAAACATAGAAGTTGATAAATAATAACTAAACTCCTAGTTAGTAGGATTAAGGTAGTAACTGAGATCAGTATTACTATTTTTGGCAGAGAGAGCTTCTGTCCCTGTGTAGCTCCTTCTACCTTTTTATAATCATTGCCTATCTCAAATGTCTGAAAATGGAAAATCATAGAAGAGCTGTAAGACTGCCCCACCGCCTGAGCCTAGATCTGGTCCTTAAGTGTGCCAGAACTCAGTCCATCTCCTGAACAAAGCAAGAGACGTGTGTGTTTCCTGGTTAATTCTGTAGACTCCAGAGTCTTGTTTCGCCTGGTTTACTACAGAGCTCAGACCTTCGGGGGCAACCTGTTCCTTTTGCAGTGGAGCTTTCCTCTCCCTGGTATATGTGGTTGCTGGCAGTGATATCCTGAACTTGGCCTGTACTGACTTGTGAGAGCTGACTGTTAAATTTTCAGGAATTTTGTGAGCTGGGTTATGTCATGTAGGAGCTTGAAATGGGTCCTGGTTTGAGTATTTATACCACAGAAATCAGCAAATACCACAAATCAGGGTTTCTCCTACCCTAAGAGCCAGCTGTTTAACATATACTAGCACACCACTGGTAATAGGCAATAGTTCCTTACTATGGTACTGAGGGCTAACTGGAAAAAATATTTGATAACCCAAAGAACAAATGTTTCTTGCTTTTTGTTTCTGAAAACAGAAAGCAGCTGCACAAATACAGCTGAAAATCTTTTAGGAAAAAAATTTCTTTTCCCTACTCCCTCTCCGTCTCCATCTCACTCATTCCCAGCCCTCATTCTCTTTTTTTCTTTTGTTTTTCTTCAACTTTTATTTTTATTTCCGGAGTACATGTGCAGGATGTGCAGGTTTGTTACATAAGTAAACGTGTGCCATGTTGGTTTGCTGCACAGACCACCCCTCACCTAAGTATTAAGCCCAGCGTCCATTAGCTATTCTTCCTGTTGCTCTATCTTCCCTCACCCCCACCCCAACAGGCCCCAGTGTGTGTTGTTCCCCGCCATGTGTCCACGTGTTCTCATTGTTCAGCTCCCACTTGTGAATGACAATATGCAATGTTTGTTTTTCTGTTTCTGTGTTAGTTTGCTGAGGATAATGGCTTCAAGCTCCATCCATGTCCCTGCAAAGGACATGATCTCATTCCTTTTTATGCCAGCCCTCATTTTTGAATCTCTTCCCTTTCAAGTTTGTGCCAAATCAGAAATTCTCCAAGGTTGTTTCTTTTTGTAGTATTTCTACAAAATGAACATTTTACTATTTATTTGGTTTCTACCATTTGCCAAATGTGGAGCTTTATAATATGACTTTTATGTTAGGGCTGCAAAAAATTTTGTGAAAGACTGATGATTACATAGCCTCAATTCGACTCTAGATAGAGGCCCAAACTCAGGTTAAGCTGACATTCTTTTTATCCTCAATTCTGCTGAGTCACTATGAGAAGGCAAATATTGTCAGAAGCCTTGCGTCTGAATGCTGGGCATACCAAACTCTTTGGAAGGGAGGTGGCTGGGAAACACCTACTCTAGGCTTTTGGTGTTTCTTTTCCTGCAGAGGGTGCTTCACTAGAACAACTTTTCTGATTTTTTATTCCTTTGCATACTCCTCTCTAGGAGAAGTGAAGTGGCTTATGTTTTTCATCAGTTTCAAAGCCCCCTCTTCTCATATTTTCTCCCCTCTTTGGGACCCAGCTGCCAAGGAACAGGCTTTGTGTCCCATCCCCCATGCGGTATGTTTCACATGGTGAGACCTCCAGCCCATCAAGCTCTGTCTGTGCCTGGTTAAGACTCTATCTTTAATTTTAGGGTTGTTATACCACTATATCATGTTCTAGTGGTTGCTATACCGCTATATCTAGTGGTTGATATAGTGGTTGTTATACCTCTATATCATGTTCTAGTCTAGTCATAATAATGAAGGTGATATTCTATTCTCCGTTTTCAGTTCCTTTGCCTGCATTAAGCATTCAGAAGTCAAGAAAAGAAGAGTGTGGTTTCTTGGGCTGCTTCAGAAGCCAAAATTAAGGTAATCTTTGGAAAGCCACTTACTGTTTCTGTGTCAGTAAGAAAGAGAGGGAAATTACCACTGTTTTAGCGTTCCTTGATTCACAGAATATTTATGGAACACCTATTACATTTACTGAATGTCCAGTATGTGTCAAGAGCTGTTTGAGGTCCTAGGAATAGTCTGTCCCAGATACTGTGAGGGCATCTATAGACATACAAAGTAAAAAGAATTCCTACTTGCATAGTGTTCACAATCTAGAACAGAACTATAATATAATACTCCAAGTGCCATAATAGGAGTACAGGGGACAGAACACCTAACTTTTCCCAGCTAGAATTCAAGGAGAGAAAACAATAGATATTTTTTCTTAAATCGCCTCCCCCAAACAAATCTTTTACTAAACTCATTTTTCTTTTTATTCCTACTCAGTTTCTAGGAAATACATTAATAAAAAATAGAAATAGAAAAAAAAAAAGAAGCTGGCTAATCTATGTACTATCATTGATCTTTAAAAAACTAAGAATTGACTAGCCTGACATGTGCTAGCCTGCTACTACTGCTGCTGTAACAAAGTACTACAAACTGAGAGGCTGAAAGAACAGAAATACACTTCTCACAGATCTGGACACTAAAAGTCTGAGATCAAGTCTGAGTGTCAGCAGGGCTGGTTCCTTCTGAAGCCCCTCTCCTTGACTTGTAGATAGCTACCTTCTCCCTGAATCTTCACATGGTCTTCCCTCTGTGTGTGTTGTATCCTCATCTTTTCTTCTGATAAGGACACCAGTCATATTGGCTTAGGGCCCTCTCTAATGGCCTCATTTATTAATTACTTCTTTGAGACTCTGTGTTCGAATACAGTCACATTCTGAGTTAATTGGGGTTAAAGACTTCAACATGTCAAGTTTGCGGAAACACAGCTCAGCCCATAGCAGACACCACATGAAACTTCTCTAGCAGTCGTCAGGAACTTAGCCATGATCTTGAGAATCAAGCATTCTGAGCATCCCTTCCCAGATGTTAATGACTTGCCAAATGATCCTTAGGAAGTACATCATTTTCCTCACCTACAAATCCCCTCTATTCTATAAAGTCTACTGGAACTATGTATTTCAGATGGTTTGTATGTATGGAACTATGCAATTATAAAAAGTTTAGAAAACTGGTGACTCATTAAAATTCTCCTGTTTATTTTTATTAGAGCAAAGACTTTAGCTTAGAGGATATTGGTATAAAATATATTTCTTAATCTCACTCATATTTACTTTTTCTTTCTCTTTCATTCCGTATAATATTAAGAACTGCGATGGGGACAGAAGGGAGAAATGAAAGAATAGATTCAAAAACTGAATTCATGCAGCTGTTCTCATTTAGCTGTATTCTCTGCTTATGTATTTTTTTTTGGAAATTATAGAAACTGTTGAAAGAAGGTGTTGCAAAAATGGAAAGCTCTTAGCAGATGTTTTGCTTTTGGTAAGAGATCTTGCTGGAAATATATCTTGCATCTGAAATGATCTAAACTTGAGCATAGAGCTTAAAGCATATTAGAATTCCATTGATTAAAAATCTGCCATATCCTTTGGCATGTCTGTGATATGCCTACAGATGGGGTTGGAATTTTACCATTAACTTATGCAATATGAATTAAGTCTGGAACAAGATGACCTTTTATCTTTAGGCCTTGATCTTCTTTGTCATCCTTATCACAGTCTACTTTCCTGCATTTATTCTCAAATATATTTTACCTTTATTGTCCTCCTTCTCTGAATTTTATTTATTTCACATCTCAATAGATGTCTTTTCTCAGTTCTAGAAAATTTTGGGGGCATAACTCCCAGGAAATAAAGTTATCCAAATTAAATATACCCAATTTCATAGGCAAATGTGACCAAAGAAGTGATTCATTTGGAGATGCATGTAGTATTTCATACTTTACCAGGTACAAAAATCTCTAATAGAGAATATCTTAGTTATAATAAAAATTTAATTATGGAGATTTTGTTTTTTCCTTTAACTTTCATGTTATTAAAGTGTTGAGAGGATTTTGAATTTGGGAAACAATCAATCATTCTATGTCCCATTATGTCTTGCCATGTATGTCTCATGTTTGGTCCCATGAGACACACAGTTTCTCAAAGAACTTAAATTTTAGTGAAACATTAATTGATTTATGAAAAAAAGCCTTACTTAATTTCAACTGCTTCACTCTACCTGTACGATTAATTAAATTTGAAAATATTGATTAGTAAAATAGTTGCTGGGCAAATTTATTTTCCCCATTCTTATTCCATGTTTTTCTGCCTTTTTAATCACAGTGTCTGAAGTGGTGATTCAGTGGTAAATCAGTGGAGAACATGAGGAATCAAAATTATATACTTATCCCTTTTCTCTAGAAAATCATTGTCTATTTAACCATATCAATAATACAAACAATGATAATAATAACAATAGTTATATTAACATCTAGCATTCATTGTGCACTTACTGCCTGTCAGATAGTAGGCAATTATTACCTCATTTAAACCTAAAATGAGAATTTGCTGTTACTGTAATTTTACAAAAAATCCTAAAACATTAGAAAGACCTGGCATCATGCAGCTACTGAAAAGCAAAGCCAAATATTCTTTTTCCAAAGTGCCCTCTCACCATCTTTAATCATTTTGATGTAATAGCCAGTAGACACATCTAACTTGTATTACCTATTCACTTGAAAAGGAAATTTTTGATTGATTATAAACACAATTTATTATCTAAAAAACTCCTCTTCTCTATAACATTTTTCCAACAAATATTTAAGAAAAGATATTTTAAGCCAGGCACAGTGGCTCATGCCTATAATCTCAGCATTTCAGGAGGCTGAGGTAGGAGAATCACTTGAACCCAGGAGTTTGAGACCCACCTGGGCAACATAGGGAGACCCCTGTCTTTACAATTTTTTTAAAACTAGCAGGGCTTGGTGGTGCATAACTGTGGTTCCAGCTACTTAGGAGGCTGAGGCAGGAGGATCACTTGAGCCCAGGAAATCGAGGCTGCAGTGAGCCGTGATTGTGCCTCTATACTCCAGTGTGGGCAATAGAACAAGAGCCTGTTAAAAAAAAAAAAAGAAAAGAAAGAAAGAAAAGAAAAGGTATTTTATATCATTTTTATAAAAATGTAAATTGACTTAGAAAAAATGTAATTCTCAAATGCAGGTAATAAGAGAAATGGGAATTAAGTATTCTGGAAGAAGAGAGAAATTGTGTTAGAATATTAAAATTTTAATAATGCTCTGCTCCTTGCCACAGATGTAATATTTATGTTTGAATCTTAGAATAAGCCTTGGGAGTTTTATTTTGGATTTTTATTGGCAAAGAGATTTTCTTTTAGCTTGGGCTTTCTTATTTTCTAGACTTCAACTGTTTTGTTTATCTGATTCTGTATTTATTCTTTGATTCTCTTATGTCTTTTTTGCTTTCTGATTCCTGCTTTCTCTTTCATTTTCTTAGCTCTCATCCCAAAAGATTTTCAGAAGATAGGCATATTTCTAAGAAAATAGCTTAGGAAGCAGGCTTCTTGCGGCCTAGGTCTCAATAAATAAAATGGCCCAGTAAAAATATAAGGAATCAGTTCCAGACTAGGTTAAATTCCTGAAAGACCTACTGGATCCTTGGCCTGCTACTTTCTAACTTCTTAATACCAGTTAACATTTTCTTCATTTGTGTGATACAGAAGCCTTTTAGAATGTGAAGTTATTTAAAGTTTTCAGATAATTGAATGTCAGTTCCTGCTGTTTGATTTGGATGGCCCAACCTCAGCAAACTTTCCCTAAAATTTTTCCTGAAATACAGTAGTCTCCCATATTATCAGGAGCCATTATAGAAGAAAGCTGAGCCTGTGTATTGGTCCTATGCAAAAGCGAGTCAACATGTCAAAATTAATTACTGGAGAGCTTTAAAAGGGAAAAAAGTTAAAATAGCACACAGGACTTTAGCATCATTCAGATGCTTTCAAATAATTATATAATGAATATGTATTTACAGATGTATAATTTATTGTATATTTCAAACTTCCAAAAGAGTTGAAAAAGACTACCAGCCTATGTAAACTGATAGCACTCAATCATACATAGATGCTTCTAATTGTAGAGAATTTTCCCAAAGTAGCAGTGTCAGTACTAATGGGTGTGGTAAACTAGCAAAGTTAATCCCTCTGATTTTGAACCAAGGAACTTGGATTGATCAAGGCAGCTGCTGCCACTCAAAGAGAAATCCACAAGGGGGCTGTCTCCTCTTTCTCAGGCTTCCAGCAGTTTCCCCCTCAGCAATCCAAAATGGCCTGTTACATGTACGCAGGTGCTTGTGTTGGTGCACCTTTAACTTAATTATGGGCATGAGAAAGCTTCCAGAATTTGGTGATGTATAGGCAAGAATGAATATCAAATCTCTTCAGCTTGTGAAATGGTTGCGGTTGTTGATTATTAAAGACAGTCTCCCTCATTGTCAGTCTTCTGACCTTGAGATCTAGCATCAACTTTGTTTCTCACAGCCATGAATTATGTAGGTTCTACTTTTGGGGACAGAAACATAATTTCTTGGTGGGTCTGGTCTAATCCTTGAGTAACCGATGTGTTTATGCTTAAAGCACCAGTCTTGGCCAGTCAATAGGCTACTTCAACCTGCAACACTGTACAATACTTCTGTTGTTTTGCTGGCTTCTTCAGTCTCCTCCCGTGGTTTCTCTAGATCTAAAACATCACAGACCCCCAAGGTCCTATTTATTTTTCCACTTTGTAACTTGACATTTCTATTTGCTTGTCATCTATATTCTGTTCAGTCTTGTGGTATTTGCAATATCTTACAGTAATAGAATGATCAATTTCACTGAATCATACTCCTCTGCTTCTTCATGGATTATTGCTGTGTCTCAACTCTGGCTACACTTGCTAGATTTAAATATTTGGTGATTTCTAGAGTTAAAAATCTCTACATAGCCATAACCAAAGCTTCTTGAATTTAAGGAAGTAGACAGTATCTCACAAGTGGTAAAATATATTTAAGTGGTAAAATATAAATAATATATGTATATAAATATATGCTATTTTTCAATTTCTTCCAGCCTAAACAAATGCCTAGGTAAGGCCTTAAGTCTTTTGTAAGTTACTATTAGCTGGTTGATCTCTGTAACTCAACTTCTATAAATTTTCAAGACTTGTACATATTTGGATGCCTGTACTGTTTCCACACAATAGTAAATACCCTAAGAAGATGTAAATCCATCTATATGGTTATAGATGTAGCTGCTTTATCAGTAAATATTTATTCAAGAACTTGTTCTAAAATTTAAAGTTTTGTTCTCTATGAGAGAATGTCATGAGTACAACCTCCCTCCTTCTGTTCCTGTTGCTGCCCAGAACCTCTCACCTAACTTTCCACTTATTTCTATCTTTGAATTGTATTTTGGCACAAATAAAATTGTGCAATTTTGAATTTGCTGCATACTTATTCAACCTAAATAAGTGATCAGAAATTTTTAAAGTTGTAAATATATTTTTCTGTCACAACCAAAGATAGAATATAAGACTAACAAGTCAGCGTAGTTCGGGAGAGCTTTCATTACTGAATTATGAGAGCACTGGATAAAATGATTCATGCCTAAATATTTTTAGGAAAATATTATGTGATTTTAAAAATATTTGATAAAATGTGAAGATGTTATACATTGGCATAACAGAGAATGGTTTGGAATTTTCAGCATTGTTATTTGGGATAATTTTGAAATGATATCTCATTGTGTAAAAGTCTTGTGATTCAAAATATAATGATAATAAAAACTATAATTTGAAATACCTTAATCACTGAGAGTATTGCCTTTTCAAAATGTTAGGCGGGAGTGGGAATCTTAGGTGGGCTTGGAGATATTTAATTGGGCTCAGAAGGAAACTAAAGATTAGGAAGCTAAAAAGTACTGTAATTTAAAAGAATTGGAAGAGGCATCTGATAAAATACTCTTCAGATTCATTCATTTATGAAGTTTAAAACAACTAAGTTTAGCACATTTTAAATGTTTTAAGTTACTCAAGCCAAATGGAGACTGCAGTGATTGTTGATATTATGACATTCTTTTCCTTAAGTGAGGATTTATTCATTTATTAAACAGCCATTTTCAAATACTTTATTAAGCACCTATTATGGTGATGGCAGCTCTCCTAGTGCTGAGCGTTTTACAAAGTAGAAACCTAGACAGAGTGGTAGATCTTGAAAGAGTCTTGAAGATTGAAATCAAGTATAACCTTATTTTAAAAATAAGGAAACAAAGCTAATGTAAGTCTGATTACTGTCTGAAAGAGCTTTTAATCTACATGGGTAAAAAAAGCCCTCATTATGAAAAATAACACAGATAAGTAATTTATATTATTTATTAAATAACAGTCAACAAATATATTAGGCTAGTATAGTACAGTGGTAAAAGGGGATTTTTGAGTTTAACTTTGCTATTTATTAGCTGTGTGAACTTTTACAACCTTCTTAACTTTCTTAAGACTTCAGTTTCATCATCTATAAAGACATACCTTGTAGGGTTGTTTTGAGAACTAGATGTAATAATGTTTCAAAAATGTTTAGACAAATTCTATCATTTGACAAGTGCTCAAAAATGTTAACTGTTATTATTATTACTGAACTAATGCTGTCTTGCAATTGCCATAGTAATATAGATATTAATTGCCGTAGAAAATTGCAGTCTAGAATGGCAGTGTCAAAGACCACTTAATTTTTCTCTTCTTCTCTCTTCTCCTTTCTCTTTCCACCCCCTTTCCAAATACACACACCATAAAATGACTAAAAAATACATTTTTCTTTTGTCTTATATGTCATCTGTATCACCAGTCTCCTCTGCAGTGCTACCGCACACACATCCACAAAATATGTATTACCTTAAAGACATATGCTCTCACGATGTTGTGAGGGTTTCTTTGTTTTTTCTTTTTTTCCTTCAACTTTTATTTTAAATTTGGGGTACATGTGCAGAATGTTCAGGTTTGTTATATAGGTAAAAGTGTGCCATGGTGGTTTGTTGCACAGATCAGCTGATCACATGGTATTAAGCCTAGCATCCATTAGCTATTCTTCCTGATGCTTTCCCTCTTCCTACCCTTCCCCCCACTGACAGGTCCCAGTGTATGTCGTTACCCACCATGTGTCCACGTGTTCTCATAATGCAGCTCCCACTTGTAAGTGACAACATGAGGTGATTGGTTTTCTGTTCCTGCACTGGTTTGCTGAGGATAATGGCTTCCAGCTACATCCCTGTTCCTGCAAAGAACATGATCTCATTCCTTTTTGTGGCCGCATAGTATTCCATGGTGTATAAACACCACATTTCTTTATATAGTCTACCATTGATGGTCATTTGGGTTGATTCCATGTCTTTGCTATTGTGAGTACTGCTGCAATGAACATACACATGCTTGCATCTTTAGAACAGAATGATTTATATTCCTTTGGGTATATACCCAGAGTTGGGATTGCTAGGTCAAATGGTGTTTATGCCTCTAGATCTTTGAGGAATCACCATGGCGTCTTCCACAATGGTTGAATTAATTTCACTCCCACTAACAGTGTAAAAGCGATCCTTTTTCTCCACAACCTTGCCAGCATCTGTTGTTTCTGGACTTTTTAATAATCATCACCATTCTCACTGGTGTGAGGTGGTATCTCATTGTGGTTTTGATTTGCATTTCTCTAATGATTGGTGATGTTGAGCCTTTTTAAAATTTTTTGTTGGCCACGTGAATGTCTTGAGAAGTGTCTGGTCATGTTCTTTGCTCACTTTTTAATGGAGTTTGTTTTTTTCTTGTAAATTTGTTTAAGTTCCTTGTAGACTTTGGATATTAGACCTTTGTCAGATGAACAGATTACAAAAATTTTCTCCCATTCCGTAGGTTGTCTGTTCACTGTAATCATAGTTCTTTTGCTGTGCGGAAACTCTTTAGTTTAATTATCCCATTTGTCAATTTTTGCTTCTGTTGCAATAGCTTTTGGTGATTTCATCATGAAATCTTTGCTTGTGCCTATGTCCTGACTGTCATTGCCTAGATTTTCTTCTAGGGCTTTTATAGTTTGGAGTTTTACATTTATGTCTTTAATCCATCTTGAGTTAATTTTTGTGTAAAGTGTAAGGAAGGGGTCAAGTTTCAATTTTCTGCATATGGCTTGCCAGTTCTCCAAGCACTATTTATTAAATAGGGAATCCTTTCCCCATGGCTTGTTTTTGTCAGGTTTGTTGAAGATTAGATAGTTGTAGGTGTGCGGTCTTATTTCTAAGTTCTCTATTCTGTTTCTTTGGTCTATTTGTTTTTGTACCAGTACCATGTTGTTTTGGGTAGTTACCTTGTAGAATAGTTTGAAATCAAGTAGCATGATGCCTCTAGCTTTGTTCTTTTTGTTTAGGGTTTTCTTGGCAATTCAGGCTGTTTTTTTTTTTGTTCCAAAGGGTTTCCTTATAAACTATGATAAGGTTTGCCAGTTTAGCTGCATCTGTCAGAACAATAGCATAAGTCAAAGCTTTGGTAATATGCAGCCAGCTAATAGTAATAGTCACCTCCCTTTTGGAACAGTTTTCATTTCTTCAACCATAGTATTTTTGCAAAGCATGTTTTTGAAATAAAAGTTGCTATAAAGTCATTTTCTAATAAGCTTCATTTCCAGAGGACAAGTAAGGGACCCTGCCCTATAGAGATCACTGTTCAGAAACTTTACCCCTGTTGTAATATTGCAAGGCATGTCATGCTATTTTCCCATTTCTATGTAAAAATTATTTTAATTCCATTCTTTCAGAAATTATTCTAATACCATTTTCTTCTCATGTCACTTTATTGTTTTTTTCTTCATGATACATTCCTTGCTACCCTTTTTGCTTGAGGTTTTGATTTCCCTGCTGTATTATTTTTCCACCTTTTTACATATTTATTGTCCCATAAACCTACATGTTGATTTTCTTTCATACTTGATTTAATTTATTTTGTGAGTTTGCATTCAATTTATGGATTTTGAGATAAATCTCTCTCACTGGTTCTTTACACTATAGACTGCATAAAATCTGATTTATGAAAGCTCATTTTGTTTTTGATGTAAAGGCAAATATTACATTTGATTTGGCCTTGGTCACATGGGTTATTAAGAAGGGAAAATGTTTTTGATACTAGTAAAATTAGTCCTTTTTGATTTTCAGTTGAAGCAAAGAAGAGAGAAATTGACCTTTGCCTGAGTTTGGTATTTGAGCTGACTCTGATCTTTGATTATTTTCAAATGTTTATGTAAATCTGGGTCCTGTTTGCAGGATTTTAAGAAAACAGCATCTAGAGCAGGATCAGATGCTTTTTAGACTAAAGCCAGTTCTGTACTTTTCAAGAAATTTTATTTGTTTTTACTTAAGAATGTAAGAATTGTGATGATCAGGTCATTTTACTTTTGATTCTATCAGCTTTTGATGAACAACCTAAGCAGGACCCCAGGACCTATTCCTATGCCAGTGTTGGGTACCCATCTTTTACCTATTAGGGTCTTCTAAGTCCAATTTTGTGAGGTATCCTTGGTTCTGCTTACCAATAGACATAATATATATATTTACAGAAACTGCCCAGCAAATAGCAACTGGTCTTTAAGAGAAATGTAGATTTTTAAAATTGTGATTATTGCAGGGCTCATAATTCAGGTTACTTTTCACTGAGGTTTTTTTTTTTTTTTTGGTTCTCAGCAAAATTTATTTCATTAGTTTCAAACCTTTTGTTAACAATGCTTCTGTTTTCAAGAGAGGGTTTGTTTCCCCAATATTTTACCTGGTTTATTTCTGAAGGTTTTTTTGATGGAGAGAATTTCTACTTTCTTTCTAGACAATTTTAAAAGGTGTAATCTGTATCATCTTAAAGGCGGTATCTCTTTGGAGCTATGTAGGAATATATGATATAAAACGAATCCTTCTACCTAAACAGCATGGATACAATACAAAGAAAAAAAATCTACCCAACATGAAATAATCTGAATAATTATTTAAAAAATTGAGTTTATAGGGTTAAAACTCCAGAAGAAGAAATCTTAGGTATACCTAGATGGTTTCCCTGCAGAATTGCACCAAATATTTAAAGAATTAATACCAATTCTGCACAATTGCTTCCATAAAATAGGAGAGGAACATTTTCCAACTCACTTTCTTAGACCTGTATTAGCCTGATACCAAAACCAGAAAAACTCTGTACAAAAAAGAAAAATACAGATGAATATTATTCATGAACATAGACTGAAAAATAGTCAACAAAATATTTTTGTAAAAGTAATTCAGTAACATGTAAAAGTAATTATACACCACAATGAAGTGCAAAGTTGGTTCAATATTCAAAAATCAGCCAGTGTAATCCACCACATCAACAAGATAAAGAAGAGTCAAATTATCATATTAATTGATACAGAAAGAAAACATTTCATGAACTTCAACACCCATTTATGATAAGTTTTCTCAGCAAAGTAGGAATAGAAAGGAACTTCCTAAATTTGATTAAAAAATATATGAAACACCTACAACTAACATTATATTTAATGGTGAAAGACTAAATACTTTCCCCTAATATTTGAAGCAAGGGAAGATTTCTTCTTTTCCTATTCTTAATCAATACAGTACTGGAAGTCCTAACCTGCAGAATAAAGCAAGAAAAGGAAATAAAAGGAATACAAATTGGAAGGAAGATACAACGCTGTCCCTATGTGAAAATGACATAATGGTCTATGCAGAAAGTCCCAAGAAATCTAGCAAAATAAAAAAAAAAAAAATCCCTCCTAGAACTAACAAGTGAGTTCAGCAAGGTCACAGGATACAGGATCAATATAAAAAAATGAATTATATTTCTATATACTAGCAATAAACATAAAAATGTTAATTATAAAATTATTATTATACTTTAATTACAAAATTATAATTAAAACATTATAAAAGGCCACTTATAATTACTTATTTAAATATTTAGGTAAAATATAATAAATTATATACAGGAGTTATATGTTGAAAACTGCAGTGTTAATGAAAGAAATTTTAAGTTCAAAATAAGTGGAGAAATACCTTGTGTTTATAGATTGGAAGACCTGACATAGTAAAGACCTCAGTTCTCCTCAAATTCCCCTATAATTTTTTATGTAATTTCCATAAAATTCCTAGTGTAATTTTTGTGGACATAAGCAAGCTTATTCTAAAATTTATTTAAAAATGTAAAAGGAACCATAACAGTTGAAACAATGATTAAGAGAAAAATGGAATGAGAATAATCACTGCATCCAAATTTAAGACACCACATTGCTATAGTAATCATGATGATGTAGGATTGGTGGAGGGATGGAAACAGACTAAGGGAACAGGACAGAGAACCCAGAAGTAGAACAATCAAAGTGCGGCCAAAAGTTTTTTTTTACAAAGTTACAAAAGCAATTCAATGAAGGAAAGATTGTCTTTGGTTGTCTTTTCAACAAATGGTACTGGAGCGATTGGACATCCATAGGCAAAACAAAACAGAACAGAAAAAAAAATACCTCATTTACACTTAAACATCTCAACTTATGCAAAAATTAACTCCAAATAAAACATAGATTTAAAAGCAAATTATAAATCTATAAAACTTTTAGAAGAAAACAGGAGAAAATAAAAATCTACAAAACCTAGAGTTAGGTGAAAAAAGTTCTTAGGACATCAAAGGCATGGTCCATAAATGAAAAAAATCCATAAATTAGACTTCAGCAAAATTAAAACCTTATGCTCTGTAGAATATCCTGTTTAAAGGATGAAAATACTTGGTACTCCACCTTGAGAGAAAATATTTGCAAACCATGTACGTACAAGGCCTGACAAAGGACACATATGGATAATGAGTAAAGAAATATTAAAAACAGCAGTGAAAATGAACAATTCAAGTAGAAAATGAGCAGTGCCATGACTACACACTTCATCAAAGATAACAAAAAATGAACACATGAAAATATATTCAGTATCATTAGCCATTAGGGAAATGGAAATTAAAACCACAATGGATATTGCCGCATGCCTTTTAGAAGAGCTAAAATTTAAACCATCCTGACAGCACAATACAATGCCAACAAGGTGAGCAGAGAAACTGGATCTGTCATATACTGGCAGTGGAAATGTCAAATGCTACAACCATTCTGGAAAATAGGTTGACATTTTCTTTAAAAACTATACAATATTCTTCTATATAACTCAGAAGAAGCTCCTAGGTATTTATCCCTGAAAAATGAAAAATTATCTACACAAAAATCTGTTCTTGAACGCTCATAGCAACTTTATTTGTAATGGCTCCACACTGGAAACAACCTAGTTGTCCTTCATTTGATGGGTGAATTGTTAAAAACAAAACAAAACAAAACAGGGTACCTCCAAACTATAGAATATTACTCAAGCATTAAAAAGGAATAAACTATTGATACATGCAACACTTTGGGTGGATTTCAAGGGTATTGGGAATACTGTGCAGCCATAAAAAATGATGAGTTCATGTCCTTTGTAGGGACATGGATGAAGCTGGAAACCATCATTCTCAGCAAACTATCACAAGGACAAAAAACCAAACACTGCATGTTCTCACTCATAGGTGGGAATTGAACAATGAGAACACATGGACACAGGAAGGGGAACATCACACACCGGGGCCTGTTGTGGGGTGGGGGGAGGGGGGAGGGATAGCATTAGGAGATATACCTAATGTTAAATGACGAGTTGATGGGTGCAGCACACCAGCATGGCACATGTACACATATGTAACCAACCTGCACGTTGTGCACATGTACCCTAAAACTTAAAGTATAATTAAAAAAAAAGAAAAAAAAATATGTTTTCACGTAAAAAAATAAAGCAATTATCGAAAGGTTACTTACTATAAGGTAATGAAATTCAGATTGTAGAGTAATGAGTGACGTGGGCCATTTTAAGAAGTAAATGAGCAAATAGAAACTTTTCTTGAGAATCTGAACAATAGAAGGAAAAATACCAATTTGAGTGGCATTATAGAATTTGCCATTTTTAATTCTATTTACAGCATTGTTATGACTAATAAAATTGTTTATTGCATAAAGATACGGTTCTTTTAAGATGCACTATTATCTCCCTTAAGTTAATCTAGAGTGTATAACTAAGTTCATGTCCTTTAAATTTAAGATTTTTTTATGGCTCACAAAGTTTATGCCTTAGTGAAGAAACTAGTCTGTAACTTTTTTTGAAAATAGTCTATTTTATTGAGAAGATTCAGGAAAAAAGGGAGAACTCTCATTTAATATCCCAGGGTCAAAAAAAAAAAAAAAAAGGAAGAGAGAGAAACAAATAATTTCCTGAAAGTCTGACCATAAGCACTCCCATTATTCTCTGTCACAGCACTTATTTATCATTATTATTAATTAATTTATTTATTGATTTATTTTTGAGATGGAGTCTCCCTCTGTCCACCAGGCTGGAGTGCACTGGCGGGATCTCAGCTCACCGCAAGATCCGCCTCCCGGGTTCACGCCATTCTCCTGCCTCAGCCTCCTGAGCAGCTGGGACTACAGGCACCCGCCACCAAGCCCGTCTAATTTTTTGTATATTTAGTAGAGACGGGGTTTCACCGTGTTAGCCAGGATGGTCTTGATCTCCTGAACTCGTGATCCGCCCACGTTGGCGTCCCAAAGTGCTGGGATTACAGGCGTGAGCCACCGCACCCTGCCATTTATTATTATTTTTAATCCCAATCATACTTTGCAATTTTTATTTTGTATCTGTTTGCTTGCTTGTTTGTTGTCTGCTGATTCACTAGAATGAAAGTTCCATGAACATCATACTAACATCACAGAAGCCCTCAAAACTATGCCTGGCACCTATCAGACACTCAGTAAATATTCATGCATGCAGGAATGAATGACTAAAATATTTGGCCCTAAAGTTTTGAAAGCCTGCTGGTTTAAGTGAAGAAAACTCTACAGGAGTAAGACATTCATTGATTTAAGAAATACTTATCGAGTACCTATATGTGCTAGGCGTTGCTCTAATTGCTTGTAATACTTCACAGAGGAAAAATAAGGCCAAATATCTGCCCTCATGAAGCTTACATTCTAACGTGGGAAAAATAAAAAATTGAATGGTGGAGGGAAGGGTTGTGAAATGTATCATCACTCACAAAACTTTGCCTGAATTGGAAGATGAGTAAAACCAATATATTTTTCCATGATAAAAAAAAAAAAAAAAAAAGCCCTGAATTTGTTGTTTCTCTTTTTTCTTATCTAGAAGAGGAAAAACTAGAAGGATATCTGGCTAAGAGGAAGCACAGCCTGAGCCTCTTTTTTAATGAGTTCTTGCTTTAAACCACACTGGTGATGTAATTTTGGGAAACTTGGAAATCTTTGAAATGGGGCTGTAGAAATAAAGTTAAGGACCAAAAGTAATGGAACTACTTGATATAAATTCAGATTAATATTACATGTAGAGAGTGAAACTATAAAGTGACGTTGTACAGAATATGAGGAAAAGGGGCAATAAATTTAGGCAGGTACTAAGAAGCTACTGATTTGTAAAAAAGAGCTATTCTGTTCCTGAGCATTCCGATGTACATGCACAGGATGTGCAGGTTTGTTACATAGGTAAACATGTGCCGTGGTGGTTTGTTGCACAGATCATCCTATCACCTATATAGTAAGCCCAGCATCCCTTAGCTAAGGAATAGTTTGCTTAAAGACTTGATATTTGAAGTAGCACTGCCACCCTGACGGCCCTAAGAACAATTATCCAGGTTGCAGGCAACTTGGGAGACAGAATATGGCAAAGAAATCCTTCACAAGTGGTATCACTTATTGACCACTTATCAGAGATGAAGAGAGGAGCCTTTGAAACCACTCTGATCTCAGTGATAATATCAAGAATCTTTATCCTCAAAAAACTGCCCTCCACACAGAGTTCAGAAGGGAAACAGAGTCACTTGAAAGATTAAGAGATTCCCAAGATTGCATAGGAAATGAGTAGCATAGCTCAGAGAAATGTAAGAAAATCAAATACTACTAAGCTCTCTAAACATTAATGCTTTGCTATTTTAAAAACTCCTGTAACTGTATCTTCTATAATAAACATGCAGGTTATCAAAAAAATGTACAGAGAGCCCTTCTATAACCAGGGTTGTCTAGACGTGTCAATGAGCAAGACATTCTTGAGGGTGACATCAAGGGAGATGACATTATGCTGAACATCACTTGTCACAGAAACATGACAGGGTCATGTTTAGTAGGTAAGTGGGTAGAAGGAATAGAGTCACTGACTCTGTTTCCCAGACGTTCCCTACTCTGAACTCTGTGGCAAATTGCTAACCTTATCCCAGCAGGCATCCTCGTAGAGCAACAGCTTATTTATTTAAGCATGTGTGTATGTGTGTATTTGCATATATATATGAATGTGTGTGTGTGCCTTAACCGTAGCTGATGAAAATTTCTTTTTGTAATATTGTCTCTCCCCTTACAAAAAAAAAAAAAAAAAAAAAAAAGACGTTTTTCCCAGCCTAACCCTCTACTTGATAGATCAAATTCTTAATGGTAAATGTTTGAATTGTCACAGCCAAAACAGGCCTTATTAATCTAAATTCTGTTTAGGCTTTTACACTGAGATTTCTCAGTTGACACTCCATTGTACTTAGGGAGCAATCTAAATTGCTTCACTGGATGAAATTTTATTCAGAGGTCACAAATGTTGGCTTCATAAAGTCATTTTTAAAAGTTTATTTCCTGGATCCTTTTGAAAAGAGGGGTTTCCTAGGAAATGGCAAACACACACTGGTATGTGGAGCTCTGGCTCTGCAAAACACAGTGCTGATAGTCTCTGAGCTTGCGGTTCTGAAGTTAACATTGTTAGAGAAGATAGGATGCTGCTTCAACCTTGAAAGGGGAGGGAAGGAAGAAATAGCATTTCCTCAATATAAGCCTCTGTGATAACACCAAAATGTGAAACTTTATGAATGCTGTTTGAGAGATTCTATTTTTTGATAACTCAGAAATTGCATTTTTGGCAGGGTGGTTTCAAAAAAGGAACACTAGGGCTTTGATTTGGTCCTCTGTTTTTATCTGCAACTTTAATCTATATACAGGGAAGGTTTTCTTTGACATTTGTAGCAGCATTTCTGAGATTGATGCTGCTGCCTATTATTATACAGGAGAACATTTGATACTAAAGTTTCCCGCAGCTCCCATCAGCTTTCTATAGCAGGTCTGCTCTCCTGACATTTAATGTCCCTTAAGTCTGATATGGTCTGATAACTTCAACATGCCAGCTGCTCTGGGGAGAAATAAAGAACTGCGGTATCCCTGATTCTTCATAGGGATTGTCACCACCTACATCACCAGTCACCCATCACCTTTCCCCTTAATATGTGCAAATTAAAGGCTAGAAAGCGTACATGCACTGTGTCTGTGTGTACATGTACCAACACACCAAGATTAAACCAGATTAGAGAAAAAGTAGTCTGCTTGTAAACACAACCAAAGGACCAGCATGTGTCAACTTCTTGAGATGTCTAGATTATCTTTCTGAAGCTGACTTTGAGTGAGCCCAGATAAAAGGAAAAGTTCCTTATGCCTCAAAAATCAAATTTTCCACAACCATTCAAACACCAAAGAAGTGTTGTTGCTGTAAATACCTTACCTAACAAAATTCAGGATTATATTTTTAACCATAACTCAGAATCCAGATTAGATCTTGTTGAAATAAACCAGCACATCCACACATTACATGAATTGTCAGTGGAATAATACATAGCTGTAAAAAGGATAACAATTTCTCTATATCTTGATCTTAAAGATTTCTGGCATATGTTATCAAGTGGAAAAAGCAAAATACAAAAATTGTCCATAGTATGCTATTTTTTGTGTAAGAAAGAGTGAAATACTTGAGTTTGCTTGCATTTGCATAAGAAAACTTTGAAAGAATATTTAAGAAACTAATCAAAGTGCTAACTAATAGAGAGTGAGTGAGAAAGGAGGAAATAGAGATGAAATGGGAATAAGAGCTCTTGATTTATATATTTTTACATTATTTTATTTTTAACCATGTGAATATGCTATCCAAAAATTTATAATTTATTATTTTTTTAAATATTAAGGACTTTATTTTCATTTGAGTTTGATTTGCCATATGAGAGTATAACTGGGCTCTAGGAGACCTGGAGTTCCCATTTGGTTGAGTTACTGGTCTCTGAGATTTACCACTCAGCTCACAAGATAATCCTAACTAAATTTTGAAATTTGTGCTTCATCATCTGTGTGCACCTTTTCTTCAGCGCATCATAAACTTATGGAGGGCAGGCACCACATCTCTGGTTACAGTGCTACAGATAGATGTACTCTACTGAATAACACTCTCAATGATATGTTTGAAATAAGAGAAATAACGATGACCCACTTTCTCAGCAGTGAAGACTGATTATTTTTTAAACTCATGGTATTCTGTATCCAAGACAGTAGTTTATAAAAATGTTGTTTACAGTCCATTGCTCATGAAGAAAATTAGCCGTTCTCATTTTAGTCAGCTGGAGAATTATTCAATTTCAGTACAAATGAAAGAACAGAATATGAACTTCCTGAAGTTATCTTCCTAGTGTTATTAAAAATAAGCTTCATCACACTGTAGTCAACATACCATGAATGCACAATTTAAAAATCTAAACTTGGTAGAAGCTTGTCGTGATGGCTTTGTTAAAATAGGAATGGAAAATAAAGTTAACTTTTTAATCTATCTTCAAACAACCTAATACACCTAAGAAATACGATACCGTGATATAAATTAAGTGACAAAATATCCTGGAAAACAACTGGAACAATTAATGAGATCTTAGCTCTTGTCCAAGAATCACACCATTCACAGAGAACATCTTACGAAGACGTGTGCTAGAGATATGATGGAGCCAGAGTGAGTCCAGAAAGATGACTGGGTTTACCTGAAGAAAAAGGTCAGGATGCTTGCTCATGAAATCTATATAATCCCATGACATGATTGAACAACGTAACCTGAAATAATTGGTAGAAATTATGAAAAACCCTCAGGGCCAATAAGGACATTGGAGATAAAGTAGGAAAGACCATCTACAAATCAGCCATTATTTTGAAGTAGACAACTGACTTATAATCTGAAATATTTAGGCATAAGTAATCATGTTTCTGTGTGAATTTGTGGAAACTTTAAAAAGGGTAGAGCTTAGTAATAATTTGCTTTTTATTCTGACCATTAGTGGTGACATCTTGACAAGTTATTAACATACCAGCTTAAACATTGAGAGAGAAGAAAAGAAGGATAGAATAATAATTTTGAGATGAGAATCTGGTGAAGGAAGAGAGGAACAGACAGTTCTCTCCTGCTCTCATCTCTAACCTTGAGGTTAGATGATTTCTGTTAAAAAAAGAAAATAGATTTTTCTGCAGAATAGCAATTTCATGGCCCTTGTTCTGCAGGGAAGATTACTGCTTGGAGAAGTTTTCTGTTTCTGTTTGTCCTATGCTCCCACCTGGCTACTTCTCTCCTCTTTTCCCTAAAGGCAGAGATATGATCTCTGTAGCTGGATCCTGTTCTGCCTCACCTTTTTACTGTGGTCTGGACTACTGAACATTTCAAAGGGAAGGCATAGAAGAAGCAAGATGAGTATTATAATCCTTCTGGTTCCTTGTGTCACCCTGCTCAGGACGTGTCCTTGTTCTACCTTGTCGAAATATGGATGGTAGCCAGAAGCTCTGACCTACTTCTCTTTGCTTGCTACCCCTCTGATTTTCAGGGAACCCTAATAAGGAAATGCTTTGGGGAGGATAGGAAAGTTTACAAGTTCCACAACTATGTAAATAATTTAGCAACCTCCAAAATGAATTTGCATTAATATAGTCAGGGCTCCCAGAGCATCTATAATAGTAATTTTACTTTCTTACTTTCTACTGGCTCCAAATCACCCCTGTTCATTACTGCATAGGGACTCTCTTATAAACGTAGTAGAAATCACAGTAATTTTCTAAAATCTTCTGCTTGCATCTACAAAAACCTGGTTTTGTTTTTCAATCTACATATATCTTTAGCTGGAATAAAAAGGTAAAAACTTCTGCAATATATGTGGCTTTGTCATTCTGATTGGCCTTTAGGGATTGCCCAGAAAACAGTGGTGACTGCCCAGGGCTTATGCATTGACCTGCACTTTTTTAGTGTTTTTCAAGAGATTCAACAGATGGGATAATTGTTGTCCCTGAAAGCTCTGCCTGGTGGTCTGGCATCCCAGGAATTTGCCCACATTCCTTTGTGTTGGTTGTCTGACTCTGCCCTTTGCAGCAGGGTTTCACAGGTATAATAGGATTTTACTTTTAAGGTAGCAGGCAAGCTGCCTGGCAAAGAATCTACTTACAGAGAGGAGGCACTACCCTTCCCATTCCCTTGCCTCTGTGCTAGGAATCTTTGATTTAGAGCACTGCAGCTGCTGCAGTTCATTACTGTACATTTTAGAGTCAAGCACGACTGTATCAGTGGGTTACCCCCTAAAGTGCTATACTCATTGTGATAATAGCTAAGGATATTACAGACAGGAGGAGTGAATACTGCCTTTGGAGCATCACTACTCTCTGCCTAAAGTGTGCTTCCAAATAAGAGGGAGAGTGCTACCTTACAAGCCAGCTGTCACCTCTAACAGCTGCCCCACCAGTTCAGCCTTCTAAAACTCCAGGTGAGGGGCAAGGGCTTGTAACCATGGCTAGATCACCCCAAAGTGACTATGAGGCTCCAAGTGCCACAGCAGAGGAGCCAGGGCTGAGGAATGTGTGAGAATTGGGCTCATCAGTAATCTCTCTTGATTGGTACTTACAATCCTAAGTCATGGCTTGGCCACCTCTTTGCTCAACTCACAACACGCTGGTTGTATTAGTCTGCTTTCACACTGCTATAAAGAACTACCTGAGACTGGGTAATTTATGAAGAACAGAGGCTTAATTGACTCACAGTTTCCCAGGATTAACAGGAAGCATGACTAGGAGGCCTCAGGAAACTTACAATCATGGTAGAAGGTGAAGGGGAAGCAAACACATCTTACCATGGTGGAGTGGGAGAGATACAGCAAGGAGGGAAGTGCCACATCCTTTTAAACCATTAGATCCTGTGAGAACTCACTTACTATCATGGGAACAGCAGGGGGGAAATCCACCCCCATGATCCTATTGTTACCGGGGGGTCCTTGCTCACAGAGTTCCCAAGATGGTGGCGAGCCACTCCCAAGATTGTGGCGAGCCACTTCCAAGATGATGGTGGGCGGCTTCCAAGATGGTGGCAAGCCTCATGTCTCTGATCTGGGGTTCTCGGCCTCACAGATTCCAAGGAATGGAATTTTGCGCCATGCAGTGAGTGTTATAGCACTATTAGAAGCTGTGGGTCACGGAAGAGAACCGTGGAACCCAGTGACTAGTGTTCAGCCTGATTAGGATGAACCCAGGCACTTAGCCGTGCAGGAACAATGGCAAGCCTTTAGCCCAATTAGGAGTGGCAATGGGCGCCTCCCTGGATCAGGAGCACAGCAGACACCCTGCCGGATCTGGAGGGATGGAAGTCAGTGGCGGGTCTGTGATGGCGGCAAACAGCAGTGGTGGGCAGTGGTGGACGGTGAGCGAAAGCTCAGCTTGAGCCGTAACAAACACGGACCAGAAGAGTGCAGTTGCATGATTTAATAGAGTGAAATAGAGTGAAAACAGAGCTCCACACAAAGGGAGGGGACCCAAAGAGGGTTGCCTGTTGCCGGCTCGAATGCCTGGGTTTATATCCCGATCCTTGTCCCTCCCTCTGTGCTCTAAGGCAATAGTTGATTGGCTATTTCTTTACCTCCTGTTTTTGCCTAATTAGCATTTTAGTGAGCTCTCTGATTGGTTGGGTGTGAGCTAAGTTGCAAGCCCCGTGTTTAAAGGTGGATGCAGTCACCTTCCCAGCTAGGCTTAGGGATTCTTAGTCGGCCTAGGAAATCCAGCTAGTCCTGTCTCTCAGTCCCCCCTCTCAACAGGAAAACCCAAGTGCTGTTCGGGAGGTTGGCCGACGACTACTCTAACTGCTTCCTGCTGAATTGGGGCGTAGTAGGGGTTGTGCAGTTGAGATTTTCTCAGGAGGGGTGCCTTTGATGTCATTAACATTGGAGCATGGGCTAGCAGGCCAATCCAGGGGTCTACAGTAGATCTTAGTCATGGACTGCATCTGAAGCTCCATTTGAAGAACGTTTTGTAGTTTTACAGCCTCAATTCTGGAAGAGACAAACTTAACAAGGAGGTTAAAGATACAGGGTCCAAAGAGGAGTAGCAATATTATAGCTGCTGGAGGTCCTAAGAAGGGGAGAATCCATGGCATCCATTGGCTGAGGAGGCCCCAGGGTCCAGTGTTTTGAAGCTCCTCTACTCTACATTGTATTCGATCTCGAATTTCAACTTTCTCAGTGATGATTCCGGATTGATTAACGTAATAACAGCACTATCACCTCCCACCAGGTCCCTCCCACAACATTGGGAATTATAATTCAACATGAAATTTGGGTGGGAACACAACACCAAACCATATCAGTGAGTTTTACAGGAAAGAATACCATGATATGCAGTGTTTACTGGGGCTCTGAACCCAAGAACCTCAGTTTGAACCACTCATATTAGAAAGAATGGAGATACCATATCCAATGACAAAACAACTACAAGAGAGACTTTATGGTCCAGTAGATACAGTAGTAAAGGAGGCAACAATGACCATGGATCTTTGGTCTTATCTGTGCTATTGAGTTATTTGTGACTTTGTGCAAAGTCTTTTGAGCTTTGAAGTTCTTGACAGGGAAATGACAACACTTGCTGGTTGATGGGCCTCCTAGGGCTGTACTTTTCAGAGGGGCACTATTGAAGAATTGTGAGCCCTCTTTCTCCCTTACGCTTCCTACCCCACCCTGCCCCTGTTGTAGTATCAGCTCTGCTTCTGTAACTTAACCCATGTCCTTGAAACTTACTAAGGATCTACATGATAGGCATTCTTCCTAGTGCTGCTCTCTTTCTTCTCATACACATAAGTGTAGCAATTCTATATTTGTTAGGCTGCTAAATAAAGGAGAAGCCTTCTTTAAACAATAAATAATATACCCAGTAACTATTTCTATTGATAAACATTAATATGATAATTGATATTACTATCTTTTATTTTCTCCTAGAGGTTGGGTACTCTGCCATGGTTCACATTATAGCTGGCCTCACAATAGCTATCCAGAACAGGGCTTATTATTCCTATTTTGCATGCAGTGAAACTGAGGTTAATTTTCAAATATTGTGCAATTTACACGATTTGTCCAGAATATATCCCTTCAACCTCATATAAAAGACTTCTTTTGTTCCCACCTATTTGCTGTAATTTCACACTAAGTATCCAGATTTATTGGAGACTTTTGCATGTGACTTATAATATTATTTTTAAGTATAACAGTTTAGCCAAACCATTAATGAATAGAGCTTCAACCATCTGAAGATTTCATTCACACAACCCACTCATAGGGACAAATCTTTGACCTTATGAAAATCTTTAACTTTCATACTTCTGAAGAAGAATCTCTGGATACAACCTCCTCTCTCTGATAGCTTTGTCATGTGCTTACTTTCCATATGCCCTCTCCTTAAATCTAGTGCCAGCCCTAGTTTCCAGACTAACTCATTTTCTCCTGATGGTTCGGATTTCTCCTTGATCCATCGTGTCTGTTACTTTCAATGCAAAATGTCCCTTCATTCTCCTGACCTTTTGTTTTTCTGTCATACCTACCCTAAAAACTCAATTACCTTTTGCCTCAATCATCCTTTGCCTCCCTAACTCCCAATCATCCTTTGGATCTCTGCTCAAATATCACATCATCAGGGCTTACCCCCACTCCACAGATCAGTTTGGTCACTGTGTTTCATGCTGTCACAGTGGCCTGTACTGTTTCTTCATAGCACTTGCCAGAGTTTGTAATTTATAGACTTATTTATTTAATTATTTGATTCATATCTTTCTCATTCACTAGTCTGTAAGCTCCACAAAGGCAGAATTTATGTCTGTTTGACTTACTTGGTACACTTTAATTCCAGACCACTACTCCTCTACTCTCCAGCAAAATAAGACAAAACAAGATAGAAATGAAACAAAACAAAGCTGCTTCTTTCTTTGACATGCATGCAATATGGTTATATTCTTTCTCCTGTCTCCCCTTTGCTGTGTCAGACTTGGGATATTTCTTTATTTCCTTGAAACCTTGATCCTGGTTCACAGCCCTTCTCCTGACTCCAAGTCCCATCATTGCTGTCATAATCACAACATGCAATTGGATGATCTATCCAATACCTTGCACTCTGCATATTTCCACTTACTGTTCTCCCACTACATCCCATTCACCCATTTCTTTGCCATACCCTGCTTCTTGTCATCATGAGAAATTGAACCACCCCTAAATTTCAATATCAATATCAAACATTCAATTCTTACGCTATCATCCCTGAACCCTCCTGCTTACTTATTCAAGCTCTCTCACTCCAGCAATTTTTTTATCTCATCCAGATTTCCAATCCATTGACCCTACTGACATCTTTCTGCTTTCATTTTTTTCTATAACATCATTATACAATCTTCCTTATGGATGCCCTCAACTCTGTCATCCTCCCTTCCTATTGTAATCACTTTCTAACATACCACCTCAATGGAGTTAACTATCTTCTCTATACCTGCACCAAAACAGCAAAATCTTGCTGGAAAAAAATTATCTATTGACAAGTTTTACTCTAAATTCATATTCACAATCCTCAGTCAGTTAACACTGCCTGGAGTTCCAAGTATGTTTCCCTAGTAGGTTTCCTACTCTCAGGAACAAAACAAAACAAAACAAACAAACAAACAAACAAAAAATCACAAAACTATTTATATCTTTTCTCCTCAAAGCTTCCATACCTTTCCTCTCTCATTCTCAAATAGTGATTTCACATTATATTTAATTGAGACATTAGAAGACATCAAATGCAAATGCCTTCATTTCTTTATCACCAAATTTAACTTTCACTTGCAACCACCTTCTCCTTCCCTCCAGTGACAGGGAAGCTTGCTGCATGTACTCTATGGAGGAATCCATTCCTCCACTTGTACTCTGGGTCCCATCCACATTCACCTGCTTAAGGAACTTGCTTTTTAAGTTACCCTCTTTGACTCCTACCCCATCAAACTTTCCCTCTCTGTGGATCATTCCTAAGAAGTATGAAGACATAATGTAACATCTTTTATCTTTATAACCTCCCTTGATTCCACATCCCTGTTAAACTCTTTTCTCATTTTTCTCCTTGCCTTCATGGTCAGATTTTAGTGGAAAGATTAGATTGTCATGAAAAAATCTTGCCTAACCATCTTTCCTCATGCCTACTTATACCTACACTTTACTCCTCCTGCACATACTCATCACCACTCGTACCCATCCTAGACTCATTCCTCCCTACTTCCTCACCTGTCTCTAATTTCCTCACCACCACACCCCCTCTAGATTACCTGGCCATTCCCCACAGAGGAACTGGAGAATTAGGCTTCTAATATATACATTGGATCATAACGTTCCCTGGTTAAAAATATTCAATGACTTTAATTTTACTTAAAAGCCGATATTGTTATACACTTAATAGAAACAGTTAATAAAGAAGAAGAGAAGAAAATGACTGAATAGCAAAGTAAGCCGGAACATTTTCTTTCCTCATAGGGCTTAGAGTGATTTGGGAGACACACTGGTATTCAACAGATGTTCACAAAGATAACTGCCATCGTTAGTAGTGTGATAAAGGAAAAATAGAGGGTGCTAGGATAACATATAATAGCAATTTCTTCCCTGTAGAAACAACATTTACCCCGGGATCTTAAGGGAGAGTGTGAGTAGTGAAGTGTTGAGGCAGGCAGATAGGACTGTATACACAAATGCCTTGAGGCAGGAAGGGGTATGGGGCTTTAAGTCACTGAAGTACGTCCATGTGACTGGAGCATTGGGGGTGGGTGGCAGAGTTGCATGAGGTAGTGCTGGAGAGGTGAACAGTAGCTAGACCTTGCACAACTTGTAGACCATTTAAAAGAGTTTAGATCTCATTCAAGAACAAATGGCTGCCACTGAAGGATTTTAAAAAATATTCGAAATGAGTTTTGTTTTTTAACAGGATCATTTTGGTTGCTATATGATGAACATATGCAGTTGAGGATCAGACGCAGGTAAATTAACTAATTAGTCTACATTTCCAGGAAAGAGATAGTTGTAGTTTGGACCAGGATGCTTTTAGTAGACACATGAGAAGTGGATAGGTTCAAGATATTTTAGAAGTTGGATTGACAGGGCTTGGTAATTGATTAGATTTGGGGGGGCTAATGGTGACAGACATGTCAGGGATAATAAATGTGTCAAAGATATATCTCAAGTTTCTAACATGAGTAGATGGATCCATAGAATAGCCAGTTCTGGAGAATGGAGTGCAGGAAAGGGAGCTGGTTTGGGAAAGAATGTAACAGATTAGAGTTCAAACATTGAAATTGAGATTTTTGTAAGAAATTCCAGTCAAACTTGAACTATGAGATTGAAAACTAGGAAATACCCTTGATTTATCTTCTTCTCTAAACTCCATGCAGTTCACCAAATGTGCCTGTAATTTAAAAAAAAAAAAAAGGTTATTCTAAATCCAAACACTTCCCACTACCTCCACTGCTTTGACCTTAAATTGAGCTGTTCTAATTTGTCTTGCACGTTATTTCCTAATTGTCTCTCTGCTGCCCTCTTCCAGTCTCTTCTCCACAAAGCAGCTTAGAGTAATACCTTTAAAAGGCAAATTGTGTCATCCCATACCCCTGCTACACCCTTACTTTGAAACACCACATTCTTACTTTTGCCAAAAGATCGTAAAGGAGTTCCTGTCTTCCTTCCTAAACTTTCATCCTTACCCCTCTCTTCATAATGTGCTATGTGGCCACACTGACCTTCTTCCTGTTTTTGAACAAGATCACCCCTACTTCAGGGTTGTTATCCTATTCGTTCATTGTACTTGGAATTATTTTCTCCTTCTCATTGTGTGAGATTGATTTATATGTCACTTGAACATTCTATATAAAGTAGGCTAGTCTTCCAGGACCGTGAATGTATCGTTGGATGATACCACTGATACTCAGAGTTGGAATTATTTCTTGGCATATGTGTATAACATATAAGAGGAAGATGCGCTTAATGACTTTTTCTTTTGTTTATACAAGATAATACATTCTTATGTCATTAAGGGTTATTTTGGGGCTTGTGATGTAGAAAAGGTACACCAGCAGGAAGGGAGGATTTTGCTGTATGAATAAAAGTGCTTTATTACTTTATTCACAGAAAACAGCTGTTGGTTAACATATGCCTCCTGATCTTGATTAATTGTAGAATGCAGTAGTGAAAATGTGACTATGATCATCTCAGAGCACTGTGTGGATAAAATGGCTATCAAAGTAAAAATTCCTATTTACCATACTGAAGACTTCTGACTCTTGAGGCAAAAGGTAATTATTCAAGATTATACCATGAATGAGATTAACAAGACCCTGATAACATCAGTGTTATATGATTCTGTTCAACTTCCAATAGGATTGTGTCTCAGCAACATCATCAGCACCTTGAAGAGTCTGAACCTGTTACTTTAGGGCACACTTTTACATGTTGAAAATAAACATCTCACCCAAAGGAGAAGCAGCATTAATATTAATAAAACGTAAAGAGAGATTCAGTAAACATTTTAGCCAGAATTTATAAAATTTGTTGGCTGATTAGAAGCATGGATTTGAGAGACAAGGAGAAGTCTAAAATAAGTCCAGAGTTTCCAGTTTATTCGTGTTGTAAAATTAACCTGGAAATGTCAATAGGAAGACCTAATTTGGATTTATTTTAAAGATTAACTGGGTTACTTTCATGAAATCTGCATTAAAATGTCTGGTAACTAGAAAGAAGTATGGATCCAGGACTCAAGAAAGAAGGAATGAGGTTATAACCACTGTAGAAGCCAGGGAAATGTAGATGATCACCTTAAAAGAGCATGAAAAGGGCTGGGCATGGCTGCTTACACCTGTTACCTCAGCACTTTGGGGGGCCAAGGTGGGCAGATCATTTGAGGAGAGGAGTTTGAGACCAGCCTGGCCAACATGGCAAGACTCTGTCTCTGCTAAAAGTACAAAAATTAGCTGGGTGTGTTGGTGCACACCTGTAATCCCAGCTACTTGGAAGGCTGAGGTGGGAGGATCGCTTGAACCCAGGAGGTGGAAGTTGCAGTGAGCCAAGATTGCACCACTGCACTCCATTCTGGACAACAGACCAACACTCTGTCTCAAGTAATAATCATAATAATCATAATCATTTAAAAAAATAAAAAGAGCATGGAAAGTAGAAAGAAGGGAATAAATGAAAAAGATGGAATCTGGCAAACAACAACATATAAAGAGTAAGCATAGGAGGAATATGTCATAAAGGATCCCGAGATTCAGAACCAGAAAAAAACAAGAGAATAATAGCAAGTGACATTGAAAGAGGGAGTGGGCAAGCAATTCCAAGCCAGAAGATTCCAAGTTGGATAACGACTGAAAAGAGGTTAATGGGTTTGTTAGATTTTGGTTATCCTATTACATATAGCTTAATTTGTGTTAGAACCGTGCCCTTTTGAAGAGTGAAGGAAACATTTCCAGAAACTTCCTAACAGACTTCAGTTAATGATCTTTGGCCAGAATTGTGACCCATGTCCACTATTAAACCTATCACGGGATCAATAATTTGAATGACCCCAGCATTTATCAACCATGAGTTACTTACTGAGGCTGCAGCATGAGTCCTCTCTGTGTTGGGCTCAGACTACCCAGCCCCTGAAAAGATTTGGATTCTATAAGCATGAAAATGATTGATGACTGGGTAAGTAACCAATAGTGTGTGTCACTAGAAGGAAGTAAGTAAGGAATGTATATGTGTGTGTGTGTGTGTGTGTGTGTGTGTGTTTGAGAAAGGGGAGGGGAAGTGAGGAGAGAGAGAGAGAGGAAAGAAAGAAAGAAGAAAGAAAGAAAGAAAGAAATACAGAAAGAAAGAAGAAAGGAAGGAAGGAAGGGGGAAAGAAAGAAAGAAAGAAAGAAAGAAAGAAAGAAAGAAAGAAAGAAAGAAAGAAAGAAAGAAAGGAATTTTTCTGAATATAGGAATAGGTGGCCAGGTCAACAGTAAAGGATAGGGGGATGCTCAAGGCTTTGAGAAGGTGTTAAACATGTAAACAGCATTTATGAGGATTGAGAAAAGGGTTATATGTGTCTGAGAGTACTCTAATTGTTTGGGAGACATGAAAAGTTCTGTCAGCATGAGAAATGTTATTTTCATGTTCGATTTAAATCAACGAGGAGTCAAATATATTAGAGGTGGAATGATCCACATGACCATCCTGTCTTGTCTTTTGTTTTTTTAATTTTACTTAAAGTTCTGGGATACATGTGCAGAATGTGCAACCATCCTGTCTTTTCATGCGGATGCATAGCTGCTCTCACAGCAGCCGTTTGGAGCTTTGTTCAGGCTCACCTTAAATATCCCGGCTGATGAAATGTCCTCAGCTTCCCTTGAGAGCCTACTCCATCATCCAGTAGTTTTGTCTGTCAGGTCACATTCCCTGTGGTCTTCCTGTCATGCTCCTTTATTTCCTTCTGTTAGTCTTCTGGTGAAAGGATTCCCCATTCTGTGGGGTTTTTTACATTCAGACTCTTCTCATGCCTCTCAGTCACTAGCTACACTGTTAAATGTGGGATTTTCTTTGTTTTGTTGTAGTTTTAGTTAGTTTTCCCTTCCTTCCTTCCTTCCTTCCTTCCTTCCTTCCTTCCTTCCTTCCTTCCTACCTTCCTTCCTTTCTTCCTTCCTTCTTTCCTTCCTTCTCTTCCTCCTTCCCTCCCTCCATCCCTCCCTCCCTTCCTTCCTTTTTTCTTTTTTCCTTTTTTATTTTTTTCCAGGATCACCCTATCTTGCCCAGTCTGGAGCACAGTGGCTATTCACAGGCGTGATCATGGTGTACTCTATCCCCACACTCCTGTGCACAGGCGATCCTCCCATTTTTACCTTAGAGTAGCTGGGACTGCTGGCTTGCTTTAGTTTTTTTATTCTTTCCTCATCCACCAGTTCTTCCACACATTTTAACAATGAGCACTGATTCCCCTCATAATACCCATGAATTCTCAGGGCCTTTATAAATGTGATATTTCTTATATAAACTCTTACATAATAGGTAGAATATTCTCATAAAATAAACTCCTAGTTTTATAATTTTTCTGCTGTTACCCAGTTTGAATTATCCTTCCTGACCCTCCATCCCTGCTTGAGGAAGCCTACAGGGAAAACTCCATTATTTTAGGGAAATATCCTCAGGGCAATCTCGATTATTTTAGGGAAACATATCCTGATAGTCTCCTAACAAATTCTTCTGCCTCTAATCTCTTTCTTTTTTTTGAATACATATTGCAGACTGTTGCCAAATTGACCTTCCCCCAAACTCAATTTTCTTCATGTCCATTCCCTGCTCAAAACTTTTAATGCCTATCCATCACCTAGATATTGAAGCACAATCTCTTTCACCCATTATTCCTTTTACCGTTTACTCCCGGAAAACTTTAGCAAATCATTCCTCCAGTGTTATAAATTTGGAACTAGTCAGCACTTCTGCTCACAGTATTTCCCTTAACCAAAATGGTCTCTACCATTTATCTGCTTATCCTATTCCCAGCCATTTCTATTGCTTGTGCTCAAGCCCTGGCTTTGGCATAAAATATTTATTGATCTTTTCTGCTTCTGAAATCTTATTGCTGTTAAGTCCACACTTATAGTGGACTAATTCATAGTGTCAGGTTTCCAAATGCCATAGTGTTACTAGTTTCATTGCTAGTTAATTCTTTGTGAGGGTTCCTTGAAGTCAGGATGCATTTCTTACCAACTTTGTAAGCAAGTTTGTTGAGGAATTTTGTTCAAGTAACTTAATTTCCCTGAGCTGTAAATTTCTTATCTATGAAATGGCAATGGTAATAATAATCATTTCAGTGGGTTGTTGTATTAAAGAAATGAAAATGTTTAGCTATTAAATACTATATAGGCAGGTATAAATTATGCTTTATTTTATCCTTTATATGCTTTGTATGCTTAAAACAATGCTGAATTTTAATAGGTGCTCAACAAAAATTTGGTGAAATGAATGGTTAATTTATTCCTTTCTGAGAAGTTACCCTTCTCTAACATTTTTTTTCTTACTTCGTCTATTTTTTCCTGACTACCTCCCTCCTTTCCTCCCTCCTTTATTCCTTCTCTTCCTTTCATTTTTCTTCTCAGTTCTTCTTGCTTCTCCTTCTACTCCCTTTGACACTGAGAATCTCTGGAAATAACTTAAATATGTTCAGATTCTAGATGAAGTTGAATTAGTCCCATAGTCTTTAGGAGATAATCAACTACACTGCAAATGAATAAACATCGTTGCTTGATTTTGCTATTTTTTGGGAGAGGATTCAGTTCTGATCAAGCCTTCTGAGATGTAATAGGGACTAATTTACTATTCAGGTACAGAGAAATACCATCTCCATTGGAAATCATCCCAGAAAGATTATATCAAAGTTACCCATTCCTCTGTCCCAATAATCTAGCAGGCATGAAGATTTACAGAGTTTAATTAAAAAACTACTATATGTGTTTGTTTTGGTGGTATTAATATTGAGGGAAATGAGGGCATAAAATTGAGTGCGACAGAGTACGTGTGTGTGTGTGTGTGTTTGTGTGTGTGTGTTTTGTGTAAACATCCAAATATGCAAAGAAGAGTCTAATCAATCTTGACTGGAATCTGTGTTTTGTACTAGAATGGACTATTCTTGGTAATAAACTCAGACATATGGCCCTTCGACTACCTGCATTGAAGTCTGTTAGTTTCATTCACCATGGATATCTTTCTTTAACTTTGTTGACGTCTACCCTGCACTGTCTGCTCACTCTATCTTCTCATTATTTTATGAAGAAGACAGTTTCTTTGAAAAATAATTTGACATGTTCCTGAAAAATGTTACCATGTTAATTTTTAGGGATAAAATTAGAATGTGCTCCCAAAATTGTTGTTTAGTCTTCTGTTAACTGCTAATATTAATAAACCTTGGTGCTGACTAAAGGAATTATCATGTGACCCTGTGCTTATAGGACTCAGACATGAAACACTACTCTGAACTGAAAAATTCATCTTTACATTTCCCACCTACCTTACCAAATGAAAGAATTACTAACTATTCCAAATGCAAGTTTGTTTTATTTCCTTTTTCACAGCAAAATCAGTCTATTATAATAATTATTTTATAAATGTCTCTTTTTTTTTTTTTTGCCATTTTAAGGTAGCTGAATTTTTTGTGTCTGAGAACTGGTTAGCCAACCAACCCAAGCTGTACAATTTTAACTGTCCAAAGAGTCCCAATTAACAGACTTTAGGGGGACTTCAAACAGTCAGAGTCTTTGAATCTAAGCCATTCCCCAAGGCAGCATCTACTCGGCATAAAATGAAGGGAGATCTGGCAGTTACTCTCTTGATTTGATCAGTGTAGCTAGTCAGGGCTCTATTTCCCTGTTGAATTAACTGGTTTGGCTGTCTACACTGATCAAATCAGATGGATAATTGTCCAATTCTTCTTGCATTTTGTATCCTGTAAACAGAACTCAGAATAAACAAGACTAACTACAACCAACTGGCCTTCCTGCTTTTTAAGTATTATTATTATGCTATTAAAAAGCCAGTTGTCTAAGGTCAGAATATTCTATTGGTTTGTGTTAGTGTCTTGTATTCATCCATTTTCATACTGCTATGAAGAAATACCTGAGACTGGGTAATTTATAAAGAAAAAGGCATTTCCATACATCCTCTGAAATCTAGGTGGAAGTTCTCACACCTCAATTCTTGACTTCTGTACACCCACAGGCTCAACACCATGTGGAAGCCACCAAGGCTTGGGGCTTGCACCCTCTAAAACAACAGCCTGAGCTGTATGTTGACTTCTTTCAGCCATGGCTAGGACATAGGGCACCAAGTCCAGAAACTGCACAAAGCAGCAAGGCCCCAGGCCTGGCCCATGAAGCCATTTTTCACTCCTAGGCCTCCTGGCCTGTGATGGGAGGGGCTTCCGTGAAGACCTCTGACATGCCCTGGAGACATTTTCCCCATTGTCTTGGCACTAACATTTGGCTGCTCCTTACTTATGCAAATTTCTGCAGCCAGCTTGAATTTCTTCTCAGAAAATGGGTTTTTCTTTTCTATTGCATTGTCAGGCTGCAAATTTTCTGAACTTTTATGCTCTCTTCCCTTTTAAACATAAGTTCCAATTCCAAACCATATCTTTGTGAATGAATAAAACTGAATGCCTTTAAGAGCACCAAAGTCTCCTCTTGAATGCTTTACTGCTTAGAAATTTCTTCTGCCAGATACCTTGAATCATCTCTCTAAACTTCGAAGTTCCACACATCTCTAAGGCAGGGGCAAAATGCTGCCAGTCTCTTTGCTAAAGCATAGCAAGAATCACCTTTGCTCCAGTTTCCAGTAAGTTCCTCATCTCCATCTGAGACTGCCTCTCCTGGACTTTTTGGTCAAAACCATTCAACAAGTCTCTGGGAAACTCTAAACTTTCCCACATCTTCCTGTCTTCTTCTGAGCCTTCCAAACTGTTCCAACCTCTGCCCGTTACCCAGTTCCAAGTCTCTTCCACGTTTTTGGATACTTTCCACTTTCCATACCAATTTAGTGTGTTAGGCCATTTTCATACTGCTATGAAGAAATATCAGAGACTGAGTAATTTATAAAGAAAAAGAGGTTTAATGGATTCACAGTTTTGTATGGCTGAGGAGGCATCACAATTATGGTGGAAGGTGAAGGAGGAGCAAAAACACATCTTACAGACAAGAGAGTAAGTGCAGGGGAATTGCCCTTTATAAACCATCAGATCTCATGAGACTTATTCACTATCACAGGAACATCAAGGGAAAAACACACCCCTATGATCTGATTACCTCCCATGACAGATGGGGATTATGGGAGCTACAATTCAAGATGAGATTCGGGTGGGGTCACAGACAAACCATATCAGGTCTTTAATTTTGTTTCATTTGCACACACTGTAAACCAAATTATTCAGAGACATGTAACACTGATTAAAATCTTAGGATCATACTATAACCCAACAATGAATAACAAAAAAAGTCTGAAATGGAAAATATGACATACAAATAAGGTACTACCTGTGTTTCTGTTATCTAAAACATAGCTTCTGGTCTCCCTAGACCATTAAACAGCTCTGTCCCAGTAGCCAGAACATAGTCCTACTAAAGTAGCATTAATTATTTAGTATTGGTTTTGTATCATTAGATACTGAGACCACTGATGTTTTACCACTTATCTCTCAACTTGAGCATTTGCTAAGGCCAAACTCCCATGTTTAACGATGGTGCTAAGACATAGGAAAGACCATCATATTTTAGTTAGAATTTTAATTTTAAAAGACTATCACATTTTACTTAGTTAATTTTAGTTAGTTTTATTTTATGAATGTTGACATAAAGACCATTCAAAAGGTTTGTTGATTTCCTCTTTCAGTGTCCCCTCAGAAGGTGGCTTTACTAAAAGCTGTTTTATGCCCCCACTTTGGGGAGCTCATTCTGATTGTTCAGGCAGGGGGTAGAATGAGGTAGGGCATGGAGGGTGGTATTAAGTGATTTTTTCAATACAAACTTTCAAGAAAGTGTGCTGCTTCTTTTTTAAAAAGCAAGAAGAGAAAAGAGAAAGAAATTTCTTCCCTTGGAAAAGTTAATATTCTCAAGTAATGAGAGAGAACTGATCTCGAGTTCCCTCAAACAGTGGTCTCCTTCTACTAGCATGTTGGGGAGTGGTGTCCCATTGGACTTTGGGTGCATACTATGTATCTTGTACCTAGTCCATACAGTATAGTCCTGGCATAAAACACTGCTGGACACTGACCATGTCCCAAAATATCACGTTGCCCAAGTCCTCCAGGATTTTTGCCTATGGATGCCCTACTCCCAGTATCCTTTCTTAATCTTCCCTCTTCTCATCTTCCTTTCTTGAAAATGGATACAGTCCCTTCCTACCCTTTCCTTCTTCCTATCCGTCAGCCTTTCAGTAACTGGTTAATCAGACTAAATATTACCTGATGCCATTCATGCAAAAGTAGGATGACTTTCACTTAAGCTCAGGGGGGCATTATTCATCCCCCAAGGACTTCAAAGGAAGTGAGTGGATTGTGAACTCTTTTTTTTTTTTTTTTTTGGAGACAGAGTCTCGCTCTGTTGCCCAGGCTGTAGTGCAGCAGCACAATCTCGGCTCACTGCATCCTCTGCCTCCTGGGTTCAAGCAATTCTCCTGCCTCAGCTTCCTGAGTAACTGAGATTATAGGCATGTGCTGCCACACCTGGCTGTTTTTGCATTTTAGTAGAGATGGGGTTTCACCATGTTGCCTAGGCTGGTCTTGAACTCCTGAGCTCAGGCAATCTGCCCGCCTCAGCCTCCCAAAGTGCTGGGATTACAGGTGTCAGCCACACTGCCTGGCCAATTGTGAACTCTTAAATATCAGAAAAAAATATATTCTCATCTTTTTGGCTCAATATTAGTATCAGTTTTTAAAAACTGATAAAGGTGACTGTTAAACATTAGCTGATACCACATCAGAAACTGAAGCATAGCAATATATGGAAAAGACTTAATTTTAGATGTAACCCTAATCTTTACCCTAATTTGAACTCACCCAAAGTGTGATTATTCAATATGTACATCATCGATATGCATCTAATCTGTACTGGGAAAAATACATGGAAAGGCCATAGGGCTTGGTGGCTACCAGACTGGTGCCAGCCTACTGGGGCTGTAATTCAAGCATGAACTCAGTAGCTGCCAGATTGAGGGCAGGTTACTTAACATTTTGGTGCTTCCATTTCTTCCTATGTGAAAGCAAGATATTAATAGTACTTACATCCTGAGGTTCCTTTGAGGATTTGTTGATTTAATTTATACTACATTATATATTTAAAAGACTAAGTATGCAATAAATATTAGCTATTACAGCCATACAATTGATACCGAAATTAACCAGACAATATCACTCTTAGACATATACCACCCAATTAGCAACCAAATACATCTTAGTCTGTCCTTAGCTTCCTATCTTTTTTTTTCTCATTTAATGCTTAGAATATTTATGATCTCAGGAAGTTTATTGTATTTACCCTAATAGAAAATTTAATACAGCACACTAATTTTAAGCAAAAAAACATTGTATACATCAGCTTTTACTGTACACCAAATACAGTGGCTACATGTCTAGGCTATATTATTTACTATACTACTGATATGATTTGGCTGTGTCCCTATCCTAATCTCATCTTGAATTGTAGTTCCCATAATCCCCAGGTGTTGTGGGAAGGACCGGTGGGAGGTAATTGAATCATGAGGTGGTTTCCCCTATGCTATTCTCGTGATAGTGAGTAAATTCTCATGAGATCAGAAGGTTTTATAAGGGGCTTCCGCCTTCCTTCAGTTCTCATTCTTCTGCTTCCTGCTGCAAAGGAAAGAAGAACGGATTTGCTTCCCCTTCTGTCGTGATTGTAAGTTTCCTGAGGCCTCCCCATCCATGCTGCACTGTGAGTCAATTAAACCTCTTTCCTCCATAAATTACCCAGTCTTGGGTATGTCTTTATTAGCAGTATGGGAACAGATGAATACACCTACACTACAAATAAGAAAATTGAGCGTAGAGAAAAAAGTTAGCCCAGGTGCTCCCGCTGAGAAGACACAGAAACAAAGCCAGAATTTAACCCCAAGTTTGCCTAATCTGTTCTCTTTCTCTTGTTTTAAAGCTCTGGGGGAATAGTGGAATAAGACTCTAATAAATACAACACAAAGTACCACCATCTTTGATCAACATAGATTAAACACCCAGAAATTTGGAGAATCTTCCTGAATTATCCCTAGTTTTCTGAGAAAAAATAGCATGAAGAAAATATAAAATAGTCAGATAATTCGCTCTATTGTCATTGTTCCATTGTTCTGTTTGTATTTTTTTATTTTAACTTTTAATTTTTTTAGAGATGGGGGTCTTGCTGTGTTGCCCAGGCTAGGCTCAAATTCCTGGGCACAAGAGATCCTCCTATCTTGTCCTCATGAGTAGCTGGAACAACAGGCATGTGGCACTGCATTCAGTTATGTTTGCATTCAGTTTTGTTTAACTTTTTACTATTTTCAACTGGTAAAAGCAGATTGGCAATTGTGTTAGAAATAGACCAGGTGCAGTAGCTCACGCCTGTAATCCCAGCACTTTGGGAAGCTGAGGTGGGCAGATCAGGAGGTCAGGAGATCGAGACCATCCTGGCTAACACAGTGAAACCCTGTCTTTACTAAAAATACAAAAAATTAGCCAGGTGTGGTGGCGGGTGCCTGTAATCCCAGCTAATCGGGAGGCTGAGGCAGGAGAATGGTTTGAACTGGGAAGGTGGAGGTTGCAGTGAGCTGAGAACATAGCACCGCACTCCAGCCTGGGCGACAGAGCGAGACTCCATCAAAAAAACAAAACAAAACACAAAAAGGACCAGTCAACTGATACTGCATTCAGGTAGTCTAATTTTGCAAATACAAATTATTTAAGGCCCTGTGAATATTACTTCAATGGGACTAGAGAAAAATCCGTTGCTAACAACTTGCTTTCTCAGGCTCAACATTTCACACAAAGATTACACGAATATAATCTGCCTGGCATATGAATCCAAACTAACACTTTAGCAGCAATGGGGGTTGGTTTCTAATCTCCAGTCTCACAGCCATTTATATGCTTTCTTCAGGCAAAATACGAAGATGTACTTCTGACAGAGTCTGCAGCACAACGCAGCAAAAATCAGACCTACTTCTCAGCTGCATTCTTCTAGTAAACCCCCATTCCACCCCATTTCCCTTGCAGTATTTGGCTGTCTCTGTTTGAACACTGCAGACTAATTGCATAGCATTTAATCTATCAAACGACCTCCAAATTTTTAAGCTTTCAAGAGATTAAAAATAAAGCCCTTGAAATTATGATCCTATGCTAAGTGTCTTCAATACAATTTGTCAACAAATAGTTTTCTTTTCCAGGTTGAATGAAAATAAATAAAATAAAATAAAATCACTGAAATCACTGTAGGTTTCTTCTGGTTCTACACTAAGAAGTCCCATAGGATAGAAACTCAAGATTGCTTCACAAATCCTACACCATTTTTATGGATGATGAACAACCCTGTGGGAAATAAATTATGATAGTCAGCTAGGAAATAGAAAATGTCTAAAAATTTCTAAAAATAATGATTATATTTCTCCACTGTTTGACACATAGCCATTTTTACAGAAGCACATACAGCCAGTGTTAGAAAGGGCTGGTGGTACCTGTTGTGAAGTTGCTGTTTCTGGTCTTCATCCAAGATGTTGGGAGGAAGGAGCTTTCAATTTTACATATGCTATAGTTCATTTTGCCTTCTCGCTACCAAATCAATCTTCTCTTGTGCTTTTTCTGTCTTACACGCTTCTCTTCTTGGAAATAAAATTTCCATTACTATCTATATTTCCTTTTTCCTGCAAAAATTGGAGCAGGCCTCTGAATGCTTAAATATTTGCCTTTTAGTATGTTCCTTTCTTCAAAATCTGATTGTCCTTTGTGATGCTTTATCAAAAATATATCTGAAAAGAATCTTCCATTTACTTTTTTCCACAGGTAAGATAATATGCATTAAAGCATACTGAATTCTTTTTTTTCAAATACTGACAATGTAAACACTTTGCTTTATTATGCTGTGAATTGGAACTTACATTTTTCTTGCATAACTATTGCTTGCTTGATTTTCTATTGTGTTTTCTCTTTATTTTATTCATCTTCTGAAATATCTTGAACCCTAAGAAGAACTCCTTATGAAATATAATTTTGTGTCCTGTAGCAAAACATGACATCCTTTCTCAAATTCTCTTACTCTGGTCTGTTCTCTCTCCAGCGCAATCTCAATGTCCGTGTATGGTAAAATATCATCTATTGGTTAAGTTATAGTGTCTCCATTTTATTCATATAACAAAAAGCCTTGCTCATAAAAAGAACCATGATTCTTAATTGGAGTGGATCTGGCAAGAGGGGCAACTCTTTGACCCAGAGGCTCAATCATTCAAAAGCTGGGGAAAAGGTTGCTATAGAACCCACTGTCTATAAATAAAGGAAGGAAGTAGTACCAAGACAGAATTAAAATAAAGAAAGCTGGTTTTGCTGTTTGGTTAAAAAAAAAAAAGCTTAGTTTGGGGTGATTTTCATAACAAAGAAATAAAAGATTGGTTTTCTGTAGCCTCAAGATTATATTGAAAGAGGAGACCCAGGGTCACAAAGTATAAGTTACACAGAGCATAGCTGAGAGATACCTTATTTTACTTGCATTTGTGTGCTGATTTTGTTGTGTAAATTTTTTCCACAGTATTATTGATTTGTCCTGGAGTCATTCCTGCAACTTAAGATACTGTGAATCTCTGCTGCATACGATAATGCACTTTGATTCTGTGTAATGTATGAATAATTGACTTTGTTATTTCATTAACCGTTTGCACATATCTTTTAAAGTTATGTTGTTGTTTTTCCAAAGTTTTATGGAATTTATCTTACAATGTGGCCATTTCAGATGCCAGGAACTAGTAATAATAAAAATATTTTATGCAATCAATCCTTCTACCTTTACAAAAATGTAAGGGGCTATTAAAGAAAATCCCCAAATTACTTAACTTTGATTTCCAGTACTACTTAATTTTTCTATTAAAGTATATGTACAACTATCTTAAAATCAGTGATCTTCCTAAGGTATTCCACAACGCATAAGGTTATGAGTTTTTTGGTGATGAAATCATGTCTTCCTTAGGATATTTTTCTTTAAAAGACTCGATAAATCATTTCTAATTCCTTTAATTAATGTCTAAATAGTAGAGAAATATCAACTTTTATCTTATTACACAGTTTATATATCCCATAATGCAATAAAGTTTCTTAAAACTTGATGTTTGGTATCGTTTAGAAAATGTTAACAAATAAATATTTACTTAACTTTCCAACAGTTGGAATACTGGAAAAATATTTTTAGGTATTGGAGTTTTGTTTATATTTTCTTTTATACTATGTAATATTTGATAATGTATATAATAGCATAATAAAACTTTCAAATATACCTAAAATTATTTATCAGCCAACTTGAAATGTCAACATCACTAATGCCATTGCATCATCCGTGTGCTCCTTCCCTGTCCTATACACTAGACCTTCTGTAGTCCCACATATGTGAGCTATGCTGCAGAATATATAGTTTAAATATGTTTACTTTAGACAAAGTGTTATAATAATGGTATCATATTGTATGTAGTGTTCTAGAACTTGTTTTCTCTCATCACTATGCTACTAAGACTTATCCATATTATTGCTTATAACCCTATCTCTTCTTTAACTTATTTATAATATTTTATTAGCTAAGTATACCACAGTTTATCCATTTCCAGTCAATAGAAGTTTGGGTTGTTATTATTAACAATAAGGCTTTGAATATTTTTGCAGATGTCTACTGGTACATGTTAAGTGATTTCCGGATCACATATGTAGAAGTGGAATTCATGAGTACTAGACTATGGATATGAACAAATTTACCAAATAATGCTAAACTAGTTCCCAAAATTATTAAACCAATTTATGTATTTATTGGTACAATATTAGGATTCACATTACTCCGTAACCTAGCAATACTTATCATTTTGTCTATTTAGTGAGTGTAATATTATCTGCTTTGCATCCTAACTTATATTTCTCTGATTACTAATGAGGTATAGCATCCTTTTATTTGATTGTTTACCATTATTGTTTCTTCTACTAAAGTATGGCTATCAATTCTTTTGTCCTTTATTTTTTTATTACATTGTCTTTCCTCAGTGATTTGTAATTCTCCATGTATTAGGTTATTAATTTTATTCTCTTAATATGTGACATAAATGATCACTTTAATTGTGGCATCTGTTGATAAACGAAGTTGTTGATTTATATAGCATTCATAAATATTTTTTATATTAAAAGTTTTTGTGGTTTGTTTAAAAAATTCTACCATTTATAGGTCTGGGTGTGGTGGCTCATGCCTGTAATCCCAACACTTTGGGAGGCTGAGGCAGGCAGATCATAAGGTCAGGAGTTTGAGACCAGCCTGGCCAATATGGTGAAACTCTGTCTCTACTAAAAATACAAAAATTAGCCAGGCATGGTGGTACGTGCCTGTAGCCCCAGCTACTGAGGAGGCTGAGGCAGAAGAATTGCTTGAACTCAGGAGGCAGAGGTTGCAGTAAGCTGAGATCATGCCACTGCACTATAGCCTGGGTGACAGCACGAGACTCTGTCTCAAAAAAAAAAAATTCTACCTTTTATAAAGGTCAAAATATATTTTCCTATATGTGACTCTATATGTATTAAAATGTGTCATTCACATTTATATCTATAATTCTTCTGGAATATATTTGTGTGTATAATGAAAACAGAAAGGTCTCATTTTATGTATTTTTTTTTTCAATTTGGAAAATCAATGTTTCAGCACAATTTATTGGATAGTCCTCTTTTTCTACAATGATTTCCAATATCATGTTAGATTTTAATATTCCATGTATGTAATAAGCTATTTCTGAGTTCTCTAATCTGTTCTATTAGTCATCTTTTCTATATTCATCCCAAGACATATTTACTATAAGTATCAATCTAAAAGGCAAGCTCCTGTAACATCTTCGTCCTCTTATCTTTGGAAGGATTCTGGCTATTCATGAGCCTTTAATCTTTCATGGAAATGTTAAAATTAGACACATTTCTTAAAAATGCTGCTGGGATTTGGTTAAAATTGCCTTGAATCTACAAGATTCATTTGGACATCGATTATGTCTTTCAATATTGAGAACATCTGTATGTAAACTTGGTATATATCATCCCTTGTATGTCTACCTTTGAAATTGTATAAGATTCTTCATCTTTTATTACAAAATTAGTTGGTACTTTAGATTTTGTTGATATTATAAATACTGCATATACATTTATATATCTATTCATTTATTCAACAAATTATTTTTGAATTTCTATTATGTGTTGGGTACTGTTCTGGGTCCCAGGACCCCAGAGTCATTTAAAAACCCAGAGTCATTTAAAAAATTAAGAAAGAAAACAGAAAAAAAATTCTTCTTTCACAGACTTTTCATTCTAGCTGAGGGAGATGAATAATACACAAAATAAATAAAACAGTGAAAAGAGCTATCAAAAAGAAAAAAGGAAGCAGAATAGTGGTGATCCTGTAGTGATCTTGGTAGTGGGTTGTAGTTTTAAATAAAGTAATCAAAGACATTTTTACTGAGAATAAGATTTATGAGTGAGTTACTGAAGAATTTGATAGAGATGTTCTCTGTTCAGTTATTATTGTTGGTTAGTACATAGAAAATGCAATTTATATTTTCTATTCATTCTATATTCAATTACCTTGTTGAGCCATCAGCAGCTCTTTTATTAATTATATCAATTCGTAGATTATTTAAGATTTGGTATGTAGACAATCACAGGCAGGTATAACATCTGTAATTAGGAAATAAGTTTATTTCTGGTTGTTTCTTTTCATTCTTTATGTCTTTTCTTGTTCTTGTCTTACTTTGCCGTCTAAGGCCTCTTGTACGGTGTTGGATAGAAGTGACAGTAAGATGCATTTTTGCATTGTTTCTGATGATAACATCATTTTTCTTTGCAATTTCTTCATTAAGAATGATATTTATGTAGGGTGAAGTGGCTCACGCCTGTAATCTCATTACTTTGGGAGGCTGAGGCGGGCAGATCACTTGAGCTCAGGAGTTCCAAACCAGCCTGGCCAACATGGTGAAACCCCGTTTCTACTAAAAATACGAAAATTAGCCAGGCATGGTGGCAGGCACCTGTAATATGAGCTGCTCAGGAGGCTGAGGCAGGAGAATCTCTTGAACCCAGGAGATGGAGGCTGCAGTGAGCTCAGATTGCACCACTACACTGCAGCCTGGGCAATGGAGTGAGACTCTGTCTCAAAGAAAAAAAAAAGAATGATATTTAGTCTGATATAGATGCCCTCTATCAGATTAAGAATGTTCTCTTTTCCATTTTGCATTTTAAACATGTTTCTTATCATGAAGCGTGTTCAATTTTGTAAATGTTTTGTCTATAGGTATTTAGAAGGTCTTCTGAATTTTCTCCTATATTCTGTCCTTGTGGTGCATTATATTTAGAAATCTTATCAGTCTAAAATATTCTGGTGTCAACTCAGCTTCATTTAATATACCATGGAGGTTTATTTGCAAAGAACTTTTAAATATTTTGTATCTATGTTTGTGAATGAGAGTGTCTTTTTCTCTTCTTAATCTTCTCCTTATATTGTTTTATGTCTTAAACAAGTTGAGAGGGTCCTCTTTCTATATTTAGAGGGAAAACATATGTGAAATTGTTGTTGTTATCCAAAAGTTTGGTAGATTTTATTTGTAAAACCCCAGTGGTCTGGGGCTTTCTTTATGGTAGAATTTTTATCTAATAAATAAATTTATTTAATGACTGCAGAACTATTCAAACTTTCCATTGTTTCAGGTAGTTTTAATAATTTTAATTCCATTTCAATTTTAACTTCTGAAATCAAAATCAAACATTATCTTTTTTTTTTTTTTTTTTTTTTTTAGACAAGGTCTCACTCTGTCACCCAACCTGGAGTGCAGTGGTGCAATTATGGCTCACTGCAGCCTCACCTCCTGGGTTCATGCGATCCTCCCACCTCAGCCTCTCAAGTAGCTGAGACTATAGGAGTGCAACAGCATGCCTGGCTATTTGTTTTTTTAAGTTTTGTAGGGATGGGGTCTCCTTATGTTGCCCAGGCTGGTCTCAAACTTCTGGTCTCAAGCAACCCTCCTGGTCTGGCCTCCCAAAGTGCTGGGATTACAAGAGTTAGCCACTATGCCTGGGCGGGGACACTTAATTCTGTTTGTCGCTATTTCTGTTGACCGTCACTTACAGATGCCCATTTCTATTGCTTATTTAATTTTCATTGTGGACTCATATCTTATTGAACCTAATCTGCAGGAATTCTGAGGGCATAAATGGGAGACCTTCTATTTTATAGAAGTTTTGGATTCTGCAAGTTCCAGGCTCAATACTGGTGTGGGACCACTTAGCTCCTTTCAATGAATTTATGATTAAGCAAGAGTTTCAAGTTCTGCCTCAATCTTGCCAGAGCCCTAAGGCATAGTCCCTGGATGACAGAGCTGATGAAGACATCTGCCTCAAGGTAAATCTCCCTTAAAATCCCCTGCTCTGTTTACCTCTACTGCTTATTGATTCTGCTCTAGTTTCAGCTAGCTACTTTTTCTCATTTTAGAAATTTCCATTATTTTAGCAAACTCAGTAATTTATTAAAAACTACAATTGTTTTAATTTATCCAAACTATGATTACATTTTAGCAGGAGGATTTTTCAGGGTAACTCATTTGACTTCTGGCCATTCTTTTGCTTTTCTCACTAGTTCTTTAACACTGTACCATTCAGTTTTGAAAACTTCAATTTAGGTTGAATTTTTATTTATCATAAATTTATACAATATTTATCATAAATTAATTGTGAGTTAAAAAGTCTATATTTGATCCATGTAGAAAATTATATCATATTTAGCCAATTGGATGTTACACTGATCAGTATTTAAGTTTCTTTGAAAATTAAGCCAACATCTTTAAAAAAGTTATTCGATTTCTAGATATTAGAAACCAGTGATAATTTTTTCTATAACTATGAGGACAATCTTTTTTAGAACTTAATAATCTAATTTTGAAAGTTCATTTGCATTCTAGTTGAGGCATTTAGAATACATACAAACTAATAGTAAACTGTTTCTGATATATTTATTAGTTTCCCTTTTCATTAATTACATCTCTTTAATATTCAAAGGATTTCTTTTGGGGAAGTAGAATAACTTGGGAATAAACACAAAATCCATGAAACTACTGATTTGAAAAATTTTATTTTTTCTCTGACTACAGAAGAGTTATTTCTTCAGTTTTATCTTTATAATATTTATTATTTCATTTTATTTAAAGGAAAATCAGATATTCATGGGTTTTATATGTATGATAAATGCATGACACCCAGAGATAAAATACATTTGAAAACAACAGTTGTTTCAAGAGCACATTATCACTCTTTGTCAATGAATGACCACTTTAAATATAATTAGAATTAATCTTATGTAAATGATCTATTTTAGCATATTTCTCCTCCCATGCACACATATGTATAATGCCTTACATACAGTCAAAATGTCCTAGAAGTTTAATGACAATAGAAGCAATCTTTGAGAGGGCTTTTGCCTGTACTTGTGCACAAGATATCTCCAAATGGTGACCCAGCAATAATCAACTATCTCAAAAATTTCCATGCCAGGGAATTTCTGTGATCTACATGATGAATTTGTGTTTAAGAGATAAGAACGCATTGTGCAAATAGATGAAAAGCTCATTTGTTTAAAGAAAGAATTTAGTTTGTTTTGTATAAAAGAAGTAAGAGTATTTATACATGGTGGATTACTTTTAGAACTTACTGTAAAAGCTGGTAGTTTTCAGTTGTTGCCACTGTGCTATGCTTTCCAAAGCCAAACAGACAGATGGGCTTTCATTATTTTCTTGACTTTTTATATTTGTTGATAATCGTTGTAATTAATTTTTAATCTGAAGACTTGTAAAGCAAAGCTTGGGGATTTCACAAACCAAACTTGTATTAATGAAGCACAAACTGTCCAAATAATCTTCCTGTATCAAACTTCACTGAGCAGTAATAACTCTTTCCTGGTCAAGGGGCTGATTGCAAAGCATCTGGGAAATAGGATCACTGATCATGTGCACAGTGTGAAAGGGGAAGTCCAATTTATTAAATCAAAGTCACTTTTTAAAACTGTCTTTCTTGAAGATAAAAGTACTGTTACTTAATGGGTACTTACTAAATACTCAGAGTCCTAATTCAAGGATTATAATAAAAAAACTATCAAGGAACCAACTGGAAATATAAAAATTTCACAATATTAGATGATACATATACCTATCTCCACATATTCAAACTACATATCTTGACCTTATCCTTTTCCAGGAAGAAGCAGATAAATTTTAGTAGCTTTTCCAAAGTCATGGATAATTGGTGTTCAAAATATGAACCCACCATTATATTTTCCAAACTCATCATTCATGATCAAGCTCCTTAAGAGAGGAGAATTTTCATCTTAACAAGAAAACAACAATAATAAAAATACCATCTATTGATAGCTAACTATCTGTCACTGTGTTAAAGGCTGCCCAAACATGATCTCATTTAATCCTCACAACATTCTTGGCATAAGCTTAACTACCTTTATTTTACAAAGGAGAAAATTGAGACATGCAGAGAATAAATAACTTGCCCCAAACTTACATCATCGGAAAATATCAGAAACAAAACTAAAACTTCAGTGTATTGTATATAAGCCCTGCCTTTCCCAGAGCCCATGTGTGCACATGACCTAACATGTAGTACGTTCACAAATGTGATATATACGCCCACAAAATACGAAGTATGCCTGTTCTCCAACTAGTCAGTTCAAAACTTAAATGAGCTTTTGCATAAACTGTAAGACACAATCTAGGGGGAATGAGAAGGCTCATGGTGTGACAAATACAATAATGTGAGTTGATTTCGGTTGTTTTCCTAAGCCTTGAGGAGAGCTTTGGAAAATGGGATAGATGTGATTTGTCAGGTGGACAATGAGAGATTCAAGGGGTAAAGAGAAACCATTCACCCTCGCCACCTTTTTATTTCTTTTCTCTTATTCCTGTCAAAGGATGGCTCTACTTTATGCTCAGAACAGCTTTCTAATCCTTGTCTACAAAGCCACATGTCTTCCCTTATCAAAACCTTGCCTCTATGCCAGCCTCTCTAAGGAGCCCTATCCTGATGATAAGTTGGATAAATGTATCCTCTGTTGCTTCTCTGACAACAGCATTCCCCAAACACCTTTCTTTTAGGATTTTAAACATTTTCCTCAAAAACAAAAAGAAGAAAATTATATCTGATTTGTCGTCTTGTTTTGTGTGATTGTAAATTCAGACTCTTTGGTTTGCTTTGTACTACATGAAGGTCAAGGAATGTTCAGTGTATTAAATGGTCAATTTGTCTGGTGGAATACAGGCTTGAACATTTAAACGTGGCTTGTACAAGAAATAGAGTGTACAGTTCTGAAAAATCAGGTATTTCCTCATCAATAATTATGATGGAATATCTTAATTACAGTGTGTCAATGATATTGGGATCTCACAGAGAGGAATACATAGTTTCATTGAGGAAAGCCTCCACGGGAAGATCAAGTGAATCTCTACTCATCAAAAAGGCGTGGAGGAGAGCAAGCAGCTTCTATGATGGAGAAGGTGACAGCAATTTAAAGAGAGGGGCCCACCATTCCTTTTTCACAAAATATTTCAGATATCCACCTTTTGGTCTGTTCATGTATGAAGACTCCAAAGAGAATGAAACATCTATGAAGACTCTACAGAGGTTTTCAGACTGCCTGAGGCTCTCAGAGTGACGCAAAGTGGAGTTAGTAGGGATTTAGGCGGGAGCGCTAAGTGACATGCACATGAGTATTAGGGAACAGGCTGTGCTATGGTCTGAATGCTTGCTCCTCCCCTCTATTTTCATATATTGCAATCTAATACCTGATGCAATGGTATTAAGAACTGGGGTCTCTAGGAGGTGATTAGACCATGAGGGCCTCATAAATGTGAATAGTGCCCTTATAAAAGAGGCCCAAAGGGGTTGTTCTCCCCTTCTGCCATGTGAAGACTCAGCAAGCAGTCTCCATCTATGGGGAACAGGCCCCCACCCAACACTAAATTTGCTGGTTCCTGCATCTTGGACTTCTTGGTCTCCAGACTAGGAGAAATCAATTTCTGCTGTTTAGAAATTACCCAGTTAGGTATTTTTTATGGCAGCCCAAAAAGACTAAGACAGGCTGAAAAGTTGACCATCCAGAGGGAAAGAAATTATTTAAAGATTGAAAATTTAGCACTACTTCATTTACCAGACAATGAATTAGCATTGCTAGATATTACTGTCCGGCAGTTAAACTTCGTAACATAACTTACTGCCATTAAAGTAAGTACATATGCAATATACAGAGTTTGGAAGGGAAAAATAAAACTATCAGTGCTTTCTGAATCATAATAATAGAATAAAACAAGGGAAATTCATAACAAAACCATTCTGGTGCCTTTATTGTAATGATTGCTAAAAAGTTCTAGGCATTGCCTAATTGAACTAGTCTTTTCACAAATTTCTAGAAATCTTGCTTTTAACAGTAACATCTGACACACAGGCATTGATCTCAGCAGCTTTGGAATATACCCCCTTGGTCAGACAGAGGCAGGCTCCATCTATCATTATTACAGGAGGGATGTATTCTCTGTGGAGTGCTTTAAAGGGCTACAACAAGTTCACTTCCTCCTATTGGTGGCAGAGTGGGTTGCATTTGTCTGGCAATTGATGGTGATGTCCCACGAAGTCTGAAGGTGCATGTGGCACACTCAACAGTGTGCACACAAAAAAAGATCAAATTGGCTGTCCCCTCTCTTTGGAGCTTCATGCTTACTGATCTCAGTTGAGTGTCACTGTCCTCTTTATGACAGCCACTCATTTCCCAGGCCTGCTGGGTTTCCAGACTGCTGTCCTATTGTATGTGTACACAGACTGATTATAAGTTCACCACTTCCTTCCACCTTTTTATACAGGGTATTATCTATGACAGATGAGTGCAATAAAGGGAATCAATTTTTTTTTCTTTTCCGTTTGCAGAGGGCACAGTGAGTTCTACCAACAAAGGCACATTGAGGTAAATCTTTAACAGTGTCACCACATTGACTTTCATCATTTTCACCTTTCCTTTCACTGATTTTTATCCCTGGAGTTGTAAAACATAGTTTCACATTGTGACTGTCCTCTAGTCCTCAGTAGAATTAGTTACACTGACAAGAACATACTCTTTTTCATAGACACTCCATCATAGCTCAGCCTTAGTTGCCTCTCTCTCCCCACAAATTCTATTTTATAGATAAAAGCTCAGAGTTTCAAAGGATAAAGAAATTTTCAAAAAAGTCAAGCTTTCATTTTTTAACAGATAATATAGTACTAGGAAACTATTGAAAAGACATGATGAAATATTTCATGGAAAAGGAAAATGGTTTTCGTATATTAAGAAAAAAATCCAAAATAGAGAGTATATTTAATTTTATAACAATTTTATTTTATATATAACATATATACTATAAATGGTTGCTTACTTTTTCTATTTTCTTTTCTTTCTTTCTTTTTTTTTTTTTTTTTTGAGACGGAGTCTCGCTCTGTCGCCCAGGCTGGAGTGCAGTGGCGGGATCTCGGCTCACTGCAAGCTCCGCCTCCCGGGTTCACGCCATTCTCCTGCCTCAGCCTCCCAAGTAGCTGGGACTACAGGCGCCCGCCACTACGCCCGGCTAATTTTTTTGTATTTTTAGTAGAGACGGGGTTTCACCGTTTTAGCCGGGATGGCCTCGATCTCCTGACCTCGTGATCCGCCCGCCTCGGCCTCCCAAAGTGCTGGGATTACAGGCGTGAGCCACCGCGCCCGGCCTTCTTTCTTTCAATTTATTTATAAATACATTTGATCTTACAACAAGATTTAGAAATTTGTAAAGGCAAAAAGAAAAACAAACAACTCAGGACTAACAAATACCATATGGTTCTTATTTTAGACTGTTTAGCCTGCATAAACAAAAACCAATTTGAAAATAAATTATTTGTAACAAATTTATTATTTTATTTGGTGTCTTACTCCATTTGGTCTATTCTAACAAAATATCATATACTGGGTAGTTTATAAACAACAAAAGTTTATTTTCACAATCCTGGAGACTGGCAATTCCAAGATCAAGGTGCTGGCAAATTTGGTGTTTGGTGGAAGATGGATTCCTGGTTCTTAGACAGCCCCTTCTCTCTGTGTCCTCACATGGTAGATGGGATGGACTAGCCCCCTAGTGTCTCTTTTATAAGGACACTGCCCCAATCATGAGAGCTCCACTCTCCTGACCTAATAACCTCCCAAAGATCCTGACTCCCAAGCTATCACCTTGAGGTTAGTATTTCAACATAGATTTTGGGGAGGGTCAAAACATTCAGACCAAAGCATTTGTTTATTGCAAAAAGAAAATATATTTTAAAGAAGAAGAAGCATACAAGAAACCACCACTCTAATATAGTGATTTCTATTTTTTCTTAAGTTATAGGCAATTTTAAAGCAAATAGTGGTACTCTTTAAGAAAGGCACATAACAAGACACATCTACAAAAATACTGTGAAAGGATTCACTTGGAAAGAGATACAGAACCCCAAACCTAGTTTTTTTTTTTTTCTGTTTAGCCATTTAAAGACTGCTATTATTTTCTTTGCAAATTGTTGATACATCATATGACAATTATTGTATCTGTTCTTTGGATCATTCTTTCTTTAGTTCATTTAATCAATTGGTAATGATTCCCTACTCTATTGCTCTTACTCAAATCTTTCAGTGATGTTTCTTTTCCATGATGCTCAGTAACCAAGAATCTCTGTAAGAGAACTGTTAAGAAAAGAATTCAACTAGGAAGATAGATAGTAAGGGACCAAGGAGGAACCTTTGGAAGATCACATTCTGAAATCACCCGATTGAAAGAAAATGCAACCGTGGTACATTTTAAAGATAATCTGAGATATGATTCTTATTTCCTTAGAGAAAGAGACAAAACAAGACAAATTCAACAAATGAGAAAGAAATTTTTCTTTTAGAGAAAATCTGAAGCCAAGTTAGAGGAAAAGCCAAATAATTAATTCACTTGCAAAGACTAAAAAGTAAAATTTACAGTGTTTTTACAACTTGCTTCAAACAAAGGTATGAGGACCTGAAACCACCTCTGGCAATCTTGTACTTAAGATCCAATTAATTTGTGTCCAAACCAGTCAAAATTGCATCCTTGATAACAGTACTGGTACTAGGATACTAGTATCCTTTATAGATAGTGTATAACTTGATAGCATCTATCCTTGATAGATAGCCTTTTTCATCAGATTTAAGATGAGAAGACCTTCTATCAGATCTATTCTGTATTTATATTTGAGAATTAGAGAATATTTGTGAGAAAGATGATCCATGAAAATAAACTACAATTATGATAAAGTGTTTAGGATTGACAGAATTCTGAGATAAAAACCTAGGACTCTCAATTAATTTGTAATTTAGATAAAAAACCAATAACTTTTCATTATAAGTATATTCTATGCAATATGTGGGACATATTTGTTGTTTATCTAAAATTCAAATTTATTTGGCCTTCTTGTTGCTTATCTGGGAACTCTAACAATTATGAAAAGAATTGGGAAAAAATGTGGAGTTTAGATTCTTGTAATTCCTTTGGAAAAGGTAGGGAAGGAAGGAAAGAAAGAAAGGAAGAAGCAAGGGAGGGAGAAAGAGATAAAGGAAGAAGAAAAGAAAGGAAGAAGAGGAGGAAAAGGGGAGCAAAGAAAGGAACAACAATTTTTAAAGTTCCAAGGAAAGGTAGCAAGCTATGTTCTCACTTTTTAAAGAAGGTATAAGAAAAAGGAAAAAATACAGGAGATGAATACTAGACTATTTTATAATGTAGAATACATTTTTTACAATTGTGTGAAAATAAGACTAAAAGAAGACTAAAAATTCATTTCAGAGGTTGATATTGAAAACAATATTTAGTTTCATTATATTTTGAATACCATTTTGAAGTATATGAAGTATTCCAAACATAGAAAGCTACAGAGAACAATACTCTGTATTCCGTCCCAGATTTTTTAAACTGTTAGCATTTTCCACATTGCTTCTGATCATTTTTTAAAAATAAAAGTTAAAACTAGAACTGAAGGCTCCTTGTATTCTTTCCAGTCTTATTCCCTTCATTTCTTCCCCAGACTTGTCAGTGCCCTGAATGTGATTGCTCAAGCTATACTTGTCAATTTTTAAAATTAATTTTAAAATACTTTCAATCAATATTTTATATATATTGTAGTTATAATGTAAGTTGCATACAGTTCAGAATTGATATATGTTTCTGGTAAATTGTTCTTTTATTATTAAGTAATGATACCTTCATATTCAAGAATAATTTTTTAATGTTAATGCCTATTTTTCTCCAATATTAATAGTGCCACATCATCTTTCTCCTAAGTACTATTCCCCTGGTATATCTCTTTCCTTGCTCTTTACTCTCAATCTTTTTTGTCATTTATTTTATGTGTCTATTATAAAATTAATACATTTTAATATTCATATTATTTTTATTCAAGCTGAGAATCTGTTAACAGACAAGCTTAATCCATTAATATTTATTGTGCTTATAGATGTATTTGAAATATTTCTACCATTTCATCTTATTTTATAATTTTTTATACTGTCATGCTTTTAATTTTTTGCTTCTTTTATTTCTCTCTGGACCTCTATTGAATTAGATTTCTTTCTTTCTTTTTATTTTATTTTATTTTTTGAGACAGAGACTGGCTCCGTCACCCGAGCTGGAGTGCAGTGGCACAATCTTGGCTCACTGCAACTTCCACTTCCCGGGCTTGAGCAATTCTCCTTCTTCAGCCTCTCAAGTAGATGGGACTACAGGCACGCGCCACCGTGCCTGGCTACTTTTTATATATTTTTTGGAGATGGGGGTTCACTATGTTGCCCAGGCTGGTCTGGAACTCCTGGGTTCAAGCTGTCTCTCTGCCTCGGCTTCCCAAAGTGCTGGGATTACAGGTGCGAGCCACTGCACCAGGCCCGAATTATATTTTTTTCTCTATCTTTATTTTTTTCTCCATTGATTTAGAAGATAGATATTATGCTTTTACATTTCTTTTCTTTTGTGGTTACCTTAAAATTTGTAAGTAATCATACTAGACTTTAAAATTTCCAAATTTCTTATCTCTAGGTTGTTTCCAAGCAATTGAAAAATAGCTTCAGCTTGGATCTGACATCTTTATTTTCCCTATGAGGTTACCAAATTAGTCATTAGCAGTAGCAGTACATCCAATGGCTATTTAGATATACTAACATGCTTATCAATCTTGCTTAATCAATACTTGCTTACCTTGCTTCTTGCAACCAGCTATCTTCTTAGTTTCTATTATCTCTTTCCTAAATTTTTTATTTCATCAAGAGTTTGTGAATAGTAAAATATCTTAGTCTATATTTAAATATGTTTAACTTTTTTTCTTCCTCTTGAATAGTTTGTTTTTTCTTTTTTTTGAGACAGAGTTTCACTCTTGTTGTCCGGGCTGGAGTGCAGTGGCACGATCTTGGCTCACTGCAACCTCCGCTTCCTGGGTTCAAGTGATTCTCCTGCCTCAGTCTCCTGAATAGCTGGGATTACAGGCACCTGTCACCATGCCTGGCTAACTTTTTGTATTTTTAGTAGAGATAGAGTTTCATCATTGTTGGCCAGGCTGGTCTCAAACTCCTGACCTCAGGTAATCTGCCTACCTTGGCCTCCCGAAGTGCTGGGATTACAGGTGTGAGCCACTGTGCCCGGCCCTCTTGAATAGTTTTTAAGTAATGGATTCCACACTGACAATTATTTTCCTCAGTACTTTGAAGAAGATATTATTCCAAGATTTGCTGATTTTTTTACTTAGGTATTCTGCATTTTTCTCTGGTTGCTTTTAATATTTTTATTTTTTGTCTTTGAAGTTCTGCTGTTTCACAACATTATAGCTAGGTAGTTTTACATTTTCCTACTGTGTCTTCATGTTGCTTTTTTTGAGCACTTAGGTAGGTCTTGCTTTAATTCTAGAACATGCTTGACAAGTATTTCTTCAAATGTTGCATCTCCATAATTCTCCTGAACCATTGTTTTCTAAAAATGCTATTAATATATGTTGGATGTTTTTATTTTTTCTTCTATTTCTCCTCATAGTTTTGTCATATTCCCCATTCTTTATCACTTTGTACTACATGCCAAATCCTTTCTCATCTCTAGTTTTAGCTCTGACTAATTGGTTGTTTAACCTCTCTAGTGTGTGTGTGTGTGTGTGTGTGTGTGTGTGTGTGTGTGGTGTATGTATATTTCAGTGGCTAAATTTTTCATTTGAAAGTTCTTTGGTTGTGTTTCAAGCTCTCCATTTTTAAATAATACTGTTGCTTTCTTTGATTATGGCTTTTATTCTGTTTGTAACCTCTATAATGATTACGACTTTTAATATTTTTATATAATTTTACTGTTTTATAAGTATCAGGTTCTTGGGTACTCAATCTCTTATTTGTTTTGTCTGCTGACCCTGACCCTCTCTCCTAATAGGCTGTAGATTCCTAGTAGATCTTCTGTTCTGCATGCACATGTGTGTATGTGTGTATGTGTGTGTGTGTGTGTGTGTGTGTGTGCATGCTCAGAAACTTTTGGTGTCCAGAATAGGGAATGCTTTCCTATAAAGCTGTTTTATTTTGCTTTTGGTAAGGGTCTAAGAATGACTTTTATGTAAATTTTTCAGTTTAGTAATCTGATATGAAATAATTGGGAACTGATTTTGCTGCTATTATTAGAGAACTTAGACATAGAGGTAGTTTTTTTTTTTTTGATAAAATTAGTTTGTAAGTAGGACTCTAAGTAGGAAGTCTGTGCTAGCTCTACATCTTGAACTCCTCAAGTCTTATTTTCTTTCTATTTCACCAGCCTTATACGCAGCTTACATTCTTTGACTCTTAAAGGTCAAACTATGTCATCTGTTCTTAAGTGAGAAAGCAGGAGAAAGTCAGAGGAAAAAGAATAGATTTACCTGCCATTTAAGAAGACTTCCAAGACATCTGACTATAGCTAATTAGCCAGAACTTAAGAAGTGGTAAGTTATCAGGTGATAAATGATAAGTATAAGTGATAAGAACTTACCTAGATGCAAGGGAATCTGAAAAATTTATATATTAACTGAGCACACTCCCAACCCCAATAACATAGGCTTTTTATTTTTTTGTAAGGAATAAGGGGAGAATGAATATTGGGTGGCTACCAAGCAGTCTGTGTCAGACCAAATAAAGCAGATGTAATAAATTTGGATCTCATACTCATGTGCACTGCTGGTCTGCAGTGTTAATTTCTTGTAAGCAATATTTTCCTTACCCTTGGTTCTGGGCAAGCTTACCTGGGCCATTCCAGATCACTGGGTAGAAATTTTCTAATTCCCTTTTCCACAAAAAAAGTAATTTTTCTCTGCTTTATTCTGTATACAGGGGGTTCAGTTATGGCCCTGACATTGTGTTGTGCCTGTTTGCTTTTTATTAGTTATATAGAAAAAGCAACTTTAATATTGTGTTTAACCAGTTTTCTATTTATTTACAGTGGGAGGTGGGACTACCACATTAGTAAAAAATTAGTCAAATTACAAAAGTGGATTTTTAATTCAGGATACTTGTTTTCACTCATCAATTCCATATATGTATATGGTTCTAAATAAGTAAACTGATGGCCACACCCCTATCAGAGCAGAAAACGCATTTGGTTAAAAAATTGGTTTTTACAGATAAATTTATATAAGTTAAAAAGATACCTCTTTATATGGTAGTAAGGAAGTAGTGAAGAGGATGGTGAATTGGTAGAAATAAATAAAATTTAGAGAATCAAAATATATCTGTAATGCTCCTAAATCCTGACTAAAGAAATGAGTAATAAAAACTAATGGGACTCATCTGCAATTATCTACCACTATACAGTACCAAAGAAAATATTTATTGCAAAACATTATAAGATAAAGAGGTTCTGAAAATTACATTCACGTATATGACTTCAGAAAAGGAGATAATCATAATTAGGTAGACATATGACTAAGCACTATTTTTTAATCCTGCTACATTAGACACGTCTTAGGGTTCCATTCCTACCTAGGCTCCCAGAAAACAGAAATTCTGCTGTAACGAGATTTTTTTAACTATAAGAAATAGATATGCAATTAAAAGTAGCTTAATGTAGGGACTGTTGCCTTATGTAACAAGAAATGTCCTGATCGAAGACTTGTAGATTAAATCAGTAAATAGAAAACATTATCAAAAATCAAGCTCTGTTCAACATGATCAGAATATCACTTTGGTCCTCAGACTTCTCCCTTTATGGCCATAGATCTTACAGTTTTGGGCAATATGTAGTTAAAGAACAAAGAGATAATTCTTTCTTAGGATCTCCTTGTATCACAGAAGACATTCCTCAGAGTCCTCTTGGAAGACTTTCCCTTACATCTCATTGGGCAGAACTGGATTGCATGCCCAAGCCAGCTACTGTCAAAGTACACTGTGATTCACTTAGTTCAAGCAAAATTTCCTGTTTAGGGCACACTGGCTGTTAGTAAATAAATGGCTATTGAGAAGGCAATCAACAGTGTCTACCATAGCTGCACCTCCTAGAGCTCTATGAAGTGTTTCTGCCCATGCTGAACCAGCCAAATTTATCTTTAAGAAATTTGGAAAGGGACATCAAGAACCGCCTCAGTTGATAGCAGATGAAATTGGCACACATGTATGGAGCATCTGAGATAAATTAGTGAAGCCCACGAATGAGTTTATACATTTTTGCTGCTGAGTTCCACTGGGCTGGCTTGATGCTCACTTCCTGAACTCTGATTACTCATGAGAAATCATGTATCTATCCTTACAATAATCTTTCCTCTAACTCTTACATCCACACATATCTGCTGCATTCTCATTTGAGCTACTTTTGAGTTGGGCTTCCATTTCTTGCAACACATTTTCTTTGACCATAACAGAAGAGTTTCCATAAACCTGCATAGAATGTGTAGGATGTTGATTATCAGATTTTTATGAACAAGACCCCATTCCATATTCCAGGAAGGGAAGCTAGCAATCCATGCTATACATGACCTTGAGGCAGGAGGGCATCTTTCTGCAATCAGCATGCTGAAGCTGCTTAAATATAAGACTAGAAAATGATCTTGGAAAGTGTCAAATTGCAACACCAATTTGCAGTTTTCTTGTAGTGCCAGGTTTCTGTGATAAAGGTATAAACACAGTCTAACAGAAATTCTGACAAAATGAGAAGATTTGAGAAAGATCAGATATACCAGAGGAATTGACAATATTGTTGTTTGGTTATGCAGCATTTGGTCTCTTGTTGTTTTGTTAATAGCATTTTAGTTTCTTTTTAGGTGGAATAGTCAGTTTGGGTGCCTTGCATTCTTCTAGGCAATGGTGAGCATGTGACGTTAAGATAAGTCAGTCAGACTCTCTGTCTTGGCTTCATATTTTGAATAGAGTAACAAGAAGAAGTAAAAATGGCAGAGCAGATGAATATTATTATTGTGCTACCCAAGGACAAGTCACCGCTATGCCTACTGCCTGGATCTCCAGAGCTGCTTGGGCTCCTGTCATTCCTGAGCTAGTATCTGAAATGTTGCCTTTGATTTTGAGTGGTGGGGCCACATCCTTCCAGTGAATTACCTATTTGCATTAGTTAGTGAGTTAGGAGCCTGTTGTAGTAACTCAAATGGGTTAAAGTTATTCGGACTAGGGTAGTGCATTCAATGTGGAGAGAGGCAAAGAGATTCTTTTTTTTTTTTTTTTTTGATGATCCATAGCATTTTATGATTAACTAGATTTGGAGGTAGATGAAGAGTTCAAGATGATACCCATTTCCAGGCTTGAGCAAAGGATGCAAGGATGATAGTGACACTTATTGAGACAGGAAATAAGGGATGAGAAACAGGTTCACTGAAAAAATCGTGAATATAGTTACAGACATATTGAGTTGAGATACCTTTGCCACAATCAGTAGGTTGTAGGCCTTATGCAGTACAGGAGAGTGTTGAGATTGGAAAATTAATGGCAACTACCAGAATGTCCCCATCATCCCTCTAACAAACTGACCTCTAAGATAAGGGCTATTACAGTAAGAGGATTCAACTGAAGGACCTTCAAGATCTCCACTCATAACAAGCAGCGTACTACATTATAGAATCAAAAACAATAAATTCTACAATTATGGGGTATTGTGGAAAACATCACTAACATAAAAGACTTGCAAAGGAAAGCATGGAGTATCAATTAACCTTTGGCAAAATAATGCTGTATAATAAATGACCACCAACATCTCAGTGCCAAGCAATAATCGTAACTTATTTTGATCATGAATCTGAGATTCAACTGCTCTGGGTTGAGTTCAGCTGATGTCAGCTTGCATAGCTCAAGAAAATATATGAATCAGCTAGGTGACTCTTGATTTGGGCTATGGGCAAATCAAGTCACATGTCTGGGACTGATCTAGAATAGCCTAGGCTGGGATGACCGGAGCAACTCAATTCTGTTCCATGTGTCTCATCGTCCACCTGGCTAGCACGGACATATTTTAATGGAAAGGACCAACAGAGAAAGCAAGCAGAAATATACATGTTCTCTTGAGAACTACATTCAGAGGTGACACACCATAATTTCTGCCTCATTCTGTTGGCCAAAACAAGTCATAAGACCATCCCAGAGCCAAAGAGTGGGAAAAGCGACTATGTATCTTTAATAAGAATTATAAAGTCATATGGCAAAGAGTGTGGCTACAGAGAGAGGTGGAGTACAGGGCCCATTAAAAAAAAATCAATCTGGGCTGGGTATGGTAACTCATGCCTGTAATCCCAGCACTTTGGGAGGCCGAGGCGGGTGGATCACGAGGTCAGGAGATCGAGACCATCCTGGCTAACATGGTGAAACCTCGTATCTACTAAAAATACAAAAAACTTAGCCGGGCATGGTGGTGGGAGCCTGTAGTCCCAGCTACTCAGGAGGCTGAGGCAGGAGAATGGCGTGAACCTGGGAGGCGGAGCTTGCAGTGAGCCAAGATCGCGCCACTGCACTCCAGCCTGGGTGACACAGTGAGACTCCGTGTCAAAAAAAAAAAAAAAAAAAAAAATCCGTTGCACATAGTGATTTCTATCACCTTCCCATTAAATTCATGTTGGCTAATACAGAAAGCTTGATGACACCTAGGAACAGCCATGGATTACAAGTATAGTAATCAAGGTTGACCTTAATGCTGCTTCTGTTCTGGAAATAATTTCCTTTAGCTCTAAATTAATAAAAATCATGACACTTGGGACATAGTTATTGATTTCATTAACCTTTTGTTTGTATCTCTCAATCCTCAAAGTTTGCCTTCACTTGGCAGGGCAGATGAATACTATTATTGTACTTCCAATGGAGAAGTATACTCTACGATGGGGTCTGTGACATGATTTGATTTATAGGGACTTTGACCACCTCATCTTACTAGTGTACATCATGCTAGTGTACATCATGCAGGTTTACTATAATAATGATGCTAATTCTGATAATCCCTGCAGCAAAAAAACCCCATGACAGTTCCTTTAGCTGTTTTGATAAATCATATTTGTAAAAATGGTGAAAGAAAAGTCTGATAAAACACAGAATTCCTATCCCTTCCCATTTACTGTGTCTGTTTGGGTTTAATAGTTTAATGCGTACTGGAATATTCTCTCCAAAACTTTGGGATAAGTTTCATGAACCAGATGTCATCTGACATATTCACAAAGTTAGTCATGCCTAACAGTGTGTTGTTTTCAAGTAGAAATGGTACTTTGTAAGTTAGGATGCCTAAGCCTACAAATAACAGGATACTAGTTCAACTTGACCTGAACAATAATGAAATTTATTATCTCACTTGGGCAGCTTACATAGGTTTGGGACTCCAAGCTGGGGCTCCAGCTCTCTTCTTCGTGGCTCTCTTAACTCTGCTTCCTTGTGTCACCTTTATCTTCAGGCTAGAACTTAATAAATGCAGCAGTTTTTGGTGTCAATACAGACAAAGTATTGTCCAGAAATATAAAATGCAGATAGTTTTTACTGGTATCTGCTTCTCAAAGGAAAGAAAATATTTTCCAGAAGCCTTTAGATTTTTTTCTAAAGTGAATGACAAGCTTCAGTTTTCTTATGCAGAAATCCCACTTGGTCATTCTCTTTTCAGGTAGCAATTATTGAGTGCCTTTTGAGGGCCATTGGCCATGACAGCACAGTCCTGCCTCATGGAGCTTATCATACACTTATCTCACACTGGGAACAAAGTGAACACAGTGTTTCTTGAATTAACATACGTTAAGAATATGTAACAATAAGCTTGTTGAGTGGTTTTTATTTTCATTAGTTATGGTAAAAAATATTAGGAATTTAAAAAAGCCCTTTTAAGTCAATTACTGTCTTAGACTAAGCAAGAACTAGAAAGGGAGTCTCCTTCCCCTGAATATAGAAAGAAGTTGGTTCTATTAACAAAGAAGGATAAGGAATTCTTGGATCAACAAACAGTGGTTTCTGCTATGGGACATATAAGACTGGGCCCAAAAGAGATAATAAAGTACCATATCAGATTCCAAAAAAATAAATTTGCTCACAGGTCTATAGATTCCCAGTTGCAATATAACCTAAAATGTCATCAGAATGGAGATGCATTTCATCCTGGTGAATTCTTACTTCAGTTTAGAGGATTTTCGGATTGTTTCGTGTAATAGCTGGTGCCAGTTCTAAGCAGACTGCTAAAATACTACAATCTTTATTGGAGTGTGACTGAATTATGGTACAGAAGGAAAATAATCATCCTAAGCAAAACCATAGTCAGTATTTCTGTGGTTCTGTATCTAGAACACGTTTATCTAACTACCCCAAACTCATTCTCTAAGCTCTAGACTTGTCTGTCCAACAGCCTCCATTAGTTCGTGGATGTCTTAAAGCTTCTTTAAACTTATCATGTCCAAAACTAAACCCATGATCTTCACTTCATCTCTATGTCCACTATTTTAATACCAGGCACCACTTACTACCTCAGAACATAAGCACATTCTTAACTCTTCTCTGCACTTAAGCTACATTATTCAATCCTTCACCATCACTTTCCATATTGCCATTCCATTACCACCATAACCATCCATTTGTTCCTGGATTCTTTCCCAGAATCCTATACCCCTTTCTATTCTACTTCCAGAATGAGCCTTTGTAAATTCATATTTAGTCATGTCACTTCCCTGTTTAAAACACTTTGGTGGGTTCCTTTTGCTTAAAAGATCAGGATTAAATGCCCTTAATATGCCTAGAAGGCTCTGCATGGTCTTGTCTCTACTTGGCATCTCGGGCTTCATCTCATACCACTCCTACCTTTTTGCACTCTCCTCTCGTCTACTGTTGTTTTCAACCAGGCATTCCTTCTATTGTGGAGGGCATAATAATTTTTTTTCAGTAGGATAAAGATGCATTCTCTTCCCGCCTTCATCTTTGATCTTCATCCCTGGATTTGATGTGTGCCTTTTATACAAAGTGTTATCGTACTTAAGATTGCCGTCATCAGGACATTCTCTCCTCAGTGAAACAAGGGAAGGGGAATTTATGGATTCACTGATTGAATTGGGTACCTGTAATCCTCTAATATCTGATTGATTGATTGTTCTTTTCATTTCCTTTTCTTTCACACCTATTCATATTATGTCACTATTTTCACCCATTTAAGCATCAACAGTGTATTTTAATAGTTTTTAAAATAAAACTATTTTCAAAATGTCATGTTTCCTTTAATCTAACTGATAATATCAAATATTTTCTTCATCATTCAATATTGTCAAAATGCACTAAAAAACATTATCCTTCAGAAATTATTAAGGGTCTTGAGGTTATTTTCCTCTTCTCCAAATAAGCCCAGATTATAGTTTTATTCCTTTTTTCCCCCCTTAGGTCTCTTCTTCAAACAGCTATTTCTCATTTCTATCAGTTTGTGGTTTTTTCCTGCTTCTAATTGGCTGTCATGTGTTTCAAGCAATTCTAACTGAATGCAATCTCTTGGCTTCAAGACTTTTTTATGAGTAAAATCTTGCATTTTATGACTCCTTTAGTTGAGCTGAAAGGTTTTCTTCATGTAATTCTGGTTTCAATCTCTGTTCAGGATAATTAAATTTGTGGTAGACTGATCTTCAAATAAATCAAAATATAAAATAACACTTTTATCATTTTTTCCACATACTATCTCTTTAAGCCTGGTGCAACTTTATCATATATATTTTACATTAAGAAAGTCATTACAAAGTATGACTATCTGTGAATAATTTGAATGTTTTTCCATTTTTGTATATATTTTATAAGTCTTTAAAAATCAAATTCCAGCCAAGTCAGATGTTCTTAGTGTTTTAGTTATTACATCATGGTACATTTCTCTTTGCAAGATGCCATTTGGCATAATAAGATGGTATATATTGAATAACTCCTTGGTAATCTGAAAGAATTAAGACAGTTTTAATGATAATTACATGACACCCAAAGATGTCTTGTGATACTATATCTCTCTGACTCATTGACCTGGCTTTCAAATCCTAAGCACTGGGATCATAGGTGAGAAAAACACCTGATTATTTCTATAGGGGTTAAGAAAATGGAACACAGGCACTTGCACAGGACTTTACTTACATCTATGGCAGCCCTACAACTTACAGAGTGTGTACATGTGCAACAGTGGGGCATGAGGAGCAGTGGAACTCCTATGTAACTGTTTTGAGGGTGAGTAGCCACTATTATTTAGCCTGTTCTAATTTTACCTTGCATCTTGTCCTTTTATCAGCCTCTCACACTTCCTTCTCTTTGTTCTCTTCTCACCCTAATCTCCCCACCATCATTTTCTTCTTCCTCTTCTCTTCCTTAACAACCACTGGCCCTCTCCAAAATGTAAATTAATTTGTGGAGAAATTATAGTTATGCTTGGAGTAGACAAGAGAAAAATATTTAGCTCTTTTCCTCCATCTCAAGCCTTGGTTATCCCTACTGTGGTTTAATTTCATTACTAGGATTTGGATCAATAAATTTGTAGAAAACACAAAGCCAGTTTTCTCAGTTTATTGACCTTCTGTTGAAAGCAGACACAATTTAGCCAACATCTGGACAGTATTTGTGAAGGCCAAATGTAACGCAAATCCAAGCCAGAGAATGAGTTGATGCATTTGTTAGCTAAGCTATTTGATAGACTTATGAATAAGAACAAAAAATAAAAATAAAATACTGGCTGCTTTTAGTTTCCTGCTTGGTTTGTTTTCAGAAAGGCTTACATAGTCAGGGTGAACGGACATACACATCCCATGGGTTTCTCTTTCTGGTGCCCATAGGAAGTTTTGCTCCTGGAAGATACTCTCAAACCTAAGTTTCTCCTACTGAATGAACTACTCACTATCTTGGATAATGGCCAGCTTTGGAAGCTGCCTTATCTTTCTCAAATGTTCACTATTTAGTTAAAGGTAGCATTATAAATTGTCACACACTCAGACTGACCTGGTAGAGGTGATAAATGGAAGGCCTTCTGGCTGCATTTAGTAACTTGGATTTGCTATGGAGGGCAAATGGAAACTGAAGAGTAAATAGAAGAATGAAAACATGAATTATAAAAGGTTAGTCAAGGGGAGGTTAAGGTTATTTATGTGTAAGAAAAACGGTACCTGGATCTATCAAAGTGATGCCAAGTATATGTCTCTGTGTAACCTAAGTGGCAGAAAGGGAGGTATTTGTTCTTGGATTTGAAGCTCTTTGATAGAAATAACATATTCAAATTCTTCATTTGTACCATTGGAATTAAAAGGCTCTGGACAGAGGCTACTAAGATGGAAGGTGCTGAGAGGCACCTGAACTAGGAGAAAAATGTCAGCACATTGTTCAGACATTGCTTTGCCCATTGCCTTATTTGTGACATTTACAAAAACAAATATGTAAGGAAATAATTAGACTCCAATTTTTTCTGGATATAAAGTTCACATTAGCCATACAATGAATAACATGGCATTTAAAATTACTCTGGAATTCCTCTGGAATCTTTCATATTACCCGATTTCATTTTTTTTTTTCAAGGTGAATTTAGTTTCTGTCTCTCAACTAATTAGTTTATGTTCATGTATGTACGTTACACATACTTAACTGGACTTTGTAAAGAATCTTCATGAAAATGCCTTTGTCACCATATTTTATTGCTGCAACACACTTTGGGAAGGAGCCAGGCTGCTCATCTTCAGCACTGAAAGGAGAAGAAAGGGCTTCTCTGAAGGGGAATTGCTAATTCCCCTTTTAGCTTGGCCAGAATGACCACTTCATCAGATTGCTGAAAGATGTGGAATTAAAAAACAAAACAAAACAAAACAAAAAAAACCTAATTTGCAGTTTACTTTCAAGTCTGGTGGGTCAAAATTTTAAACTAAGGTTTACAAAGTTAACTAGCTATTAGCTTCTTTGATCAGAATCTAATCAAGTGGTTGTAAAGCAGAAAACCACTGAAGTTTCCCTCGGGAATGATCTGATTATTGGGAAATGTGCTGGTGGGTGAACTTGTCTTTACCTTTTCTTCTTGGCCATCTTAAATAGATACAGGCTATTTTTTCAGTCTGCACAGTAACTGACCCGATTTTTATCTTTTCTAAAAATATTTTTCTCCCACAGCAGAGGCCTGATTCCCATATTAAAGAGGACTGAGAGTAAAGTGGAATTAATCTGTTTCTTTGGGTAAGCAATTTTCTAACAGTATATGACTCTTTACAACACTTTAATAACGAGTATCTTCATATTTACTTCTTAAAAAGCAAATGAAACTCTGTGATAAGGAAAGAAGTTGGTTAACAAATCAGTGAAACTTGCAGAAAATTCACATCTCTTTTCCATAATCTAGGGATGGAAAAATTCAATATAGCACGTTACTTGGGTTTCCGAAATATTATTTACCAGTCTTTAAAATTCAGACTGTGGTTTTTAAATTTCTAATTCCATGTTTCTTCTAGCCACATTTATTGCCTGTCTAAACTTCTTTTCAAATTGGTAATCTCGATTACACTTCTTTGAATTTAACTGAAGACAAAATAGCTTGCTTTTGGATGTCTCCATGTAATTACAATTTAATTCTGTCTGGTTGATATGCTAAAGATAATGGCTTCTATTTTGCAAAATGCGACCTAGCTACATGCTCACACCATTGCCAGAGTCTATTTCAGATGCAGAAGCCAACTGTTCTCTCATTCCTGCAGAGTTCAGGCTTTCAGATTTTGGCGGCATTTCCATGGCTAGAATGAAATGAAAATTTCTCTTGATCTTTATAAAAACTCTAGCTTACCAACTCAGTGATGTGCATTGTGGACCAGAGAGTGAGGTACTGAGTCTACATTGCCTGCAAAACTGGTACGAGACTGGAGAACACTCGACTTTGTTCCCCTTTTCCCTCTATTGTCCTGCTCATGTCTAATCATTGCAGTAAACGGATTTTGGAGGGCAGCCGCTTGATCCCCCCTAACAAATGTTAAGCATCACCAAACCTCAGAGAACAATGTGATGTCCCAATCTGAAAAGTTCAATCTGTTTTTAACCAGATACTTTTATGCCCCTTTCTTTTTTTTATTGTTTTTTATTATTATTATACTTTAAGTTTTAGGGTACATGTGCACAATGTGCAGGTTAGTTACATGTGTATACATGTGCCATGCTGGTGCGCTGCACCACTAACTCGTCATCTAGCATTAGGTATATCTCCCAGTGCTATCCCTCCCCCCTCCCCCCACCCCACAACAGTCCCCAGAGTGTGATGTTCCCCTTCCTGTGTCCATGTGTACTCATTGTTCAATTCCCACCTATGAATGAGAATATGCGGTGTTTGGTTTTTTGTTCTTGTGATAATTTACTGAGAATGATGATCTCCAATTTCATCCATGTCCCTACAAAGGACATAAACTCATAACTTTTTATGGCTGCATAGTATTCCATGGTGTATACGTGCCACATTTTCTTAATCCAGTCTATCATTGTTGGACATTTGGGTTGGTTCCAAGTCTTTGCTATTGTGAATAATGCTGCAATAAACATACGTGTGCATGTGTCTTTATAGCAGCATGATTTATAGTCCTTTGGGTATATACTCAGTAATGGGATGGCTGGGTCAAATGGTATTTCTAGTTCTAGATCCCTGAGGAATCGCCACACTGACTTCCACAATGGTTGAACTAGTTTACAGTCCCACCAACAGTGTAAAAGTGTTCCTATTTCTCCACATCCTCTCCAGCACCTGTTGTTTCCTGACTTTTTAATGATTGCCATTCTAACTGGTGTGAGATGGTATCTCATTGTGGTTTTGATTTGCATTTCTCTGATGGCCAGTGATGGTGAGCATTTTTTCATGTGTTTTTTGGCTGCATAAATGTCTTTTTTTGAGAAGTGTCTGTTCGTGTCCTTCGCCCACTTTTTGATGGGGTTGTTTGTTTTTTTCTTGTAAATTTGTTTGAGTTCATTGTAGATTCTGGATATTAGCCCTTTGTCAGATGAGTAGGTTGCGAAAATAGTTGTTGTTGCTGGACTTAGATGGCTTTTGGGTCCTATCATCAGAATTATCTGCCCCTAGGTAACAGATAGGCATTGTTTACATCCAGAAAGCGATTGTTCCATTTGGAAGGCAGAACAGCAGTATCTATCAGGCAGTGCCGCGTAGTGTCCTGTACTGTAGTGAAAAAGGCACTATTTCCACTATAGGAATCAGAAGGCGGCTCTAATCCTGGAGTCTGTCAATTGTTTCTGAGGCTTTAGGCAACTATGTATGTAACCTGTTTGGGTATCATGTTTCCTTAACTGAATTAACTCCAAACATCACTTCAATAAATGTACCTGATTGATTCTGGAGGAGTTTAAAATCAATCTAATACTAACTCATTTTGAAACTTCTTTATTGATTCGTTTTTCCTCTCCTTTACCTCCTTTCCCCTAGTATCTGCTTGAGGTCATTACAAAAGAGGTAGCAACTTGGTAAAGGGAAGGTTATGAAATCAATTAACAAAAACACAAGCACCCATACTGACATAAGCAAGTGTACACATTTGAAAGTTTCCACTATCTTTAGGAGAAAGTCCACTGACTCATTTAAATACATATTCATAGACACTGCAAAAACAGTATGATCAAAAGGTAAAATGTCTTTCTCAAGGTCTTAAACATCCAGAGAGAGAACTATGTGTACGGCCCAGCTGAAGGAGCAGGGAGCAAATTAAAAGTCCCTTAAAATGCTGATATGAAACAAACAAGCGTAAAACAAAAACTGATTAACTAAGACAATATAGAAAACTTCAGTCTCTTAAAATCATTTCATCCAATAGAAATTGCTCTGAATTTTGTGGTTACTTGAAAGAAAGAAATAACTTTGAATAATCAGTTGAGAGAGATCTACCTTTATGTTAATGGCATAGTTGTATCCCCCTCAAATCTGCTTATCTTTAGTAATGTATGAGCCACATTGAAAACATGCAACATGTTCTCTTTTCATACACATTATTTGTAGCAATATTTTATTTTTTCTATAACTCTTTATTGACTCTACTGCTTTTTCATCATTAATTCTGACAGGTGCCAAAATGATAAAATGGCTACAAAATGACCCATGTGATAATTGTTTTAGTCACACTAGCTTGACAAACAATGTAATAAAAATCATGATTTAAAATTTAGAATGGAACTTGCAAAACATGGTATCAAGTACTGTATCAAATGCCTGAACATGTTTTTAATTGGCAAAACTTTAATGCCATTAAGAGTTTTGCATATGCTTCAGCTAGCTTTTGTGCAGTTGAGAAAAAAATATCAATACCCATCTGTCACAGTGAGTGGAGCACATATGGTAACAGAAGACCTTAAAATACATCAGATGTAGTTTCTATTATCCAAGTCACTTTGGCTCCAAAAGGAGTTCAGCCACCTTGATAGAGCTTTGGCTATTAGAAGTTTAATTTTGCCAATTAAAGTTGTTATTTTGCATGCAACTATGACAATTTTGATTGTATTCCTCTGCTGTGTTATTAACAGTCATTATTATGAATTCTGAGCTCGCATAAATCCTTCTGTTCCAATTTGGGTTTCTATAATAGTAAAGGCAATGGCTCTGCCTTCAAACAGGCACCCTTCTCAGTTGGTTAAGTGATCAGTGTTGGCAGGGGCCCTTTGTAGATGCCTTCTGTCCTTTCTGGAACTGCCCTGATTTGACTTAACAGTGTTGAGTTAAAAGGGAGAGTTAAGTCAATTTTCCAGATATTTCAAGTCAAAATAAAAACTTAAAAAATGGAAGATATTTTTGAAATGGGGAAAGGGTTGTATAATTAGATTTCATTCATTTATCTGACATTTACCTAGTGGTTACTCTATGGCAGGCAGGGTGTGAGATGCCAGAGATGGAGAGATATAGACTTATGACACGTTCCTTCAAGAGCAAGTGAAAGCTAGTGAAGAGGAAACAAACAGTACAGTTTAAATCCCATTATAGAGGTATTGAGAGGATGCGTTGGGAGCAGGCAAGAAGAATTACCATGGGAAAATCTGAGAAACATTTTTAAGGGGATGAAGAATAGGAAATTATCGTAAGACACACTGGGAGAGATACTGCTCATGTCAATTGGAAGAGCAACATAAAAACATGAAGATGGCAACAAGGGTAAGAAATTTGTGGAATACTGAGTAGTTCAATAGGGTAGGAGGTGAGGGGACAGAGACCAGATCACAAAAGTCTGTTCTTTCTGGATTTGGAGCCCTATCTTGAAGATTTTAGGGATCTTTAGAATATGTTTGAGCAGCAAAAGTATATTGTCGGGTTTTCATTTTGTAAAAAGCACTCTTATTTTCAGTGGCTTAATTGGAAGGTGCTGGGATTAGAGGCAATAAATTTACTTTCAAGAAACTAAGAGGCAGTGGCAGTGGGGTGGCAGAGGAGAAATAAATTGGGAAAAATATTTAGACTATGGAATCTACCAGACTCAGAGTTACCCTGGTTTTCCATACTGATTAAGTTTACCACATAATATTTGACCTTGCCTTTGTTTGCTGTGTCAGTACAAATCCACAGGCCTGTTTAATATAAAGCAAATAGGAGGCAGAGTGGGGAAATGGACATTGTTTTTTATGAACTCAACAAATCTTGCCAAATTGAAGAAGAATTACAGAATGTATAACTGGTAGTGTATTTTAATTCATATGAGGCAGAACTCAGAGTTTATATTTTTCCAGCTCTCCTGTGGCAAATTAAAGATGAAAGCATCAGAATCTCTTCTAAATCATTATTCATTTTGATGGCTTTAACATTCTTTTAAACATTATCAATGTTTATTTTCAGCTGACCTTAGCAAGAAGCTCTATACTGCTTGTGTGTGTCGGGGGCGGGGGGGTCAATCTTAATGAAGTAGGAAACTGAATAATCATCAATGTTCATAAGGATATGGACTCACTTTCTGTAATTGAGACCCAACATAATAATGACTTTTTACAGGCTAGACATAAGAAGTCCAATGCTGGTTTAAAGACTTCACTGTATTAGAGATACAGTCTCCTCTCCCTTTGGTTTGTCAGCCATAGGGTACTGTTCATTCAGCATGGTCCAAAGTGGCTCATGGCATATCCTCATCCCAGCCACTGTGAAGTGCTACACTTTCCTTCCTTGAAGGACACACATAATTTTCATATCCGTCCAAATATCCTGTTGGCCAGAACATGGCCACAGGCCACACTAAGATGCCAGGGATGCCGAGAATATTTTTTTTTTCTGAGTGTTCCTGGGCCCTGCTAAAAATTATATGACTTTAGAAGAAGAAGAAAATGGATACTGGGGAACAATCAGTAGTTTCTGACACAGTACCCCTTATGACACTTTGGAGGTGGTCATTCAAGCTGGGCTGTGCCATATCAGGCTGCCCTCTCTCTTGCATTGGCTTTCACGAGCAATCAATTCTTTTACAAAGCACATGAATATTTATTTATTATTCCTGTCATTCATTTATTTCACTTATTTAACAATCATTTGGTGAGCACTGACCTTTCAAGTTATGTGATAGCAGTGAGAGATGGAAAATTAAATAAAGCTCAGTCTTTTCCCCCATAGAGTTGACAGTTCAAAGATGGTGACATAGAGAGTAAATCAGTAATTACTATAGGCCATGGTCAGTGCCATGCTATATAGCAGACACTGTCCTCAGAGTCCGCCATGTACCCAGGGCACTAGAATAATTTGGTGAGATGCTGATTTCTGTGTTCTCACTTCCATAGAGAGTAATGTTTACCTCCCCTTCCTTTTCCTTTGAGATTAGGTCTGGGTATCTAATCTTTTTTGCTTTGGGCCATTTTAAATGGCCTTTTCCCTTCAGGCAGAAAACAGAGGAGTCTGGCACTTCACAGAGGATTTATTTAGGTTTCTAGCCTGATTAACTGAGATTGAACCCGGCCTTCCCTGTGGGAGCAAGAATGGACTGGGTACTTTGAGTAGAGAAGCTGACCCATGAGAAAGAAGGAGAGCTTCAGGCAGAACTGCTGGAATGGGGAGACTGTTGGGGGTGGAGAGTGAGTGGGTGACCGAGATTTGCATCCCACTTTCATTCCAGAGCCTTAAGGGTCCCTGCCTAGAGACTGCATGACTCTCTCTTATCCAGTGCCTTTAAAATCTGATTTTACCGTCTATCACTTTTCCCCTCTTTCACTCCCTTCAGCTGCACCCGCCTCCCAAGTACTTGACAGCCAGGCTTACCCCCTCTTCATGACCTTAGAGCTCTATGCTTCTTCTATGTAGGCTGCACTTCCCCTAGAGCCACATGGCTAATTCCCTGGCTTCCTTCAGTCTTATTTACCTGCTGCATGAGGCCTTCCCCGGCCATTCTTTCTAAAATGTCAACCTCTCACTCTGACTCTGTGTGTCTTCCTTGCTTCACTACTTCCCCTTAGCATTGATTATTCTTTACTTAATTTCTAGAGGTGCAGGGTTGGGGTGGGGGGAACAGAGGGAAATAGAGAATAAAGACAATCTCTATGGGAGAAGGGATTTTTGTCTGTTTTATTAAATACTCGTCTCCAAGATGGTGCCTAGCACATCGTATGTGCTCCATAAATATTCATTAAATGAATGAATAATGGCAAATCTCCTCAGCCCAAACTAGACAAATAGGGAGTAGAGTCTCCTTCATTTAAGTTGACCATTGTCATTATTGACATGGACAATTGGAATCTCAGTAGAAATCCTGGCCTTCAGAATAAAAACCTTCTCTTCAAGCTTTCTGGCAGGAATTAGGCATCTTGTAACTGAGCAACAAGAAGCAGAGAGTCACACAAAGTTTGATTTTTTTTTTTTTTAATAGAGAAGATGTGTCATTTCTTGCACCTGAGTGTTTTGAGCAAATTATTATTATTATCTTTAATGGGCACAATGGCCTTCCTGGTCTCATCCCGTTATTTTGTGCCCCAGTGTTTGTATATCCTGGATTTTTGGCTTGAAAGTGCATTAAGGACTTGCCACGTTTGGCTTGAAAATGCATTAAGGACTGCTATTGTGACCAGTGGCCTATGGTAAGTGTGTAGGACTAGCACAGGGAGCAAAGGGTCAGCATTTTAATACTAGCCACTACTTAGGTGATAGAGAACTGCAAATGAGTATGCCATGTGTGTGTGCATCTGAGTGTATCTCAGCCCATTCATGCTACTAAAACAAAACACTAAGACTGGATAATTTGTAAGCAATATAAATTTATTTCTCACAGTTCTGCAGGCTGGGAAGTCCAAGATCAAGCTGCCAGTAGATTCAGTGTCTGGTGAAGGCTGCTTTCTGCTTCTGGATGGTTTCTCTTGCTGCATCTTTACATGGTGGAAGGTGTGGGTAAAGGAGCAGGGGGGTGCTCCCTTCAACCTCTGTTATAAGAGCACTAATCCATACAGGAGGAGGAAGCCATCATGACTTTATCACTTCCCCAAAGTCCCCACCTCTTAATACTATCACATTGGATATCAGGTTCCAACACAGGAATTTTGGAGGGAAAGGTACATCCAAACAATAGCAGTGTGTATGCGATTTAAGAAATATAAATTGCACATGTGTACCACTGGCCAGTGAATTTGGTGACTCTGTTATTGACTGTGTCAAAACTTACATTTCCATTTTTTCTGTTTTGATATATAGGGAAGTTTCTTCTTGTATCACTGCATAATTTTGATGAAGGAACTCGAAACAGGCCTCTTTTCTCTGAATTAGACTTCTCTACTCTATACAATTAGCTTTCCCCCTTTGCTCAGTACTCCCTATAGTCACACCAAATTGTCATCTAATGAAAGTTATATTGCCTAGTATTTTTCCCCTATGTATTTCCTAGGAGATTCAGCAGAAATTAAAAGAATTAGCCCAGGTTAAGATGACTAAAATAATTATTCTTTGGTTAAAAGAAGCAAAGCTTACATCCAGGGACTCATTCAAGTTCATTTAATTTTACACGGAAGAGTTTAAAAAAAGTGGTTAACTGAAAAATATATAAAATGAAATATTAAAACACTGAATAAGTTAAAGAATCAGAAACGACCATTCATTGAATGCCTATAGGAAGCCATTTAGCAATTTACTAATCAACTGAAGAGACTGATATTAAGATTTAAGATTATTTTGTTTCTCATTTTACAGGGAAAGAAAACAGGTTTCAGGGATGTTAGTAAGAGCCAAAGATGCATTGCTAGTAAGTGGTTAAGGCTGGATTTGTATCTGGGTATGTTTGATTCTGACTGAACTTTCCACCCTACCTTGCTGGTTTCCAACTGTCTTTGAGTTCAGAATGTCCTTAATGTTTTAGTTCTGTACCTTCGAAAGTCAGAGTTCCATATTTCATTTCTAAATAATATCCTCTTTTCTCTTTTGCTATAAATAATTTCTTTGATTGCTCTGGTACTTGGTCTGTGTGAATTGCTTTATTTGTTTTTTCAATGTTGTGCAGGGATTTAAGTTCCTTGCTATTCAGAACATAGATGAATTATTTCATTTTTGAAATTTCTACACTGAAGTAAGTTTCAATAGCAAAACATGTTGTGATGGGCTCAGGCTCTGAATCTTAATCTCAGCTTCTCTACTTATATAGTAGATGAGAGTGGCCATATTATTTAACTACACTGTGCCTTGGTATCTTTATCTGTAAAATGGGGATGATACAGCAGTATAAGAATTAAATGAGTTAATGTGTGTAATACAATTAAAATGCTTTGAGCCAATCCTGACACATAAAAAATCACCAATGAAATTGTCATTTATTTACCCAAACACAACAATCTTAAATATATTTCTAAAAATTTTCTACAGCACAAGATATGAAAGTTTCATTAAGGTTATTTCCCTCGATGTCTTCCTGTTAACCATTTCCTAAAATCTGGACTTTGGAAGCATAGACCGGTGGGCTGCACAAACTTGAAGTTATGCCTTTTCACTGGAGAACAAGTCACCTGAAAGCAGGACTATGTAACTCTTTCATTTTTATTTATTTTGTATATTTTAAAAGCCAGATATATTTTTAAAAGATCATACTTACAATAAGTAAATTATGTAGTGAAGAAAGATCAAAATAAAGTTGACGAGTAAGAAGGCACACTTATTCAAGAGTAGAAAGAATAAAACAGTTCTTTTTCTTTTGTTTTTAATGAAAGAGGAAAGGGAAATGGACATATTAAAATTATTATTTCAGGTGAAGTTTTCTCTCAGTCAAAGTAGTTAACATTGGCTTTTTTTTCTCCTTTGTCCAAAGCAGTCTTTTCTTTCATGGGCTTCTGAGATATGGCCATGTAGAGGTGATATCTCAGGGCTACGGTGAGTGCTGAGATGGCCGGGATCACCCAATTAGTCCACTAACTAGAGTGAGAATCAACAGTAGTAAAAAGGGTTTCTGAAAGATTTGTGATTGATCTGTCATCTGGATAAAGCCCCCCCAATGATATATGTTTTGGACAATTCTCTAGCATCCGTAGAGTGCATGATATCCTCAGTTTTCAGGAGCATCACCTACAGCTTGTTCCCTGAAGACTTCTTCCCCACAGAAATGCTCATCAAAAAATCTGGTCACATCATATACCTTGTGGTGCAAGATCACCCAGGTGCTTTTGCTGTGATTGTGCTTCTTAATCTCTCCCAGGGTGTAGTATTTTATGCCCTTGTCTGACTGCTCAGCCATCTCAGTATGAAGCGAGCCAGGTCCTGCACACACAGACATGCTGAATGGAACAGAGCACGCATCACAGCCAGCTCTGCCAGAAACACGTCCTGTGTGTCCGGCCCAGTGTGCAGGTCTTTTATTTTTAAATTCATTCATTCATATTGAAAAAACAAACACAAAATTAACTGATCATCATTGGAGGATGCTACTGTACTGAGTCAATAGTTTGAAAATTGGTAAATAAAGTAACAATTTAAAGGCTTATATTGCTCTCTTATGCGAACTATACCACTAGGTAACCAAATAGTGGATGAGGAGTAATTTTTTTTCACAGAAGAATTAACGGATCCAGGCTCTGGTCATTAGTGGTTGCTAGTAACATAGAGAGAAATCGAGAGAGAGAGAGGGGAACAGAGAGAGAGACGGACAAGGAGGTAGGCATTGTGCACTTCTATTTGGATGGATACAATGTTTATAAAGTAGTTTTATGAAAACTGTAATTTGTACCAAATAGAGAATGAAGAATATGTAAATCTACCCCAATGTGATTCAATCAGCAAAATCTAGAATGAGAGAAACTCTACAGGACAAACCCTTCATTTCTTCAATAAATAAATTCAAGAAAAAGTGGTTGGAGGAGGTTCTTACAGATTAAAAGAGATTTTAAAAAACATCAGCCATTTCAAGGTGTGGATTTTTGTTTTGTCCAGATCCTGATTCAAATAAACTGTACAACAAATTTTCTCACATTTATGAAAGAATCAGAAATTTCAACACTGGATATCTTCCTAAGAAATTTGTCAATTTTCTTAGGTGTGGTGATGGTAACTGATTGTGTTAAGAAGCAGTGCTCATTGTTCATTTGCAGATAAAAGGATAGGGTACCTAAGATTTGCTTCCTAATAAAGCAGCAGGGGGGAAGTGGATAAGTGTATGAATGGGGCAGGATTCACCATGGTTGTTGGAACTCAGTGATTGACACATGGAGAAATCAGGATCTCATTATGTTGTTTATTTTGTGTATGTTTGAAGTTCTCTATCATTTTTTTAAAAAGCCTTTTTAAAATGTCTTTTAAAAACTCTAGGTTTAGACTACATTAAAAGAAAAACCTTGGACAAATTAAGTTTAATAGTTTAATAGAGCAGAGAACAATTCCCATATCAGACAGCCCCAGAACCAGAATAGGTTCAGAGAGACTCTGGCGCTACCACGTGGCAGAAAAAACATTTTTGAACAGAAAAAGGAAAGTTAGGTACAGAAAATGGCACTGAGGTATAGAAACAGCCAGATTGGGCACAGCTGGGCATTTGCCTTATTTGAACATGGGCTTGAACAGTTGGCCACCTTTGACTGGATGAAACTCAGTGATTACCAAAAGAGTAGGTATCAGTCTGCTTACATCTCCACTTAGGTTACAGTTGACTATGTATGGAGAAACATTTAGGCCAAACTTAAAATACGTAAGGAGGTAGTTTTAGGCTAAACTTTTTAACAACTGGAAGGCGTATATAACTTAAAAGTAAAATATATGAAAGTATTCACTTGAGTGTTATAGTCAGTTTGAATGTAAATGCAAACTAAACTAATTTGAAAATTAGGTAATGCTATGATTCAAGACCAAAGGACGTGGGCTACGTGCCATCTTCTTTAGATTTTGGAATTATTGCTATAGCTACTATAAATAGCACTCCCTATTTTCTATCAGGATTGCAGACCATTAAGTATGACTGTTATCCTTTTGTTATTTAAGAAATCTCAGCAAGCTGAGGCCATTTTAGAAAGACAACCACCAAACTACATTTATTTTTCTTAATGAAAAAGATGTTTTGTTAGCTTGAGGAAGATTTAGAAATAAGTATAGAAATATTTAAGGAAATCAAATATGTAGTAGTGATATTTTATTATTAAGAAATATGAGTATATTTCATAGTTTAAGTATTACGGTATTTAAGAGAATTGGATCTATTAGAATAACAGGTAAATCTGTCATTCCAGTTAAACATGTTAATTGTGTAATTGATTCATACTTGTCATTTTAGTTCACGTCTTACCAACGATACATTCAGTTTGGACATTTAATAGAATTTGGGGTTCACCATGCCATGTAATTAATTTGTAAAAGCTATTATACTAAACTATCTAGAAAAGTTTGTCCATCAGATCTTTGAGAAACTTAAATAGGTAATAGGATATACTCAATTGACAAATCAGGTTTAAAATGTTTGAAGAGGTTTAAAAAAAGTTTGTAAATAGGACCAAATATTAGCCAATCTCCCTAAAAAATTGTTGCTGAATGTGCTATACTATGAATAGAAGATTTATATGTAGAAATCAAACGCTTAAGAAAAGCTAGATTTTAAAATGTATAACTTTAATATTTCATGTGTTAATTTAAAAGCCATTGTTTACTAAGTTAAGTGGGTTTTTCTGTGCACAAAAACCACCCATCCTGGACTTACAAATACAAAAAAACAAACAGAACATCGCATTTTTAGCAAATGAATGGATCATTGAAGTCTTTAAAAAAAAACGTTTAATGCAACGAATAGGAGTGAATTTTGGGAGCCCTGCTAGGAGTGACACTCTCCCGAAATGTCACTTTCTCCGAGGCTGTCAGACTGGCAAGGGCAGGTTCGGGCCGGCGGGGAGGGCTCCGGCATTAACATATTTCCTAGACGCTCCATCTCCTTGGTCCGGCGTAATGGATGCCTCCCAGCTCCCTGTGGACACGGGAGCCCATCAGGCTAGGAGCAGATTAAAGCTCACACACTTCAAATTGGCGGCTTGCCGCGGCTTGCCAGAAGGCTAGAGTTCAGCGCGGCTTTAATAGAGAAGTCTCCGAGTCTCCTTCTCCCCATCTCCCTCTCGCCTTCCTTTGAAAGGAACTCGAGTCCTAGGCAAACCTCAGGCCCACCTCCCAAACGCCCCAGAGTCGGGCTGCGGCGGGCGGGGGTCTCGGGTCGGAGAAGGGACCGGCGGGCGGGGACGCAGGGGACCGGCGACTTGGCAAACACCCACCCTCAGCTCAGCTCGCCAACCCCGGGCGATCGCGCTGCGCATAGTGAACTGTCAGCGACGACTGATTTATAAGACCGATTTACCTTCTGGAGAGTGTAATTATGTTCATAGTTAAGAATTAATCAGGTGAGAGAATTATGGAATAATCATTCTCCGGACTTTAAAGGACAAACTAAATGGAGACCCACCAATGCGGCTTCAGGGCCTGGCCGCCGAGAGTCCTTTGCCTCCCCGTCAGTGACGGGGCGGTTTCTAGCTGACTTCCTTTGTAAAAAGGCAAACCGAGAAATCTTGCTGAGTTTCTCCAAAAGGATAATTCCCAGTCACCCAATTTAAAAGATGGGGAAAAGGAGATTTTGTGAAAGAAGGAATTCGTAGAGACCGGATTATCTCTGAATAAGAATTTGGCTGTTGTTTCCTGTTCAAGAAAATTATACCTGAATTGCTTTCTGCTTTCACTTACTCTATGGAACAGTCAGCACTTCAGAATCGTTTTCTGTATCGTTTTTGCTAATATGTTTCCCCTTCACCCTAGCAGTGTGGGTTGGATGGTTTTCACATTATGGGATTACGTTCTTTTTAGATGGGGAATATATATATATATATGTGTGTGTGTGTGTGTGTGTGTGTGTGTGTGTGTATTTTTTTTTTCTTCTTTTCTTTGAGGGCAGGAAACTTGTCAGTTAAGTTAGCTTATTTTTCAGATTGTCTCACTATCCTCCTCTCCACACATCTTTTTCAAATTTGGTATTTCTGTTGGGACATGGTCAACTATTTTATATTATCTCTGAGGAGAATTTCTAAGAGTCCCTTGACGATTACCTTGCAGTCCAATCACATACACCTTTACTATTAAATTTTGAAGAAAAGTGGCTGCAGTAGAAGCAAAGAATGGAACAGATTGAATGAGATTACTGCAGTATCTGAAAACTGTCATACCATTTCCTTGACAAGATACCGTCATTCTAACACTGTGATTCATAATTGGAAGGAAGGGACGATGCAATTCGTAACCCAAATGGCCTATTTTGTTAGCCATTCAAGTGTGTACACGTAGGCCTCAAACAGTCTTTGCGTGCCACCTTTCTTCAGCTCCCTTGCTCGGCCCTCCACCCCATTTCACTTACTCTTGGCTGCCTCCATTCTCTGACCTTGGGATTGTCTACTCTCTCAGGGCTGTGGCCCACCTCTGTTGGCCCACCTGTTTCTCCTCTTCTCTCAGGGCCTTTGAATCTTTGATCGTCTTTTGTACCTTACCTAAGAACCTCATTTTCTTTAGCTGGTTCTCAGTTCTTAAGTTCTGACTAGCTATTCACAAGTTAGATTCTGAGGGTACAGAAGAAAAGGGGCCGGGCACAGTGGCTCACGCCTGTAATCCCAGCACTTTGGGAGGCTGAGGCAGGTGGCTCACCTGTCAGGAGTTCAAGACCAGCCTGGCCAACATGATGAAACCCCATCTCTAATAAAAATACAAAAATTAGTTGGGCATGGTGGCGGGTGCCTGTAATCTCAGCTACCCCACTAGGCTGAGGCGGGACAATCGCTTGAACCCGGGAGGCAGAGGTTGCAGTGAGGCAGAGGTTGAGATGGTGCCATTGCACTCCAGCCTGGGCGACTGAGCGAAACTCCATCTCAAAACAAAACAAAACAAAACAAAACAAAGTAAAACAAAAAAAAAAAAAAAAAAGAAGGGAAGGAGGCTGCCCTCGGGATGTGTAATTGTTAAGATACACAGACTGTCCACAAGTCAAATTAACAATCCCATAGGTTTCTTCTCTGCTTTATTATGTTAAAATTGATTCTTTCTTTTCTTTTCTTTTTTCTTTTCTTTTCTCTTCCCTTCTCTTCTCTTTCTTTTCTTTTCCTTTTCTTTCTTTTCTTTTCTTTTTTTCTTTTCCTTGAGACAGTCTCGCTCTGTCACCCAGGCTGGAGTGCAGTGGCGTGATCTTGGCTCACTGAAACCTCCACCTCCCGGGTTCAAGCGATTCTCCTGCCTCAGCCTCCCGAGTAGCTGGGACTACAGTCACATGCCACCACATCTGGCTAATTTTTTGTATTATTTTTAGTAGAGATGGGGTTTCGCCATGTTGTCCAGGCTGGTCTCCCTCCTGACCTCAAGTGATCTGCCCATCCCGTCCTCCCACAGTGCTGGGATTACAGGCGTGAACCCCAGTGCCTGGCCGAAAGTGATTATTTCAAGAGGAGAAAGGAGAAGAAACTCTTTCCAATCTGTAGATGTGAATGAAAAACAAAACAAAGCAACACTTCACACCTAAATGTAATGAATCTTGCAGGATGGTACTCCAAGTCAGCTCTTCAGGTCATATTCTCATCTTTGGCTTCTCAGAAGGCAGAGGAGACAGTCATCACCACTGTTCGCTTTCTGTGCAGCCATAGAACTGGCTCTCTGCTCTGCATCTTGCCAAGTGCCATGCTTGAAGCCCCCAGGCCTCATCCCACCACAAATGCTATAGGGGTCTCAGGAATAGAGGAAGGTAAAAAGATGTTCTTCAAAGAGAGGCTACATACCTAAAATATGTCAGCAGCTCTTACTTGAGCAGAAATACTATGAAGGATTGCTTCTGTCTCATCATTCTTGCCCATTCAGATTACTTATTCCAACAACCAGTCTGCAACCGACATTTTGATTTATCGATATTACTCTGTTCTGTGCAAGGAGGCACCTGCACTGTTAATTATTTGGCATGGTGGGAAAGTGGAAACAGCTTTTGACTGGAAACCAGGAGACAGATTCCAGTTTTGGCCCTGCTCCTCATAGCTGATTGTCCTTGGGCATGTCATTTGCCTTTCTGGACCTTGGTTTCTGTAGGCACATCATGAGGAAACTGGACTGGACCAGTTTTTCCATAAAATGTGATACTCAGGAGAAGGAAGGGTTGGAAAACACTGTGCTCTGTGTTCTCTCTTCTCAGGGACCTGCCATCAACATGAATGTCCAATTACAAAGAAATATTTTACGCTTGGTTGAACCGTGTATTTCTCCATCTAATTTGACCAGCAAACACCCCAACATTTTTCTTTTCTTTTCTTTTCTCTCTCCTTCCCTTCCTTACTTCTTTCCTTTTATTTTCATGTATAACAGAACCAGCATTTTATAGAACTCACTGTGGGAAAGGCAGGACTAAAGGAACATTCTCCAGGTTCATGTGTTTGTTTACTTTGCTTCGATGCATAGAATCAGACCTGCTCAGAGTGTTATAATACAGAAACCATAATATGGTATTTTAATTATTGCTTAATTATTACATAATTATACTTACTGATTTCCTAAACACTAATGAAATAGGGACCCAAGCAGACAAAATAAAATGTATTCTTAGCCCAAAAGAGTATTACATTTGTTTCGCATTCTTGGGAAGTGCGGTGATCTGCGTTTTAAAAATTTACCTAACTAGAAATTACCACTTAAATGGCAAAATTTTATTTCTGCTATTCATTTATTCACTTATTCAAGTAATACTGAGAGTTAACCTTTTATTGTGCCTAAATCCCATTTGCTATCTGAGGAATCTTTCTAAAAACAATGTTTTTAAGTACAAAGAAAAAAAAAACCTACATAAGATTACAATGGACACATCAAAAATACATTTATCAACCAGGAATGGTGGCTCATGCCTGTAATCCAAGCACTTTGGGAGGCCAAGGTGGGCAGATCACTTGAGGTCAGGAGTTCGAGACCAGCCTGGACAACATGGCGAAACCCTGTTTGTAAAAATACAAAAATTAGCCGGGCCTGGTGGCAGATGCCTGTAATCTCAGCTCCTCGGGAGGCTTGAGGCAGGAGAATCGCTTGAATCTGGGAGGCGGAGTTTGCAGTGAGCTGAGATTGCGCCACTGCACTCCAGCCTGGGTGACAGAGTGAGACTCCATCTCAAAAAAAAGAAAAAAAAAAGTAAAAAACGTTTATCAAAATATTTTCCCAAATTTATAATATATATGTATTTTTAAAATGAATGCCTCAATTGACAAGATCTGGCAATGGCTGTAATAATTGCCATAATTTAAAAGTTGCGATCAGTGTAAATTTCTATAACAATTTTAATGTGACAAATGCCACAGGTATGTAAAGATTCATAAAAGTGTGATGTTTGCTGCAGATTATGCTTTCCAAAGATAGCTACAATGTGACTCATGATGATGCCAACACAGGGCTATTAAGTTATCCCCAGTCTACGAATCTTCCTGAAGCCACACATATCATGAAGGAAAGACAAACCGTCTTTACTGTCCTCTTTCCAGATTCCTGATCTAAAGAATAAATGACCATAATAAAATGTTGTTTTATGTCACTTGGTTTTAAAATGTTTGTTAAGCAGTAATAATAGTCAAAACAGTGCCGTAATAAAGTGCATGTGAGTCCTAAGAAAAGGGCTGCTACCAGTAGTTCCAATGCCAGGATCGTGCAACTCAAAGAGAAGTAATGTCCAGCTTTTGGAATTGAGCAAATGAATGGATGGTGTTCCAATTAAATGAAGTAAAGAATAAAGAACTAGATAGAATTTTAAGGTAAATGAGGGTAGAAATTATAAGCTTTATTTAGGCACATTTTTAGTTTTTCATGCTACTGGGCATTCAAATGCTTGAAATGCAGATCGGCGACTCAGAAGAAAATTCTGAGTTAGGGATAAGGCTTGAGAACATTGTCATGTACAGGGTAGTGAAAGCCACCAGCTTGGTAGATTTTACATAGCACATAGAGAGAAGAAGGAGGAAAAAATCTGGAGATAGTAAACCTGGGAGAACCAAAATGTAATGAGTGAAGGAAACTGGGGAAGAAAAATGAGACGTGGTCAGTGTGGGAAAGAGATGACTAAGTGATGTCATGGAAACCAAAGGATATTTTTCAAGCTATACATGCCCTTGCCTTCGCAGACATTTGAATTTACTTTTTTTTTCTAGTGGGTCCCCACACTAAGAATAACTTATTGTTAATGTTTGGTTTTTATGCATGCAAGTGGCTGGCTCTGGCAACTAAGAGAAAATAACTCTAAATAGTCCACAGTTTCCTTCCTTCTAAGAACATAGAGAATGCAGTTTAACATTTTCATGTTGACTTGGTCGGTTTTAGGAACATAAGACAGTCAACTTTAGAATTAAATTATGCCTTCGGAGGCAGCTGTTGTAGGCCAGGACTGGTTTAGTTTTTAACAACTCCCATTGCTCTGTGGCTGACTACTTTGTGGTTCCACATTCCTCTCTCTCAGGGCTATTGTGGTTTGTGGTCTCCCCACAGTATGATTTTCTCCTAATTGGTGGTTTTAGTCCCTTCTCTCTTTAGGCAATCTTTTCAGCCATCTGTGGGTCTGCTTCTGGTTTCTATGACTCCCTATTCTCTACCTGAGCTGTTGTTGGCTGCTTCAATTGCTTTTCTCTCTTTTCCATGTAACTAGTATATTCGTTTTGTATGGCTACCGTAACAAGGTACCACACACTTAATGGCTTTAAATAACACAAATTTACTAACTCACAGTTCTGGAGCTAAGAAGTTTGAATGGGTCTCCTGAGCTAAAGTAAAATTGTGTGGGGGTTGTTTTCTTTTCTGGAGGCACTGGGGAAGAAACTATTCCTTGGCTCCTGGGAGCCATCCCCATTACTTGATTCTTTATCTTCCATTTCCACTTTCAAAGCCAGCAATATTGGCGTTTCATGCTTCTATTTCTTTAGTTCTCCTTTTTCTGCCTCCCTCGTCCACTTATACATTGTAATTATGATGATCTCAGCAGATAATCTAGGATAACCACTCTATCTCAAGGTTAGCTGATTAGCAAATTTAATTCCCTCTGTCATCTCCATTCCCCTTTGCCAAATATCATAGTGTATTCACAAGTTACAAGGATTAAGATATGGATATCTTTGGGGGACCATTATTCTGTCTACTCCACCTAGGAAAATACCAAGATTATCCAATACAGTATGTAAAATTATATTAATGCAGCTATATCTCAGGAGACTGTAATCTTTGCAATAGCTGTTTTCACTAGATTTGGTAGCATTTTCTCTACAAACTTAAAGGCTCTTCTGGAAGGTTGAATTTGCTGAATCCTGACCTTAAGATCTGGGAGGCAGAGGTGACATTATATCAATTTTTATACTGAACCAATTCCTGAACAATGCTGTACACATTCAAGTAGTACAATGATTATTTAAAATATTTCAACCAATGAATATCAAATTATTGGTAGACTGCAATGCTCCCAAGTACCTCTATGATGTCTAGTTTGTGGCAGTTTGAAGTAGATTCCACAGTTATAAGGTACCAGGGTCACCCCAAGATCTTCGGGTTGAATCTAAATTAGCATCCACCTTCTCACAGAAGCAAGCATCCAGAAGGATCTTGTTTTTGCTAATTCTGCTCCAGAGTTAAGACAAGAGTAGAAGGAGTTTATACCTCTATTAAATTGAACTGCTTGTAATCAGCTGTTCAAATTTCTGTATTTTACTTGAGGACAGGAACTGTGCCCTGTTCAATTTCATTTCCCTATCTTAAGGTGGGTCCTAAGTAAGTTTTAAGTTGGAGGGGTAGATGATGTAATAGTCTTGAAGGCAGGGAGAATTGGTTGGGAAGATCATAGGGTACACTGAGATGACCCATGGAAGGGCAGCTTAATGATCAACCACTTCACTTTTGTAATAACCTCAGGGTCTTTCAATACATGTGTACAGACCTAGGCAGTTGCAGGGCTAGATCTTAGCTGTAGCTCACCGTGATCCATCAAAGTGGCCTAATTAATGGTATGAGTATGGGAATGTGTGAATTAAATGTGTCTAAATCACATCATTTTAAATATAGATGGAACTGCATTGTGTCATTGTGTAAAATGCTAGTTTTGAATCAGACAGAGCAGGGTTTGCGGCATTTATTAGGCTGTGCCATCTTATTGTCTCTGTCCTTCAGGGCTGGCCTCAGGCTTGGCGGATCTGCTACCTTTGATCTGAGCCCCAAGGAGTCTGAAGCCTCACTATGTCTGCTTTTCCTGCTTTTTCCCTTCTCCTAGGAATCAACATTTTCATGATAAAGGCCTCCTTTCTGGCAATCACTCATCCAGGGTTGCTCCCTTTTTATCATCCTAACCAATAGCTATTCTCCCAATGTCCCCCCACCAGTCCCCCACCACACACACCACAGTTTATGATCTAACAAAAGATAGATCAGTACAAAAGCAAGAATATTTCTAAGAATCATAGAATATCAATTCTAGAAGGGTCTAGCCGGGGTACACCTACATCTACTCTTTGCAGATAACTACCACCCACCTCACTTCGGTGTCTTGAATTTGCAAGCCAAAGTTTACAGTCTTTATGGGTTATTAGTTTTACAGTGTGATAAATTATTTTAAATATTTTAAGTTTGAGACAGACTCAAATAGAACATGGAGTAGGAGTAAATACCTAACTCATTTTTTAAGAAAATAAAAACTTGACATGTTTTGGCAGGCTTCGGGGCAATAGCTTCCTCTTTGTTTTAGAGATACTTTCGGAAAGTTTGAGAACATAGATCTAAATTTCTCATTTTGCCGAGGTGGAAACTAAAGTGCAGTGCAGAATTAAAGCTCAAGTCTCCCGGCCCGGCCCGGGCTTTCTCCCTGTAAAGCATACTGCTTGGTGCTGGAGAGGGAAAGGGACATTTCACTTTCCTTTTCAAGGTCCCCATTGCGTTCTGGGGAGAGTGACCTACCTGATCCCTATCATGATTAATGTGGTTTCTGAAGCATGAGATCTGATTATGACCCCATGTTGTTATATTTAATTACAAATCTCATTACGGCCCTGGCCATAACACCATGTAGCCCTCTTTGCAGTCACCTTTGCTGATCTGACTGCCTGAAGGTTTGTCTTTATGATTTACTCTAAATTGTTTTAGAATCGTAGACTTCTAGAGCTGGAAGGGAGGTTAGAGATCATGAAGTTCAATCCCCTCATTTTACAGATAAAATTACAGAGGCCCCAAAGAGAATAAGTCATCTTCCAAAGGTCATTTAGTAGAGGTGGGACAGGAACGTGGGGTGCCTGATCTGCAGGCCAGGGATGGTTCTCTCTATATCATGCTGCCCTGCTAAGTGATACACTTTATCACCACACTGTCTCCTCACTCCCCCTGCTTTGTATTATGTGACAGCTTCATAACATGCACAGGTTATATTGTACTATCTTTGTCAGTGCAAAGTTGGTCACAAATTCTATCAGACAGCAAAGTTCTTTGAGTTTTGAGGTAGAGTATGCTCCCTCAGATTATTCATCTTTCTGGGCCTTGATTTTAGTTTAACAACATGGTTGCAGATTAACCTGCTCTCTTTGAAGAAAGACATGAAGCCAACTAAACTAAGTCTTGCCAAATAAAAACAAATCTAGAGGTAGGTAAGAAGAGACTATTTGAAACAATTATTGCAATGGGGGAGAAGACCTTTGCAACAGCAGGAGGGGCTTAAGCAATAGGGAAAATGCTCAATCAAGAAGGTTTCTAAGCATCTCGAAGGTCATGTGGACATGGACTTTTTATAGGGAGGAATAAACAAGGCTAGGAAGAACTATGGTGGGGGGATGTGGGACAAGTCGACAGTGTGACTGTACAGTTGATGAGATAATGCATTTAGAGTGAGTTGATTTTCAAGAGGGGGTCTTTGAGGAGGCACTGTTCCACATTCCCATGCAGGCACAGGCTGAAGGTAGCTCAAAGTTCAGGGTCCTGAGGGGAGGAGAGGAGCCTGGAAGTTGGAATGAATTAGACTACTGGATATTTTGTCCAGATTGGCCAGTGAGGACAAACAGTTCAGGTAATAAGAATGGGAATTTAGAGGGTCTGTGTCTATCCTTGTCATCATTAAACAAAGTGGTCATCTGTGAGAGTCTTCTCCAAGTCATCCTGGAAAGGGTGTTTCTTTAGAGGAAGCCATCTCCTAGAACACAAAAGCGTGGGAGCACTTCTTGACCGTAGCTATTTTCCAGGAGCACGGGGCTCAGGCAAAGTTCAACATTGTCAGTGCTTAGTAATATCCACATCTCCTTCCAGTAAAACTTTCTCATATCACATGCTCAGCTTTCTGGCTTTCTCCTTTTTGCACAGGGGAGGTTGTGATGGGTCTGGCATTGTATCTGAGAAAGTTAACTTACTAATCAGTGCTTAACAGCTTTCTCTTTGCCTTCTTAAAATGGGGTAAACACCCACTTATTCCTTGGAATCTATAATAAGGGTATAAAGAGTCATCACTACTTTTTTTTCTCTCTTTATAAGCACTGAATAATGCTTAGAATTGAATGGAATGGGTAGACTTTTAGGGTGTGAGCTTTGGCTTTGTAAAGTACAGTATGCCCTTGAATTGGCTTAGAAACAGCCCAGCCATGAATAATAATTCATAAGATCATATGAATCCTCTTGAAAGAGTTATGTATTAAGACCTATTTAATGTGAAGCTATAGAGTCCTTTGAAGCCAATTCCAGGTATAGGAGGGTGAATGGTAGCAGTGATTCTGGTTCCCTAAAAGTTCTTTACCAGCCAAGAGGAAAGGCTTAAAGCTTTCCATTGTTTTTAAACCTGCTCCTGAGAATGACAATGGAGAACTTGCCAGCTATGTGAAAGACTGGGCCATTTGCTATGATGCTAAAAATCTAGAAAGAGGTGAAGTGACTGCTAGAGGTCAGAATATAAGACAGTTTGTTCCATCTTTGATCAAATCAGCCTTTGCAATTGCTAAACCTCAAGGTCAATAAGTAGTGTGCAAACTTAGTGACTCAATTGAGGTGAGCAGCAAAGTTCAGCAGTAGCTGACTTTTTGCTCCCACATTCATTGTAGACAAAAAGTCAGGTTTTTATTTTATTTTATTTTTACATAGTCCTACTGAGGTTTCATTTTAGCATACTAAATCACTGCAGCCAAAGATAACCCAGAGATACAAATAATGAAAGTCAAACTTGTTCTGACACTGCATCTTTTGCCCAGGGATCTCACATCACCTTTCTAAATTCCTGGACAGTACAGAAGCACATGCTGAGTCTTTTGGCAGGACTCATCTTACCTGCAGGGTAAGTAGGTCACTGCCTATTACAGGCCTGGATTGAAGGTCCTTGAAATTACTTTTCCCGATGCCTGCCTTCATTTCTACTAGTAGATTTATTCTTTTGTACTAAATCCTGTACTAAACTGCAAAGTAGCTTGTGGGGAGGAGGGAGGTGTAAGAAATTAATCCATCCCTGGTCTAACTGAGATTTGATTTTTTGGAGCTGGTTTGGATCCTGGACAGAGTGGAAAAGACTTTCTAGGCTGGGTGAGTAGAACCGAGTGGCAAGGTTGGCCGATCTGGGAACTATTACAGGGTAATAAAATGACAATTCTCTCAGCTTCCCTTTGCCCTTTCTTTCCAACTCTTTTTCCAAATTTATCTCTGTCCCCCTAGAGGAAGAGATGTTTCTCTCCATCTATATGAGGCTAATCTCTTTACCTTTACTATCCATCACTTAGTCTTATCTGAGGTTTTTCTCCATCATGCATTATCTTGCTTTCCTATACACTCGTTTCCTTCCTCTCTGTTGATTTCTTCTCTTCAGCTTACAAGTTAGCCCAGATACATTTCTTCCTAAAATAAAAAATAAAATGTAAACAAATACCTAAATCTTCAAACAAAAAAAGCAAAACACCTTCCCATAAATTTCAAGTCCTATGTCCCAGTTACTGTCCTGTTTACTCTCACAAAAAAAGATTTTTAAGAGAGTCTCTAGGAATGCTTTGTACTGCAAATTGTCAAAAACCTGAACAGCCAAAGCAAAACAAATAAAGGTTTATTCTTTTCACAAAACAAAAAATCTGGAGTTAAATTTTTGCTGGTATTGGCCTCTTGTGTCCTTAAGGATTGACGCTCTTTTTCCATCTTACAATTTTACCATCCTTAACATGATTGGTTTAATATGTAGTTTTGTTACCTCATAATGCCAATACAGCTGCTGCAGCATCAACATCACAACTGAATTCAAATACATAAGTAGGAATATAGCCAGTGCTCTTCACCCTACATACCTTGTCCCCTTTCCTCCTCAGTGACTATCTTTATTTAACAGAAAAATTAAATCTCATTAAAGACTCACAGCAGATTTCTCTTTAGAGTTTATTGCCTATAAGCAATGATCCCTATTTGCAAAGGAGATTCTGAGAGTAGATATTTGGTGTTATAGCTTATAGTGTGGAGATGGGTAAAGGTTAGTTTTAGTGTGGCCACGGTGTCTACCACAGCGTCTCCACTTCTTCACCTTTTGGTCACTTCTTACCCACTAAAATCTGTCTTTAGTCCCCTGTCCTCTGTGACCTGCTAAGGTCATCAATATTCTTTCAAGGCATCTCTGTGGTGTTTTCACTGTTGGTGACCCTGTGTTGAGCTCTCTCATGTTTCTTCAATTGCATTTCTGGTTGCCCCTTCTCTGTGTTTCTTGGTTTTCTTGTCCTTCACCCACCTGTTAAATACAAGTCTCCTTGGGGTTTCTTCTCTGCCCTTCCTTCTCTTCTTTCTACACAATCTATCGAAACTATCTCACATCTGTTTAAGGCTTTGACTTACACATTAATTATGCTTACAACTCTTTTTTGAGGTCAGATTTCTCTCTTGTGGTCCAGATCTGCATATACAATTGCCTACCTCTACCTAAATTTGTAAGCTCAAAATATCCCAAAACAAATTTCCTTCCAAAACACTCTGCTTCTTTTATTTCAAATTATTCTGAATCATAACATGATTCCTGTCATCATCTAATGAGAATGAGAAAAGTGGAAGTAGATTGGACTAATTCTTTCTCATTCCTTATGTTAGATGGAAGTCTAAGTAGTATGTAGTCTACTGACCAATTACATTCTGCATCCATTTATTTCTTTCCAACCTCACTTTTCCTACCTTAGTTTAAGCTTTTATAAATTTTTCACTTGCATTACAGGCCTAACTTACTATTTGATTTCTTTCTAGTCTTACCACTTACATTCTATCCTACATTCTTACACCAATATCTTCCCCCAAACTTGAGGGATTAATCAGAGTCCCACCCCTAGGGTCATACCTATTCTATAAAAAATAACATTCATAGAGTTTTAAATGATGCAGATTCCCTGTTTTCTAATGTATTTCTCAATGCCTTAATGAAGAAGTGTTTCCTGGGTCTTCTTGTGGAATGCAGCTGGGATGGGTGTGCAGGTTGCACATGCATCTTCAAGATTTTAGATTCCTTCCTACACTTTACGCCAGAGCAGTCTGAGCTTATTAACAGCTGGTCATCATTAAGTCCGAATTTTAGCTAACCAGCCAATTAAGCTGTTAGAGCCACCTTCAGCTTGAAAGCTAACACATTAAATCCATAGTCTCTAGTAAGTGCAGATATATCAATTAATTCAGCCAGATCTAGCATTACCTTTCACTCTTCTCAGTCTTTTCTAACATCCTTAGAATCTACTCCCATACTCTTCATGTTTCTGCCAATACATGTAAGCAAAGTCTGGTAATGTGTTGGATGTGTAAGCTATTTTATCCTGAATCATAGTATGTACCTGTCCCCCCTTGAGCATGCTGAGATTTCAACCTACTTGTGGGTCCGGTGGCAGCATGAGACATTTGCAAGGTGGAGGGTATTTAGGAGAATGAGTATCCCCTTTTAATATATCTGACCCAGGCGGGATTATCACAGGGCTTTTAAGCAGAGAAAAGCTAGTCTCCTCAGACAATGTAGGGCAATTAATTTCACTGGCAAAGAAGATTCAAAGCGATTTGGGATTCGAGAATGTCAGTTTCATTTGAATCCAACCATATATTACCAGTCAGACTTTTAAGGTCCCATGCTTTCCCAACCAATATCTTAACATTCACAAAAGATATTTGTGATATTGTGACTTCAACTGTTGTTGTAAATAATAATAATAAAACCGTACACAAATAAATGTTACCTTTCATTTTCAGTGATAGCATCTAATAGCTATAATTAAGAAGGGATTCTGGTTCTCAAACCTTGACTGATAGTTAAAGGACCTGAGCTTGTCATTGTCTTTCTATAAGCACTCTAGTGCACTCAGGAGAATTCATCGCATACCCTAATTCTTTAGTAATCCTTGGATTACTGTCATAAGGTCAAGTGCTGTAGTCATTTGAACTCCCAAAGCACATGCTTCAGTTGGCACTTCATCACAAGCAACCACAGGTGACAGCTTGAATACTTGTGATGCCACTGCATGCCATAGATTAGTAACATCCACTTCCTATTGTTGAGGAGCTCAGCACTCAGCTCAAGACCAGAGGCAAAACCAAACCAATTTCCAAATCATATCTTTGTGGATCTATCTCCTGGGACCTCTCTCAGCACCAATTCTGAGTCAATTCAGGATCTAATTAGGAAACATAAACACAGTAATTTGAACAGAAATAGTCCAACATTAAGACTTATTAACCATAACAGAGGATTAGAGTTATTGGACTAGGAGATCTAGAGAGGATAGGGAGCAGCCACTGCTAAGAAGATTGAAGTAGAATAAGAACCAAACTGGAAGAGGTCCTGTGCCTCCACCATGACTGATATTCAGCCTTCACTGAGAAGAGTGTGAACGTGGGCCACTGCGTGGCAGAGAAGTTTGCTGAGATGTTCTGTCTGGACTCTATAGACAGCCGTTCTCGGAAGTACTCAGAATCCTGCCATAAAAATGTATACCAGAATGTAGGAACAGGGTCCCTCTAGCACCCTCTAGCATCCTCTACTAATAAGGCATAAGAAAAATGCTCCAATATCACAAGCAGGGAAAAGAAGGGTGGATTTGGAGCTGAACAGCAAGTGGATTTGGAGCTGAACAGCAATAAATTGACAAGTGGCATATCTGGACCTTCTCCTTCAGGATGAACTTCAGAATCCTTAGGATGACATCAAAGAACATGCATACAGTGACCCTTCTTGTATATACCACTTTATCATCCAGCCATGATAATATTTTTAGAGTCTCCTAAACATAGCATATTCTCTCCTCCATGCCTTTGCATACAATTTTCTCTCAATCTCTTTACTCCCACATTATCAATATAGTTATCTTTTATGTAGATAACTAAATAAGAGCCTGCTGGGCTCTGCTTAAAGAACATTTTCCTGTTTCCAGGAAAATATTTCAGTAAGTGCTGAGTAATTGTTGACTGTATAACTGGCCTGAATCACCCTGACTTCTTCCTGAAGCTGAACTGAGAGCCCCACTTCTATGATGTCCCACGTGTTCCCCTAGCATAGAATTAATCAAACCATATGGTGATGGTTGATTTTCTTTCTCTCTCCTGTGATACTGGAAACTCACCAATGCCAAGAACTGGATCTTATTCATTTTTTGAGACTCCATGCCTCGTACAGTGTCTGGGACACAGTGGATTCAATGGATAAAAATAACTGTAAAATATATGGTTCACATTATTGTTATTATTTTCAAGAAAAATACATTAAAAATCTCAATGTACTCATCAATGTTTACTTACAGAAGATGATTTAAAGAAAGAATGATGAATTATTTGCTTTCTAATCAAAGGCTAATTTGCCCTTGCTCCTTTGAGATACAGTTTTTATCATGTCAAAGAGTATTTTAAAAAATAGGTAGTAAAAGTCACTTTGGGGATCTAAAAGTAGTTTATTTGCTGAGGGAGTTAGTGATGTAAAATTTTATTTTGACTAAATAATTTTCTTGATGAAAGAATGCAGGATGCTAAGGAGAAATATTTTATTTAACTACACAAATCCAAAACATTCCTCACATGTCTTTTCAATTGTGTTTTAAAAAATGATTGGTTTCACAGGGATGTAGTGTTTATAGAGCGTTAGGAAAGGAGAGAATTAGGGCGTAATTCAGACAATTGAATGCATACTTTCTGGAGCTACAGTCCTGAACCTCTTACATAATTCTATCCAGTGTGTGAGATTTTCAAAAGATATTGAGGGCATGGTAGGGAAAAGATAATGTGCCATTACCTGTAACTGCTAAGTTTGTAGTTAGTATTAATTTAACTATAGAAAAGCTACAAATGAACTGTAGAGAACAGCCCGTCAGTCATGGGTGAATTGCTAGATCAGTCAACACGTGGAGTGTTTACAGGTGCCTGATAAAGATTCTAGTTCATGAGAATTTATTTGGAATTCTGTTTCAAAACATGGAAAACACACTTGCTAAAGGTATTCTACATTTCTTCTTTTAAGGAAATCAAAATGAAAAGAAATGCTATGTCTGGTGGAAAGTCAGATTTTGTAAACAGTAGTGACAGGAGTGGAGGGGCTTAATTCATTTTAGGGAAGTTTTCTGAGTTTATCGTTCATTTTGTCATGTTTTGCAGAATTCCAGATGTTCTGTGAGATATTTGGTAATTATTTGGAAGGATGTAAATATCATTGGTTATTGTTCAACAGAGAAGTAAAGCAAGTAATAAACTTTTTTGAATATTATCTGAAATAGCAAAAAAAACTAGTTGCTAAAAATTCCTGCCCTAGTGCTTTCCAGAAAATAACTAACAGAGGAAGAGCAATGTGAGCTCAATTTTCATTTACTTTATAAGTTATGGCTTAATAAGAGAGAAATTCCAGCTTTGTAACCTCCTGTGCTGTTTTTTTCTATTGTCTTGTTCACATGTCGATTGCAAACCTTCTTCAGGTTTGGGAATTTTTTGTTTGTTTGGGTTTTTTTGGGAGGGTGGCCATCATTTTTCTGAAAAATTATAATGGGGAGCAAATTCTCAAACAGAAATAAGTAAGAGTAAGAAGAAAACCCAAAAGTTAGTAATTTACTTCACCCCTTCCCACTCTCATACCAAAAGAAAAAAAAAACTGTCTTGAAAATAAGCATAAATAACAACTACCTTTGCTTTGGTGCCATGTGGATGGTTCAGGTTTTCTTCCACCTTGCTCCTGGTTAGGGAGTTGTTTCTCTCCTTATATTATTTTCTAATTTCTGCTGGCATTCAAGATGTCTCTCTCTCTCTCTGCCTCCAGGCTTCTCTGCTCCCTGAGGCTTTCTTTATGCTTTTTCAAGTCTCTATTATTTCTTAGGCTGTTTTTCTTCATGCCTAATCCTGGAGAACCATAATATCTACTCAGATGTTTTAAAGTTTGTGAAATTCATCTTTGCTGGGGAAGGGGGTCTCATGCATTTCACCTCCCTAGTTTGAGATCTGAAAGGAAGAGGCTGGAGAACAAAAGTGATGAGTAGGATTTGCAATAACCATAAAGATGATTATTGAAATTTCACTGTAAGTCAGGCACTATTCTAAGGGCCTTGTTTGTAACAGCTCATTTAGCCCACACAACAATCCTGTGTGGCATATTTATAGGACTTTTCCTGCAGTACAGATGAGGAGGCTGAGACAAAGAGACCTTGGTTAACTTGCTTAAGTGTAGGACATTTTGGAGTTCTGATTCGGGACCAGGAAATGTGGTTTCAGAGTCTGTTTTCTTAACCATGGGGCTATAGAATTAATATTTAATATGTTGCAGGATTCTGAGCAATGTCCTTTTCTCCTCTTTGTACTTGCTGGTGAAACAGTCTTACGCAGTTACTGTTTACTACAAGCAAGAAGCAATCACTAGACTGGAACCCTCTGTGATCTGACATCATGTTGACAACGTGGGGAAGAACACATGTACATCTGGAAGTAATAAAGATGCACTACATATTATAGTCTGATTGGCTTACTGGATTAAATAAATGGGTACAATTTGTACTTGCAACCTTCTTCCCCTTTTCTAGTCTCTTGGCCTGACTGCTGTGGATAGTCACATGCTTTTATCTGGCTGTGGTGAATCCAGGGGATGAAAAGGCCCAGGTATCAATGTATTTTCAGGCCTTTCACAGGCTCTTATTGGCAGCAACCCAAGAGTCCCCTGCCTTCCTTGACCATGAGTTCCTCATGCCATTTCAAGTCACTAGATAAATATGTTCACTGCTCTACTATTTATGAATGCCTAGGCTATGATAAATAAAATGTTTTGCCTTTGAACAAAAATCCATAGTAATTAGCCCAGCTTTAGTAAGAGTACCCCCAAATACAATCAAGTATGTTTTCATATTTTGCTTCAAAATTGAATATCTGTTTGAATTCATTTCACCAAGTTTTTTCCTTTCTTTTTCTGTTAATTAAGAGTTCTAAAAAAATGGAATTGTGTTTACAAAGAAACAAAAATGATCTATTGGGACTGATGAATAGAAATTGTTCTAAATGCCTCATTCAGCATTCCCCAGGTAGATTTTCCAAGAAAATACTAGTAAATGACTGGGAGTGACGATGGTTGTGGAGTCTGTGGGGTTCCAGGTTTATTTATTCCCCTTGTCCACACATTCTCACCAATCATTTGCTCTGGGGCAAGTTGAGGTGGAGAAAGGTAGCTGGGTTATCATCTCTGATGTTTAGATCATAACTACTCCAGAATTAAATTAAAGGATACCTGGGAGTTCAGGCCTTTGCTGATGTTTATAGTTTCAGCATAAGAAAATATAAGAGAAAAAATGGTAAATTTGATCTGAACCTAAGGGAAAGAGAAAACCTTGTATTTCTAATTAAATTGCTGAGTTGGTTTCCAATCAATACATGCCTGAAAAAGATTTGAAACAGAAGAGAATTAATATTTGCTTTGGTCTTGCTAACTCCTTTTTCATTTTTGTAAAAGAGTTTGAAGCAAAAAGAGGCTTCTTATTCAAATGATGTACAATGTCAGGAGCAATGATAAATTTGCCAGCAATCTGAAATGTGTCACCTTTTGACTTAGTGGATGCAAAATTATACCTAGTTGTGTAACAATCCTTTCTTTATCACTCCATATAACTGTACACAAGTGAGTTACATTCTGTATAAGTGTCTCAGGAAAGATCACAAATTAAAAAGAGGAAGCAGGTCTCTCACGATAGGTTTCTAAAAGGCTGAGAGATTAATTCCATTGATAGCTCATCTGAAAACCAGTATTGCTCATGCTATTTCTTTATGAAAAAATTATGAATATATTTGCAGAGACTGTGCTAAAATATATAAAAAATCCCTCCAGTTACTCCTGGAAATGAAGTGCCCTTTCTATAATTCTATCTTGTACCATTTTCCCCTCTAGGGCTACTTCTGGGCATCCTGTGAGTCAAGATGCTGAGACATACAGTTTCACTTATTTTTGACATCCTGAAGGCAACTGGATGTTTCAAGTTCAGATGATGAGAAAGGTCTCCATAAAGTAGGTTTACAACTGAATATCTATCTATCTATCTATCTATCTATCTATCTATCTATCTATCATCTATCTATCTATCATCTATCTATCAAGACTCTGTGGTTATCCAGAAAAGAAAAGGCAACAATATTCTATTATAGAAGTGGGCCCACTCAAAATGGGGGCTGCTTTTGTATTTCTCAATGTATATTATTTTAAGAAAAAAAATACCACTTCAGTGGGGATTTGAGGAGTACATCTGTCCACCTGAGGCCCCATTGAGAACATTTTGAAACTGACAGATTTTCTTTGCTATTGTTAGCTACTATTGATTAATAATTTATTTTTCATTTACGTTTTGTGAAAACTTTCAAACACGCTAGAGTAGAGAGAATAGTAAAATGAAACTGCATGTACTTCCACTTAAGATCTCATTTTGCCAATGGGATTGAATCTAATATTTGTCAATTTTTTTTTCTTTCTTTCTTTTTTTTTTTTTTTTTTTTTTTTTGAGAAAGGGCCTCTCTCTGTTGCCCAGGCTGGAATGCAGTGTTATAAACATGGCTCACTGCAGCCTCAACCTCCTGGGCTCACTCGGCCTCCTGAGTAGCTGGGACTACAGACATGCACCACCATTCCCGGCTAATTTTTATCTTGTTGTAGAGACTGAGTCTTGCTATGTTGCCCAGGCTGGTCTCAATCTCCTGGACTCAAACAGTTTCCCTACCTCAGCCTCCCAAAGTGCTGAGATTCCAAGAATGAGCCACTCCACCCAAACCTTTATATTTGTCCATCTTATTGTATAATTGTAAGTATTCAAGAGTTCTTTGGAAGCTTCTTTCCCATCAAACAGCCCTAAAAGAAGTGAATCCGTCACCACTAATTAGATTCCTTCTTTGTGGCCAGCCAGCTCTTAATAAAAGTGATCTTCCAGTCGCTTTCAGTTGTTCCACCTCCAAACCCCCTTTGATTGTTGTTGTTTGGTTGGTACAACTCTTTTGTGCCTTATGCCAGCTTAGAGTTTACACATGCCAATGGAGCTTCTGGCAATTTTAAATCTGTTGCATTCAGTTATCACCAGAGGTTACTCACCACAGTAGAAGTGGTCCAGATATGCATTTTCTCTTGCTGTTCATATGCATTCTGCTTCTCTCCTTCTCTTCACATGAATCTGGGCTTAACCCAGTTTAGTGACTTCTTTAAAGTTTGTTTGTGCTGCTATAATGAAATGCCTGAGACTGGGTAATTTATAAGGATCAGAAATTTACTTTCTCACAGTTTTGGAGGCTGGGAAATCCACGAGGAAAGTGCTGGTAGACTGATGTCTGGTGAAGGCTCTCTGCTGGCAAGATAGTTTCTTGTTGCTGTGCTTTCCCATGGTAAAAGGTGGAAGGGCAAAAAAGGCTTAGCTAGTTCCTTATAGGTCTTTTTTAAGGTGCTAATCCCAATCACGGCCTAATCACCTCCTAAGGCACTCCCTCTTAATACTGTTGAATTGGGTATTAAATTTCAACATGAATTTTGGCTAGGACACATTCAAACCATAGCATCCAGTGTCTGTGTTTGGCTCTGAATAGTCCCTGACATAATCTTGAGTAGGCACACTCCATTATTACTCTCACTACTGCATTACGGAGGAGAAAATGGTAAAAGATAAAAAGCAAGCTGAAAAAAAATTAGTGTAAGTATTATTTGCTATGCACCTGGGAAAATGAATTCACTCCACTGTGGAACTAGACCAGTTTTTGGATACCAATAATATAAACAATGGCTTACTCAAAGGAGATTCACCCATTTTCATAATGTTGTCTGTGGACGCAAAAAGGAGAAACAAATAGAAATGTACAGGATTCACCCATAACCAGGAAAGAACATGTCCCAAGTCTTCCTTTAATAGGCATGGAAGGATAGGGTGCTCTACTCTATTGACCACTTTAATCATTCCCACAAGAGGAATAATGCTTGTTTCTCTGCTTCTGTTGTCACCCTTCCCCGTCATCACTCTCTCTCCAAGTGTGATGCAGGTGTTGTAACATTGCTTCAGAAGTATGATAGCAGTGGCACATAATAGTAGGAAGAGGAAACTGCACCCTGCAAACTCCATTCCTTGGGAAAATATGAAGATGTAGTACTAATATGATTAACTAACTTGAATTCAGGGGCCAGCAGCATGAAGTAGAAACTGAGTGTCTGCACATGATACATACAGCATCAGGCTGAAGCTGAGACACTGGGAAGGGTGAAATGGAAGAAAAGAAAGAAGAAAAGAGACCAAGAGGACTGCTGGACACTCGGTGAAAGGGCTCTATAATGTGGGAAAGGTGGTACCAGGGAATGATTGCACCAAACTCTGGACTCAAGTGCATTCCTGGTCTTTCTAAGAGATGGTCTGAGCTTGTACACTTTTTTTTTTTATTTGCAAAAGTTTCTAGCCGTACTGACAAAATCACTTAAAATATCTGTCAACATTTTGATCTAGAGTTCTAGTCAAATGCCATCCTTCCACATTCACTATTCTTCTGCAGATACTGTTATTAATATGCTGTTTTTGAACTTCTGTGCACTGAAGATTTTTATTGAAATCTAGGTCATCTGAAATGAATTCCTCCAAATATCTTACTGTCTACTCAAAGTTTTTTTTTTACATCCTTACCCACTCCCTGTTGTTGTTGTTTTTTTTTTTTTTTCACAGTAGCCTCTCCATCAGCATTCTCTAAGTCACCATCACCTCACTATTCCCACCACGCATATTTTTTAAAAATTAATTTTTAAATTTGAATCCCCAAGACCGGCTTGGGTTTCTTATAAGGTGGCTTTTTTTGTTGGGGCCGGGGGAGTGGGGGAAGAAATGTGTATTTTTGTGGTTACACTCATTGCCATGATAATAATTTTTCAGGGAGCTGTTTTTTCACTGTTTAGTCCCAGCATTTAGCATAATGCTGGTGCATAGAAGCTGCATGATTAATATTTGTAGAGGTGTGAATATATTTTCAAAATAGTACATATTTATTTAAAGTATATTTTAAGAAATTATTTATAGTTCCCACCACTGGGACATATCTGTGGAATTTTATTAAACTTTTCTCAGAAATATAATAAATGTTTATTGATGAAAACATAAGCAAATAAAAAACAGATATGATACTAAAATCCCTCTAATTCCAATATTTAAAAAATTCCTATTTTAATTAGTTCTTGCTAACCTCTCAAAATCTAATGACATAAACATAATAGTTTATTAATGTTTATGGGTCTACAGAACAACTGAACATACTTCTCATGTGAGCTGCGCTTGGCTCATTTTTGTATCTGTCATTAATGGACAGGGCATTTGGGGTCAGCTTCCTCTAGCCTGGCTGGTCTAGGATGACCTCCGTCCGTTTGGATGACTTGTCTCTGTTCCTCATGATCTCTCATCTTCCAGCAAGCTAACCACGGTTTATTCTTCTCATATCAGAACCAGAATTCCAAGAGACAAAGGGAAAACTGTGTAAGGTCTCCTGAGCTCTATGCTTGGGAATAGCACAATGTCAATTTCACTGAATTCTGTTTATCAAAGCACGTACCAAAGAGCAGGAAAGATCGACTCTACTTATTGTTGATAGAAGCTCTGAAGTCATATTGCAAAGGGAAGGGTGGAATATTGGGACAATTTTTATAATCAATTTGCTACAACTCCTTTAAATTTATATATATGGGTATAAGTATTTACATGTAAATTTAGATATGACTTATGCAACATAAATGTAATAAAAAGTTATTAAAACGTATATACATAAAATATGCATTTAGGTATGTGTTCATATATAAACATATATAGATAATTATATCTTATGTAATCAATATAATCAATATGTTTTATATATTGGTCACTATATAATCAATATGTTTATATAGTGATCAATATATAATCAATATGTTTATATCTTGATCAATATATAATCAATGTTTTATATTGTATTATATTATAAAATATATATAATCAATATAGTTTATATATTAATCAATATATAAAATAAACTCCATCTGCATTTCAGCTCCAGCTCTTAAAACTTGTGTGACCAAGAGTAAGATACTTAACATGCCTTACCACATTTTCTCATCCCGAGTGGGAGTAATATTAGTACCTTCCTCATTGTTTCTTGTAAGCATTAAACATAAATACATGTCAATCCCTTATAAGAGTACTTGACACATAGCTGTCAAATAGTATTTAACATTTTAGCAAGTTTTTGTTTGTCTGTTGGTTTTTGGATGCTGAGGAAACCTGTTCCTCATGCAAATTAAAACATTTCCAGGTTGTGTTATTTTCATCCATTTTACTTTTGGTGAATTTGCTCCCACCCTGGGCCTTTGTAGTGACTCTTCCTTCTGCTTAGAATGCCCTTCTCCTTTTTACACTTAGTTCCTCATATCTTTTCTCAAACTTCATTTTCTCAGTGAAGCCTTCACTGACCATGATATTTAGAACTGCAAACCCAAACTCCACCTCTGACTTCCCTTACTCTGCTCAACTTTTATGCCCCCTCTCGTCTTCTTGCATATTGTATATTCAGTTTCACTGGCTGATCCTCCCTACTAGGATCACTTTCCTCCTGAAGACTGAGTTTTGCTTATTTTGTTCACTTTTGGGTACTAAGCACTTAGAACAGAGCCTGACACATAGAGGGCAGTCAGATATTTTGTTGAATGAATTAAAGAATGAATAGATTTGAATCATCACCCAATAACTATGTGACTTACACAAACTTGAGAAATTTGCTTATCCTTTTTGAGCCTCAGTTTCCTTATCTCATAAAAACTAATCTGATTACTCCAAATTTTCTCTGTCTATGCCTTGTTCTCATTGCATCTCTGTATTTCTCTATCCTCTCTCTAAATGTTGAAATTTTTATCATCTTGGTAAAATTGGCAAGTCCCCTCACCTCCAACTAATTTTTTTCCACTTCTAGTATAAGGCAGCAACTCATATTTATTTTGAAGATAATAATACCTTCTTTGAGGTTTGTTGTACTGATACAAGGTGACAGTCTATGAAAGTACTCAGTACAGCTCTGACACATATATTGAGATGAGAAATGACTAGCTGTTCTTCTCTTCCTTTCCCTTCTCTTTTTTTCTTGCCGTTATTATCATCCTCAGTTTCCATTAAAATGATTGAGTTGCTCACTAAATCTTTAATGAACTGTTGAATAATACAAGTTATAAAGCAATTAAAATCTCAAGAATGGCATGAATTAAGTCTTATAAATATTCAGAAGAAGGACGTGTTGTAGGGGATGAAGATAGGGAAGGCCCCATGAGGAAGATGGAAGCCCGATAGTGGAAGATCACTGAACTCTGAAAGCCTGCGTTCAGGCATAAACATGGCCAATGATCAATTGATACCTTGTCAGTCCTCAGCTTCTCTCAGTATTTGGTTACTTATATGAAAATTAAGGATAATAATATCTACCTTTTTAGTTTTAATTGAGGATTAAATAAGGGAACTTTTGTAAAAGCACCTGGTTTGTGCTGCCTGATAATATAACTTGAAAAAAAATTAGGGGAAGCTGAGGGGACTTTTGATCTTTACCAAGATGATAAGAATTTCAACATTTAGAGAGCAGATAGGGAAATACAGAGATGCAATGAGGTCAAGACATAGATGGAAAAAATTTTGGAATAATCAGTTTAGTTTTTATGAGAGCCTACAAGAATTTATGAAAATAAACATTTTGATTTCGGCTAGAATATGAGGGTTCTTCAATGAGGGGTCTTTACTTCCCTGTCAAATGTTTGAAATTATTTCATAGTCAGTGGCAAACCTTGAAAGTATTTTGAGTGTGGGATTAATACTATGGGAACCATGCTTTAGTGAGATTGATTAATAGGACAGCAAGTGTGCAGGCTTGATTGGAAGAGAAGAGACTCCAGGCAGAGACACCAATCCCTACTGGGTGCCTGGCGCTTTACTGATGTTTGCTGAATTAATTGAATATTAAGGAATGTATTTGCATTTTGTTAGGTGCACTATTCACCATTCTAATTAGTGTCTAGAGACATTATGCACATAATAATGCTTTGCTTACTCTTTCTATCTCTAATGCATATAATGGGAATAAAGAAAATGGACATTTCCAGAGACTCTCAGGATTGACATACTGTCTCCTTCTTGCCTCATTTGAAATGCAGACGTTGAAAATCAAATTTAAAGGATATAGAAGATTGCATTAAGTCATTAAATAAAATGTCCCTTGAGGCTGAAGGTATGATGGGATGTAAATAGCCATTTGTCAGCAATATGGGATTAACTACCTTAAATCTTTTTCTTTGTTTCCTAAACAAAATGATGGCTCTGGCAAAACTGAGCAGGCTTCTTGTCTGAAGTGATCTTTTGTTGACACTTGTGCCCTAGTGGAACTGGCATCCCAATTTGTGAGTGGGCATTCAGCCAACTTGCAAATGGGCATAAGCATAGGCAGCCAGTCTTTGTGGCTGACATGCATTGATTATGCAGGATGTCAGGCTAGTAAAGTTGAAATGGCCGTCTGTCCTCAGCTTCTGTGCTGGCCACTGAGGGGATACGCTGTCATGAGTCCAGCTTTCAGCTCAATTAATTCCAAAAAATAAAAATTAGCTTCTGCAGTGAATTGCAGCAAATTAATATACCTAGCAAATCACAATAGGCATTCCTCAAAAAAAAAAAAAAAGAAAGAAAACAGTCTTTCTTTCCTTTTTTGGCTGTATCTGTACAAAACAAAAAATAGATTCTACAATAAAAAATTACCCACTTCCCTAATTTTATTTTTAACTTTCCCCTTAGAATGAGTATGATTCCAGGAAATGGCTGAATTGTACCCATGTTTGCCAAGAGAGCAATGAAGTCAAGGATGCTGGTATTTCTAAGCCTTCTAACATTGTTCTTTAAAAAAAATAGAAAGATATTTTTAAAACAGATCAAAATCTTTGTTGTCAGTGCATTAAGTCGTGTTCCATCACTGGTGGTTCTTGGAGTGGCTCTCAAATTTTGGGTGTCTTTGAGTACTTTCTAAGGAACCCAGTAGATTAACCTATTTACACATTCCAGATGAATGGTAATTGTCTCTAGGGTTTGGTGTGTTGACTCCATCAGATAGTAAACTCCCAAAGGGCAGCATTGCTTCCTTGTCTACAGGCACATCCTTAGTCACTAGCACTAGGCTCAGTAGATTGGTGCTCAACAAATAATTTTAAAATCAGTGAATGAAACTCATTATGTGGGATCTGTTCAGAGGGCTTCAGGGAACATAGAAAAAGGGAAGGTAAAGAGAAATGTCATGTATGGAACTATTATAATGAACCTAGTACAGTGCTGGACTTCATATAAATACACGGGTATTCCTTACTCTCTTAATTAGCAGCTTAGATATCACTGTCTGCATTCAACAAACCTTGCTAATCACTCAGGTCTGCATTACTTATCACTGTTTTACATTGCCATATACTCTTACCTCAGCTCCTGTAGATCACAATGTATAATTGCCTGTTTATGAATTATGCCCCCCTCCGACTGGACTGTAATACCATGAGGACAGAGACAGTGTCTTTCTCATTCATTGTTGCAGTCCTAAGGCCTAGCATATTGCCTGCATCTTACTAATATCTCCTCAGTGCGTTGTTTGGTTTCATGTTTACCATGTTTCCACAAGGTGCACATTAAAATTCAGGTAAGAAAAGTTAAGTTCAGGTAGGTTAAATCACAAAGTCTTACAAATGGCAGAACCTGAATTAAAATCCAAATCTGGCCCCAAAGTCTACGTTTTTTCTTCTTTGCAACGCTGCTGTGCTACTTTATTATACTGAAAATTTGCTGCCTAGAGCCTGTCAAAAGTTCATGAAATGAGAAAAAAAAATCGCTAGAGATATGTTCAGGGAAGCCCATGGATCTGCACCTGAGATATAGCAGCTTCCTGTCTTATGTTGACCATTTCTAATGTAGTAATGTTGATCCTGTCCCTTGCAACTGCATCCCCAAAGCTTTATGTTTATTTTCAATATTTCATTTATTAAAGTAAACTCAATGTCTGGACATCTGGGTATATAGGCAAACAATAAGATATACATTTCAATTTCAACATGAGCCAGAGGGACTCTCTATCAAATCAGGCAAAAGCCTGACTGAAAAGAAGGGATAAACTTTTATCAAGAGAATATATTAAAAACAGTTGGAATTGGGAAATAGGTACAAGTAAAAATCATGCATACAGTACCTCTGCTGCCTCTAACTATATTGTGGAAGCTCAGACTACAGATCCCTAAAACCAATCTAAGGACAAAATAAAAGTGGGCAGACATCCTCAGGGTAACTTTGTTTGTCAGTTAGTATTTTTTTTTTTTATGCTCCCTGTTGCATAGTCAGGGTCTTGGACACAGAAACGAAAGTTCTGGAATTTGTTTATTTTCCTAATAGGAAAATAACATAGACAAATGGCGAGGGAGAAATAGAACACCCTCTGGCTGATATTACTCAGAGCTATTGTCTTCAATAAGGTTGAAGAAAAGGCAAGAGAATGTTTAAATTTGTCTCTTGCATATAAACCATGCTGTTTTCAGAAAAGTCTTCAAAGATGTTTCATATGAAAGTGCCTCAATAGGCAAAAAATCTTTGAAGAAATATAAGAACAGCATAGTGAAAAGACAATTGCACAAACAATAATTCTGATGAAAGAAACATCAAATCATTTATTAAGTAAATGTTATTCAAAGACTTTTACCTTTTTTAAGGACAAAATCTCTAATGTTTCTCCACGGCCCATTATACTTCTAAGTATTTTCAACATGTTTGATTTTTAATCAAACTTCTCAATTTTACATTAGCTTGGAATAAACATGGCTTAAAGCAAATTCTATATTTTTGTCTTTCTTTTGATAATGCACAGGACAAAAGGATACAGATTGATGAGAATTTTTCTTTATCCATATAAAGCACTCCTTTCACCTCTGCCCCACGCAATATTATGACTGAGAAGGGACTTTAAAGATTATTTAGTCCCAACCCTATATTTCAAAGATAAGAGGTTGAAACATTTGATAATATTACAAAATTCTTTCTACCATGCTCCACTATCCTTGATCCTTAGAAATAAGTCCAGAATTAATACAAAGAGCAAAGGCTGTGGTGTAGGTTTCACAGCAGAGGTGGCATCTTTTACCCTATTGGTAGTTCCCCCTAGAGGGTCAAATTTCATCAGAAGGTGGACAGATTCCAGCTTTCCATGGACTCTCTCACCTCTCAAAGCTGTTCTTGGTTTCTTAAGCCAAGTGCGATGGCATTATTCGGGCAGTACTATAGATTTCTATTCCCAAATTTAAAATACAAAATATCAATTTTCATATCTACAACACATACACATACATACATATAATATATATGTATATTATGCATGTAATGTGTATATATATATAATACATATATAATTGTTAGGGCATAGCATGAATGAGCACATATAGACACAGTAGGAAATACAAAAATATAATAATGCCTAGGTTTTATTACATTTATGTAAAGAGAGGGCACACAGATGGGGTTTCAGTCAGACACGAAGGGGAATGTAAGTACGGAATATGTGGGAATTCTCTATACTCTCTTTAGAGTTTTTCTGTAAGCCTAAAATTGTTCTAAAAAAAAGTAAATTTTAATAAATTGATAAGTTCCAAAGTCTGCAGATTTCTTGCAATCTACATTTTCACTGGTCCCTTAAGTGTTTTATTTTAGATCCAAAGCTGCTTAACTAACTGAAATCCCAAGTTGATACCCACAGGTAGCAAAAACCTGTTAGTTCAGTTGTAGACTAAATAGAAACCTCAATCCCTTAGTGCTTAGGGCTACCTTTAGGTAATATTTTGCAGAAAAGAAAAATAAAAAAACTAACAAAAAATGGTTGGTCTTGTTTGAGTAACCTGGCCTCTGAATATTTCTGCCTTAAATCTTGAAGAAATCGTAGATTCCCTGAGGCCAGCATTTATAGTGATTCTTCTACTTGCTGCAGTTTCCAAGTAGGATAGATTTTATGTGCAATTATGGAGAAGAAAAATTATATTTATACAGAGATTATATTTTGTGGTTATTATTACTGCAAAAAAGAATAAAATAAACTTGCATCCTAACAACGACAACAACAACATAAAACATAGTGTTAAGAACAGGGAGTATGATTTAGAAGGAGGGTGACAAAAAATTATTGTTATTTTGTGTTCAGAAAATGAATACATCAATGCTTAACATTTATGGAGCAATATAAACCAGCTTCAGCTATTTCTCTTGGGGAAAGAAATGAACTGGTTGAGAGAAAAATGACACAAAACAAATAGCATGGCTAACTGACATGTAGTCACCCGAACCATGTTTCTGTGGATTATGTGCATCAGAGATCTTTGTTTTGTTGGTATTTACCGATAAACTGTTGAAAAATATTATAAGCTCATACTCATAAATATACTTCTAAAAGAAATCTGCAATGAGAGCAGGAACCCACAGCATATTAAATTTATAGGACCTGGAAAAGTTAATAAATTATTTTTTATTAAGGCTGGATTTCCCCCTTTTCTTTGACACAATGATATATGCATGCAACTAAATATCATAAGCCTAATATTTGGGTGCCTGGGAAAGAAAGTAAAAATATTCAGCTATTAATAAAAATTATTTCCTAAGGCATATATTCATGGGGGATTAGTTCAGTCTGAGCTCTATTCTTTTAAAAAGAACATTAAAAGGCAAGGTCTTTGCTGGGAAAGTCACCTTCCCCCATCTTCTTACTTTGCCTGGCTCAGCTGGAAAACTACCTCAATTCTCTACTCTATTTGGGGTGACGAGACCTCCTGATCTTGTGACTAAATGAAAAGCTGGAAAGGTTCTTATTTACTCTTGTACAGAGTCAGCCATTTTAGAAACATTTGTATTCACAGGGCTGTTCTCAGTCAGACTAGGCTGCATTCCACGGGCGCGTCTCTAATGCCCGCATCAGGGTCTGGTCATGCAGGCGGATCTTGGTGGAGCTGAGTTCCCTTCATGTCCATCTCATGCGCAGGATGCAGCCGCAGGATGCGCCCTAGTACAAGGGAATCGTGCTTTGTGCAGTCTTTCTTCGTTGTCATTTTTATGAAGATGTGAGCCAAGGAGAATAAGAAACGGAGCGTTATGACTACATTAATAATCGCAGAGCTGTATGTTGTGAATGCTACATAGTAAATGGAGGAAACAAAAAACTGAAACCTGCTTTGGCTAATTATGTAATGACTGTGGGTGAATTGCCTCCCTCTCCTCTAAAATTCTATTGTCTCTCTTATGTGCATAAAAAAGGCGTTTGAATTCAGGTTCTCTGTGAGTCCTTAGTAATTTCACACATAAAGTCTAAGTTTTTGCCACATAAACATAGCTTTTCAAGTGTGTGTCTAATGTGTTTACATAAAACCTCTCACAAAAACATTAACAGTCCCATGAGAAGGGGAAATGGGTATGGTATATGCATCTTCCAAAGGAAAAATTATTCTGCAGTTCTTTCCAGTGCAAGAACATATACTTTTTAGTATATTACAAAATGTACGCTACATTTTTGTCTCAGGAAAAGACATTAGAGATCAAAATACCTAATTCCTGCCTCATATTGGACACTTGTGAATCTCTGAGCTAGGTGATATAAAGTGGTGCTTAAGAGAATGAACTCTTGAACCACAATGTCTGGCTCAAATCCCAGCTGTACCACACAACATTGGTGCGGCTTGGACAAGCTACAAAAGCTCCTTGTGCTTCCGTTTCTGCTTCTGTAAAATGGGAATTATAATAGTCCCTACCTTGTAAAACTGCTAAGAGGGTTAGAGTTTCTATGAGTAACTTGTTTAGAACAGTATCTGGTCGACAGTGACAGTGTAAGCAGTGGTGGCTATTACTCCTTTTTTTTGAACTCGAAAATGTGCTGATCTACCTTAGGCTACCTCCACAGTAATAGCTCACTGCTATTCAGTCTGTGTTCGCTCAAATGTCACTATTCCACCCCTAAAGAAAACAATAACAAGTGTATCCCAGGTTCTTGGGAACATGCAGATGTAGCTATATGGTCCTTGCCTTCAAGAAAATTTGAACATTAAGGGAAAAATAAGATTTTCAGATAACAGGAAAAACAAATATCCTCCCAAATAAGATGAATATTTAAGAAGAAATCAAGATCTCAGAAATCACGAGGCAAACGGCACTAGCCTTCCTAACTGAAAGCCAACACAAAATATTAGCTAACTGTGAGTGTATGTCAGTAGCTGCATGATTCATTTTTAGTTCTTCCTTACTCAGTAATAACCCTTCTTAATTCTGCTATAGAAAGTACTGTTTCCCTTAATAGATGTTAAACCAACACTAATTCCTGTGGTTTGCTGATCAATAGCAAAATGGATGCATATGTATGTATTTTTTTCATGTTGGTTAAAACTCTGTGGACTGCAAATTATTTCTCCTCTGATGCTGTTTTTATATTCAGGTCTTCTAGGTATCATAAGAAACAAAATTAAAAGTAATATATGTTCATTTTAAAAATAAGCAAAACTAAGCTATAAAATTTTAGATGCCTTTGAGTGTACCTCAAAGAATGTGACATCAGCAGTTATATAATTTTATTGCTGATGTTAAGTCTGTGACAAACTCTCAGCTACAGTTTGCTCTGGATGTCGGAAAATGAACCTTATGAATTTTAATGCCTTTTACTTTTGACATTGATTTATGTTTTGTACAGCTGTACTTTTCTATACACTGATATAAATAAACAGCATCCTTAATAGAACATTTGGAGAATGGCTTGTTCCAAAGTGTTACTTTTTAAACATCAGCTGGAGGTTAAGTAATAATATTCAAAGTGTGTACACTAATCACAACAATTTGAAGTGATATAAAGATGTCTATAAATGTTTGTGTGTTTGTTTTATAGATTCAAGCTTTGGGGTATGAAAACAGTGTTCAAATAAAGCTGCTAGAGGTGCTTTCAAACACTGCCAAAAACGAAGATGACATGATGATAATCTAATAGACTTGGAGCCAGCATCTGACAGTGAGTCATTTAGAAATGAGGTGTCTGTGCTCATTCAAGGGCAACGTTTGGCCTCCAAGATGGGGAAACACAGGGCACAGAATGGGACATTTTCCTGTACTCTTTCTGTTTATGATATATGCATCATTGGATCATCTTAGTTAATTTGAGTTTATTTACATAACAGACACTTGGAAAACAGTTCTGTGGAAGTTATAGGGCACTCAGAGAATGCAAACTTTCTTCTTCCACTTCTTCATGTGACCCATGTGGTAGTGACCAAAAGTAAAAAGTTTTCTTGTGAATCAACTTTTCAACAACCTTACATCCTACTTTCTCTTATTAGTGGGAAGTAACTTCAAAGGGGAGGGAAATTCTCCATCATGAAGAGATTTCGGTGCATGTTGCCCCATTCAGACCCATATCTTCTGACTCCTTCACTGCCATATTTTCCACTTTGATAAGATGCTACAAAAATAAAAAGTTCACTTAAAAGCTTCAAAACAAAAGGAAAATAGCAAGCAGATGAATATGAGAGAGGTAACCTCATCATCAAAATTTCACTCCATTAAAAATAACAAAATCAAGTCTCCACAAGCAAAGTGACATGTCCAGGAATATGTTTTGTTTGGAGCATAATGCTCTCCTATGATGTTAGGCTCTGCATGGTGTGCAATACGCTGGGATCCATTGCATCTCTCTTTAAGGGCTTCCATCTATATAGTTACTATTTACTAAAAGCAAGGTAGCAGCAGCCAATTGGTAGGGCTAGGACAAGTGTTGCCAAATGACCTGGAATATTTAAAAAATAATCAGTGCTCAATATCTCGAAATCATGGTATCATTCTCATTCTCTCTCTCCAGCTTGACATAGCGAGTCTATTCTTCTCCCTCGGCCTTTGCTCTCCATATTTTCCTTTCGGTCATCGTGAGACTAAAGCAGGCTCAGCCACAGCATTTTGAAAGGTGCCTAATGATGCTGATGGAATGAGCAATACAATTAACAAGGAACAAATAGTCCAGCTCTTGATGTAAGCACCCTACTTTGTCCTTTACATATGTTTGTTCTTGATGAAAAATAGCAAAGATTCTCTGAGATTAGGGACTTAATATCTTCTACTTTCAATAGAGAGCTTTTCTTCCAAGGGCAGAACAAATTACATAGATTTATTACATCTTTACTCAGTCCATCTACACTCTACCTCATGCATTGCAAAGTGAAGTATTTTATTTTCCATTAAAGTCTAATTTTTTAAGAACTGCCATGTTTTTTTTATAGCATGAAGAGTCACCTGGGCTGTGGAGACTGGTGTTTTGAAGATACTTTATGTTTTATATAGATTTTGTGTGTAGCATGCTAGACAGTAAAGACAAGCACAAGAACAGAACAATTCTTTTTTAACAAAAAGTACTTTTACCCCCTTTCTTGTTTTTGCATACCAGGGGCATTGCTCTCTTTTAAATCAGCATCCTTTCATCTCCCATCTTCCAATCAGGTCACAGAAAAGGACAAAATTCTTCAATAGGCTTCAAAATCTAGTTGTTATCCCAATGGGAACATTGATAATATCTATTAGGTTGGTGCAAAAGTAATTGTTGTTCTTGCCATTTAAAGTAATGGCAAAAACCACAATTACTTTTGCACCAACCTAATAACTAGAAAAATGAGATAAAAATGTAAGCACAGTAATTGCCTCAATTTTATATGATGAAATGGGAATAATAAAGCATGTAGGATCATAAAAGTAACACAATAAACATCATTATCTAGCTAATAGGATGAGAATGAAGGGTGGTAGATTGTGTGCTCCAGGCTTGATGGCATGCTTTCTTTTTAGCCACCTTGCATTAGAAAAAAAATGGGATATTGAAATGACTGCATTTACTGGTCACAGAATGTTAAGTGCAGGTCCTGAACTGTGGCCTTTACTTTCTAAGTAATCTGAGAGACAACATGCTATAAGAACAGTAATGTTTGTTTGTTAGGAAAGGAATGCTTTATTCTGCTCTTGAATATCTAGAGAATAAGACATTTAGAGAGTACTCCTCTACCCCCTCCTTTCCCAAAATATCTTCTTTCCTTTGTTTTGATCGGTGTCAGCCATGAGACTAGTTGACAAAAATTATGCAATTTGTGCCATACTTTTTTCTGGCTACAAAATTTGCATTGAACCTGGCAATGTTATACCCTAAGTATTTCTCTTTCAACCCTCAGAAAGAGGTGATCTTCTCCTCCTTAGTCTAGTGTTCCCTGAATCTCTTGGTTAAGGGAATACAGTTCCACAGCCAGCTGTCTACAACATTTTCTCACAGGTCCCAAGCAATTTATCCATGTGAATCAAACTGACTAGTCACAAAATCAAACACTAATAAGTTACTATTTGATAATCTGATTATCTGAATTAACTGACTATTACATTGAGGTATTTTTCCCCCCTTTAATGATAAGGATACCTTTTTCATAAGTGTTTTCAAAAATTGGATGGATTGTCTCATTATAGCTGCTGAATTCTTGTAAGTGGTGAAAATTAATAAGGTCTTAAACTCTCAAATTTTATGAATTGATATTTCAATTCAGTCAAAACAGTAGATCTAGTTTCTATCTATAGCACATTCTGATAGAGCATATAAAAGAAAACCCAATTTATTGGTTAGCATGCATGAGGTTCAGTATGATTTCCTCCAGCCTCAAGACATATGAGTCAATGATTTATTCTTGTGAATGGTATTTATAACATTGTTTAAAAACCTGTTTCATAAGAGGTTCTTTAAATATATGACGAGAGCTAGCTTATCCCTTTCTAAGTTTTCTTGCTCAGGTTAAGACATGATCAGCTGTTATTTGTGATATGGTTTTTGGGTCCTTCACAAGCTGAGACTCTTATTGAATATTATTGAGCATATGTTCAGTTCATTTAAAAGCCTTTGCACAGAAACTGCTTTCAATCCAAGTATTATATTTTTAAGGTTATTTTAACCTTAACAGAGAATTTGAAAATTACATTTGTTATTTTCATTGTGGAGATTCAAATTCAGAATCCTAGCTAAAAGAGATTTTTTAAATTCTCATTTCTTCATTTAGCCTTAGCTCTCCCTACCAACTTTAGAATATACATAAATGTGATCAAGATGATTGTCATGTCTCCATCTAAATTATTCATGAATATTAAACATTGATACAATTATTGAATAGAATATGAAGAAAATAGGGGTCTGGGGAATATCACTAAATATGATCCCTCTAGAATGATGTTTGTTAAACTTAATTATTAAACTAACATTTTTTAAGGGAAAAATTATTTATCCTTAGCATTTACTTAAGTTTTTATAATTATTGATTAGGTAGGTATAGGCAAACTTATTTATATGTAAAACACTTATACACATATAAGGCAAAAAATTTACAAATTGTACAAAACAGAAATAAAATCAATAACAGTAATTAAAAGAGAAATATTTTTGTCTCATTGAATATAAAGCAGTAATGTTATATTTAATAATATAAATTTTATCTTCATTGTACAGTTCTAATTTTATCAGTTTCTTGAATATTAGTAGTGGAAATGAATATAGTTGTCTTGTGTTCAACTTTACTGGGAATGCTTCTAATGCTTCATCAGTTTGTATAAAGTTTGCTTTAAGGTTTTGATAAATATTTTTATCAGGTTAAAAAAATGACTCACTGTTTTTAAGTTGGAAAGTATATGTATGTATGCATATAGGTTATATGCATATATGCTATCAACTTTCAATCTCTTATTAGAGTTACTTTGCTAATAATTTATTTGAGATTTTTGCATCTATACTCAGGAATAAGATTGGTTTTTTGTTTCCTATTCCTGTACTGTTGTTCTTCCTTCTCTTGTTTCAATATTAATGATATATTAACCTCATTAATAACTTTTGTAGCTTTCTTTCTTATATTGTCTAGACAATTTTAAGATAGGAAGTATCTCTTTCTTGTAGATTTTGGTCAACTCCATATGTACAATGATCTGGACTTTATGCATTTTTGTGGGAACATGCTATAGTTTGGATATTTGCCCCCCCAAACCTCATGTTGAAATTGGATCCCCAATGTTGGAGGTAGGATCTAATGAAAGATGTCTGGGTCATGAGGGGATCCCTCATGAGAAGATTAATGCCCTTACTGCCAGGAGGGTGGGTAAATTCTCACTCCTAGTTCCTAGGAGAGCTGGTTGTTAAAAAGAACCTGTCACCTCCCACTTCTGTCTTTCTGGCTACCTCTCTTGCCATGTGATCTCTACTTGTCAGCTCTCCTTCCCCTTCCACTGTGAGTGGAAGCTTTCTCAGGCCCTCAGATGCTGGTACCATGCTTCTTGTACAGCCTGCAGAATTATGAGCCAAATAAACCTATTTTCTTTATAAATTACTCAGTCTTAGATATTCCTTTATAGCAACACAAATGGACTGAGACAGAAGGCATAGGAAGAGGGATATTTCAGTACCATTTAAATTCATCTTTGAGAGATTCTTGCATAGTAGTTTTGATGATGTATCACTTGATAATGTTGTAAAGCATTCTCATTCATGTGAAGATATGGTAATCTTTGGGCATTATTGAAAATAACATTAGATAAAGTACTACTTTATTTATTGCTAGTATCAAACAGAAATGAAAAATACGTTTACGTAGTAGTTCTCCTATTCTAAGTGCTAATGAATTGTTGGTAATTACAAGAATAAGATTAATTGTCCTATGTGCAGGTCCTTTTGATCTTTGCTTGTTGACAAAACTATATGCCTGTAATACTTCAATTATTCTACAAATTCTTCTATCTAAATTACTTTAGAAATTTAGTCCAACTTCATTTGGACTTTTCTTGGCAAACATATACAATTGTACACATACATGCAAACATGTCCATTGGAATCACATGGCAGTATTTAATTATAAAGTAAGTAGTTGTATAATTTAGAGTATGCTTATTTTAACTTTTATGATTATTATTAAAATCAAGTCACACATTTTTAAATATTATTAAAGATTACATTTTGAGAAATACTACACTTAACTGCAGGATATTTTTCAATTGAGAATAGAAAATTAAGCCAACTAGGAGGATTGGCATTGTATTGGTGATGAAGTCAAATTATAAGGGAACATACACTTATCAGATTTTCCCTGGCCCCAACACTTGGATCGTGGTGTCAGATTCTCTCTACTTGGTAACCCTGTCGTTCACACTGATCATCTGTGTCCTAGGGAGACCTATAAGTAGTAAATCAAGTAAGATTAGGGTTTTCTTTTTAAGTTGGAGTTTCAATGAGGATAACATAATTTATCATAAATACAATTCCCCTCCCCCATTCTTTAGACACATAATAATACTAGAGGAAATAATAAGGATAAAACTGCAAATACATAGCTTGCCTTAAAATGTCATAAGCGATTCGGTATCAAATACATATAAAGTGGTGAGTAGGGTGAATCCTAGGCCCTCTGGTATAGATGAAGGCAGCAGCAGCTGGAAGTTTAGTAGGTACAAAATGTGCCAGAGTAAGTAGACTCTGGAGCCTGAAATGCACTCCTGCTTATGAAAGGAGGCTAAGAAATTGCTGACTTACTGCTTATAGTTAGGGCTTTATGGAAAGCTTTAGGCTTAGGGAGGCAGAAAGAGAAAGACAGAGCCTCAGGATGACAAACTGATTCAAGTCATTCAATGGCTCACTGACTGGTTCTGCTAATATTACCAATACTACCAAGAACAGGAACCCCAAAATGCCATTGTAAAACTTGAGTAGGAAGTGGGAGCCCAATGCATCAGGCAATCACAAAACTACAGATCCAGAGGAAAAGACAAACAAAAATAGAAATCAAATGAACTGGCAGACTACATTATTCTTTAATAATATTTACTACCTTTCTCACAACATTTAAGAAATATATTTCCTCACCTCCCCACCACCTACATATAGGGCATGGCTTTGTGATTTTCTTTAGGCCAATGAAATATTGGCAGATAAGATAGAGTATGAACTGTTCTTGTTAGGTTGGACTGTCTTTGAGCTTCCATCATTTCCATGAGGACATGTGTGGTCCTACCTGCTGGTCCAAGGAAAAGGAAAGAAATGTGAGGTAGACATGGAGAAAAATGTAAGCATAGGGCCAAGCCCAAACACGTTTTAGATTCTGGATCCCCAACTTCTGACCTGTAGATCCGTGAATAATTGTTATTTTAAGCCACTGAGGTTTGTGGCATTTTATTACTGAATAGGATTGTGGTTATAGCTGAATACTCTAATAAAAAACACAAATAATTTTTTAGAATCCTACATAAAATGAATGAAACCCAAACATCTAAAATATATGTGGAATCTACAAATGCATGTAATCTTAACAAGGACATGGGAGAAAGTAAAAGGTTGGAAAATCAGTTAACTTCTGGTGAAATTTACCTTTCTGAAAATCTGACAAAGCCTTTAAAATTATAATCTTAGGATGCTTGCCATGGACTAAACTTTTATGTACCCCCAAATTTAATATATTTAAACCTAATTCCCAATGTGATGGCATTTAGAGGTGGGACACTAGGGAGGTAATTAAGCTATGAGGTTGGAGCCCTCATGAATGAGATAAATGCTTTTATAAAAGAGACACTAGACAGCCCCTTTGCCTCTTCCCTGATATAAGAACACAGCAGGAAGACAGTCATTTATAAAACAGAATATGGGCCCTCACCACTCATTAAAGGGCCTTGATCCTAGACTTCCCAGCCTTCAGAATTGTGAGAAATACATTTGTGTTTTTTATAAGCCATGCAGGGTATGGTATTCTGGTACAGTTTATTAAGCAAAAACAAGACATTTAAAAACAAAGCAGGCAGAAATAAAACAGATTAGGAGAGAAAAATATTATAATTCTTGAAAAATAGAAAGTATAGCATTTTAAAATTTTGGAAATCTATATGAAGTGTAAACTATAAACTGAATAGAGTTGAAGACTGACTACTTAAGTGAATTTCACTACTGAGTGACAAAGAGGAAAAAAGGCCATTTATAGAATATGAAGTTTAGACTTAGTAGCTCAAACATATATCTAATTGGAGTTCTCAAAAAAGGAAAATGAAGACATTTTTATATATGTTCTTTGAAAAAAGCTCCAAGAATTTCCATGAATTAAAGATATGTATCACTGAGAACATTTTGCATGATAATCTGAGACAAAGATAAGTTCACACTAGACATATTTAGAGTGAAACTAAAGAATAACAACAATAAATCAAAAATATTAAATGCTTCCAGGGAAACATTGTCTAATAGCATTTTCTGCACTAACAAACATGTTTTGTCTTCATTGCTAGTGTCACTAACCACATATGGCTGTTGGGTACTCAACATATGACTAGTGCTACTACTTAGAAATTGAGATTTATTTATAAAAAATATTAGTTTATTGCAGTTTAAAATGAACTAAACCAGAAGGCAATTAAAAAGAATCTTTAACAGGTTGAGGAGAAATAACTTACAAATTTATGTGTGTGTGTGTGTGTGTGTGTGTGTGTGTGTGTGTGTGTGTTACATATTTTAATACTCAACTAAACTACCATCCAATATTGGAGGTAAAACAAGAAACTTTCTAGATATTTGCTGTAGAAAACATATTGCATTCATATTCATACATATACTCTTTAGATTTATTTAAATCAGCCAAAAGATTCTCCTTTGGAGATTCTTACAATTGATAATCCATAGCTCAAATCAGAATTGCCATTGCCATAGAATATAAGCAGTATATCCTTGAGAAAATATTTTTGTAGCCATTTCTAGACTTTTATGCCATATATTATGATTGTGACATTTAGACCAAGACAGATTGCCTTTTAAAGCATCTTAGATTTTGCAAGATCAAACTCAAATTGAAAATGTACACATTTCATTATATAACTTATATATATTTAAAACAATACAATGTGGATGAAAAAAGACCCATAACATATCCAAAAGTAAGAACTTTATCAACTAGAGATACTCAATATAATTGCTGTTAAATGTAAGAACTGATAACAAAAATAGGGAACCAAGATATTTGATTAAAAATTAGTAAATTTAATTAACTGTATACTGTAATATAAGAAAACTAATTAAGAAATTGCAAACACCTTTAAATAGAAATTTAATATCTAGTAGTAATATTAACATAATGAATGAGTTTGTTCAATAACAGGTTAGGCCCTGTCATAGTTTCTTATTATATTCAGAAGAGAGGTAGATACATGTAACATTAATTCATAGTTAACTCTGCATACTTTTAAAAAATATTACCATAAGTAAATGTAGCTAAATTGTATAGCTTCTAAATCAGGAGAGAGGAAAATAATTTAATAGAAATTAATACAGTCAAAATACTAAAGGAGTTTCAAGAAAAGGTAAGTATAAAAAGAGACTATGAAAAAGACTAAAATTAAATGATTAAAAAAGGCTCTATTATTTCTTTATTAATCAAAATAAACCATGTGATAATATTTGTAATTTGAAATAATAAACCACAGTTAAAAACAGTATGAAAAGGAAGTGGTATTATAGGTGACATTTAAAGGAACAACCTGAAAAGTAGATATAACAATCAATAACTTGCATGCACTTATAAACATAGCGTCAAAATTAACACAACAGTACATGTCAGAGACAAAGAGCCTCCCTCTCTGACTCACTTTTCCACAGGGGATACAAGCAACCCAGACTGAGGGAGAGCACTTTGCTTCTTCCAAGCCCTGGAACTAATCTGGGGAGAGGCTTGGAGACACTGAGAGGGAAAGACACTGGGGAAAACTGCAGGCATTTTCCCATACCTGAGACTGAGATAGGATACCATTTATAACTGGGGCACATACAGAGTCAGCCATTCTCCGGTGACCCAGCAGCATGGCCATACAAGCATTTTAGTCTTGAGCCAGAGGCTGGACTGTTTGTTCTGGAGAAAAATAGGGACCTCCACAGCCAGACTGGAGGGAAAGTACCTCAGCAATAGGCACTGGAACTGTGCTCTCCCCAGTTGCAGGCCTAGGATAGGAGGAAAGCTCCTAGAGCTATGGTTTCTTCTAGGCAAAGATGCTAGCCGCCAGGGCTAGTTTGACAACCTGGAACTGGTCTGTGTGTATCACTGATGAGTACCCCAGCCTGCTCCCCTAAGATTGTCATACAGCGGGGCCCTCTCTGCGCCATCCCCAGGCAGAACTCCAGGCTTTTGGACCATCTACTTACTTGGGCAAGCAGCCTGAGTTTCTCCACCCCTTCTGTGCAGAGATCTTGGTGCAGGGGGTCCACTATGTTCTGTGCCCAGGCAGATCTCCAGGAAGTCCGGGCAAGTCTGCTTGCCCAGATCAGCAGCTTCAGCTACTCTACCCATCTTGTGTAGAGATCTTGGTGAAGTTGGGCCGTCTACACTCCACACCCAGGCAGATCTCCAGGCAGCCAGAACACCTGTTCACTGGGAACAGCAGCCTGAGCCACCCAACCCTTGTTGTGCAGAGATTGTGGTGCAATGGGGTTCACTATACACCATGCCCAGGCAGATTTTCTGGCATCTGGAACACTCACTCTGCTGGATTAGGAGTTTAGGCTGCTTCCCTTCCCCTTGCAGAAAACTTGTGGCTGAAGCAGTTTCTCAGCTTCACACCTAGGCACACCTCTGGGTCCTTGCTGGCCACCCACTGGATTGTCTCTTGGCACTGGTGCTTGTGCTAGCCATATGGGGACCTGAGGTGGATCTGCCTGATCTGGCAGCACCTACCTTGTCCCCCAACCCCTAGGGCTGAGCAGGGAGCTCAGACCACTGTACACTTCACAGATCAGCTTATTGCCTGGGGCAACAGAGAGCTTATCCCAGTAAACAAGGATCAAGTATATACCCAGTTCTATTGGCCACAGCTGGCTCTTACCTCTAAGCTCCATCTACTGGCTTGTAGGTTAAACTGCACAGACCAATATAAAGCTGACAAGTGTATAGGGCTATATAAGCAAAGCCAAAAGACACCGCCAAACATTGTCTACAGTCCCACTCTCTAAAGAGGAGGGGAAAGGGAAAGGGAAAGAAAAAAACTTTATTGGAAAAGAAGGAAAAAAAAATCATACTTGCCGGAAAGTAATTACAAAAATTAGAAGTGCCAGCATCTACTGATGAGAAGGAACCAGCACATGAATTCTGGCACCATGAAAAATCTTAATGCAGTGACACCAGCAAAGGATCACACTAGCTCTCCAGCAATGGTCCCTAACCAAAATGGGAACTTGGAAATGAGATAAGGAACTCAAAGCATGGATTGCAAAGAAGCTCAATGAAATCCAGTGCAAAGTTGAAAATCAACACAAAGAAACTTCTAAAGCAATCCAGAAGATGAAGGAAGAGACAAACATCTTTAAAAAAAGAAACCAATCAGAGCTTCTGAAATTGAAAGTCTCATTTAAGGAATTTCAAAATACAATTGGCCAGGCGTGGTGGCTTATAATCTCAACACTATGGGAGGTCGAAGATGGGTGTACTGCTTGAACTCAGGAGTTTGAGACTAGCCTTGGCAACATGACAAAACCTTGTCTCTCCAAAAAAAAAAAAAAAAAAAAAATTAGCTAAGAGTGGTGGCATATGCCTGTGGTCCCAGCTACATGAGAGACTAAGGTGGCAGAATCACCTGATCCTGGGAGGTCAGGGAGATCCGGTCAAGGCTGCAGTGAGCTGTGATCATGCCACTGCATGCCAGTCTGGGCAACAGAATGAGACCCTTTCTCAAAAAACAAACAGACAAACAAACAAACAAACAAAAAACTTTATCAATAGACTAGACCAGGCAGAAGAATGAATTTCAGAGCTTGAAGAAAGGTCTTCTGAACTAACCCAGTCAGATAAAAACAAAGAAAAAAAAGTTAAAAAAGTGAACACAATATTCAAGAAATATGGGATTATGGAAAGTGACCAAACCTATGAATTATTGGCACTACTAAGAGAGAAAGAGAAAAGTAAACAACCTAGAAAACATATTTGAGGGAATAATTCAAAAAAATTTCCTAATTTTGCTAGAGAGGTAAACATTTAGATACAAAATTTCCAGAGGAGAACACCTGTGAGACACTATACAAAAAGAATATCACCAAGGCCTATAGTTACCAGACTGTCTAATATTGATGCTAAAGAAAAAATCTTAAAGGTAGCTAGATCACATACAAAGTGAACCCCATCAGGATAACATCAGCCTTCTTGGCAGAAACCTTACAGGCCAGGACAGATTGGGGGCCTATTTCCAGCATTCTCTAATAAAAGGAATTCCAATAAACAATTTCACACACTGCCAAGTTAAGCTGTGAAAGTAAAGGAGAAAAAAGTAATTGTTTCCAGACAAGCAAGTGTTAAGGGAATTTGTTACCACTAGGGGAAGCTTATAAGAGATCCTTAAGGGAGTCCTAGGCATGGAAACAGGAACGATACCTACTACCACAAAAACACATTTAAGTATATAGCCCCCAAACCTTATAAAGGGACTGCAGAATACAAGCTACAAAGCAACCAGCTAACAACTTCATGGTAGGATCAAAACCTCACATATTAGTATTAATATTGAATATAAATGGTCTACATACCCCACATAAAAGACACGGAGTGGCAAGTTGGTTATGATAAAGAAGACCCTTTTGTCTGCTCTCTTCAAGAGATTCATCTCACATGTAATGACACCCACTGGTTCAAAGGAAAGAGTTGAAGAAAGATCTATCATGCAGCTGGAAAAAAGAGTGAAATCACTATTTTGACATCAGGTAAAAGACCTTAAACCAACAACAGTAAAAAAGGACAAAGAATAGTACTAAATAATAAAGGGTTCAATTCAACAAGACTTAATTATATTAAATATATATGTGCCCTACATTGGAGCACCTAGATTCATAAAACAAGTACTTCTAGACCAAGGGAAATAGTTAGATAGCCACACAATAAAAGTAGGGGACTTCAACACGCTGTTGAGAGCATTAAAGAGATCATTAAGGTAGAAAATCAACAAAGATATTTGGGATTGAATTAGACACTTGAGCAATCAGACCTAATAGACATCTACAGAGCTCTCCATTGATCAAGCACAGAATGTACATTCTTCCCTTCTACACACAGAATAGACTGTAAGATTGACTGCATGCTCAGCCATAAAGCAAACCTCAACAAATTCAAAAAAATCAAATTATACCAATTATACTCTTACACCACAGTGGAATAAAAATAGAAATTAATACCAAAGAGATCTTTCAAAAAAAAAAAAACCTCTTTGGGAGGCTGAGACGGGCAGATCACGAGGTCAGGAGATCAAGACCATCCTGGCTAACACGGTGAACCCCCGTGTCTACTAAAAATACAAAATAAAAATTAGCCGGGCGTGGTGGCGGGCACCTGTAGTCCCAGCTACTTGGGAGGCTGAGGCAGGAGAATGGTGTGAACGCAGGAGGCAGAGCTTGCAGTGAGCCGAGATCGCACCACTGCACTCCAGCCTGGGCGACTGGGCGAGACTCCGTCTCAAAAATAAATAAATAAATAAACTCAACTTGTTCCTGAATGACTTTTGGGTAAAGAACAAAGTTACAGCAGAAATCAAAAAATGATTTGAAATGACTAAAAACGGAGACACAACCTACCAAAATCTCTGTGATGCAGCAAAAGCAAAGTTAAGAAAAAAGTTTGTAGCACTAAACACGCACTTCAAAAAAGAAAGATCTCAAAATAACAATCTAAAAACATGCCTAGAGGAACTAGAACAACAAGAACAAACTAATTCCAACGCTAACGGAAGAAAAGAAATAACTAAAATCAGAGCAGAACTGAATGAATTTGAGACCCATACAAAGAATTAATGAAACCAAAACTTGGTTTCTTGAAAGCATAAATGAGATTGATAAACTGCTAGCTAGATAACAAAGAAAAAAAAAAGAGATGTAAATAAGCACAATTAGGAATGACAAAAGTGTCATTACAACTGATTCCACGGAAACAAAAAAGAACCTCAGAAACTATGACGAACACCTCTATGCACACAAACTAAACACGAATAAATTCCTGGAAACACACGATCTTCCAAGATTGAATGAGAAGAAATGGAAACCCTATACTGAATGCAGGTTTTCAGTATAGACCAATACTGAGTTTCAAAATTGAATCAGTAATAAAAGACCTACCAACTAATAAAAGCACTAGACCAAATGAATTCAAAGCCAAAGTCTGGTAGAGATGTACAAAGAGAAGCTGGTACCAATTCTACTGAAACTATTCCAGAAAATAAAGAAGGGACTTCTTACTAAATCATTCTATGAAGCCTGATACCAGCATCACCCAGCATTAAAAAACAGCAGATGTTGGTGAGGCTGTAGAGAAAAGGGAATGTTTATACAGTTGGTGGGAATGTAAATCAGTTTGGTCCCTGTGAAAAGCAGTTTGGAGATTTCTTAAAGAAGTTACAACAGAACTACCATTCAACCCAGCAATTCCACTTCTGGGTATATATCCAATAGTAATAATAAATTATTTTACCAAAAAGACACAGACATTCATATGTTTATTGCAGCACTACTCACACTAGCAAAGACATGGAATAAATCTAGGTGCCCATAGATGGTGGATTGGATAAAGAAAATGTGGTACACATACACTATTAAATACCACACAGCCATAAAAAAGAATGAAATCATGTTCTTCGAAGCAATGTGGAGTGGAACATGCAGCTGGAGTGGAACATGGATGCATTCCAAGTGAATTAATTCAGGAAAAGAAAACAAAATTCTGCATGGCCTGACTTATAAGTGGGAGCTAAGCATTGGGTAATCATGGACATAAAGATGGCAACAATGTACACTGGGAGCTCCTAGATCAGGAAGGGAGGGAGAGTGACAAGTGTTGAAAATCTAACTATTGGGTACTATGCTCACTACATGAGTTACAGGATCTATCATATCCCAAACCTCAACATCACACAATGTACCCACATAGCAAACCTGCACATCTACCCCTGAATCTAAAATAAAAGTAGAAATTATTTTAAAAATTAATAAACTGAAGAAGAAATAAATACAAAGATATCATGTGTTCATGGATTGAAAGAATTAATATTGGTTAAATGTCCATACAATCCAAAATGATCTACAGATCCAGTGTAATCCTTAATAAAATTCGAAGGTAAGTTGTCAGAGATAAAGAAAAAATAATCCTAAAATTTGTATGGCACTACAAAAGACCCTTAGTAGCCAAAGCAATCTTTTATAAAAAGAGTAAAGGTGGAGGAATCACACTACCTGATCTCAAAACTTACTATAGAGATATAGTAATCAAAAGAACATGGTACTGACCGAAAAAAGAAACACAGAGACCAGTGGAACAAAATAGAGCACCGACAAATAAATCCACAAGTTTGTAGTCATCAGATTTGCAACAAGGTCACCAAGAACACACAGTGAAGAAAGGACAATAAATTGTGGTGGGAACACTGGATATCCACATGCAGAAGAATGAAATTAGACCATTATACCACTCGATGCACAAAAATCAACTCAAAATGGATATGTTTTACAGGTTCATATGTTACATTTAAATGTAGAAGTAAACAGAGGAAAATTCCATGACATCTGAACAACAATATTTTTCAACATGATTCCAAAAGCATGGTCAAGAGAAGCAGGGAATCACCAAATAAAATTGTGTCAAACTAAAAATCTTCTATCCACCAAAGGAAACAATCAACGAACTGAAGAGACAACCTACAGAATGGGAGAAAATATTCTTAAACCACACACATCTAATAAGGAGTTAATATCCAAAATATATAAGAAGAAACTCAACTCATAGCAAAAAACAAATAACCCAATTAAAAAATGGGCAAAGTACCTGAATAAACATTTCTCAAAAGAAGACACACAAGTGGCCAAAAGGTTTATGAAAAAATGCTCAACACCACTAATCATCATGGAAGTACATACTAAAACCATGATGAGATATCAATTCACATCTGTTGGGATGTCTATGATCATAAAGACATTGGAGAACAAGTATTGGAGAGGGCATGGAAAAAAGAGAACACTTGTCCACTCTTGGTGGGAATATAATTTATTAAGGTCATTATGAAGAACAGTATGGAGGCATCCCACTGGATTAAAAATAGAACTATCATATGATTCAGCAACCCCCTGCTGAGTATATATATATATCCATAGGAATTGAAATTAGTATTCCAGAGAAATATCTGTACACCCATGTTCATTGCAGCATTATTCAAAAGAGCCAAGATTTGGAGTCAACCTAAGTGTTCAACAGTGGAAGAATGGATAAAGGTGATGTAGTACATACATACAATGAAATACTATTAAGCCTTAAAGAAGGAGGAAATCCTGTCAATTGCCACAACATAAATGAACCTGGAGGACATTATGTTACATGAAATAAGTCAGACACACAAAAAACAAATACTACATGATCTCACTTAAGTGTGAGTGTATAAAAATTGATCTCATAGAGGTGGATAGTAGAATGGTGCTTACCAATGACTGAAATGTTGCTTAAAGGATACAAAATTTCAGTTATACAAAAGAAATATGTTCAGGATATCTGCTAAACAATATAGTGACTACAGTTAATAACAATGTTTTGTATACTTGAAAATTGCTAAAAGAATAGATTTCAAATGTCATTGCCATAAAAAGGTAAGTATGTGAGATTATGGATATATTCATTAGCTTAATTTAGCCATTCCACAGTAGACATATATTAAAATATCATGATGTATATTACAAATATACACAATTTTTATTTGTCAATTAATAAAAATAAAAAGATCTACTTTGTTAATTTTTTTAAAAGCAGCTATTAAAAATATGTTCAAAGACTTAAATGAGAACACATTCAAAAACTAAAGTATGATGTTTATATCTTATCTGATAGAAATGCCAATATAGAGACTGTAAAAATAACCAGATGAAAATCCTGGAATTGAAAAATACATAATCAAAATGAAAAATTCACTTGAAGTGCTCAATGATAGTTTGTGGTGACAAAAGAGACAATCAGCAAATTTGATATAGATTAATAGAGATTATACAGTCTTAAGAGCAGAGAGAGGATGGGTACAGTGGCTCTTGCCTGTAATCCCAGCACTTTGGGGGGCTCAGGTGGGTGCATTGATGAAGTTTAGGAGTTCGAGACCAGTCTGGACAACATGGCAAAACATACAAAAAATACAAAATTTACCTGGGCATCATGGCCCACACCTGTAGTCCCAGCCACTCATGAGGTTGAGGTGGGAGGATCTCTAGAGCCTGGCAGGAGGCAGAGATTGTAGTGAGCCGAGATTGTGTCACTGTACTCCAGCCTGGTTGAACAGAATGAGACCCTGTCTGAAAAAACAACAACAACAAAATGAAATTTCCTTAAAAAAAAAAACCAGAAAAAAGAATAAAGAAAAAATAAAACCTCGCAAAAATGTGGGGCATTATAAATTGCACCAATATTTGAGTAACAGAAGGAGAAGAGAGATGAAGGGGCAAGAAAAAATATTTGTAAAAACTAATGTTTTAAAATTTCACTAGGGGGCTCAGCAGTAGGTTTGATCAGGCAGAAAAATCAGCAAACTGGTAACCCTGCTACATTTATGCCGGTGAGCTTCATAGTGTCCCATATGTCTCTCAGGCTCTGTTCAATCTTCTCCTACATTGTGAGGACTTTTAAAAATTCTGGTATTGGATATTCTAATCTCCTGATTTAAAACGTCACTTGCCTTTACTGAAAAGATATAAATCAGTTGGAGAGGTTAGTTTTCTGCCATTGAACTTTTCCAGGCAGTTAGCCATCAGGGAGTTGCTTCCTATTTGGAAACCACGCATAAATCCACATATACACACATGCTCACACAAATCATTCTGGGTCCTTAACGGTTTTTTTTTTTTTTTTTTTTTTTTGCGAGTCTAAGTTCATTCTAACTTTAATATCTACATCATTACTCTTTTAACATATATGACCATAATTCTCTATTTGCAGTTATATGCTACTGAATTTATTTCTTGTTGGCATACTAGGAAAATGAAATTCTACCAAGACTTCCTGCTTTTACTGTTTTTCTTAGTTGTTCTTTTTTTTTTAAAATAAATGTAGGAATTGTTTTACTTATTTTAATGCTTTTATCTTTTATTATCTTTTAGGTATTATCATGAAACCATATATACCATTACTCCAAGTAGCTTGAAATATTCTTTTTAATATCTCTTTTCTTACGTATAATACTATTATATTAGTAGCTATCTTTATTGAATATCTACTAAGTGCCAGACACTTTACTAAAAGCCTACATTTAATCTGGATATCAGTTAATGAGATATAATTGTCTTCCACATTTAACTAGTGAAGAAACAGACTTAGCTAATTTTTCAAAGCATATACTTCTTGCTGAAATTGATATTTAAAACTTAGCCTATGTTAATCCCAAACTGTATTCTTTTTACTATACTGTATTGTCTTTTACATGCAAACTCTAAGATGATGTCAATACTTTTCTAAAAAGTTAAAGAGTTTCTGGTTTTGATTATGTGTTTAATATTGTTGAGATTTCATGGCATCTTCCTATGGTTCCAACAGCATGCCTTAGAGGAATGGAAGCCTCTGTCAGATTTTCTTGATAAATTCAAGTGCTTATTAGCATGAAAAATGTCAAAAGTATCTATTCTAGAGTTTCTTAGTAATTTTTACGACACAAAGACAAGGGAAAAAGAACAAAGAAATTTTAAAAAGTTATATAATACTTGGGCTCTTATATAATATATATTATAAATATATATGTGATGATAATTTGGATCTTACCACATAAAATATAGTTAACTGGAGGCCTTACATACCTAATCCAGTTTGACATTTACAAAATTAAACCTGATATATCATATTGTTATTCTCACTTTAGAGACAGAAAAATAAAAGTTGGAGGATTGAAGATGTTTAATATACTCATAGTGAATAAGCAGTGTCAGGGCTGTTTTCATATCTTGCTATGTCTGACCTCAAAGTTTATATTCTTAATCCTTATGCAACATTAGACAGAACCTGTTATAAAAATTAACAAAACCATAAATGTGATTCAAATATTAAATTAGTTCTTGTATAAATTTTTAATTTTTTTTTTTTTTGAGACTGAGTCTCTCTCTGTCGCCCAGGCTGGAGTGCAGTGGCGTGATCTCGGCTCACTGCAACCTCCGCCTCCCAGGTTCAAGTGATTCTCCTGCCTCAGCCTCCTAGCTGGGACTACAGGCGCGCGCCACCATGCCCAGCTAATTTTTGTATTTTTAGTAGAGACAGGGTTTCACCGTGTTGGCCAGGATGGTCTTGATCTCTTGACCTCATGATCCACCCGCCTCAGCTTCCCAAAGTGCTAGTGTGAGCCAATGCGTTATGTGTGTTAATAATTAAATATGTGCATTTTAAAATTTTCCCATTATTCCAGTTTTTGGAATAGTATATGTGCACAGTATAATTTAACAAGAAGCATTTATTGAAAGGGTATTATGTGAAAGGCAAAGCACAACTTGGTAACTACTAGCAATTCAGAGCTCTAATCCCTCTGCATCAGCACTCAGTATGCATACTGTACTGCAGAATTTGTAGTAAGCCTGGGGAAACTTGAAATTATGAGATTTTTTCAGTAACAAAAAGAAAAAGGGAAGTTCTTTTAATTGAAAACTTCATGAGGTCGAGCATTTCGAGATTAGTTGCTATATGACTGAACTGAACATTTAGAGATTAATATAAGGTTATTTTGAAATGAGTGAAATTAAATTGAAGTTGTCCATTCTGTTTCTAGAAGAATTTGACTATGCTAGCATCATTATGCTATTCCTAACATCCATCTAAATCTCTCCAATAATACATTTTTCTTTCCCAGGGTTACCACTAATTTTGAAAATAATGTGTGTGTACGAAGTGTGACTGCAGAGAAATTAGAACTCTCGAATAAAATCTTATAATATTCTGAATACGGCCTAGCATTGTAGCTTATTATGTTTTGATGACTATTTTATGGGATTGGACTTGGGCCAAAGGGACAAGCAAGAGAAAACATCAGACTCTAAGAGGATTTGTATTATACTTTCCAAGGCATAAGACTCATTTATGTTGAAAGAATGGTGGCCTTGAATGGCATATGAATGAGGACATTTATTTTATTTTTGCCAATACCTATGTATCAATTGACCTATATAGATATATAGTACAATTCAAATTATAGTAACTATGCACACTGCAAGACACAGACATATGCATTGAAGCATAATTATGCTTAAAAAACACTTGATATAATGTGCCCAGTCTACAAAGCTGGTGATGCACCTATTTCTTTCACTGGAATTATAAATTCTCCCTAGAATATGACACCTTATAACTATAAACTTCATAAAGCAGGTGAAGCTATAGAGGCCAGAGAGTTCACCAACTGACCTATGGTCATAACATCCTAGAGAGAAAAGCTGTAACAACTGTCCCTGTTGCTTCAGCCTGACCCTAAATCTTCCGGACTTGTTCTAGGGAGAGTGAATCCTGGCTCCTTAATTATTAGAGAGGTTGATATTTTACTCTCAAGACGTTCTTGTTTAAGTCTTAAACAGCTACTTCTTGAGATTAGTCCCATAATAGCAATAGACAGTGGAACTGGAGTTGAAGAACAAAGCCTGTATGTGTTATACATAAAAATTTGTGTTTTAAAAATGACTTATTGGTGTCTAATGGGGCCCTGGAACTTTCATTTAAATCAGAAAATATAAATATCCTGCCGTATAAGAGATTGTTGTAAACCTTGGGACAGTCTCCCATGGCTGGTGTATGGAAAAGCAACAGTGTGAAATTATTTGAAGACCATGTCAGGTAAAAGAAAAGGAGAAAATGCACTATAAAGGGGACGAGAAGAATGGCACAGATCTACTAGTTAGGAATGCGTGTTACCTGTTTGCAAAACTTCTTTTTCTAGTATAAGCTTCCATATCTTATGTGGAGGAAGAGAAGGGGAAATGAAAACAATAATAAAAACAAAATTCCTAACGGATTCTACTGGCTTCTTGACTTGTAAATGACAATCCTCCAACTGACTAAAGTCATGATGACATGAGCTTCAGAGAGTTGAACAGTAAACAAAGACAAACTCATTTAGGTAAGTGGAAAGCAGTTGGAGAGCAATTGTAGGAGAGCAAAGAATATCTAATATGGCAAGATGTATAATTTTGAGAACATGAAGACTCAGGTATACATTCTGAGGTAGCGACAAAATGTCAGTAATAAAGCCTAGGACTTGGAAGAGTTCAGGTTGAGTGGATAAAGAGAGAACAAGAGAGAGACATGCACAGAGAGAGTGCGGGTGAAGGGAGAAAGAGAGAGAGAGAGACAACGATACAGGGACTAGCGACTCAAGCAGAGAATCTGTACAAACCCATGCAGTGCTAAGTTCGCATTTTCACTTAGAGGCATGCAGGCGGCCAAATGTCAGTAAGGAAAATCTTGGGTAAGAATAGTTACCAGATGAATTTTAAATGTAGAGCTATGGGAAGAGGTGACACAGGGCAGGGAAAGGGGACTCACAAAAAACAGGACTAATATTTGCATGACATTTTAAAGGAAACTATAGGAACATTCACCTATCCCATGACAGGTGCTTATATGCAGTAATATTTTTGCTGTCCACATGTTACTTAGATTGGAACTTTTGTTTTCTTAATATGCAAAGGGGCAGAAGCTTACCCTGGCTGCTTACACTCTTATCCAATGCCATTTACCTTGTGTGATACATAATATCTTGTATGAATCCTATTTTCTCTGTGTTTGTGTACCTTTCTTTGAAGAATATGACCTGTCTCAATAATTCTTTTAATGTTTTTCTCTTAGTCCTTTTAACATCAGCAGGGCATTTGTAGTGGTGACAGGAGAAACATAAACATATACCTCTTTTCTATTGCTTTTCTGCTATTTACAATAATTCTGTATGACTCTGAAACAAAAGAACAATTACCTGACAATTTCTTTCTGAGTCCTATATTCTGGCTTTCATATCCAATCTCCTTTTATCATGCTATTACCTCTCTTTTCTTCTGTCTTTGAGGATGGGAAAATTCATCAACACCCTAAATACCAGCCAGAGAGGAAAAAAGAGTCTGGATGGAGGCAGGACTCCTTTCAAAGCTGAATCTCAAGCACTGATCACGGAGCAGCAGCAAAGAGACACTCAAAAAGAGTGGAGAGAGGAAAAACTAGCTGATCTCTAAGGTGTCTTCCATTCAAATTCACTATAATTATAAGAATGTGATTACTGGAGGAAGAACAAGGGCAGGGGCATTTCTGCAACATGACGCAAAAAAATATTGACCTTAAATTTGATACATATGAACTTTCTAAATGTAGAGAGAAGCTACCTCCTTGCTGCACTTGTATGTGTGCCATTCATTTCATTTTAATAAAAGTTTGTAAACATGAATGAATGCAGGGGACAGACCACCTCTTTATGAGAATGCAGCATAGTTCAGAGAAAGTCTATTTACCAAAAACTGAATACATGTTTATACTGAAATTTTAATTTTTTCTATTTTTATTTTTAATTGTGATAAAATATAAATAACATAAATTTACCATCTTAATCATTTTTAAGTATACAGTTCAATAGTATTAAGTCCATTCGCATTATTGTGCAACCAATTTCCAGAACTCTTTTTATCTTGCAAAAATGAAACTCTATACCCATTAAATAACTCCCCATTTTCTCCTGCCCCCAGTCTCTAGCAACCACCATTCTGCTTTCTGTCTCTGTAAATTTAACGACTCTAGCTATCTCACATAAATGGATTTGACATTTTGTGGCTATCTTATTTCACTTAGAATAATGTCCTTAAGGTTTATCCTGTTATAGCATATGTCAGAATTTTCTTTCTAAGATTGAATAGCATTCCATTGTAGGTATATACCACATTTTGCTGGATAGAAACGGGTTTCTCCTACTTTTTGGCTGTTGTGAATAATACTGCTATGCACTCTAGCCTGGCTAACACGGTGAAACCCCATCTCTACTAAAAACACAAAAAATTAGCCAGGCCTGGTGACACGCGCCTGTAGTCCCAGCTACTTGGGAGGCTGAGGCAGGAGAATCGCTTGAACCTGGGAGGTGGAGGTTGGAGTGAGCTGAGATTGCACCACTGCACTCCAGCCTGTGTGACAGAGCAAGACTCTGTCTCAAAAAAAAAAAAAAAAAATTTCTAAGTCTACAAAACAAGTTGTTTAGCATCACATACATAGACAAAAAAGTATTGCTTGGATGACTCCCAACTTTTAAAAGCTACTGAATTAGAACATATTATATATTGGAACACGGTGACAGCATATAACAGTATTACCTTGTGCCTTATTACAATGGCTAATCTTAGCCACGAACATAGTTTCTGGTGGCTTTGTCTCACACATTTGAGAAAAATAGATATTAGTTTCCACTTTTCTGTGAACTCACTCATGACGTCTCACCTTACTTTTTAAAAATAGAGCCAGTATTAGGTTACTTCTAAAATACTTTTTTGGCAATGACTACATTTTATTTGAAATAATATTTCTACAAGCATCAGGATCATCTTGCATTATCAGGCATTCTTATGTATTTCTAATACACTTAAAATTATATGTATATTTGATTAATATTCAATAAAGTTTTTATAAGGTTATAATCCAGAGTCGTGATTTACAAATCACTTGTTTTTTTTGTATTACATTTGGAGAGTGAATATCCATAATGGATGAGATGTATGTAGGTTTAGTCATAGAAAAATTATGTAGAAGTAAAGATATCTAGAAGATTCTCTAACAGAAGGAATCTAGACTTTTCTCTGTTAAACTAGGATAAATAAGAATAATAAAGTAACTATTTTGAGTAAATCTAAATGAAGGAAAGAATTAGGTTCTATTGTATGATCTTTGGTGGTTCCAGTTAGGATATGAAGGCTCTATAGCTGTGATAGACTATTTTCAGGATGCCTTTCTCAGACAAAACTACACATTTCGGTGTCTGATAGATTAATTTTTGTCAGTCCTTCAGTTTGTGTGGCTCTTGCTCATTTAATCACTTTTATCATTAAAGACACCAGAGTAAAATGATATCCCCACGTTTACACAAGAATCAATGGTAGAAAAGAATGTTAAAATGTTTAGTTCATGATTGTCTAGTTTATTTCATAGCCCTAGAAACACTCTATGTCATTTATCTCAAGCTATTTTAAATTCTTCCATGGTGTTTCTCCTTAAGATATGTTGTGTTTCCAGCACACCTTTTTTTTTTTCCAGAGGGAAATACGAATTAATTTCTTGCTAGTGCTGTGATAGTTCTACTTTCACTTATATCAAATGCATTTTATAAATCCTACAGGTTTGCTTTGGATTGTTTATAGAAATATACTGAGAAGAAAAGGAAATGATTGCTAAGCTGGATTTCAGTCATGGAGTAATCAGAGACTTTCATGGAGTTTATTTTATTCCTTATTTATGATTTATAGTTTTTTTTAACTGCCTGCAAGGTACATGAAGGGGAATAAGCCAGAACACTATGAAAATATACATAAATGTTTACTCAAGTGTGTTATTTTCACCTGATAACAATTTTTTTAAAATTAAAAAATTCTCTATTGGAGCATATTTTTCAGAGCAAGAGCAACTCGCTCAATTTTTTCCCTCTGCTTTGTTTTGCTTGTATTTAGTTTTTTTTTTTTTTCAAATTGCAAGAGAAGAGGCAAAAGTTTTATTCTCCCGGAAGAAAGTGCACTCACTACAACTTCATCATGCCAAAAGTTGAAAAGCAGGAGAATGTGATAATTATGCTGTAACTACTGTTTCTCAAAGGGCACAGGCAAGAGGTAAACATAAGTAAACAATGAGGCTTAACACATAATCTAAAGCATAAAGGAGCCTTGCACAGTCCTGAAATTTATAGCACCATTCTCAAAATCAAAATCTGCCTGTATAGTGAGGGGTGTGTGTGTGTGTGTGTGTGTGTGTGTGTGTGTTCACCTTTTATTCTTGAATAACCTCCCATGAGATACTAACACCCAATGAGTTGAAAAGTGAAAATTTCAAACAATAGCAAACACCGAATAACTGTTTTGACTGAAATGCACCCATTTTTCTGGGTTAACAATTATATCTGGTATAAATATGCACCAGAATGAGGAAATCTGTGGGTCCAATGATAAGCCACAACATCCCTCTCTCAATGATATCAAAAGTATACATGATGAAAAGTACATTAGTAACACTGTAATCCCAGATGCTAGCTGGTGACTGTGTTCAAATAGCAGTGAAGTTTAAAGCACTTGGGTTCTGGAATCAGAATGCCAGGCTTAATTATGGCTCTGTATTGTCTAGCTGCTTGATCTTAGGTGAGCTACTTAATTAAACTTTGTGGTACTCAATTTTCTTTTCTGTAAAATGTGTATATTGACAGTACTTACCTTATTTTTATTGTTGGGATTAAATATGCTATTTAACTATAAAGTGTATTAAAAGGCTTAGTATGATGCCAGGCACTTACTACTTAGTAAAATAAGTTTTGGATATACTAGAACACAAAATGATTTTCTTGGTGATTAAAGGAAAGATCTCTACTGACTCACTAAAACAAAATAAAGTAATGCAGCAAGTGAATTAGGGGAAGAAATAAACTGAGAGATGTTAGAAATGTTTAGCACTCTCTGATTTTCAGTAGAAGAAAAGTATGACCTTATTATGCCAGAATTATAGCTTAATTCAGGGCAGACTACGGGCTGCTTGTGCAATCTTTGTGACAGAAAACTCAAGTTAGATATCACTGGGTTTAACAGCAAGAATTCTACAGTACAGAGGATTAATTTTATAAATTTTATTTTATATTAAGTTCTGGGGTATATGTGCAGGATGTGCAGGCTTGTTACATAGGTAAAAGTATGCCATGGTGGCCAGCTGTGCCTATCAACCCATCACCTAGCTATTAAACCCAGCATACATCAGCTATTTTTCTTGATGCTCTCCCTCCCTCCCATCCCTGGACAGGACTCACACTGTGTTGTTTCTCTCCCTGTGACCATGTGTTCTCATTGTTCAGTTCCCACTTATGAGTAAGAATATATGGTGTTTGGTTTTCTGTTCCTGCATTAGTTTGCTGAGGATAATGGCTTCCAGCTCCATCCATGTTCCTGGAAAGAACATGATCTCATTCCTTTTTGTGGTTGCATAGTATTCCCTGGTGTATATGTACCACATTTTCTTTATCCAGTCTATCATTTATGGACATTTGGGTTGATTCCATGTCTTTGCTATTGTGAATAGTGCTGCAATGAACATACACATGCATATATCTTTATAATAGAATAATTTACATTCCTTTGGGTATACCAGTAATGGGATTGCTGGGTCAAATGGTATTTCTGTTTCTAGGTCTTTGAGGAATTGCCACACTGTCTTCCACAATGGTTGAACTAATTTGCTTTCCCACCAACTGTGTAAAAGCATTCCTATTTCTCTGCAGCCCTGCCAACATCTGTTTTTTCTTGACTTTTTAGTAATCGTCATTCTGAATGGCATGAGATCGTACATCATTCTGGTTTTGATTTGCATTTCTCTAATGGTCAGTGATGTTGAGCTTTTTTTCATGTTGGTTGGCCGCATAAATGTTTTCTTTTGAGAAATGTCTGTTCATCTCCTTTGCCCAGTTTCTAATGGGATCGTTTGTTTTTTACATGTAAATTTGTTTAAGTTCCTTGTAGACTCTGGATATTAGACCTTTGTCAGATGGATAAGTTGCAAAAAATTTCTCCTGTTCTGTAGTTTGTCTGTTCACTCCGATGATAGTTTCTTTTGCTGTGCAGAAGCTCTTTAGTTTAATTAAATCCTATTTGTCAATTTTTGCTTTTGTTGCAATTGCTTTTGACATTTTCATCATGAAATCTTTGCCCATGCATATGTCCTAAATGCTGATGCCTAGATTTTCTTCTAGGATTTTTATAGTTTTGGGTTTTACACTTAAGTCTTTAATGAGAATGGATTTTTTTTCTTTTTGGTTTTTGTTTTTCCAAATGTTAAATGTGTAATGCTGTAGTACCCATTGCTTAACATTTGCTTTTTGGTATTGAACAGTATATTTAATGCATGCCAATTTTCATGAAAGCATGATATAAGAGTAAATATTTTGACAATAACAGCAGCAACAAAAACAGTCCCATAGACAGTCTGTATTCCCAAATACATAGGAATGTTAATATCTATTGTTTTTCTGCAATCTAGCCTAAATCGTTCTATGTTTTCTGATGGTTTCACCATAACCAGACTTCTCCACAGCAATATTCAATGCTAGAAGACAGCATAGCAGCACCTCTTTTCTACGATAAAGGCAACATACGTTTTATAACATGCAAGACCACAGATAATGTAATTACAATGAAATCTTTTTGAAGACATTACTAGAGGTTGATATTCAGATAATCAAGAAATGAATAGAAAGACTTCCTGAAAAGCATCAGGAATACAAGATTCCGATGTTAGAACTGTAGGGCTATGACTGTAGGGCTACAATTGGAAGATTCAGAATATTAGGATTATAGAATTAATAATCAAAAATGTGAAGTTTATAGTTATAGAATAGAGTGTAATTGTCATAAATCTTGACAATAAATAACTTATATAACTAAGAAAACTTGGGAAGAAAGTGATAGTATACAGAAAAAAAGGTAAATGTGATCGTTGATTTTATTCCATGGCTATAAATAAAATAGCCATGAAATACAATACACCCTTAAAACTGATAAACTAGTAATAGAAATACAAAGATATTTAATAGTAAAATGTTAAATACTAATAAAGGTAATATAATCTGCTAAAATTGATGATGAAGGAGAGAGAAATTGGGAAAAAAGAAAACTTATTCTATATACTTTCATCACTGGTTGTGAAGTATGTCAGAAGGAACTATGTAAGTAATTTTTTTTTTTTTGAGACAGAGTCTCACTCTGTCACCCAGGCTGGAGTGCAGTGGTGTGATCTCTGCTCACTGCAACCTCCAACTCCTGAGTTCAAGCGGTTATCCTGTCTCAGCCTCCAAGTAGCTGGGATTACAGGTGTGCACCACCATGCCTGGCTAATTTTTGTATTTTTAGTAGAGACAAGTTTTCACCATGTTGGCCAGGCTGGTCTCGAACTCCTGACCTCAGGTGATCTGCCTGCCTCGGCCTTCCAAAGTGCTGGTATTACAGGTGTGAGCCACCACTCCTGGCCATAAGTAATTATTTAAGTGTACAACTCTGATAAACTTTGTAGTCCTTATGTTAAATCATAATGGTGGAAATAACCACTTGAAAATCATTCTTCCTTTTAACTAGAAAAAAAAGTCTTGCAAGTTACCAGGAACACACACATACAGGCGCCCTCCACCACACCCGGCTAATTTTTGTATTTTTAGAAGAGACGGGGTTTCACTATCTTGGTCAGGCTGGTCTTGAACTCCTGATCTCGTGATCCACCCACCTCGGCCTCCCAAAGTGCTGGGATTACAGGTCTGAGCCATTTCTTAGACTGGTAAACATCTAAAGATCGACAACACACTATACTGACAAAAGTATTGGGAAACAGTATAAATTGGTATGGTTTATATGAAGTGCAATTTAGCAGTATATTGCAAAGATAAAAATAAATACATTCTTTAACCTGGCAATTCAATTTCAAAAAAATTATCCTGTAAACTCCAACATGTTTTAAATGACATGTGTACAAGTTATTCATTGTAGCATAATTGGTAATAGCAAAAGATTGAAAATAGTAAAATGTTTATCAATGGTGGACTTATTAAATAAATAATAAAATTACACAATGGAAGAGGAAAAGTATAGGAAATTTTGTTTTATGTATTTATATGAAATAATGTTGAAGATATATGTCTTAGTCTGTTCAGTCTTCTATAATAAAATATTATAAACTGGGTAACTTACGAAGAGCATAAATTTATTTCTCAGAATTCTAGAGCCCGAAAAATCCAAAATCAAGGTGCAGGAAGGTTTGGTGTCAGGTGAGGCCCACTTCCTGGTTCATAGATGGTGCTTTCTTGCTGTGACCTCACACGATGGAAGGGGTAAGGAGTCTTTCTCAGGCCACTTTTTAAGGGCTCTAATTCTATTTACAAAAGCATGACCATCACTTTCCAAATGTTCTACCTCTTAATAGGGGTTAGGATTTCAATACACGAATTTTGAAAGGACACAAACACTTAGATCATAGCATATAATAGGTTAAAAAAGAAATGGACAGAAGAGTGCAAGCTAGCATTAAAGCAAAATGTAAAAAGAAAATCTCTGTATGAGTATTAAATATCATCAGATGCATGTCTAAAAACCTGCATAGTAATTTATTCTAGGGAGGAGAACTGAACGGTACGTGCAGAGGTAGGGAGGAAATTTTATTTTGACCCTTTTTGTACATTTTTGAGTGTCATAGCAATAGTACTTACTATGTTTAAAATAAACTTAAGAAACAAAAAGAGGCATTCATTTTTGTCATCTGTGAACTCAATGAAAATGGTTCACTAAAGTAGTTTGAATGGAGTAGGTTGAGGGGAAAATAGAGTGAGAAATTGGAGAAAGGATAATAAAATGTAAGTATAGAAACACATATTTTAATAAGTTTGTCCATGTTTGGGGTTATAAATAAGGATAATATGATCAGAAAATTTCTTTAGATATATAATATCAATAGATAGTGAGATAAATATAGATAATAAAGAAAGATAAATAATACTTCAGTATATGTTCATGTTGTTAGGGAGATTATCCAATATTTAGAATATATATTTTTTAAGTCTAGGAGGCTACTTATTAAAAATAATGACAATGGTTTTGAACACTGGATTTTTTTTCTGATAGGAATTAGATAAAACTACTTGCTATCTATTTAGGCCACTTTGATTTGGTGCCAATAAGAACATTTTATATGCATCTGTTTATATAATGAAGGAGGACGATGATAACTGAGTAGATCAAACAAAGCTGCCTGATCGTGGGACAGGTCAATCCTGGTGGGCAGACAGCATGGTGTACTGTCTCCTCCCTGCTGTCCCTGCTACTTTCAGATTCCACCAATAACCATAATGTTTGCGGGTTGAAGGAGTGAGAAATGAGGGAGTGGCACTCTGTAGGTCTAGCACCACTAAACAAATGGAAAACAGTTATTATGTGTAAAAGAGAGATGGAGAAAATTTATGAAATGCTTCTATTTCAAGACCTATAATTATATAGAAATGTATTTTGCTTTCCATTCCAACATACCTTCTACTCCTGTTAATCTGTAACTCTTGGGAAAATTTATTTTGCTTATTGCATCTGCCTCTCACCATCCAGTTCACACCCAACCCCAACCATGATCACCCACACCCAAATGTCTTCTCTCCTCCTACCTCTTTTTGATGTGCTCTTCATTGGCTTTCTATTTCCATAATGTAAAACTTATTCCACTTTCTCACCTTGTCCTCCTCTAACATGTCATATCCTACTGCCCACACCAGCAGGCTCTCTACCATCTTCTACTCCAAGTTCACTTTTGGACCACTCAACTGACAACATAGGAAATCGAGTAGAGCTACTGCACAGCATTTTAGCAGATAAATATTACACATAATGCAGCATCTAGCACACTTCCCATGAATTGAGCAGGGTTAGTCAATGTTATTTTAGATAATTAATAAATTTCAGGAGAGGGAGATTTTTGCTTAATTAAAAACTACTCTGTTAACAGAGCTGCCTACAGAGAATCAGGCTCTTTTTTTTTTTTTTTTTTTTCAAAGTAGGATTTTCGTTCTGGACAACTAACTCCTAGTTTACTGCAATAGAAATTTCTTCATTAAGTAGGCAGTTGCTCTGAAAGATGCCTAAAATCCTTTCCAAATTTTAAGTTTGTAATCACTAGATTCATTTTCTACCTATCACTGAAGTTGAGTCCTGTATCTATCTGCATTGCTTGTGAAGAAGTTGTGTGTAGTAAAGTGATTTATTTTTTATGTAAGATATTAGTTCTATATCAAAATATTCCTACCTTCAAAAATAGTTAGCCAGGCCAGGTGCAGTGGCTCACACTTGTCATCCCAGCACTTTGGGAGGCTGAGGCAGGCAGATCACAAGGTCAGGAGATTGAGACCATCCTGGCCAACATTCTGAAACCACTTCACTACTGAAAATACAAAAATTAACCTGGTGTGGTGGTGCACGCCTGTAATCCCAGCTATTCAGGAGGCTGAGGCAGAAGAATCGCTTAAACCTAGGAAGTGGAGGTTGCAGTGAGCCAAGATCGAGCCACTACACTCCAGCCTTGCGACAGAGTGAGACTCCCCCTCAAAAAAAAAAAAAAAAAAAAAAGTTAACCAGCTTAAATATGCAACTAGCTTTTTCTGGAGGGGTTTTACTGAAATGAGTTTAGACAGAGACTGCACAGGCCTCCAGCACTGCAAGGGCAACCCGGAAGAGAGACAACTTGCTAAGCCTTTCAAAAGAATGGGGAAGTATTGGTTCCAGACCTGCTGCAGAGAGAGGCTCAAAGAGACTCGGCACTGGCAGAACAAAGAAACCTAGGAGGGAAGCTTTGCTCCAAAAGAGAGGTTTTGCTTCAGGAGAAGACTGTTCCAAGAAAAGGGAGACTGGCTGTTTCAAACTCAAAAAAGCTGATCTTATGGCTCTTAGCAAAATAGTGAGTAGAAAAGAAATATTAACTTGAATCCAGCTGAGAGAAGTGGATCAAAGTAAACCTACTGCATGTCTAGGAAAAGAGCAATGACTGTTTCTTGTACTTAGCTTTTGCCTGCTTTTCTTTCATTCTATAGTTTGTATTTTTCTATTATTTACGGTTGATAAATGTGCTTTGATTCTATAATCTCTTTTTGTTTGTTTTCTCTATACCATTCATATTTAATTCTAGGAACATTTGTGGATGTCTGTTATGGAGCAGACACTACACAAAACACTGCAGTTTACAAAATGAGTAGGACATGGCCCCTTCTCATGTGAACCTATTAGCCTAGTATGTAGCCACACAACTCATGGCAGTAACAGTGAGCTGTTAAAAGGCACAGGCTTTTGGAATAAGTGAGAGAGACAGAGAGAGAGAGAGAGAGATTCACATTCTGATTTTATCATCTACATTATTTAAAGGATTAAGTTTAGTAAATTAGATTCTTGTCTTCAGTTTCCTTATTTGTGAAATGTGGATATGTCCCATGGATTGTAAATTAAAGATTAAATAAGATCACGTATGTATATATACGTAAAGCAAAAAAGTGCCCAGCACATAATACATTTTAAATAAGTGTTAACTACTGTGATTATTTCCACCATTACTGCCACCATAATTATTCTAGAAAGATGCTATGGCATCATTTGTATATATTACAATTAATATTATCTGGAAGAGGACTGGAGAAGATACTGGGAAGGATATTTCTGACTCAGGCTTTGAAGGATTAAACCATTTCTTTGTTGGAAAGAAGACAAAGGCATTTCTAGCAGAAAATATGAGGAAACATTTGAGAAACTTTGTTTATTGAGTGCTAAAAGATCCAATTCTCAGTTGTAAATGGCATTAAACCAGATAGATATCTGCTTTCCTCTCAGATACATTTTTGACTTATTTCTACCTTGCTGTCTGCTGCAGGAGTTGACCTGTATGGAAGGTATCAATAGGTTCTCATGGTTCCAGCCAATGGGATTCCCCAAGAAAATACTAGAAGGAGGGAGGAAACAAATCAAGACATTATTTCCCAAGTTTCCTCCCTAGGAGGTAGTCTTGGGCCAGTTGTGTCCATTGATGAATATGTTCACTATTCCTCATATTGTGACCTGTTCTACCCCTGAGTCTCTTTGTATCTAGGTTCTAGCAATCTCTCCCTTACCTTCTTGCTTTAGGTCTAGGTTGGCAACAAATCTTCTGTTGAAAGGTCCAGGTTCTTGGATGATTCCTTTATAGAAAGAGTGTCCAATCTTTTGGCTTCCCTGGACCACACTGGAAGAAGAATTGTCTTAGGCCACACATAAAATACACTAATGGTAGCTAATGAGCTAAACAAATTCACAAAAATATCTCATAATATTTTAAGAAAGTTTACAAATTTGTGTTGGGCCAAAGGTTGGACAAGCTTGCTTTGTAATATCCCATTTTCTGTCTACTTCATTGTAATTCATATTTTATAATTAAACTGTTATAGAGTTTTACTGATATGAGTATACTTTCCATTTCCTGTTACAACTTTTCTTATAGAAGTACTGATGGATTTATTAAAACTTTGTTCATTCATTTCATTTATTCTATCATAAAACAAACATCTGTCAAGTGCTTATCAGGGTGCTGCTAAACACTGCCTGGTCTCATGGAGTTTACAATCCAGTGTAAGATATATACAAGTAAATAGTGATGACAAAGTAGTATAACAGATGTTAAAATAAAGGATGTAAAGGTGCTTAGGAACATATCTCAGTGACATCTGACCTGGATATAACCGGGTGACAAGTATGCAATGTGAGGTTTGTTCAGTGAAAAAGAAAGTGTAAAGCATAATGGAAGTGAGAATACAGACATTTAGTGTACAGTAAGATGGTGCTACACTTTGGGAATGGTAATGAATAACAAAGAATGAAACACAGTGAATCTAGCTGTACACATTTTGTCCAAAGAATTAATCACAGAAGCCCTGTGATGAGAATGGTCCATTAAACCTTTACCTGAACTGATTTGGATGTGGTCCTTGTCTTAGGTGGATTTGGGGATGCTCTGACCTCATTGGATAGAGTCAACTGTCTCTCCTAATTGGTGGACAGGACCTGGGCTACAATATGTATCTGCAAAGTGCAATCTTAAGTCCTCTTACTCAAATTTATCTTCCATATCTCAGAAACAATATTATTTCCTGCTCCTCTACTATTGTTTATCGCTTTTCACTTTAAACTGTATCAAATTATGGTTGATACCTGTTTTATTGAGGGTTCTCCAGAACAACAAGACCAATAGGATGGATAAATAGATACTTATTTGAAGGAATTGTCTCATTTGATTGTGGAGGCTAGCAAATCTGAGACCAGTAAGCTGGAGACCCAGGGAAAATTTGATTTTATAGTCTTGAGTCTAAAGGAAGATCAGAGACAGAATTCCTTCTTCTTCAGGGGACCTCAGTCTTTTCTCTTAGGGCCTTTGACAGATGGGATGAGACTTATCCACATTATGTAGGGTAAACTGTTTTACTCAGTCTGTTAATGTAAACATTAATTACATCTAAAAATATTTTCACAGCCACACCTAGACTAGTGTTTGACCAAACAACTTGGTATCATTGCCTAGCCATGTTGACACATAAAAGTAATCATCACAATGCCCATGACCTCCATGTCTTCTCTACCTGCTTCCTTACCCAGCCTTTAGCATTCCAGTCCCATCAATTTCAATTACTTTTTCAAAGGGCATAAAGGAGGTGTTTTTGTTTGTTTGTTTGTTTGTTTGTTTTTTTGACAGAGTCTCGTTATACTGTCGCCCAGCCTGAGTGCCATGGTGCGATCCCAGCACACTGTAACCTCTGCCTCCCAGGTTCAAGCGATTCTCCTGCCTCAGCCTCCTGAATAGGTGGGGTTACTGGTGCCCGTCACCAGGCCTGGCTGATTTTTTGTATTTTTTAGTAGAGATGGGGTTTCACCATGCTGGCCAGGCTGGTCTTGAACTCCTGACCTAGTGATCTGCCTGCCTCAGCCTCCCAAAGTGCTGGGATTACAGGCATGAGCCACTGCACCCGGCCCAAAGGGGTTTTTTAAATACTAATTCTAGTGAGTTTTTGACTACTCTGGGCCTTTTGGTAACTTCTGGTATGCTTGGTCACCTCCACCCTCATGGAACCACTCCTTTCTTTTTTATTTCTAGTCAATGCCAGGTCTTTCTTACTGTGTATCTGATCAACTGTGAGAATTCCCCAAGGCTTAGTTCTGAGTTTGGAGTTCTCTCCTTCTAATTCCCATTTTTGGAGAACACATTTATTATACTGGTTTCAACTGTTAAATCTGTGCCTGTGACTTTCACATTTTCTTATGTCTTGAACTTTCATCCAGGAGCTGTCTTTGTACTATTAAACTTTTTATCTAATTATAATTGGTAAATTACATCCAACTTACCAGTAAAATTGTCTGTTTTTTTCCCCTATAGCTTCTTGCTGTCTCTTCTATCTTATAATTGGCTATTAAATAATTCCACCTTAAACAACTTTGATTATATAACTCTTCTGATTCAAAATCACAATCACTCTTACTTCACGTCTGAGCTACCTTACCTACTTGACACTTGTCAATGTCTTTCATAATTTCACTACCTGTCTGATGATCTTTTATGCTTTTACTTTACAACATGCTCTGATTAGGTAAATTCACTCACTGCCATCAAATTCATTTTGTCCATTCCTGATTAGGTAATCATTCCTATGTTGGATGCTGAGAATACAGAAATGAACAAAACATGGCCTTTGCCCTTCAGATCCTGACAGTAGCAGATCAGTGCCAGATATACAGGAAGTCAAGGAAGGACTTATCTGCACACAGCTCATGCTAATACAATTCAGCCTATGACTAAGCATTTTAGTAGTTGCATAAACCAGATTTAGTGTGCAAGTGACTTTTCTAATAGGGGAGTAAGGTGCAAAATGAAGGTGAGTAGAAGTCAGGGATCAATGTGTACCCATACAAATAAACGTTGGTTTCACTCTTTCTGACACACATTCTCAGTTTTCACTAGTCCCATGTTATTTTAATAGGTTAAAGAGAGTCAGCTTTTCAACAGCTCTAGAGGGATTAGGCTGAACTGCAGGGTGGCAGTTTATGAATGGCTATTCAAAATTGCGTAGTTCCAAATACACAATGACACTCAAATCAGAGAAAGCCCTGCTCTTTCTCTTCTGTCTCTGTAAGGATTCCCTCTTCAGAATGTTTTATTTCTCTTGCCAAGTACTTAAATTTGACCTGCCCTTTAAAGCCCATGTCAAGAATTACTTCTTTGATAAAACTTGTTTGTTTGTTCCTTGCCTGATTAGTCTGGCTGTCATTGATCTTTTTCTACAAACAAACATTTAATTTAATATTCAATGATTTTATAATGTTATTATTTGCACTGATTTTATTTGTGTTAGTCTTATTTGTTCTAACTAAGTGATAAGTACTTCAGGACAGGGACATGCTTTATATTTATTCTTACCCTCTAACAGTACTAGCATAGTGCTCAGAAGGTAGTAGATGCTCAAAAAATTAGTTGACTAATTTTCTTTTTGTATAAAATGAGCAGTGAGGAGTATAGAACCAATGCTTATTGAACATCTAACATGTGCCAGGCACAATGGGAGCATATTATATATAATGTCTAACTTAATAATCACAACAGCAGAGTGAGGGAGATATTCTCATTCCCAGTTTTCAGATGGGAAAGCAGAGACTTCTAAAGGTTAAACAATTTGGCTAGGGTTATCATATTTTGTCATTGTCTGATCCAATCTTTGAATGTAGGTCTGTCTAAATTCAAAGCTCATCTGTTCCCAAATCTATCATGCTGCCTTCTTATTATACACTCTTCCTGTAGTAGATACTAAAATGCGCTGCCCAGATTTCCCCTTGAGGACTTAGGTGGCCATTTTTCCCAGGATTTGGGAGAGTCTGTGGTTGAGAGTGTTGTGTCCCTCTCTGGTACTTGACCTCAGTTGAAGAGAGCATCTTCACCTAAGGGGATGTCCCCTTCCCAGAGCAATTCACATCCACTGATTGTTCCATGTCAGGGTATAAAGGCCTAGCCTCTTGTGCCATTTTGGGATTACTTTGAATAGCATCTCAGCTCTAGAGATCTTGACAGTACTGGCTAAGACTGGGCCTACATTACACTTCAACCCTCCCCTCTACCTAGTCCTTCTGTCTTCACTTTGATATCTCTCTATGTATCTGAAGAACTACCCTCAATAAACTTCTATGAAAATCTCTGCTTTAGAGTCTGCTCTTCAAGGAACTGACCTGCAGACTGCATCATGTTGCGAACTCAATGATTATCAGAAGTATGCGACATGTTCTTGTGTGTTCCTCATGAAGCATGCTATCATACTTTCACAGAAACTTTCAATACCTACCGTGAATGCTAAAGCTAGCTGTAAGGTTGTATTAGCCCATTTTAACACTATAAAGAACTGCCTGAGACTGGGTAATCTATAAGGAAAAGAAATTTAATGGACTCACAGTCCATATAGCTGGGAGGCCTCAGGAAACTTACAATCATGGCATAAGGCAAAAGGGAAGAAAGACACATCTTACATGGCAGCAGGAGAGAGAGCATGCAGAGGAAACTGCCACTTTTAAACCATCAGACCTCATGAGAACTCCCTCACTATCATAAGAACAGCATGGGGGAAACCACCACCATGATCCAATCACCTCCCACCAGCTCCCCCTCTGGACACGTTGGGAATTACAATTTGAGATGAGATTTGGGTGGGGACACAGAGCCAAACCATATCAAAGGTGATATTACTACTGTATTTTTCTCCCTCCTTACTTCCAAGTCCAAGCAAAATAAATTATTTCCATGAACAGGGAGGCACAGACTTTGTTGTCTTCATCCCACAAAGTGATTCCCTTAAACTGATGCAAATTGTATAGCTACTATGCATGACAGTATATGTGAGCCGATTTTCTCAGAAAATGGAAGTAGAATTCTCATTCAAATTATTTGAGACTATGCAGAACATGTGAGGGGAATGACTGACTCATTGCAGTTACAAGAAATACTTACATTGATCCTTTTCCAATTCTGATGACATTTGATTAAAACCAGAGTCCTCATTTTTAAAGTTATATTTTTTGGCATATGATTAAATTCCAACTTTTACCTTTTACATAAAGATTATAAAAACAATCTCTAAGTCACTGCTTGTGAATCTAACATGTCTTTGATTTCAACTCTTTCATGCCTTTGTTACAACAGAATATCAAGTGAAAGCTTAGCTCTAATTGAACATTCTCCTTGCACCTAGACTACTACCATGCATATGCATATGCAGTTGTTTTTTAGGCCATGGTTGGAATATTACCAAAAATAGAAAAGTCAATTTTCAGTTGTCAGTAAGTATGTAGAGCACAGCCTACTAATAAAAGTTAGCTGGTGACTATTAAGGCACCAGAATTTAAATTTAAGGGCAAAGCAGAGATGTGTACTGAGAAATGACTTTCTGAATTACTTAGGGAGCAATGTACCCTTTGCCCAGACAGAAGCTTTATGTAGGGAAAATGTGAGATAAGAAAAAAAGTAGTGTAAATAGGAAATCAAAAACAACTCTCAACCTATAGAAACCCAACTCCTGGACAGACAACTAAAAGTAAAGACAGATATGGAAGAGGGAAAGAGCCAAAATAAGTGTATGTAGTCATATAAGTCTTGATCTTTTATTTTATTTTTCATTTAGCTAAATGGATCTGAATAAACCAATGAAAGATTTGCCTCTAATTGCCCATTTCGATTTCATCTAGGAGCTTCTGATGTTTCCTAGCTGGTAATTTGTTGTTCCTGGGTCTTTAGATTTCACTTTGCTGAGTCTTTGGATTTTGTGTTTTGCCTTTCTCTTACATGATGTCCCTTCTTTCAGACATCCTATAGTAAGAGCTCACAGCTATGCTGTCATCCCTTGACATGGCTTTAGCAGCCAATCACAGCCAAGCTGTAATATAAAGTAATCTCATCCCATGTAGCTTAATTGATCATCAGATTCAGTATCATTGAGGAGAAAAGAAAAGAGGAGCCCATTGTGCATTGTTATATGCCAGACAACATAGTATAAAGGGTACCTATCAAGGTTGGTTATTGCTGGTGTAGCTCAGAGCTTTAAAGCTTTCAACACCTTGGTCAGAAGCAAGAAAAGAGCCAACACAAGACCTGGGAAGCTGAGAAGGTTGACAAGCGTTAATAGTGCCATTATCTCAAGATAATGCTAAGCTGATAAAATATTTGGCCATGGCCTAGGTTTTTATTTCCCGTGGAAACATGGGCTTCAAATACTGCAATCTATCACAGAATCTCAAGGGAACTGCACATTTTGTAATGTATTAAATTCATGTAAACTGCCACTATGAAGACAGGAAATCTAATTTAGGGGAAAATATTCCAGCATAATAAGGAGGCTAAACTGAGGTGGCCACATTACAGACACACTGGCTTTCTGGCTTACTATTTTCTTAATCAAAGAACATGTCAGTGGGAAGGCCACCAAAAATGATATGGGATTCATAGCTGTCAGTTATGAGATGCACACAACAGGTAAATTAATATTTGGTGATAGGCTTCTGGTGCATGGGGCTTGACAGCTTTGGCACTACAAATGAGATCAGATTCTTTGTCATAATCAACCAAATATAATTATTCTCTGGTTGTCACTAGGCTGTTCAGGAATCCACATTAACTCTTTCAGGCCACCAAGAGCTCTTTGTATTTTTTTTTCTTCCTAGAAATTCACCGGTCACTGAGAAAATTGATGGAAAGGGTTACTGGCCTGTAGTTTTTGTACTGTATAACCAGAGCTTTGAACTGGAAGAAACCACATGGATTCTGTGACAACAGAACCCCTCCTCTCCAGGTCCCTAGAGATGTAGGGAATTGCCACAGATCATACTTCTCGCTAGTGGCAGAGTAGGGAGTTGAACTCATTTCCACTCAATTAAGTACAACTTACTAAAAAAGAATAATTTGTGGAATACTCTGATGTACATACTCTACTTTGAGCATAACCAAACCCTGTGAGAAAGACAAAGAAAAAGCAAAGACCCGGTGGTGAAGTGACTTACCTAATGTCAAGCAAAGTTGGAAGTGTAACCTGGTTCCTCTGATTCTGAGCTTCATGCTCTTCTTACTACACTGTATACTGCCTGTGTGAAAACTAAGATTACTCGCTGATTAAAGTTTCCCTTGGGTTAATACATTTCCTTTATTATTTTGCTCTTTTCCTAATTTAAAAAATGTGAATGTCTACTTTTTTCACAAAGATTTTAGTGTTATTTAACTGAAATTTAAATACACATTTAAGCAAGTCCTTCTCCTCTTCCTCCTCCTTCTTTTCTTTCCCCACCTCCCCCTCAACCTTCCACTCCTTCTTCTTTTTAGACTAGGAGATTAATACATCCTAGTGGATATATTAGTTTACTGATCCATTTATGCTTACTTCCTGCACTATTACTTTTAGAATGTATATACAGTCTTCATTCTCCATTTGCATATCATTTAAAGTTTATTAACTTCTAAAGGTTATTGAGTCTTACAGACTGTTCTTTATAAATCATTGTTCATGTCAAATGCAGATGTAGTTGTTAGTTTTACAATCATCCAAGAGAAGTAAAAATGAAAAATTACCATTTTTATTTTTAATATAAATGAGGGACATCTCTTGCTGTAACTGTCCGAAGTCCTGCAGTACACACTATCAGATTATACTACAAAGAGGCCAGCACATTCATATTAAGCTCAGGCTTGCTGAATTATATCAGTCATCAGTTATGAAGGGACAGTTTTCCCCTGACCCACAAGGGCCTGTTTAGCAAATGAACCCTTTCCTATTTAGAAGCTCTGGCTTAGACTCATTATCATCAAGGCCACTAATGATAACATTTAATGGACACAAACATTTTTTCTCAGATAGAAGACACTATAATTGTTTTAGACAATTCAAGTGGATTCAAGCCTTGTGGACCTTTTTATTTTTTAAAGTGGGAACCTCTTAAACAGAGAGAAAGTATTCTATGAAGATAGAGCTATCATGATCTTATTTTGAACAGGCGTAGGGATGTTTGAAAGGGTGCAGTATGCCAGAAGCTTTACTTGTAAGACAGAGAAAAGAATGTTCTGATCTATTCCAAACTAAAGTTTCAGGTGTGTTACCACCCATTCCTTCTACCTCAGCTACAAGTTCTAGAAGATTAACCAAAGCTCAGGCACATAGCTGTAACATTGATGGAGTTTCCTGGGCTCTTGCTCTTCCTAGGATCCCTGAGGAAGCATCTAACTGCAGCAGCAGCAAAGACATTCTTAAGACACACTGGTGTTTGTTTGAGTCTCAGCAGGTGGAACAGTGGGGCCTGTTATAAGAAGGTTAAAGAATATTCTTAAGCTTGATAAGTTTGAATAAACATTAGGCAATGTCTGTGTGATTCAGAAACGAACAGATTGAACAACAGTCTACAAAAATGCACCCAACGAAGTCACCAAACTGAATCCATTATGGTGGCATTGCATTTACAACACAGTGTGTTTACTCTACATGCCCAGCTAAAGGCAACACACATACACAGATACATACACACAGACATAATAATCAATTTTATAACTACCTGTATTTCACCTGGCATTCTACTTGATGAAAGAATGCCCCTATATGAATGTGCTATGAGAACATCGTTTCTAAAGCAATTTTCTGATGCAACATTCTCACTGTTATGAGTGTACTTCTTATAATTGAAGACGTTTCCATGCTCCCATTCAGTATAGCTCTTAAAAGTGAGTGTAAATTATTTCATTCAATGCCCAGCCAAGGAAATAGTGATCTATTGATATGCTGAAAGAAAAACTGAGTTGGACTTACTAAGAGAGGGTTTAATACTAACGCTCTGTGGGTGATGAAAGAGATTTTCAAAGGTAATTTTGGCTTTGGATCCTAAATTCTATCTAAGATACTACTCTACTCCAATGATGCTCCTCTCCACATACTGAACTATGATGCCATTGAAAAATACTTAGTTCATAGATCATGTTAGACATAGCCCCTCTTTTGGTTTATATTCTGCCAATGTGAAGTAACAAATCCAAAATGTTGGTAGTATCTTCTTACTTCAATTTCACCTGGACTGATGTCGACAGGGCTTGTCTGACATTAATGTGTTTCTCTCTCTGTCTCTCTCTCCTTCCCCCTTGCACACACTTCCACACTGACACACACAAACACACACATCATAGTTAAACTAAATGGTTTTGTCTCAAATGAGTTTAGAAAATAAGTTAAAATTAATTAAATAATGGAAAAGACAAGCATAAATCCACAAGAATTATTGCTGAAAAAATGTTCTGATCTCTTCAAATTAAACTTCCAGGTGTCATGTCACCTGCAAGAAGAGTTATGAACCAAAGAGTCAATCACATGTGGATCCCATGAGTTTTTTTGGCTGGTATCATAAAAATGTAGAAACATGTAATGCAGGGCCCTCTGAATGGTGAGCTGTTTCCTTGTTTGCAAAAATTCTAGCACCAAGACCTTCACTGTAATAATCAGGGGTCCCTACCAGTCCAGATAGCTGTAGAATTTAATGCAAACAGTGAAATGATTCATTGGAATGACCTAATCTGTACTACAGAAAAAATGTTGTAAGCATTGTACTGTCAAGCATAATCATAGACAACAGATGACAAAAGATACATTTATTTTTATACCATTTCTCACCAAAGAATTGGAGAAACCTTTAGTTTGTTCCAAGAGAACAATGTCAATGTGAGTTCAGTCTGGCTGCCTCCTGTTTTTGCAATATCCAAGTCTTACTCATCTTCTTTTTCTCATTTCCACAGCATTCCTTTCCCCATACAAAGCTGTGCTTGGCCATCACTTTTACCTCTTAGAACCATTATTGATATTTGTACATTTTTGACATCCATTTGCAGCTGTTGAATGTTGACTTTACATATCAAACACTTGCTGATTATTTTGCTAGGCAAAAGTTTTGTTTCTTTTAAATAAACTCTAAAATTTAGTCCGTCTCTACTATCCCAGAAATGGCATGCCTGCTTGCATTACCCTATGCCCTCTTCTTTCTCTAGTGAAACTTTTATGCTTTCTGTATCTGTTACTATGGTTTAGACTCCACTGTAGGATTGGGAAGATATTGCATTCCATCTTATTACTAGAAGGAAAACTTCCCGATGGAGTCTGAATTGTATAGTTACAATTCAGCTTGAGGGAATACATCTTACTCATCTCATAGCCAGTGTTGGGTGATCTGCTGTTACATTCTCAAGAGACAATTGCCAGAGGAAGCCAGAAAATTAAGCCATTAAACAAGTTAAACTATTTGTAAAGAGAAGTTGAATGTATTCTTTGACCAAGTAAAATTCTCTGGCCTTTTAACTTACAATATCAATTTAAAAAGATGAATATTTGACCCCAAAATCACTATTATGCATAGTAAAAAAATCATCATTTAAAAGAGAACTCAGAAAATGAAAAATGTCTTTCCATCATCATGTACTGTTACCAAAAAAGCTTCGGCATTCTGGGATCTTTATTATGAACTCTAAATCCCTAAGGAATAGATTTCTAACATTACCATTTTCAGAAAAATATATTTCAGTGGGTTTTTTCTGCCTAACCATTTTCATCTTCTATTTCTAGGGGAAAGTGACATTAAAGATGTGCAAAAGTCAGATTTCTTACTGGGTTTCCAGTTGCTTTTTGACATTGAGTGTGTAGCAACACCCTGAGAATGAAACTCCTTTCCTACATCTGAATTTCCATTGGCTCTCGTGATAGGAAGGGAATATAGAATTCTCCTGTATTAAAGGAGGGGGTGCCTGGGGTCAGGATCGGATAGGATTTAGCCCAAATATTGCAGCTAATCTAAGGTAACTCACAAATTCCTTGAGGAAAAAAGGTAGAAAATCCAAACCCGAGACAAAAGCAAGCTCTAATGACCCAACAAGGAATTTGCTTTGTGGTCTGTGATTTACTTTTTCTCTACATTTTGAGTGACACAAACCAGAAGACAGTTTTGCTACAATCCTGGAATAATAGCAAAGCTATCATTTGCTTTGTGAAGTTGGGCAATTTCTCAGATCAGGTTGTTTGTTATCAAACTATATTCTTCCAAGGCCTAGTCATTGTCAGGTGCTCATTTTCTCAACACTGTTAATACTACTAGGAAAATCTGACGTATATAATACAATATGAATATTTATATTCTTCTAGTTCCTTTAACATCTCAGTAGAGCAAGATTACTGGAAGATGATGTGCAGTGTAAATGATTATTGTTAACCAATGATTATTAAAGATTTCAAAGGTAAAGGTAGGCAGCATTAATCAGAGCACATTCACTTTCAAAATCATCTGAAGAGCCAAATTGTTCCACTTGTAAATTCTGAATATTTTCACAATACTGAACTGTAAACAAGTTCTCTTGCTATTCTAAGAACTAAAACCAAACTTCAATTAAGAAACTGAACCTGTAGGGGTGAGAGATTTGGATGATACGTGTTTCCTCATTTCTAGCAACCACTCGATTTTCTCTCTGGCTCAAACAATGAAAGAGCAGGCAAATCTCCAAGGCTGAGCTTTTTGGGGTGAGATTTTTCTAACAACTCTACGCCTAATTATCTGTATGTACCATCAGCAGAGATTCTCAAGGTACTGCTTATTGAAACTGACCTGGTAGGCATCCCAGGTCTTAAGGATGAATGAATAAATAACTTTGCTGAATGCTGCTGAATATGTGATAACGTAATTAGTATTCCTGCCCACAGAATTGAAAATGAGATGTTGCATCTCCAGGGACTTTTATACTTCTCTGTAAATAGTTTATCTTAAAATGCACAAGATACATATGAGCTAAGCAAAAAGGTTCACTCTAAATTAAAATGCTATTATGCTACAGATGATGTGGATGAAGGGTTTACTGAATTGTCACTCCCAGATTGACAGAGGAAAGCCATCATTTACATATTTTCCAAGTACATTGAGCCCCACAGGCATTTGGTTTTTTCAAACAACAACAAAAAAGCCATTCGGGTTAAAAATAATCCACTAGAGGAATACAATGGTGATCCATTGCTAGTATCTCCTGACTATGAAAATAAATGTTAACATTTATTTGATACTAAGGAGAAGGAAAACAAACGTTTGAGATAAGTTACTTTCTTCCAGATTTCAAAGTGAGAATTTTTAAAAAGTGTGATGTTTCAAAATCATCGGAGATTGCTGCCTCAATTTGTTTAAAACATTAAGGCATTTACCATATTGGCACCAAATCAAGTCAATCTAATCAATTTCCCCTTGGATACTTCAGTAACTTAGAATTTAAATGTTAATCAGTTCTATTCAGATTATTTACATACAGGTGCATAAGAAATAATCCAGTGGATTGTTGCCCAATATATGCTAGCTAAAACTGCAAAGACAAGAATTATTTTTTCTTTCTTCCAGAGCATTTGCAAAGGATGAGTGAACTTCCTTCAGACTCAGCAGGACTTCCTCAGTCTGGCTGTGTTTCAACTCAAAATGATTTCCTCCTCAGAAACAAGCACAAAAATGCCAGTTCATCTCTCACTAGAAACAAGAATAGAGATGTATGTCTCATGGCTAGAGACTCAAATCAGGAACATATTTAGAGAGCAGCTGCTAGTGGGTCCGGTTCCTTTAATGGCGTCACTGTAAACTAGAATAAACAGGGAAATGCAGACTAACACTGGGCCAAGAATCAGAAGAGTTGGCCTAACATTGCCACTAATAAGCTCTGTGGCTCTTAGCAAACCACATAAGCTCTCTGGGCTTCCATTTCTGCCTGTGTAAAAGAAAGCAGTTTGAACTGGTTATTCTTTCATTTATTCAAATGTATTGAATGCTTGCAATTTGCCAGTTACTGTTGAAGGGTAGGAAAATATGCCACTCCAAAATATGTCACTTTGACATAAGGATTATTTTTAAGCTGAAGGCAATTGGAAAGAAGAAGATATAATAAAAACTTTCTGCACTCACTCCCCCACCCCCGCCTCCACTTGCCTTAAAGCGGGACACTAATTTACAAAGGTGTCCCTTTTCCTGTCTACCAGGAAGGACAAAGGCTGATCATTGAAGGCTATTTTACTTTTTATCTTAAAAAACTTTTCTTTTTTTTTTTTTTTGGCACGGAGATTCGCTCTTGTCGCCCAGGCTGGAGTGCAATGGCGTCATCTTGGCTTACTGCAACCCCCGCCTCCCAGGTTCAAGTGATTCTCCTGCCTTAGCCGCCTGAGTGCCTGGGATTACAAGGGTGCACCACCATGGCCAGCTAATTTCTGTGTTTCTAATAGAGATGGGGTTTCACCACATTGGCCAGGCTGGTCTCAGGCTCCTGACCTCAGGTGATCCGCCAGCCTCCGCCTCCCAAAGTGCTGGGATTACAGGCGTGAGCCACCATGCCCGGCTTAAAAAACTAACTTTGAGACAATTTTAGGTTTACAGAAGTGTTGGCACATTAGTTCACAGAGTTAATTTCTATATACCCTTCACCCACGTTTCCCTAACGTTAACATCTTACAGAGTCATGGTACATTTATCAAAAGTAACAACATTAACTAAATTAGACTTTACTTGGATTTCTTCAGTCTTTCCACTGATGCCCCTTTCCTTTTCCCAGATTCCATCCAGGTTCCTACACTGCATTTTGCTGTTACGTCTTCTCAGTCTCCTTCAATCTGTGACAGTTTCTCTGACTTTCTTTGTCTTGCATGACCCTGAAACTTTAAAAAATACTGGTCAGTTATTGTAAAATAGCCCACAATTTTGGTTTGCTGATGTTTTCTCATGATTACCCTGAGGTTATGGATTTCAGGAATGAATACTGCAGAGGCGAACTCCCCTTCTCATCATATCACATCGGGGGTACAGAGATGACTTTAGACGCTTATCAGCCTGGAGATGGCACCAGAGGAATCTACATAAATAACTTTACTACGTAGCCTTTTTCTATGATGAGGTTTTCCTATATTTGACTTCCCACAATTTGCTGCCCCTAGAGCTCAAGGTCTTTTTCCTAGGTCTTTTTGCTTCTCTAAAACGTTAAAGTTCTTTGTTGAAGAACTTTAGATAAGCTGGAGTTCCAAGTCACCTCTTTGAGAGTTACTCTTTCCCTGAGTAACATGTATTTATGATATACATATATTAATAAACTTCCTTTTGTTTTTCTCTTGATAGTCTGTCTTTGTTACAGGGGTCCCAGCTGAGAACTCAGAAGGGGCTATGGTTTGAATGTGCCACCTCCAAAATTCAGGTGTTCCCAATGTGATGTATTTACAGGTGGTGTCTTTAAGAGTTGATTGGGCTCCTTCCTCCTGAGTGGGTTTAAGTACCTAACAAAAGAGGCTTCAAGCAGTATTCAGCTCTCTTGCCCTTCCGCTCTCTGCTATGTGAAGACACAGTGTTCCTCCCCTCTCCCTTCTGGAAGACACAGCGACAATGTGCCATATCGGAAGGAAGCAGAGAACATCCCTCACCAAATAATCAATCCTGCTGGTGCCTTAATTATGAACTTCTCAGCCTGCAGAACTGTGAGAAAATAAGTTTCTGTTCTTTCTAAATTACACGGTCTCAGATATTTTGATGTAACACCACAAACAGACTAAGACAGAGGGGGATAGTAAAAATTATTTTTCTCTCATCCGTTGTGATTGCCACTGGGATTTCTACTGGTGAACTGCCTTATGGGGCCTGCACTGATGCTGGTTTTCTAGCTCCTTTTTTGTGTTTACATCGACACCACCTTACTTTATTACTTTCAAAACTATGAAGAAAAGATAATCACAAGTCAGCCTGAACTCCCCTTTCTAATGTTACAAAGCTGAGGCCAACCTTGCTTAATTAAGATCCATAGACACATGTGAATAATTAATACATTTATAAGGAATGTCCTATTTTTACTACTTATGGCTTTTATTAGCTAAAGATTCTGTATCTTCTCAAAAATGGCATCTTATAAAAAGCTTCTAATATTGGAGATAGGCTGATCGGTGACCATTTTATAGGTGTTAGCAAAACTTACCTGCATAGATGCATAGAGTACATTTTTAACCTCTTGGTTCCTCAGATCGTATACTTTTTCTTTGCTGAGATTGCTGTCCCTTGCTAATCTCTATCCACCCTAAGCCAAACTTCTCTTATTGATCCAGAAACTTTGCTACTTCATACACAAATATTTCTTCAATCACATTATCTTCCATTAAAAAAAACACTATTGAGCAATTAGATATGACAGACATGGAACCAGGCTCTTTGTTTACATACAGTCTCTCTGTGCTTAGACTTCTATAACCCCAATGCCATTTTGCATATCTATTTTATTCATTCATTGACTTATTGCTTCATTTAACACATTTATTGACCATGTAGCATATGCCTGGTATTATTCTAAATGCTGGAATTACAGAAGTGAACAAAAAAAGTCCCTGACTTCATGGAGTCAGCTTCTAAATAGATGATAAGCTGCTGGAAGACAGGGCCTATTTTGTTATTTTTGTTTGTTTTTATTTTGTTTTGCATGTAGTAGAAAATGAATTTTTGTTAAATAACTAGAAGCTTGTGTTGAAGAGACACGCTATGGTTTTAATGTATTCCCCAAAAAACATGTTTTGGAAACTTAATCCTCAACAAAAGTGTTGGGAGGTGGGGCCTAATGGGAGGTGTTTAGGTCATGAGGGCTCTATCTTCATTAATGGATTACTAACTATGAGAAAGTGGTTGAGACAGTGAGTTTAATCTCTTTTTCTCTCTTGCTCACACTCTCTTGCCCTTCTGCTTTCTGCGATGGGATGACACAGCATGAAGGCCATCATCGGATGTGGGCTGATTGATCTTGGACTTCCAAGCCTCCAGAACTGTAAGAAATACATTTCTGTTCTTTATAAATTACCCAGTCTAACGTTTCTGTTACAGCAGCACAAAATAGAATAAGACATGGCAAAAATGTAGAAGGCTAGAGACAGTAAGACTAAGCTACTATATCCACACGGAAAGGATATTGTTAAAACTGGTCCTAGGAAATACTGAGAAGTAAACGCTTCCTTATCTGAGTCCAATTCGTCTGCCTACCTGCCTCCTTCCGTCCTCTTCCAAACTCATCTAAATACTTATTGTAATAGCATTTATTGTGAATTTTGCCTAATTATCTTAAAAGTGTTGGTATTTAAAAGATGAGTGGCAGAGAGATGTAACGTTAATATATATTATTAAAGTATAGTATTTCAAATACGGTGATTCAGGAGTAGAGACCGTTCTATTGAGGCAAATCTTCTCAATAAAATCACTGACGCCTAAAATTATGCTACCTACTAGTGATTAGTGGCTTGTACAGAGAGGTGCCATTGTTCTTGGCAATGAAGACAGAGAAATGATATCATAGTAATAGAGTGGCCAAAATTTTATGTTTTTGGCTTAGAATTTCTGAGCAAGCATTTTCTAAAGTTAATATACATGACTGTTTGGAAAGGCTAATTTCATATCAAAGTAATAAAGATATCTGAAAGCTTATTGGCTGGAAAGGTTGGTAAGGACCATCAGAAGAAGGGGAAACAAATCTGTTTTTCTAAGGATATATCCAATGGATCAAGCTTTCACTTCAGACAGCATACAGATTTCCTGACTTTCAATCTGACACCCATAAATATTCCAGCTCAGTGGGTCTTTGGGTTCCCCAGTCTCTATAAATATACCATAGCTTTTGATTGTTTTATGATGGAAGTTTATTTTATTTTATTTTTGCCTGCACAGTTGGCTTTATTTTCTTCTATGCTTTATAGACCCTTATCTTTTTATTAGTTCAGTGTTCCCTGTTGATTTTGTATTTTATATTCCTGCTGTCACCACCAGAACCTCACTGTAAACAAGAACGTTGTATCTCAGTGGGTTATTTTCTGTTAATGACCTGTGATACAGTATATAAATAAACCACAGAGTCATCCACAGGTGCAGTTTATTAGAGTTATTGCATTGTGGCTTGGGTAATGTTCCTCGGTTCTTTAAAACTTTGCTGCTTTGAGAAGCACAGGGGCCAGCTAGCTGGCAGGTTTGAAGAGAGAAAAATGAGCCTGTCACTTGGCAGTGGATGGGAACCCAGCCTAATAATCATCATTTTAATTTCTCAGTGTCAACATCTAGGTTGCTGTATGGCTTAAAAAATTCCACTAAGCCAAATTACCTAGATAAAGCGGTCTGGTTCTAATAGTTGTCTTGAACAGGAGTAGAGAGAACACACAAAAATCTCTCCCTGCACATAAAAAATAAAACCCCAGGAAAATACATACACTATACTGCTCAATTAGAACAAGAGGGATTGTTTGAGGTTGCACACAGGTGCATAATGAAGACTGATAATGACAGTTTATTAATGAATTCTCACAACCCCTGGTGAGGTAGGTGTTATTAAGACTCAGGTTCATATGGGGCAATGGAGGCTAAGTAACTTGCCCAAGGCCATGCATTGAATCAGTCCCAACTCAGGGAAGAGAGACGTCAAATGAGCTCCTGCTACACTTTGTGTTATAACCACTAGATCATGGTCTGTTTTTTCCTGGGATGAAATTAGCAGAAGTAAAATTGAAGATGAAGAGTCCAGAAATAGAAGGACTATTTGGTAATGATTTCAGAAGGGAACTAAAAGGCAATGAAGCGCTCTAAGAATATTGTAATGTGCTTCAATGAACAGATATATACTTCTGAGTTTGAAATACTTTAGGAACAGATTCCATCACACATCAGTAGCATTCAGGACTTGGAGAAGACAAGGGACAGAGGTAAAGTGGAAAGTACAGTAGAGGAAACTAATGTTCTGAACATTCTATACTATTGTAAGGTATTTACAACATAATTTAGCCCTGGAATCTTATCTTGTCATGGAGATATATAGAGAATAAGACTGCAGGCTTCTGTCTGACTAATTGTGAGCAGAATATTAGATCTTCATTTGCTTTTCTTGTTTTTTTATTCATAATAATGAAAATAATGTTCAAGTATAAATCTTTACAATTATTTATCATTGGTATTACAATTCTCTACATTTTTGCCACACGTATCCAGGATGACTCTAAACTAACAAAAGCAACCCATGCATAACAAATCCCCGGTAATTTAAGATGTTTAACTAGTGCATGCACAGCCATACCTGTCACCAAAATGATGAGTTTCACTTTGATGCATCTCAATCTTCAAATTTGTTCCAGGTCCTTTGTCAAACAGGCATACTTATTTCTCTTTACCGTGTTTGTTCTAGAAATAATTCTACTTAGTAGAACTGCATGATCAGTTAGCACTACAGTTTTATCAGATATATCAAAAGCATGCAATCTATGCCATTGCACATAATTAGTTTGATGAGTTAGCATTCCAATATAACTTATTCAAATTTACTTGCTGAGTGAACTATTGATGCATAATTTTAGAAAAAGAAATATTAGCACATAGATTTCACAATAGTCAAGTCATTGCTACCCCCAGCTACACGTTCTATTGTCTTATTTGCCATCTGATGGTGGTGTCATTATTTAATTCTTGGAGGATCAATACTGTTTATCCAGCAAGCACCTGTTACTTTAAAGGAATGTAGCAGGACAATGGCACTTTCCTTTGTTGTTGGCTTAAATTAGAGAAGTAAAGCCATCAGGGTGTAAAGATGATACCTGAGTTCTTTGCTTTTCTCATACATTGTGTCTCTCCAATATTTCTCACCAACACAATGCTTTCAGGAGCTTAATGGTTAAGTAAACAAAGCTCTGCATCCATAAGCATTTATCTGTATATGGATTTCTATAGGGGTTGTATCTTTACAGTCTCCTTATTAATTTTATACCAAGACATGATTAAAATGGCAAGAGAGAGAAAGGCCACTTGTAATGATTTCAGCATTTTACACTATGGAAATTCTTAAATAATTATCTAATGTTAAATCTACCAATGAGTTGTCACTACAGTTTTGGTTTTTTGTTTGTTTTGTGGAAAGAAGAAAGAAATATCTACAATACTTATTTACCTAAAGGCAAACTATTTGTATGTAAAAAGACAGTTACATCAAGTATTGGCTATAATGCTTCTTTACTAACATTTAAAAAGTATTGTAAATCACAGTGTCTGTTATGTGTATGAGTTTCTCATGACTTTTATTTTTGACCAGCCTACCCAATTCATAATCTGCTTAGACTCTTTTTGTTATTTCATACCTAACTTCTGTTTTTATTAATTTCTAACTTACAAAATCAAAACAGAGAAATGAAAAATCCTATATTTTGCCTGCTTTGAGATGATTTCACAGTGCTATTCAAAAGAAATGTTTGTATATACTTGATTAAATGCATGCACAAATGCATATTAACATATATATTTTTTCTTAGTGATTTAAATGACACATATTTTATCAAATAATTAAAAGTGAATATAGAAAAACACTATCAACAGGGCCTCCAGAGGCTAGAATGGTAAGACAATTAAGGGAATTAAATGACTCCTCCCTGTTGCTTCCCTCAGTTGTAGCTTCTCGAAGCATAAGATACCAGGAAGTACAGGACAGCATGGTCCAAAGACTAAGAAGTGGTTGGTAGAAAATGATCCGCCAGAGGGAAGCATCAAAGTGGGCTGGGGAAAAAGATGGGCCAATGACACAGATAAACCCAGGACACCTTCATTTTTTTCATGATTTGTGGTAATGTGGCATGATAAATGCATAGCTTTTCTTTTCTGCCTCTTTATTACCTTACTGTCAGTATACCTGTTTTCTCTAGAACTGATGGAGAATTTTAGTATTAGTAATCATGGTAGCTTAGCTTTTGAAATAAAATTAGAGATTTGTTCAAATAGGCACCTAATGCCAGAATCTGTAGTACATTAATCTTGCTAAATAGAAATCTACCTCTACCAGAATACTTGCAGTGACAGTGCATTTACCATATCACGAAGTAGTTATTCCTGCCTCTCTGTAGCTTTTACTCAGTTTTCTGGTTCTGTCTTATGAAACAACCACAATTAGCAAGACTCTTTCAGGTGTCATGCTTCAGAGTTTTGACAGCAGTCATCCGTAGTAAGTTCCTCTTCTCCTGGCCTGAGATGCACTATTACTCCAGCAGGTTTTTAGGTTACATGGTTCTGAGATCATCCTTATCTTTCTGGGTACTGTTCTTTAGTTGCACACTGGTTTTTCAAGATTTCAACAGCAAATATTTTTCAAGAATTGAAACAATATTCCAGATATGGTTTAATCAATGCAGCATGTAACAGGGTTATTGATTACTAAGGTTTAGATATTACACCTCTACTAATGCCATTTGAATTTGCTTAAGTGGCTGATCACTGTATTGCAGAATTCGCCCATAGTAATCCTGAAGTCAACAGCTTCAGACTTTTCACATTTCTATTGCCTGACTGTGGCTTTCCTATATTGTCTTTATGTATCATAAGATTATAGTAATAGAGAAAATGTTCAGGAAAAGGGAGATAATCATTATATTGTATGCTTATAATTTCTCCCCTAAAGTATGTGTTAATTTCTGCATCCTGATCTTTGAGACATATTAATATACTGGAGTATTTTAGGGGGTGAAAGATAAGAATAGTCATGGAGTTACAGGAAATGTTCTATGAGGAACTGTCAAAGGAACCGGAAAGGCACCATAAAGAAGAATGATGTGACAGCTTTCTGTTTTGTGAACTCTCCTCAAATATCTGAATGGCCTCAGTCGGAAGGTAGAATGCAAAGTAATTTATGTTAAAATAAGGCAAAATAAGGCAAAATTGAACCCAACATGACAAAGAATTGTCTCGCTATTATTTTTTTTTTTCAAAAATGCCATGGGCAGTTTTGGGCAACAGTGAGCTACCTGTCCTGGATGGCTTAAAAAAGAGAAAAATTTCTGACTGACGTGTTATTAGCTCATTTGATGGGGCTCTGGGCTAGATTATTTTTTCACATTAAAGAGTTTAGAAATATTTTTGGAATCAAATAACATTTACATTTATTCTCATGAAATGTTATTTGTAACTGTGACCTAGTCTTTATTTTGTCATGTCTTATAATTTAGTGTCATTTGCAACTTTATAAATGTTGTTTTTAGGTTATTGGTTGTTATTGATATAAAAATGGATAGCAACATATTTAGGGTTCCAGTTGTTAAGAATCTGTGGGAGCATGTGAAAACTCACAAAGGAATAATTATTTAGTACATATTTTAGTATTTTACCATGAAACAGTTTTTTCATTACTTTCTGATCACAGTTCTTTGACCAACCAACTTATAATGCCATGGCAATACCAAAGGAAAAAAAAAGAAAGGATAGAGAAAATTAATTTGATATGACCATGTGAATGCACTTGTGCTGACAGCAGGTGCATTTACTCTCTTATGTGACACTCACTGGAAGCTGCAGTCCAGGTTGAGAGGTGGGATCAGAGCACAGTGGACTTCAACTTTTGGATCTGTTTACAGGGGAAAAATCATATAGGAAGAGTCCTGAGGCAAAACAGTGGCCATTCAGCCTGAAATGGAGAAATGGTGAAGGGAGGAATGGCCTGGACTGTAAAATGAAAACGTGGTTTGGAGGGGGTTGGAGATGGAGGGGAATAGCGTGTCCACATCCAGAAAATGACAGTAATAAAAGAGTAGGCATAGGAGAGATGGAAGTTGTTGGTCAGCTGCTGCATGGATAGAAGTGAAGAAAAGATTCATTTTGGGGCATGAGTCCAAAACAAACCTAATGCGAAAATCAACTTTTGCTCTAGCATCATTTATCTATGGACTTGGTCCTCAGAAGATTGAGAGTATGGCCAATTGTAGACACCCAAAATTCATTTCTTCAATAACTTTATCATAACACATTTCCCTTTATTTGAGAAATTGGGACTTTGTGCATTGATGGTTTTAATGATCTTCTTTAAATATCTATGATTTTTCAAGTACTCTAAATGGTGACTCAGGTTGCATCTGAAAATTGTTTCAGCCCATAAGATATAACTTATTTGGTCCTACACATTTGAACAGTTTGTTTAAATGATCCCACAGAATCCCAAAACCTAAAGGGCTCTGTATCAATCAATTTTTCTTAGTGTCTCTCATATATACATATGTATATGTATATATATATATGTGTGTGTATATATATATACACACACATATCTCATATATATACACATACATATATATCATATATATACACATATATATATTTTTTAACATGAACTTATGTAAGACAGTTGTATCTCAGTACACTACCACCTCCTTCATGCCTCTGCTGAATGTGACTATTTTGTGGCTTTGGATGTAATTGTGTTAAGAAATGACAGAGAGGTAAAATCTGTTTATGGTTAACAGTGAGAAGAAAAAGAAAAGGAAGCATCTGTAGAAGCTCAGAAAGTGGAGTTAGTGTAAGATACTTTAATGTTGCATGTCTATGAGACATGTTACTAAAGAGTATTGGAATCACCATGACATAAGACATTAAGAAGAGAGAGAGAGACAGATTGTTGGAGGTTTTTTCAGTGACCATGATGCAAAGACCATGAAAAATGGAAAAAAAATTGCATACGATGAACCCTAAATATCTTAACCACTGATCAAGTGAGTTTGACGTTAGGAAGGGAATATAAGTACTGACTGGTTTTTTTGGCCATGGGAAAACTAGAACACACCAAGAAGAACAGAAAATTGAAGGTGGTGGGATATTTAGAAAGTTATTGTGGGGTGGGTGGAGGGGGGAGGGATAGCATTAGGAGATATACCTAATGCTAAATGACGAGTTAATGTGTGCAGCGCACCAGAATGGCACATGTATACATATGTAACAAACCTGCACATTGTGCACATGTACCCTAAAACTTAAAGTATATTAATAATAAAATAAAATAAATTTGGGGTATTCCTCCTCAAAAAAAAAAAGAAAGTTATCTACACAAAATTTAAAGAATGCCATGGTGTAAAATTTCAGAAAATCTGTTGAAAAAGGGTTTATGTAGATCATGATGCAGCTGAAAACCACACTGATGCATTTGACAGGAAAATATCTAAAAAAAAAATCCTGAGCTGTGAATAAATGTGTAATGCTGATGCACTGGTACCGTGTTCCTGCAAAAACCTTAAACATGGCCCATGAGAAAACACCAACGGAACAGGGTATAAGGGATCTAATTCTTGTAATCTAACCCTGTGGGCACACACCAAATGAAGATGTCAGGGATTGAGAAAGCTAGCATCTGAGATATTTCAAAGAGGTGTTTAATTTACCTGTGCATTATTATGCAGACAAAACCTATTTTCTAGCAGCATGAGCTCATTGCAAGAAAACTAGACTGGAAAAATCTGTAAAATGCTACTGCTCTGGACACAAATCCCTCTCTTGAAATTCTTGTATAAATAAATGTTTTGGCATTTAGTTTTCCCCAGTGAAACATTTTGCTTTGTGATTATAGAGTTTTACTCTGTCCCACTCCAACCTGATACTAATGACATTGGTAACATTAATATGGCCTTTCGTAAACTTTTAAGTTCAGAGGTACATGTGTAGGTTTGTTACAGAGGTAAACTTGGGTCATGGGGTTTGTCGTACAGATTATTTCATCACCCAGGTATTAAGCCTAATACCTGCTATTTTTCCTGATCCTCTCCCTCCGCCTACCCTCCACTCTACGCAGTGTGTATTGTTCCCCACTATGTGTGTTCTCATAATTTAGCTCCCACTTATAAGTGAGAACATATGGTATTTGGTCTTCTGTTCCTGTGTTTGTTTGCTAAGGATGATAGCCTCCAGCTCCATCCATGTCCTGCAAAGGACAAGATCTCATTGTGTTTTATTTTTAATGAATGCATAGTATTCCATGGTATATATTTACCATGCATACATTTTCTATATCCAGTCTATCATTGATGAGCATTTAGGTTGATTCCATGTCTTTGCTATGTGAATAGCGCTGCAATGAACATACACATGCATGTGTCTCTATAATAGAATGACTTATACTCCTTTGGGTATATACCCAGTAATGGTATTGCTGAGTCAAATGGTATTTCTATCTCTATGTCTTTGAGGAATTGTTGCCACACTGTCTTCTACAATGGCTGAACTACTTTACACTCCCACCAACAGCATAAAAGCATTCCTTTTTCTCCACAACTTCACCAGCATCCATGATTTTTTCACTTTTTAATAATCGGATATGGCCTTTTTTTAAGAGCCTCAGGCAAAGAGATGCTGTAAACAGTTATGGAATGTACAGTACAAGTAAAGTTAGTTTGAATTTGTGTATGTTTGAAACTTTAAGAAAATAGAAAGCAATATGCTTATCTCTACCTCTACACCATGTATCATGACATATATTTTTATATACATAAGCTGTAATATTTATATTTTTATCTGAGTTTGTATGACTATTCATATAGTTTATTGAATACATTTTAAAGTATTTGATTATGGGTGCTGCCTCAGGCACTTTTTTTTGTATTTGTATTTTTTTGAATACCCAGTATTCATACTACCTCTGAATTCTAAAAAAATTGTGAATTTTGAACTACTTCTCGCCTAGCAATTTTTAGATACAAATCTGTATATATTTATCTATGTGATTATTTATTTACTATCTCCTCACTATATCATAAGCTCCGTGAAAACAGCAGCCACCTCTGTGTTCTTCATTTTATTTCCAGCACATCTCTACATGCCTGGTAGAGATAAATCTCTACTGAAGAGTAAATTAAAATAGAATGTTGCTCTTAAATTTTCTCCTCCATTATCCTAAGGTATAATTTTTCTTCATCCTATTCTTCCATTTCTAGTGTGATGGCCATTCATGCTCCTGAAGGTGATTATTGGTTTGCATCTTCTTAGACAGACACCTAATGTCCTGCTACGGTTTCCTCTAAGCATCAGACACATCTCTCTCTTCTGTATCAGTCATCCTGCTGAGAGTAGATGTAAAAGTCTTGCTTTCATTTCTTTTAATGCTTGCCTCCCAAAAGTGTTAGATCATTTTGAGTGTTCATTAAAAAAATAATTCCCAGGTAAATACCAACCTTTTGTTTAGGCTTTTGGTTTTGTGTCTCTCTCCCAAATTATACATATGCACTTTTAAAATTTAAGTTAAGGAGATAGTCCTCTGAGCAACTGAAGAATTTTTTTGGACACATTTTTATTTAGCATGGATCATTCACAGTTGTATAGTCCCCAATGCCATTTTCTAGAATATCTTCTACAAGCCATATTCTCCCTCAACGTCTCCTGTCATGGTGCCATACTAATATTTTCTTTAACCTATTTGAAATGTATGCTCCTAACCAACAGGGAAAGTAAACTTGAGTTGTTGGTATTTACTATATGCTACCTAGCTTTTGCCAACAGTATCTGATTTAATCCTTACAGTGACTTTGAAAGCTGGCATTCTTATTTTATTGATGAGGAAACTACAATTTAAAGAAAGTAAGTAAATACTGCAGGTCTTTCCAACTCCAGTCATATACTTCCACTCTATTACACTGTGTTTAAGTCCAACCACATCTAGTGTTATCTTTGCTCATTATCACAAAGTCCTGGTTAATATTATTATTCCTACTCAAATTTCTGTACGTTTGAATTAAATCCAATTTTATTTTCTTCATTAAACAAAATAATATACTACATAATTATTATTTTTTGCCTTACCTTTTTGTCTTCTGTGAGATTGTAACTTCGTAAAAAGGCAAAGAATTTTACAAATTTTTTATTTATTTTCCCAGCAGAGTTGAAATTTCTTGCCTCTGTTCAAATGTTGGAACTAGTATTTGGAAAGCGAATGTGGAGGTAGCAGGGATCATTTGTTAAGTGTTGACTATAGCAAATCTGTGCCAAATACTTAATTTGATTATCTCTTTTATTATTTAGACAACATAGATATTACCATATTCAATTTAGTTGTTCTTTTTTCCAATCTATTTTATTGAATTAGAATGTGTCTTTTCAAGCAGTCATAGTCAAATCCCCATCTTACTTTTCTCTTCACTTTCTCTTCTTAAAACACATTTAATAAACAAAGCTATAGGAGAGAAGGTAAGAAGAATCTTTTATGCTACAAACTATATTTAGAATTTCTGAGACTTGGAATAGAGAATAAGAGTCTTGCCATGTACTATTGAGAATATTAAAGGTGACTTTTCAGAGAAACAGGTTTTCACTACATATAGATGTTGAAACGGTAGTATTGGAAAGAGGTCATATAGGGAAGAAACTTAGGAGTTTATTGTCCTATAGGTAGTAATAAAATATTTGGTGATTACTCTGTCAGCTTTTGTCTAGGACATCACCTAATCCAGGGGCATGGAAAGTATCACTAGGCCAATAAAATTTTCGAAGTTTCTATTGGCCACATGGCCTGTTTCTTACGTGGTCATGGCTGCAGATGCTTCAGATTCTGCTACTCTTAATGAACTTCTTCTACCAAAACTATATCTTTAGAAGAAGTGATACATTTCCATTATCTCATTATGAACATTAATCTCATGTCATCAAGTCCCAGAGGATATAAAATTTACTTTCTTGTTCAAAATTTCAAGTTAACTTTGCTACCTAGTCTATGTGTTGGTATATATTCAATGACAATCAGAAATCTATTTTTCATATAAGATTCTCTGATATTGTCACCTGAGTATATATAGGAAAAAAAAACCTGTATTATGCTAGCACACTCGATGTCACGTATGTTGTCCTCCATTTAATCTACTTTTTAAAATTAATCTATGTGTGCAATGCATTTTTCCATATACTCATCAACTCCATTTAAAGTCTTTAACTGGGCAACTCACTTACCAACCACATATTCCCCCAGTGCTCTTCTGTGCCTTCTCTCATATCTGGGAAATGATTTCACTTTCAGAAAGATAAAGCTCTAATGAGACCTTAGGAATCTTTGTTCAAAGATGTCCAGTCCACCAGGGATCAGCTAGGAAGGTGTCTGAAGTGTGAATTACTTACTGATTAGAAGCCAACACTAGATTTTTCTCTATTTCTTGAGGTCACCAATCAAATTCAAAACATGTTTTAAATTCTACCCAACAGCAAAGCTCTTTTTTAAACACAGGCATTTTTTTCATTCTTCTTTGCTGAGAAGATTATTTCAAATTCACAGCTTTCAAACTTTGTGGTGAATGAAAAATAATGGTTTAATAGACATTGACCCTTCACAAACAGTATACCATTAGATGGTTTAAATAATGTACTTGCTGACTTCCCAGGTCTAAAATAGGTTTTATAGAAAATGTGATTATTACTAAATGGTAGCTGGATTATACACAATTAGAAGGTTTTTAAGCATTTTATAAATTCAAAGTTTTAAAGCCTTTTAAATAGTTTTAAGCAATTTGGAAATATTAAAAAAAAAACAAGAGTGGTGAGTTAACCTCTTTAGTTTTTCCATTCATTGCATTTTAGATAAATTTCTGCCTTTAATTAGCTTGCAAAAATATGGGAAAACCCATCTATATATTGAGGTTCTTCCTCATTAGACAGAAAGCAACACCAGCTGAGATGTTATTTAGACCAGATGGAGCTTAGACTGAATGAGGAGTCTATTTTCTTCAGTGGTACAATGAACAGAGCAATTATTTTGTGTGTGTATGTGAGGATTGAATACTGCTTTGCAAAACCCCATGATAACAATATATCTTCAAATCTGTATGCTGATTTTTTTCATCACTTCTGGGAGGAGAATCCTCAGGAAATCTTTAATATTTAATGTTAGAAAGGAAAGAAAGAGAGAAAGAGGGAAAGGGAGGGAGAGAATAATAAAAATACAAAACCCTAATAGTGGTTTACTCCTCTGTGTCTGCTAGGTAGAAAAGGATTATTATCTTGTGTCATTAACATACAAGGGCTCCATTATTTAGTCAGTTTCATTTTCATGTTAATCACCGTTACTTAAAAGTTTCAGGGAACTCACGGAGTTTGGTGTCATCCGAGGTTAGGCTGAAATGTCTTGAATCAGCTAGCTTGTAAAACTGCCACAGTTTAAACTAATGCCATTGGTTGGTTCATCTTATGCAAAAAAGATACAGATCTCCCTGAAAGCCTCTATTTTTCTTTCCTCTCTACCTTTTGCCCAGGGAACTGAATAGAAACTTTAAAGCTTAAATTAAAAGAATCTTTTCTCATTTATTTGGGAAGTAGGAAATTGGAGATTGCTTAGTCTAGAGAACTTTCAAAGGCTTGATACCTAAAGGTATTCTTCAGGTGAATTTTTCCCAGTGACGTGACATCACTTGAAAACACGAAAGCCTCATCATTTACCAGGTTGGTAATAATTTTGGTATAAAAATAGGCCTCCATAGAAATGCAGCTTGAATCAATAACAAGCAACAGTGTTTCCTTTGTGATAAATTGACACTAAAGCCCAATATTGAAAATCTCTTATATTATTTAGAGGAGTAGTGATCAAAGACACAAGAGAAGAAAGAGCTGGCAGCCTCGTATATTCTGTACTGATGCTGAGATAGTGTCAGTAATAGGGGATGCAGTTACTACCTGGGAGAGCTGGAGAGCAGCTTTAAACTTCACATTCATAAATCTTCTGGAAAAGTCAGGGCAGGAGTTAAAAAAAAATCAGCACAGTGTCTTCCTGAAGTTTTTATAAACTAGCTATTCAAATTGTCATTCTCCACTATGACTGGGGCAAATATGAATTTGTGTAGAACAAAACAAAACAAAAAGGGAATGTCAGTAGACTGGTGATGGAAATGATAAGAAAATGCTGAGAGTTGGCTAATGAGGGTCGTTTCACTGTAGGGAGATACTAGTCACATTCCCTTTTCTAATTTATCTAGCATTTTGTCATCAGGCTACTCTTACTAAAGTCCAGTTTTCTCCACATTACTTTTTGCTTAAAACTCTCTGTGCTTCCCCATTCCTTACAGACTACAGTGTTATAGATGGCTGCACTGAAAGATTGAACACATTAAACATTGATGGCCAAATTTAAATCCTGTGACATAGAAGTTATTGAGAATAATCTGTACTATAGCGTCTTACAATTTAAACAATTATAGATAGCATAACATAACATTCTAGCATGTCTTAAACATTATCAATAAAATATATTCATTTACATATTTTAATTCTTTATTATAAAAACAAACATCTTCTTTTCAAGTAAAGCAAATACTTTGGTGATTCAAACTTGATAACATGTACAAGGCAGTGCTTACCAATGAATCACATATTCTAGTTAATTCTCTCATACATATCGTAGTTGGAAATTATTTACATGGACTAGATCTGTTCGATAACTTTTATAGTGTTATGCTCTTCTTTTTTTTAGGCTTTTCTTTTATCACTATTCTTTACTGATTTCACAGCAGAGTTTCTATTTGATTGTATCATCTATGTGACACTTTTCAATATTTTGCTCTGTATGTTTTCTCAGAAATCTCACAAAGGTTTGGTCCATGTTTATGTTTCTTAAAAATTTTAATTATTTAAGTAAATAAAATTTAAAAAATGTTAGCAATTTTTATACATGACATTAAGTTAAAATTAAAATGTCAATAAAAAAGTTAGGAGAACCTTACATCATAAATGAGAGGATAGATTTATATTTATTATTATTATTTTTTTTAAATTTATTTATTGATTATTATTATACTTTAAGTTTTAGGGTACATGTGCACAATGTGCAGGTTAGTTACATGTGTATACATGTGCCATGCTGGTGCACTGCACCCACTAACTCGTCATCCAGCATTAGGTATGTCTCCCAGTGCTATCCCTCCCCCCTCCCCCCACCCCACAACAGTCCCCAGAGTGTGATGTTCCCCTTCCTGTGTCCATGTGTTCTCATTGTTTAATTCCCACCTATGAGTGAGAATATGCGGTATTTGGTTTTTTGTTCTTGCGATAGTTTACTGAGAATGATGATCTCCAATTTCATCCATGTCCCTACAAAGGACATGAACTCATCATTTTTTATGGCTGCATAGTATTCCATGGTGTATATGTGCCACATTTTCTTAATCCAGTCTATCATTGTTGGACATTTGGGTTGGTTCCAAGTCTTTGCTATTGGGAATAATACCGCAATAAACATACATGTGCATGTGTCTTCATAGCAGCATGATTTATAGTCCTTTGGGTATATACCCAGTAATGGGATGGCTGGGTCAAATGGTATCTCTAGTTCTAGATCCCTGAGGAATCGCCACACTGACTTCCACAATGGTTGAACCAGTTTACAGTCCCACCAGCAGTGTAAAAGTGTTCCTATTTCTCCACATCCTCTCCAGCACCTGTTATTTCCTGACTTTTTAATGATTGCCATTCTAACTGGTGTGAGATGGTATCTCATTGTGGTTTTGATTTGCATTTCTCTGATGGCCAGTGATGGTGAGCCTTTTTTCATGTGTTTTTTGGCTGCATAAATGCCTTCTTTTGAGAAGTGTCTATTCATGTCCTTTGTCCACTTTTTGATGGGGTTGTTTTTTTCTTGTAAATTTGTTTGAGTTCATTGTAGATTCTGGATATTAGCCCTTTGTCAGACGAGTAGGTTGTGAAAATTTTCTCCCATTTTGTAGGTTGCCATTTCACTCTGACGGTAGTTTCTTTTGCTGTGCAGAAGCTCTTTAGTTTAATTAGATCCCATTTGTCAATTTTGGCTTTTGTTGCCATTGCTTTTGGTGTTTTAGACATGAAGTCCTTGCCCATGCCTATGTCCTGAATGGTAATGCCTAGGTTTTCTTCTAGTGTTTTTATGGTTTTAAGTCTAACGTTTAAATCTTTAATCCATCTTGAATTGATTTTTGTATAAGGTGTAAGGAAGGGATCCAGTTTCAGCTTTCTACATATGGCTAGCCAGTTTTCCCAGCACCATTTATTAAATAGGGAATCCTTTCCCCATTGCTTGTTTTTCTCAGGTTTGTCAAAGATCAGATAGTTGTAGATATGCGGCATTATTTCTGAGGGCTCTATTCTGTTCCATTCATCTATATCTCTGTTTTGGTACCAGTACCATGCTGTTTTGGTTACTGTAGCCTTGTAGTATAGTTTGAAGTCAGGTAGTGTGATGCCTCCAGCTTTGTTCTTTTGGCCTAGGATTGACTTGGCGATGTGGGCTCTTTTTTGGTTCCATATGAACTTTAAAGTAGTGTTTTCCAGTTCTGTGAAGAAAGTCATTGGTAGCTTGATGGGGATGGCATTGAATCTATAAATTACCTTGGGCAGTATGGCCATTTTCACGATATTGATTCTTCCTACCCATGAGCATGGAATGTTCTTCCATTTGTTTGTATCCTCTTTTATTTCCTTGAGCAGTGGTTTGTAGTTCTCCTTGAAGAGGTCCTTCACATCCCTTGTAAGTTGGATTCCTAGGTATTTTATTCTCTTTGAATCAATTGTGAATGGGAGTTCACTCATGATTTGGCTCTCTGTTTGTCTGTTGTTGGTGTATAAGAATGCTTGTGATTTTTGTACATTGATTTTGTATCCTGAGACTTTGCTGAACTTGCTTATCAGCTTAAGGAGATTTTGGGCTAAGACAATGGGGTTTTCTAGATATACAATCATGTCATCTGCAAACAGGGACAATTTGACTTCCTCTTTTCCTAATTGAATACGCTTTATTTCCTTCTCCTGCCTAATTGCCCTGGCCAGAACTTCCAACACTATGTTGAATAGGAGTGGTGAGAGAGGGCATCCCTGTCTTGTGCCAGTTTTCAAAGGGAATGCTTCCAGTTTTTGCCCATTCAGTTTGATATTGGCTGTGGGTTTGTCATAGATAGCTCTTATTATTTTGAAATACGTCCCATCAATACCTAATTTATTGAGAGTTTTTAGCATGAAGGGTTGTTGAATTTTGTCAAAGGCCTTTTCTGCATCTATTGAGATAATCATGTGGTTTTTGTCTTTGGTTCTGTTTATATGCTGAATTACATTTATTGATTTGCATATATTGAACCAGCCTTGCATCCCAGGGATGAAACTCACTTGATCATGGTGGATAAGCTTTTTGATGTGCTGCTGGATTCGTTTTGCCAGTATTTTATTGAGGATTTTTGCATCAATGTTCATCAAAGATATTGGTCTAAAATTCTCTTTTTTGGTTGTGTCTCTGCCTGGCTTTGGTATCAGGATGATGCTGGCCTCATAAAAAGAGTTAGGGAGGATTCCCTCTTTTTCTATTGATTGGAATAATTTCAGAAGGAATGGTACCAGTTCCTCCTTGTACCTCTGGTAGAATTCGGCTGTGAATCCATCTGGTCCTGGACTCTTTTTTGTTGGTAAGCTATTGATTATTGCCACAATTTCAGATCCTGTTATTGGTCTATTCAGAGATTCAACTTCTTCCTGGTTTAGTCTTGGGTGAGTGTATGTGTCCAGAAATTTATCCATTTCTTCTAGTTTTTCTATTTTATTTACGTAGAGGTGTTTGTAGTATTCGCTGATGGTAGTTTGTATTTCTGTGGGATTGGTGGTGATATCCCCTTTATCATTTTTTATTGCATCTATTTGATTCTTCTGTCTTTTCTTCTTTATTAGTCTTGCTAGCAGTCTATCAATTTTGATCCTTTCAAAAAACGAGCTCCTTGATTCATTAATTTTTTGAAGAGTTTTTTGTGTCTCTATTTCCTTCAGTTCTGCTCTGATTTTAGTTATTTCTTGCCTTCTGCTAGCTTTTGAATGTGTTTGCTCTTGCTTTTCTAGTTCCTTTAATTGTGATGTTAGGGTGTCAGTTTTGGATCTTTCCTGCTTTCTCTTGTGGGCAGTTAGTGCTATAAATTTCCCTCTACACACTGCTTTGAATGCATCCCAGAGATTCTGGTATGTTGTGTCTTTGTTCTCATTGGTTTCAAAGAACATCTTTATTTCTGCCTTCATTTCCTTATGTACCCAGTAGTCATTCAGGAGCAGGTTGTTCAGTTTCCATGTAGTTGAGCGGTTTTGAGTGAGATTCTTAATCCTGAGTTCTAGTTTGATTGCACTGTGGTCTGAGAGATAGTTTGTTATAATTTCTGTTCTTTTACATTTGCTGAGGAGAGCTTTACTTCCAAGTATGTGGTCAATTTTGGAATAGGTGTGGTGGGGTGCTGAAAAAATTGTATATTCTGTTGATTTGGGGTGGAGAGTTCTGTAGATGTCTATTAGGTCCGCTTGGTGCAGAGCTGAGTTCAATTCCTGGGTATACTTGTTGACTTTCTGTCTCGTTGATCTGTCTAATGTTGACAGTGGGGTGTTAAAATCTCCCATTATTAAGGTGTGGGAGTCTAAGTCTCTTTGTAGGTCACTCAGGACTTGCTTTATGAATCTGGGTGCTCCTGTATTGGGTGCATGTATATTTAGGATAGTTAGCTCTTCTTGTTGAATTGATCCCTTTACCATTATGTAATGGCCTTCTTTGTCTCTTTTGATCTTTGTTGGTTTAAAGTCTGTTTTATCAGAGACTAGGATTGCAACCCCTGCCTTTTTGCGTTTTCCATTTGCTTGGTAGATCTTCCTCCATCCTTTTTATTTTGAGCCTATGTGTGTCTCTGCACGTGAGATGGGTTTCCTGAATACAGCACACTGATGGGTCTTGACTCTTTATCCAATTTACCAGTCTGTGTCTTTTAATTGGAGCATTTAGTCCATTTACATTTAAAGTTAATGTTGTTATGTGTGAATTTGATCCTGTCATTATGATGTTAGCTGGTGATTTTGCTCGTTAGTTGATGCAGTTTCTTCCTAGTCTCGATGGTCTTTACATTTTGGCATGATTTTGCAGCGGCTGGTACCGGTTGTTCCTTTCCATGTTTAGCGCTTCCTTCAGAGCTCTTTTAGGGCAGGCCTGGTGGTGACAAAATCTCTCAGCATTTGCTTGTCTGTAAAGTATTTTATTTCTCCTTCACTTATGAAGTTTAGTTTGGCTGGATATGAAATTCTGGGTTGAAAATTCTTTTCTTTAAGAATGTTGAATATTGGCCCCCACTCTCTTCTGGCTTGTAGAGTTTCTGCCGAGATATCTGCTGTTAGTCTGATGGGCTTCCCTTTGAGGGTAACCCGACCTTTCTTTCTGGCTGCCCTTCACATTTTTTCCTTCATTTCTACTTTGGTGAATCTAACAATTATGTGTCTTGGAGTTGCTCTTCTCGAGGAGTATCTTTGTGGCGTTCTCTGTATTTCCTGAATCTGAATGTTGGCCTGCCTTGCTAGATTGGGGAAGTTCTCCTGGATAATATCCTGCAGAGTGTTTTCCAACTTGGTTCCATTCTCCCCGTCACTTTCAGTTACACCAATCAGACGTAGATTTGGTCTTTTCACATAGTCCCATATTTCTTGGAGGCTTTGCTCGTTTCTTATTATTCTTTTTTCTCTAAACTTCTCTTCTCACTTCATTTCATTCATTTCATCTTCCATCGCTGATACCCTTTCTTCCAGTTGATCACATCGGCTCCTGAGGCTTCTGCATTCTTCACGTAGTTCTCAAGCCGTGGTTTTCAGCTCCATCAGCTCCTTTAAGCACCTCTCTGTATTGTTTATTCTAGTTATACATTCTTCTAAATTTTTTCAAAGTTTTCAACTTCTTTGCCTTGCCCTCCAGTAGCTCGGAGTAATTTGATCGTCTGAAGTGTTCTTCTCTCAGCTCGTCAAAGTCATTCTCCGTCCAGCTTTGTTCCGTTGCTGGTGAGGAACTCCGTTCCTTTGCAGGAGGAGAGTCGCTCTGCTTTTTAGAGTTTCCAGTTTTTCTGCTCTGTTTTTTCCCCATCTTTGTGGTTTTATCTACTTTTGGTCTTTGATGATGGTGATGTACAGATGGGTTTTGGTGTGGATGTCCTTTCTGTTTGTTAGTTTTCCTTCTAACAGACAGGACCCTCAGCTGCAGGTCTGTTGGAGTACCCGGCCATGTGAGGTGTCAGTGTGCCCCTGCTGGGGGGGTGCCTCCTAGTTAGGCTGCTCAGGGGTCAGGGGTCAGGGACCCACTTGAGGAGGCAGTCTGCCCGTTCTCAGATCTCCAGCTGCATACTGGGAGAACCAATGCTCTCTTCAAAGCTGTCAGACAGGGACATTTAAGTCTGCAGAGGTTACTGCTGTCTTTTTGTTTGTCTGTGCCCTGCCTCCAGAGGTGGAGCCTACAGAGGCAGGCAGGCCTCCTTGAGCTGTGGTGGGCTCCCCCCAGTTCGAGCTTCCCGGCTGCTTTGTTTATGTAAGCAAGCCTGGGCAATGGTGGGCGCACCTCCCCCAGCCTTGCTGCCGCCTTGCAGTTTGATCTCAGACTGCTGTGCTAGCAATCAGAGAGACTCCGTGGGCGTAGGACCCTCCAAGCCAGGTGCAGGATATAATCTCCTGATGCGCCGTTTTTTAAGCCCGTCAGAAAAGCGCAGTATACGGGTGGGAGTGACCCAATTTTCCAGGTGCCGTCTGTCACCCCTTTCTTTGACTGGGAAAGGGAACTCCCTGACCCCTTGGGCTTCCCAAGTGAGGCAATGCCTCGCCCTGCTTCGGCTTGCACACGGTGCGCTGCACCCAGTGACCTGTGCCCACTGTCTGGCACTCCCTAATGAGATGAACCCAGTACCTCAGATGGAAATGCCGAAATCACCCGTCTTCTGCATCGCTTACGCTGGGAGCTGTAGACCGGTGCTGTTCCTATTCCAGGCCCAGTGATCAGGATAGATTTATTGAGGCTATGTCATAATACTTTGAGCTTCTACCGTGACAAATAAACATTAAGCTTTTATTGCAATACAGGACAAAGGAACAGGTAATGAGTCATACAGGATGGTACCCCAAGTCAGCTGTTAGGGTCACACTCATCTTTGGCTTCTTAGGAGGAAGGGTAGAAACACCCATCTATTATCACTGCTTGCTTTCTATTATATTGAACTATAGAGCTGGCTCTCTGCTCTGCATCTCGCAATGCGCCATGGTTCCCCTCAACCTCATCCCACCATAAATCCTACAGAGATCTCAGGGCTAGAGGGAGGAAAAAAGAAGATGCTCCTCACACCAAAAATATATCAGTAACACTTACCTAAGCAAAAGAACTAGAAAAATTACTTCTATCTCATCACTCTTGCCCATTCAGATAACTTATTCCAACAATGCAAGACAGCACCTACACTGTTAATTATTAATAAATGGCATGGTAGAATAATGGAAACATCCCTTGACTGAAAGCCAGGAGACAGGTTTCAGGTCTGGCCCTGCTCCCTACAGCCAGCTGGCCTCTGCTAGATCGCTTGCTTCTTTTGTCCTTTGATTTCTGCAGATGCATAGTGAGAAACTGGGTAGATCAGTCTTTCCATAGAATGTGAAAGTCATGAGAAGGCAGCCTTGGGAAACACTGTACACTCTCTACTCTCTTTTCAGAGACCCATCCTGCACATGAACTTCCAGTTACAAATAAATCTTTTTTTGTCCCCCTTGAGCTAGGGTCTTGCTGTGTTGCCCAAGGTGGTGTGCAGTGGCACAATTATAATTCAGTATAACCTTGGACTCCTGGGCTTAAGCGATGCTCCTGCCTCAGCCTCCCACATAGCTGAGACTGTAAGTGTGTACCTCCAAGCCCACCTATTTTTCTTTTCATTTTTGTAGAGATGGGGTTTCACTATATTGCCCAGGCTGTTCTTGAACTCTTGGGTTCAAGTGATCCTCCTGCCTCCGCCTCCCAAAGCACTTATAGAACAGAGGCCAACATTCTGGCCAATAAATCTTTTATACTTAGTTTAATCAAGAGTTTCCTTGTCTAATTTGACCAGAGAATGCCCAAACTGCTCTTCCTGCCTTCCTTCCTGCCTTTCTGCCTTCTTACCTTCCTTCCTGCCTTCCTGCCTTCCTGGCTTCCTTCCTGTCTTCCCTTTCTTTTTGTCAAATGAATTGGAAGGGAAAATATAGGATGGCTCATTATTTGGAATTTAAGTTCTTAAACAATCTAATCCAAATATACTTTCCACATTAATTCTAGTTAGTTCTATATATGAACCTTCAAATTTAATTTGAGTGTACTATACAGCTATGCCAGGACAGTCCTCCTGCTTCTCTGCCTTGCTTGTTTTGTTTCTTCCATGGCATTACTCAACCCTCTGCTCTCTCTTTCCAGAACTGCTTACTCTACTATGGCCCCATCTGCCATGTTCCAGTTTTATGTACTCCTTTAATCTTCTGAAGCGATGTTACCCAACCCATTTACATTTAATCATAGTCATTTGCATTTTCTTTGCTGGTGGTTTTCTTTGTCATGCAACTGCGCATTCCTTTCCCTCTTGCCTTCCCAGTTATAAATCCCAAGAGGACAAAAGCCTGGGCATGACACTTTCATAGCACCTGGTAATAATTTGATATATCTTGGGGAGTAGCTGCTGTAGGGGTAGATCATTGATACCACAGTGATATATTTGCCAGGTGGACTGGGAGATAATCAGAGTGTTAGATCGATTCGTTTGTTTTTAATGTTATAGTTTATTATGAAACAAGTTAAAAGAAAGAAAAAGCAGAGGGCTATTACTTCTGACATGATGAGAATGTTCTAGGTCTTTCTTGGTGGTACTATCCAGCCTTGTAGCTTGAATCTTGGTCAATATTAATCCTACCATAGTTCTGTATTTTATTACCTTATACTGAAAGCTGACTGAGAGCACAGTCCTAGAAGAGATAGCTGGATGGCTGGAGAAAGAATATACATTTTCAAAGGGGAAGAAGAAAAAAGAGATGTTAGAAGGTCAAAAAAAGATTAACTTAACGATTTCCTCGAGTTCCTTGTGTGCGGTATAGAGTATATTTGGATTTCCTACCTAAACTTGAGAATGTACAAGTTATTTCTTGCTTCCCCAGTTTAATGTTCAGTGTCAATTTGAGGTCCCTTATTATGTTTGAATACATCCATTACCTGCTGTGAGTATAGATTTGTCTTCTTATCAATAAGCAAACCGTTAGGGTTATAGTCCTGAGGATAGAGGAAAGACTTTTGCACTCTTGAGAAACTAGGAAAAGAACTTTCTGAAGCTTCCCTCCTGGTAGGAAATCCAACCTAGAAGTCGACTGGATGGGGACAGCCCTGGCAATAAGTTTTCTCTTCTGTCAAGATAGTGCTAATGGAAGGGAAGTCTTGGTTGTTTTGCTTTGCTTTGTTTTTGATAAAAACAAATATTTTGGGCTTCATGGATAGCGGGAAGGTGTTTGAGGGAGCTGAGTCACAGTAGCTGGGTTGGCTGAAAAGGGCAGTAGGAACAGAGACTCTTTGTAGACAGTTTCTATGCCTGACAGACTCCCCTGGTGTCCCTGTTTTGTTGGCTTTGAGTGAGATGGAATATTGTTTTCCAAAACAACTCCCACTTTCATTATGATCATCATTGTCATTATCATCATTATTGCTATTCTCTGAATCACCCAGCAGAGCAAACCTTCACGCATTGACAGTGGCTGAATGTAAGCATTTTAGCTACTTTCTCAAAACAAGGGTCTGCAGGGTCACCCAGTCTTTGTAGCTTCATAGGCAGGGGCTCTCCAATTACAGACAAATGTTCTGAAATTACCTTTGTGTTCCATTCACAAACTGTTCAAATGCATTTTTCTCATTATATGGGAGTACATGATGAGAACAAGGCAAAGTGGCTCATGTATATTATCCCATAGAAGGTAAAGCCATACTCAGAATGTCCTAATGCACTGGACAAGAAATAGGAAAAGTGTCATGAGTTGGGGTATTATGGAAGCAGATATGTTCCACTGAAGGCCAAGGTGTTTTTGTACACCCAAAGGTTTAAATCAGGTGTTTATTGCCTAAAACATGTCTGAGAAAGTTAATGAGGTGAGTTATTACCCACCATGTCTGCAGTTTTTCCATTACCAGCTGTAAAAGCAGGTAGCTATCTCACTCTACCTTGAAGGCATCATTCATTATAGATTACTTGCTTTCAATCATGAGTGGAATACAGCGAAAGGAAAAGTACCAAAGAAGGTCTTCACTGTGCTTTGTTAGAAGACATAAACAGGAGCACTGAGCCTGCGTGCTATTGTCAAACTTCCCCAAATGAGACATTTGGAATTCAAATGATTAATTGGTAACTGGGTATTCAGTATTATTTGAAGCCAGACTTGTTTCTTTCTTTTTCTTATATATTTTTAAACTAATAACAGCCAGAGGCGTACTCTTTTATCCAGAACAGTAACTCACTCACATTACTATATGACTGAATAAGTAGCTTCATTTTTATCATAGTTGAATCCAACTTTTATTCCAACCAAGCATTGCTAAAGATCAAAGGCAGGGGTGTACAGAAAGTTTGCTTTGTTGTTAACTTGGCTCCTGACCCAACTGTCAGAGACAGCCAAAAGATAGATGTTTCTTTTTCTCCCTAGTACTGTGTTTGGTTATAGTTACGTATTTCTTATAGAAGAGGCCAAAGATCACTCTCTGTTGATGGCTGGCTGTGATCATCCAGAAATCTTCAAGATGACCAAATTAGAACCATGAACAAAACCTTTAGTGGCCAATCTTTTAGATATCCTAATTTAGATCCGAATACATTTGTACAAACAGATGAACTTTACTACATGATTGCCAGATTTCTTTCTTATCCTGTGATATTTAAATCCAGACTTAAACTTCTACATTGTGTATGGTTGGAGTGCATGATTATCCTCAGTAGGACACTTAAGTGAAATAGGCAAGACTCTGAGACCAGTATTCAATCCTATGAAGATAATGAAGGGGGTTACAAAGATCATGGAGCACAGAAGTTCATCAATATGCTGCTTGTGACAGATTGTGAAATACTAATAGTTTAACATATTCAAACTGGGGAAATAAAGATACTGAAGAATTTACCAAAATTAAGTGCAGGGCTAATAAGGCGACATTGAATATAACCCGCACAGGCAGTAGGGGTGCCTGACAAATATTCTCCTTAGGAAATGTGTGGTCATGTCTGATAAGCATAGGCAGCACAACATCATTTATTTTTATCAAAGCTCCCCAGGCAGGAAAAATTAAGAGATAGAGATTACCATTTAATCTAAAAGAACTGGGATCTTTATTAAGCAATACTTATTATTTACATACTTGAATATTTTGCTGTGTTTAAAACCTTCACATTTCAAATAAGTATGAAAATTGCTGCTTGTTTTCTTAGAGTACCATGGTAGTAACAGCTTATTATTAAATAGATCTCTACTTTGGAACTGAATTCTGTCTTATTAACTAGAATATATTGTATCTCAGTACCGGTGGTGATTTGTAAAGGAATAAAATGTTATAATTAATAGAAATGCATACTAGTGTCTCTTTTTCTGGTTCATTTATTTGTTCAACACATTATCATCTTCTCTGCACTATATGTTCTCCCAGGATTTGAGTTTATATAGTGGATAACATAGAAAACATTTATATTAGGCAGTTTAAGAAAGGTTTCACTCCAATAACAACGAAGCACAAAATAATCTTAGACGTTTACGAGGCAAAGGTTTATTTGTTATTTGTTTCATATAACTGTGAAGGTTAGCTTTTTGACTCATCTGCATACCAATCTTCATGTTGCAATTTAGGCTGAAGGAGTAGCCCCTGTCCACTCATGCTGGTCTCATTGTAATGAAAAAACAGCAGTGGCAGGAATGTACTGGCTTTTAAAATTTCTCTTTGGAAGTGGCTTGTTATATTAACTCACACTTCGTTAGCCAAATGAAGTCACACCTACAAGCCAATTATCAGTGGGTTAGGAAGAATAATTCTCCCATCAAAAGGACCTGAAAGTGAGAGGTGGTGAATATTTTTGATAATAATGGAATTTATAAAACTGTCTTAGAGAATATGTAGTCTAGGTAGAAAGCTTAAAGTTATGATACAGAAATACGACACGGCATGCAACAAGCAGTTTTATATTAGCAGCTATAAGGTTCTTTGCTTTAGTCCCTATTAAATAACATTTTGTACTTTGGTAGATGTCCCTGTTTTTCTCATATAAAATGCTGAGTCCAGGCAAACATTTACCAAAATAAAATCAATTTAAGCCAGATATTATGGTAAGCCAGAAATAGCATTTAGAAATGTAGATCTGATTAATAGTGACTTCTTCATTGCTAAGTCATATTGATGAAGTGTCCAATCCAATTGATGATGCAGACATTGACCATTGGGATCACAGGAGGAAAAAACTTTGATTTGATGGAAATAGGAGTCACATATCAATACTACCTTTTGATCACTCCAAAACCAAATGAAAAGGGCAAAGAAGTGGAGGCATATGATAATGCCCATGAGGTCTCTTCTGGATCCTCATCAGGCCAACACTGGTTTGCTTTTGATATAGGCCATCTAATTTCAGATGGATGCATATCACACACTGAAGTTTAAACCTCATCCAATAATTTTTATCTAATTTCATTCAATATGAGCTGCCTCTAGCATCTAATAATATTTAATAATATTCAGTTGCCAAAAGGGATTGTTATTAACTTGTCTGAAAACTTGTGATTCAGTTTAGTCATTCTTAGATTTATATTGTCAGATTTATATACATACATCATATAAATCAACTGCTAAGGAAAGATAAAATCCATGAAAATAGTAGAATTTAGAAAAATTTCGGCTGGGTGCGGTGGCTCATGCCTATAATCCCAGCACTTTGGGAGGGTGAGGTGGGTAGATCATGAGGTCAGGAGTTTGAGACCAGCCTGGCAAACATAGTGAAACTCCGACTCTACTAAAAGTACAAAAATTAGATGGGCATGGTGGCAGGCACCTGTAATCCCAGCTACTCAGGAGGCTGAGGCAGGAGAATTGCTTGAACCTGGGAGGTGGAGGTTGTGGTGAGCCGAGATCACACCATGGCACTCCAGCCTGGGCAACAGAGCGAGACTCCGTCTCAAAAAAAACAAAAAACAAACAACAACAACAACAACCAAAAAAACCTTCATTATGTTTAACATCTGATGAGCTCGGCCGGGCGCGGTGGCTCACGCCTATAATCCCAGCACTTTGGGAGGCTGAGGTGGGCGGATCACGAAGTCAGGAGATCAAGACCATCCTGGCTAACACGGTGAAACCCCATCTCTACTAAAAAAAAACCAAAAAAAACAAAAATACAAAAAAATTAGTGGGGTGTGGTGGTAGGCACCTGTAGTCCCAACTACTCAGGAGGCTGAGGCAGGAGAATGGTGTGAACCCGGGAGGCGGAGCTTGCAGTGAGCAGAGATCGCGCCACTGCACTCCAGCCTGGGCGATAGAGCAAGAGTCCATCTCAAAAAAAAAAAAAAAAAAAAAAAAAAAAAAAAAATCTGATGAGCTCTTAAAACTGAATACAAAGTATAAAGATTAATTGCTTAAATAAGGCTATTTTTTTAAATTATAAATATAGTAGTACTTATATTTTACTTGAAACAAAAATGCATATGAAATTCAGGTTTGCTCTAAGAAAGGCAATTGAATGACCATTTTGATAAATTAAGCTGATTAAATGGATTTTAGAGTAATAGATATAGAGAGAGACTATGTGCTATAATTGAAGAAGTTGTGGACTGAAACACGGGAGACATAAATGACATACAACTCTTGCTTCAGTGAAATGTGTCATCAGGCCAAATAACTTACTGATCCCAAGGTATTTCTAATTTTAAAAATGATTTGGAGCAAGTGCTGGTAAATTTGCTAGAAATGATATTCCTTCATTTGCCCCCCTTTCCTCCCTTTCTTTCTCCCTTAATTGAAATATAATTATTGAACTATTAAATGTTTCAGATGTGAAAATAGGCACTGAATAATGTATTAATGTATAAAACAATCATGGTCCCTGTTCTCTGCAGCTTGATATCAACAAATGAAGACAAACTATTACAGTGGTTACCATGAGATAAATAAACAAAGTCCTGATATCTATAAATCTAGGTAGTGAGGGAAGTTTTCTCTGAGAAGGTGACATCTGCTTATGTCTAAAGAATGAAAACTGGGGACAAAACATGTTGCAAGTGGAGAAAACAGTTCCAGCCATGTGAAGAATCTGGATTTTATTCAAGTGCAATGGAAGGTCATTAATGGCTTTATAGGCAGGGAAGTGATAGGAGGTGATTTATATTTAAAACAACTGATCTGGTGGTTGTTGAGTTGTAGTAGGGTAAGCAAGTAGGCAGGGAGACACAGTGGAGAGGATTGCACTGAACCAGGCAAGAGGTGATAGAAATTGGACTGGGGTAATGAAAATCGTGATCAAGGTGGACAAATAGATTTTAAATACACTTTGCAGGAAAAAGTGTCAATGTTTGCCAATAGTTGAATGTAGGAAATTATGCAGAGAGAGATATCAGGAGTGATTTTTTGCCTTTGGGCTTGAACAAATGGGTAGATGGTACCATTTAGTGAGAAGATGAAGTGTGGGCAAGAAATCAGTGTGGAGAGGTTGTAATCAAGGAAGCCATTTTGAAGTGTTTCGTTGGAGATGATTGTGAGTCTTCCAATTGGAGTTGTCAAGCTGTAGTTGAATATTTGATTTTGGAGCTGAGAAGAAAGGTTTGGGCTGGAGATAAAATGATATTTTAAGTCACAGGAATTGATGAGAAAGCTATTGAGAGAAGTATAGTGAGCGGGGGCATCAGGAAAAAAAAATAAAATGAAATGACAAAACCAAAAGAAACTGAGAGAGTGAGGTAAAAAATGTCAGAGAAAAACCATGAGAGGATAGTATCCTGGAAGCTGAGGGAAGATAATATTTCAAGAAATAAAGCGATTTACCCTGCTGAATATTGCCGAAAGGCAGATAAAATCAGAACAAAAAAGAAGTCTACTTCTTAACAGCAGAGACATGATCGGCAACCTTGGAATAAATAGCTTCACAAGGGGGTAGGAAGGAAAGATGTAGCCCAAACTGGAGTGGAAAGAGGGGTAGATGTGATGTGTGAAAAAGGAGATAGCAGGAATAAACACTTCTTGAAAAGTTACACAGTAAAGGGGAATAGAAAAAAAAGGTGATATCTGGAGGGGAATACGAGACTCAGAAGATTCTTCTTGAATAGAAAAGACACTTGCGTGTGTTGCTAATGGCAACGGTAAGACAGATGCAGAGTCCGGTGCAATTAAGAAAGAGATGCAAAGCCTGTGAGAAGGCTAGGGCAGATGGGGAATCTTACCTTTAATAGATGAAAGACATTTCCTCAATAATAGCTAATGAGGTTGGATAGGTATAGATACAAGGAGGTTTCTATGTTTTGTTGTGGAAAATCAGAATTATTAAATTTTATCATTTAGATGTGATGCAACATCATGGCCTAAGAGATTGGGCAAGTTTGGTGCAGAAAATTGAAGGAGAGAGGAGAAATGTCTAGTAAGTTGGAGGAAGCTTTAGGACACATTTACACACAAGGCTGTTCTATCTTCGGGTAGAGGCTCCATACGTGTTATTGAGCAGACAGGGCATTGCATAGCATTTTAGATATAACAATAGATTCACTCACAATTAATTTTCAGATGGCAACCTCAAATTAAGTTTGCATATAGCAGATTTAATTTGAAACAGTTTTTGCAAAAATCTCCTAAAGGCTCAATTATAAGACTGACACTTGCCAATTTTTTCCAACCATAGCCTAGAGAATATATCATCAAACCCCTAGGCTGGAAGAAAACAGTTGGCTTTTATATATTCTAATAGCTTAAATCTTCTAATATGTGTGTGTGAGAAAAGCTGGTAAAGGCAAATTTACTCAACAGAAGCTTTGTACATGTGCATATCAGAAGTGCCATAATTATATACAGATAACCATTTTGACTATGCTTTTTTGGGCTAATAAGACGTTTATTACACTTATTTTGTATTTTTAAAATACACTTTTCTGTTATCTCTTTTAAAAAGCTCCTTTTATGGATTCTATTTGAGGCTGTTTTCCAAAGCCATTTCTTAAGATAGGCATTCTGAGTAAAAATGTTCTGAACCTCCTAGTAAGTCTCAGAGTATTGATTATCTTCTAATCTAGTTTTGACTTTGCCTTGAAATTTCAGCCATAAAAGATTTAAAAGATTCTGCCCTTCACTAAAAGCTATCATCTGTAATCCTTGCACTCACCCATTTCAGAATTGAGATGACTGAATGTCACATTCAGTTACCTTTATAAACCCCCAAATCAAAGTTTCTAATAGCAACACTTGCCTCCCTCATCACTCTTGCTTCTCAACTCCCAATTTATCAGTAATTCTTTACCACCCCTTGCCACTTACTGTCTGCAGGGTTTGAGCTGTCAGACCAGCTAAGCAGGCTTCTGGAGTCAAACAGCTTTAAAAGTTCCACAGATTTCATACAGGAAATGGGAAAATATAAAAACAGTGCATGTCAAAATGCCATGCCATGTTGACAGTAAATCACTTAGCAAACGTTTAGTTTGTCTTTGGTGTACTATCAGAAACCACTAGCAGCTGGTGTGTATGCCTGTGTGTGCGTGCCTGTGTGTGCATCTGTGTGTGTGCATGTGTGTTTCAAAGTAATTTCTTAAGCCTTCAGAAAAATGCTGCCATTTTTGCCTCCATTCTTCTTGTTTAACCTTTTACAAATAGCCAAAATAATGTATGGATGTGCAATTTCACTGTCCTTTTCTCTCAGATGCAGGCAATAAAAGTTGATTTGCACTAACAAGCTAAAAGCTCTGAGTGCTACCGGAGTGTGATGCATTCCAGGAGGGAGGGCAGCTATCAGAATCTATGACAGTAGAAAGCATTTTCACAACAGACCCCACAAAGATTTAGGATCTGAGGCTGGAATTCAATCTATTGTTCAGAAGTCAGCTGGTATAGAAGAATCAACTGAAAATTGGTGAGAGTGAAGACTATCTTCCTTTTCTGTTGCTTTTGATTTCTATATAATCCAGGTGTACTATGGCCACTGCAATGTAAGCCTTCCCTACTCTCCTCCATATGATTGGCAAGGAGTCAGATTATAGTAGGCTCATAGCATTAGCTAGCAATAAGGCATAAAACATGTTTGTGAGAAAATATGTGTTAGAAAAATACATGCTAGAGATATTCTGTGTTTACGCCTCTGGCCGGCAGTTGACATTCCCATTAGTTGCAAAGAAAAGTAGAAAATGTAGCCAAAGAAAACATTAGAAATGAAAACATGTCACTGATCATGTGCATCAACCCCTCTCATTTGATATTTAATTAGCAAACGTACTAAATATACTAGAAAAGATATTACCGTGGTCCTGCATAGAATTACAGGAACACAAAGCTACAAACTAGCTAAGGTAAATTTTTGGGCTTCTTTATAAATTTGAGCCTTCTTAAAAGAGAAAAGTGTAACTGAACAGTTTCAAATATTAACTGATACACAGAGCAGATGATAACCACATTGTAACCATCATGGCTATGCTGTTCAGGCAAACAAAACACGGCGCTCCCATGAAGAAAGCAATAGCCTAGAAGGACAAATACAGTCCATACTGATAAAGAGAATGCCTCATTTTGGCATCCTAAGCTTTCTTCCATCAAACAAAACTGGAAGGATACAAAAGTGGAATACAATAAGATTAGAAAGAAAAATATTTGTCAAACCATGATGTCACTTCATACAATGTAGAGAGGAAGGAGAGTGGTAGTGGTGGTCTAAGGGCTCGGGCTTTGGAGACTGTGTTTAAATTCCAGATGCCATTTACATCTTGTGTAGTCTGGGGTAATTAATTTAACCTCATGATATCTTGGCTTGCTATTAATAGAATCTCTTTATGGAGTTGTAAGAATATGATTTGATGTATGCAAAGTTCTTGCTGGCACCTCCTTAGCACTCAATGAAAGTTAGGTGTTACTATTAAGTAATTGTAAGCACGTGTATTTTTAAAACACATGTATGATTTTGAGAACTTTTAACTCCTTGAATAAATGTCATATATTCATAATTGGTAAATATTTTGTAGTAGTGGTCGTGATCGTGGTAGTGGTAATAGTGGTGGGATCTTAGAGTTTGAAACAGACCCTGAGTTGGAAATTTGTGTGCAGAGATTTGTTAGAAAGTGCTTTCTGAAACAGGACCTGCAACGGATGGAGCAAAGGAAACAGGATTAAGCAGAGGGAAATATTAAGCTGTGATGCAGCTGCCACCAAGAACCATTTCAGGGAGAACTCTGAAGCTGTGAAGGCCCTTAAGAAACACCTCAGATTATCTCAAATGGATGCAAAGGAGCTGGGGGCCTTTGGACTTAACCCATCAGCAAGTAGATACAGGCTGCTTCTACAGCAGGGCACACCCCTGGGCAAGGCAGCCTTCTTCAGCCTTAGCAATTTTTGAGTGGGGTTCTGGGTGGCAAACACCATAGCTTTGACTACAGTTCACCGCTCATGTTGCTGATTATATATATATACAATCCAAGAACAGCTCCTCCAGGATTCTGGTTGGTTTGTTTTTCTGGGAAAAATTACAAAAACAAAGCAAGACACCAATTAGTACAGTCCCCATCATATCAGCTGGTTTGAGGACCATATGTAACATTCTTCACCTCCCTCCTCTTCTTACCCATTCCAGTTTCCATTTGTCTTTGGTTTCCTAGCTGTTCTAATTTCATTGGCTTACTGAGTGATAAGTCCTGGACTCCCATCCTCAGGGATCTGAGCATTGGTCATTATGCCCTTCTCAGACTCTGTCCACTGTACTTGTCTATTGAAAATTAAAGTTATGCAAAAGAGTACTAGTCACCTTGGTGCAAACATAACCTTTCTATCTCTGCGAGGAAGGTGGTTCTTTTCTTGTTTGCTGGCTCCTTGGCACAAGAAGCCTAAAAGGATTTGATGATAGAATAGCTTAAAGCTTAATGAGACTTTTGCAATGTACCCTAGTAGAAGGGACTCCACCCTAGGAACCAAAATCTCTGGTTCCTCTTGGCATAGAATTATGGGAATAAGAAAAATGAAGTCTTTTAAGTGGGTCACTGAGAGTGATGGTAAGTGAGATTTTGACTTCCTTATACCTAGTATTTCAGCCTTTCTCCTTTAAGGTCTGTAACAAACCAGTCAAACTATTTGTTACTACCCATGAGTCCATGCATATTCTTACTTCAGACTTTTTTTTTTTTTTTTTTTTCCACAGAGTGCAAAATCAGGTGAAGGTTTTTTCTCACCACTGTCTTTCAGGAATATTCCTCAGTTGAGTCCATGTGCAGCTGTAGTGGCACTTTTTCAGCTACCCATTTTTTTTTTTCCTTTCTCAGCTAAGCATCAAGAACCCCTCATATGGCCACATGTGTGATCTGAGAAAGGAACACCAGTGCAAGTGCAGGTAATGACATAGGTGGCTGAGAAACTCACTCTTGAATTCTGCTTCTGCTCAAACTCACATGTGCTACTATGGAACTTCTCAGCGGTGTAGGTGACCTTCTCACCAGCACATGCATGACTACTTTGGCAAAAGGAGTAATCTCTGGGTGCTTTCCTGGAACGTAATTGGCTGAAGAGTTTTCAACTTTACATAGTATTAGGGGCTGAGTTGTGTTTCTCTCTAGATGCAAACGCTAAAATCTTAACCCCAGGACTTCACAATGTGATTATATTTGGAGATAAGCATTTTAAATAACTCTCGTTTATGCCTAGTGTTCCATTATTGGAATGCTAAGCATGTGGGAATTATTTGTATCCTACTGCTCAAGGTTATTGCCAAGGTCTGATTGCAAAAATTCAAAAAGTTGCAACCTCAAGCATAAAGGGGTTAAGTTAAAGTGAGGCCATTAGGATGTGCCCTAATCCAAACTGATAGATGTCCTTATAAGAAGAAGAAATTTTTATACAAAAAGAGATACCAGGGATGCACACACACAGAGAAAGATCATGTGAGGACACATCAAGAAAGTGGCCATCTGCCAGCAAAGGAGAGAAACCTCAGGAGAAACCAAACCTACCTTCACCTTGATCTTAGACTTTCAGCCTCCAAAACTGTGAGATGTATCTTTCTGTTGGCTAAACCACCCAGGCTGTGGAATTTTGTTATGGCAAACCAATACACATAGTACATCCATTATGCCATGTCAATTTTCTTGAGACTTCTAATCACTACTTCTAACTGTCTGGCATTTCTGTTATCACTTGGTGTTAAGTATTGCTTTCTAAAATATTTTAAAAGCCAACCCAGCAGTGTGTTAGCATCATTTTCCAGGGTCATTGCCAGGATTCTGAATCTTGTAGCACGAGAAAGGGCTCTTGTATCAACAAGCTTTTCTTTAACTTTTGTTTCATCTACACATTCTTTCCCACAAGGAGATGTTGGCTAAGTCCTGATGTTCCTTTGGATTATATTTTCTTTTCTAGCACATCTCTAATTGGGTTTTGTTGTGGCTTGATCTTAGTTATGTAGTTTGTTGTCCAGGAGGGAAGGTGAAGCAGACCCTGAAATCAGGGGGTATGTTAAATTGCAAAGCAGAGGACTCCAGATGTCTTTAAGCAAGGAAAGAGCACCTATGTTTACCAAAAAGATGTTGCACAGTTCTCAAGCTCAAAGGGTACAGGGGAGTGAATTGATCATGGGTCCCCATCCCAATCTCTGAGTCCCATCCCATTTCAACTATATGCTGACTTGGTGAAGCAGACTTGCTAATGTTACACATTCAATATTCTCAGAAACTTTACTATATTAAAAACAATAAGTATTAATCAATTAATTATAAATACATATTATAAATAATATTAATAAGCATGAGTTTTAGCTAAGAAAGCCCTCTGCTTTTACACTTTATTTTGAATCAGTGATTATTCACCCACAGTTTAAAATTTTTAACATATATTTGTATATATTTATGGGATACCTGTGATATTTTGATACGTGCATACAATGTATAATCAAATTAGAGTATTTAGAATATTCATTACTTTGAACATTTATGATTACTTTGTGTTGGAAACATTTTAAATCTTCACTTTGAGCTATTTTGAAACATACAATGTATTGTCATTAATTATAGTCACGCTACTATGCTAGAACATGCTAGAACTTATACCTTCTAGTCAACTTTATATTTGTACTCATTAACCAATCTCTCTTCATACCCCTCCCTAACCTCTTCTGTCTACCTCCATAAAATCAACTTTTAAAACTCCCACATGTGGGTGAGAACATGTGAAATTTGTCCTTCTGTGACTGGCTTATTTCACTTTATATAATGACTCTGGTTTTATCCATGTTGCTGGAAAAGAAAAGATTTTATTTTCTATAATGGCTGAATAGTATTCTATTGCATATATATATCACATTTTCTTCATCCATTCATATCTGATGGACACTTAGGTCGATTCCATATCGTGGCTGTTGTGAATAGTACTGCTATAAATATGCAAGTGTAGATCTTCCTTTGATATACTGAATTCCTTTCTTTTGGATAAATACCCAAGAGTGGAATTGCTGAATTGTATGGTAGCTCTATTTTTAGGTTTTGAAAAACTTTCATATTGTTTTCCATGATGGCTGCACTAATTTACATTTCCTCCAACAGTGTGTGAGTTCCTTTTCCCCGCATCCTCACCAGCATTTACTTTTTTTGTCTTTTGATAATAACCATTCTAACTGTGGTAAGATAATATCTCATAGTGGTTTTGACTTGCATTTCTCTGATAATTATGCCAAACATTTTTAATGTACCTGTTGGCCATTTATATGCCTTTTTCTAAAAAATGTCTATTCAGATCCTTTGCTCACTTTTTAATGGGATTTCTTGATATTTTGCGATTGAGTTGTTTGAGTTCCCTGTGTATTCTGGTTATTAGCCTCTTCAATGAACAGCTTGCAAATACTTTTCTCATTCTGTAGGTTGCCTCTACACTCTGTTGGATTGTTTCCTTTGCTATGCAGAAGCATTTTAGTTTAATATATCCCATTTGTCTATTTTTGGTTTTGTTGTGTATGCTTTTTAAATCGTAGCCATAAAATTTTTGCATAGACCGATGTCTTGGAGCATTTTCCCTAAGCTTTGTTCTAGTAGTTTTATAGATGTGGGTCTTATGTTTAAATTTTCAATTCATTTTGAGTTGACTTTTGTATATGATGAGAGAGAGAGTGGTCTAGTTTCATTCTTTTGCATACAGATTTTTCAGCTTTTCCAACACCACTTACTGATGAGACTTTTTTCTCCAATGTATGTTATTGGCACCTTTGTTGAAAATCAGTTGGCTGTAAATAAGTGGATTTATTTCTGAATTCACCCAGTTTTTCTTCACCTTTCTCCATGCATCAATAGACCCCATATGAAAATCCACATAATTATTAGCTCTCTGAAAGAACTGAGACATTACTCCTGAAAGCGTTCTCCATTATTATAGAATCCTGTTCCATTCACCAGCAGTAACTGTTTTAATAATTATTTTCACTTCATGCCAAGGCTGTCAGTATTACACTTACAACTAGTGATGGTTCTCCAATGCCAGCCTGATTGTATGTGATCCAACTCCCAACTCCTAAATTTTACATTTTCCTTCATGGGATTACTCAGAACACCAACAGTTTTAGGCAGGGTTCCCTGGAAAAAGTCTCTGAGATGGAGGTTTGCAGATATGTATTAAGGAGTGCTCATTGGAACAAGACTGTAAAAGACCAAGGGGAGTAGGATTAGGTAGAGGGAAAATTGAAATTGTGATGATATTATAATAAGGGTCTCCACCAATCTCATGGGGAAATCTAAAGGTGGCATTGGCTCTTCAGAATTGCCCCAAATTTAAGTAAGTCAGTTTCCTGGGCTTCTGTCCTCCTATATTAACTAGTCATTGATTTAGGGTATAAACCAAAACTATCTGAGACAGGTCTCAATCAATTTAGAAGTTTATTTTGCCAAGGTTAAGGACATGCAAGAAACGTGGCCCCAGGTGATCCTGAGAAGATGTGTGCAAGGAGCTTGGGCTATAGCTTGGTTTTATATAGTTTAGGGAGACATAAGACATCAATTAATACATGCAAGATATACATTGGTTCAGTCTGGAAAGGTAGGACAACTTGATGTTGGGGGGCAGGGGCAGCGGCAGTGGGCAGGGGATGGCTTCCAGGTCATAGGTGGATTCAAAAATGTTCTGATTGGCAAGTGGTTGAAAGCATTTGTCTAAACGACTGGAATCAATAGAAGGAGTTGTAGAGACCAAGATTTTATTATGCAGTTGAAGCCTCCAGGTAGCAGACTTCAGAGAGAATAGATTTTCTTAAGATCTCTGTTTTAATGTTAATGCTTGTCAGTGTGCCTGAATTCCAAAAGGAGAAGGGTATAATGAGATATGTCTGACTACCCATTCCCACCGTGGCCTGAAGGGCTGTTTCAGCTTAACTTTGAAATGTCCTTGGCCAAGAGGAGTGGTCCATTTGGTTGGCTGGCAGGGCTTAGAATTTTATTTTTGGTTTACAAGGGCTAACTTCAGAAAGGGGCAATAAGGCTTCTCAGTTGTGAGTCATTTCTGGTGAGGGCTCTACTGTGAGCCATCAATAGGTAATACCCCCAGAAACAGGGAATGGGTGCCACATTTCTAAAGGGAGAACCTAGAGGTGTACTACAGCAGCTGCTACAAGGGGTAATTATACAGAGCATCTTCATCATCTGAATTTTCAACACTCCTATTTTAGTCCTTCCAGTTACACAAGTTGTATAAAGAAGTAAAAGTTACCTTAAGAGAGTTTCTTTTTCACTAGCGATCTAATTTTACTTAAACAGCCCTCCCTACACCAGTATCTACCCATGCCTGCCAAGCCTTTGCTTATTAATCTTCTTACGAACATCAGAAAATGTAATGCAAGCCAGTAGCAGCAATGAGTCAAAAATAATTTGATTATGAAAGATTTATAAAGATTATGAGAAAACTGATGACATCTTGAAATATTTTCTTAAAAATACTTTTTGCAGTCATCTTGCAAAAAGAAATATCAAGCAAAAATTGTGGAGTAATACAATTTTAAAATTAAAAAAGACAGGATTTTATTCAGTCTTTGTTCAAAATATTTGTTTAAAATTACAAATTAAACTTCCATATTTTACAAGCAAATAATTCTATTTAATAATTTCTAGCTCAAAATTACAGTCACCAGCTGCTATTGTAAGCAATTCATTAATTTTTTTTCCTTTATCACTTTCCTCAAATATTGATGACTTCAAATTACAATTTGGTACATACCAATGAGCACAGTCAGATACAACATACTTGAAGTCTGTATTTTATGTAATTTAGTAGTTCCCTCATGTTCTTCTGCTATAAAATGGATAGAAAGTTCATTCAGATTTTATTCTTAGAAAAAATTTTCAGGAAGTTTAAGTTATAAGTTCATTAAAAGTAATAGCAGGACATAGAGATCAGCTCTAAGTAAACCCTATGCTAAGGTATTTGTCTTTCAAGTATTTGCCTCTTCTGGAAGATAAGAAAGGTTTTCTTAACCAATTAATTGAGACTGTTGAACTAGATGTCATGGCAAACAAATTCAAGTTTTACATCACCAAGCCACTTTTCATTACAACCTTGGCAAGCACACCATGAACTTGTGTGATGTGATAATATAGCACTTCCAGGATCCCTGCTGTGCTTCACAATTGACAGATTTGAATACAGGGCTTACTGGGGGGGGCAGGGTGGGGAAAAGCTGTCTTGGCATCACTGGCAAAACAGCTCTGATTCAAATTCTGAAACAGCTCTTCTCTTGTCTCATAATGAAGGATGAACCTGATACTTGACTGTGTGACGTCATGACCACTTAGGTAAGTAAACTTGACAGTAGGGGGCCATGAATTTGCCAGTAGGTTTTCCTGGAGACTATTGGGGCCAGCCTGAGGTCAGGATAGCAACATCTTGAAAGGAATCTTGAGATTACCTCGTTTGTTATTCAACCTCTGCTCAGCCATTAACTGCCTTTACTTCATTTATCAATATCCATATCTGCTTAGTCCTCTGGATATTAAGCTTCTAGAGAGAAGGAGTCATTTCTTATTTTTGTTTCCACATTGAGACTAGTAAGATATTTCAGTTACACCCAGCATTTAGTTATTTGACAAAAATTGCAATCTAATTTTACGTGGTAAATTTTTTTCACAACATTGTTAAAAATCTCACTCAAAAACCTGTATGTTTAAATTAATCAGCCAAAAAAGTCTTTATTAAACATGGACTATGTAGTTAACTGGATTCAGTATATGTGTGAGTATGCATATGGGTGTGTGGTCTGTGTGTACATGTGTGTATGCAAATTCTCAGTGCTTTTTGATTGAAGAAATGTGCAAAAAAAATCCAAGGAAACTGAATTTACCAGTAGATGTTTGATGAAAAAGGTAAAACTTGATCTGATGATCTGAACCTTTGGGAGGAAATGAGCATAAAAATAGAGATAGACAATGGCATCCTCAATATTTGGGTAGGAACGATCACCCCAGTGAAAGAACTTTGGCTTGACAAGGAGCTAATGTACAAAGTGTTCCCAGTGTCATCTCAGTAAACAGCTTGGTCCCCCAAGGCATTGAAGGAAAGTTCTGACTAACTGTAGCTCCCAGGAAAGTTGGTAAATTAGATTCAGACTGTTGTTTCACTTATAGCTGGAGTCATCCGTAGGCTTTAAAAACATCACAAAATATGTGTGAAAGCTAGGGAAGCTGGGTGGCTGAATAGGGATATCTGCTGTTCCTAAAAAGTTTATTCCAATATCAGAGTACAAAGACAATGACCATAAAAAATGAGACAGCTACTATTACTACTATGAATAATAAGCCTGATGAGTTTAATAAGCCTGAGAGTTTGTGGGTGGTAGGCACAAGATTCCAAGCCAGATTTCCAAAGACTACTATCTTAACTTCTGCCTTCTTTCCACCTCAATCCTTTCTCTTCAGACTAGTACACAGTCTTCTGTAAAGCTGCCTAGTAAGTGTATCACCCAAACATATTTCTCCTTTTCACAGTTATCCCTACTCCAAACCCCCGGCATCTAATGTGTTGGATTTCTTTAATGTGGCATAGAAAATAAGGTAGATAGACACAGTTATGCTACATATTGAAACAGATTGAAGCTTCAATTCTTGCTTCAGTGCAGTAGGGTTACTGCCAGCTGTAGGGGATGAAAATTTTGAAAATTCCTTCCAAACCCTATGGTTAACTTGAGATTCCCTGAGTTCATTTCCAGGAGCATATATGTACTGATGTCTGCCTTTGAAGGGCATAAACTAGAAGACATTCAAATTATTATAGACTGTGGCTGCTTGGAGAGTACCATGGAAGATGAAATTTTAAGTTCTTATGCCAAACTGAGCAGCCACAGTTGCTGCAAGGGTTATGACAAAAATTACTCTTAATTGTTACAGGGACATCTTCCTCTACTCTTCACATGAAACCTTGTCATCTATCACAGGAGTGATAGTCCTTGCCCATGCAGTTATGGGGCTGTTGGTGCTTGGAGAAAATGAGATTCTGATGAAAATACTAGCCACATCAGTCTGTCAGGCCACTGACCTCTCTTTGTCATTCTCAAGACACAGCAAAGGACAAGGAAAGAGATCTAAATTGTAGACTGTCATGGCTTGGTGAAAGAGCCTGAGATGAACTAGATGATTCTAATAAGGAGTTTTCTACTAACTCAATAAAAATAAGAAAACTGGATATAGGAAGTCAATATCCTTCTGAGACTATAGTTCTTGTGCATCATCAACTTGTAGTAGTGATATGGTTTGGCTCTGTGTCCCCACCCAAATCTCACCTTGAATTGCAATAATCCCTTCATGTCAAGGGTTGGACCAGGTGGAGATAATTGAATCATGGGCCGGTTTCCCCCATGCTGTTCTCATGATAGTGAGTGAGGTCTCACAAAATCTGATGGTTTTAGAAGGGGCTTCTGCCTTTGGTGGGCACTCATTCCCTCTCCTGCCGCTCTGTGAAGAGGTGCCTTCTGCCATGATTGTAAGTTTCCTGAGGCATCCCCAGCCATGAGGAACTGTTAGTCAGTTAATCCTCTTTTCTTTATAAATTACTCAGTCTCGATCATTTCTTCATAGCAGTGCGAGAATGGACTAATACAAATAGTGATTGCCCCCTAGAGCTCCCTTCCCCCTATTTAACTAAATCCCCTTTTTCTAAGTTGAGCTCAAGTTTCCCTTCGCTCACCAGCTTTGCTCAACTCTCATGACCCTCTGAGACTGTTCCTTTCTCTTCATTCCTGTATAAATTATTGTCTTTTTCACTCCACTGGGAGATTAGTAGATGCCTTAAAATTATTTTCTAAGAAGGGACCGAGTCATAGAGATGGCTACAAATCTCATAAATACATTTTTGTGTGTCTCTTTTTACAACTATTTCTTGTTTTATATATAATGTAAAAATTGTTGATATTAAATTATGTAGAGTTGCATCTAATAGGTATTACTACGAGGAGTGGATAAAAGTGGGCAGCATTTCAGAGGGATGTAGTGCTCCTCCTCCAGTGAGCTGTTACCACCTGAGGCTTCCTACGAGGTGACTGAGTGGGGCAAAGGGACCACAGGGAATTGTCCCAGGCACCAATCAAGAAAACTCAGCTGTCCACTCCTATTACTATGTACTCATATAATAAGTAATAGTTGTATCTTTAGTTGCATTAAAGACAAGCTTTAATCATAGTTGGGTATACTTCCAGATACACAAGAATACTGACTTAATATTCCTTATATGAATAATAGAATGTTAGCTATAACACTTATTTTACTTTGATTTTGAAAATTTAGATCTATTCTAACTTATCACAATCTATACTACCCCAGACTTTTTCTAAGGAGAATAATCTTGGATTATCTCACAACCATTTATAGTCAGTAACTCAAAAAGCTGCAAGAAAATTCAAGTCCTCTATCATCTTTTACCACTTCTAGGTTTTCTACAACCTATTCTTGAACTAATTGAGAGTATAAGAAAACAAAATCATTGGTCCTTTTATCCTCATAATAACATTAACTGAATTGTTGTGTCTTTTATTGTTTAAAGGTAGATAGAGACAAATAACTATACAGCTTTTGCATTTACTTTGAAACTGCTATGGAGGATGTTGCATATGATACCATTCAATGTCTGCTGTACAGTACGCTAACATCAGACATTTACTTTAAAGTTAAAGATTAGAAAACTCTTTATTTTTTCTTAAGGAAATTGTGTGCTTTCAGCTCTTGGGCACATTTCTTTCCTTGACTTGGATACTAGAAAACTTAAATTATTTGGATGCTCAAGCCCAGAAACTATATTGAGCTTTCCTATTGGTGCATTTGTTTTCTCCTCTTAGCCATGTTTCTTACATTTGTGTTTTATTTATTTTTTTCATATTATACTTGTCATTTTGGAAGCTGATTTAAAATATTTTCTGAAAAGATATAGTGTACAAATATATTAAAATTGAAGTCACACTTAGCATTAAATGGGCAAGTGAGTGCTCATGAAGAATGCACTGGTACCTGTATCAGCACTGGACTGATACTTTCTTTGCTTGAACTCCCCTGGGACAGGTCTGTGAAAAGGCTTCAATAACAATGCTTCAAGAAAATGTTAAATAAACCTCTACATGCTGCTAGATGAAGGGAAATCATGACTGACAAAAAAAATCTTATAGATTGAAATTTATACAAGGAAATGTGGCTTGCTCAAGGCATCCTGGATACTTAATGCAGAACTAAGAGGGGAAAAGGTCCTCTTGAATACCAGTATGGCTTTTAACTCCTGACTGACTTAAATAACCTTTGACTTCAAAGGCAATGCTGCCTGAAGGGCTGGGCCAAGACAGACTAGGCATAAGTTCAAGATTTGGTTGAGCCTAAGATAATCTGTCTGCACCCCTGGATAGGACAGAAAGCAGCAGCCTTCACTATTTCTTGGTCAGAGACCTGTGCAATAATAATTCTTTCTGTATGTTCAGTGACATCTTTGGGTGCCCAATAACCTAAGTGTCTAAAAGGCAGAACTGCAGATCATATTTATTTGCCATAAGTTTGAGGTATAGCAAGATGGTCATGACTATTCATCATCCAGACAAATCTAGACAAGAGAGCCCAAGGCCAAGACTGATGTTTGGCAAGGTGGTAAAGGGCTGAAAAGTTTTCCAGGCTATAAGGCAAAATATCCATTTCTGGAGGAATCAGTATAGAAAGGTCAAAGTTGTCAAGGACAGAATTTGGGTAGTCAAAATTTGGGGCTAATTTTATTAGTGTAAGTGACCTTTGATCTTAGAGAAGAAACTCTTCTGTATTTTTCTAAAAAATAAATATTATTTTACAGCAATTTTATGTTTATAGAAAAATTGTGCAGGAAGTACTGAGTTTTCATATCCCTTCCCCCATTGTTTCTCCTATTAACATCTTGTTTTAACGTGATATGATTTGTACAACTGATGAACAAATATTGATATTAACTGAAGGCCATAGCTCACATTACAGTTCACTTTTTGACAAGTGTGTTTTGACAAATAGTTAATGCCAGGTATCCACTATTACAGTACTATATAGAATAGTTTCGCTGCACTAAAAGTGCACTATATTCAACCTATTTATCCATTGCCCTCTCCCCCTAAACTCCTAGCAAGCACTAATTTTTTACTGTTTCCATATTTTTGCCTTTTGCAGAAAGTCATATGTAGTTGGAATTGTACAATATGTAGCTTCTTCAGACTTTTCTTTCACTTAGCAACATACGTTTAGGTTTTTTGCACTTTTTTATAGCTTGATAGCTCATTTCATTTCATTGCTGAACATTACTCCATTGTATGAATATACCACAGTTTTTTAATTCTTTCACCTATTAAAGAACGTCTTGGTTGTTTCCAATTTTTAGCAATTATGAATAAGGCTACTATAAACATTAATGTACAGGTTTCTATATGGACATAAGCTTTCAACTCATTTCTGTAAATACCAAGGAGTACAATTACTCAATCTTATGATAAAGCTATGCTTAACTTTGTAAGAAACTGCCAGGCTGTCTTCTAAAGGGATTGTGCTTTTTTGCATTTCCACCAGCAATAAATAAGAGGTTTCTGTTGCTCCACATCATTATCAGCATTCAGTGTTGTCAGTACTTTGAATTTTGGCCATTGTAATGGTATACAGTAATAGCTCATTATTGTCTTAATTTGCAATTTCCTAATGACATATGATGGCAAGCATCTTTTTATGCTTAACTGTCACCTGTTTTTTTTTTTTGTTTTTTTTTTTTTTGAGACAGATTCTCGCTCTGTCGCCCAGGCTGGAGTGCGGTGGTGCAATCTTGGCTCACTGCAAGCTCCGCCTCCTGGGTTCATGCCATTCTCCTGCCTCAGCCTCCCGAGTAGCTGCGACTACAGGGGCCCACCACCACGCCCAGCTAATTTTTTGTATTTTTAGTGGAGACGGGGTTTCACCGTGTTAGCCAAGATGGTCTCGATCTCCTGACCTCGTGATCTGCCTGCCTCGGCCTCCCAAAGTGCTGGGATTATAGGCATGAGCCACTGCACCCAGCCCACCTGTGTATTTTCTTTGGTGAGGTGTTCATGCAGATCTTTTACCCATTTTCTATTGCATTTTTGCTGAGTTTTTTAAAAGTTCTTTGTATATTTTGGATACAAGGTTTTTTTTTAATTCAAATATGTATCTTGAAAATATTTTCTCCTAGCCTGTGTTTTGTTTTTTTCATTCTCTCAACAGTGTCTTTCACAGAGCAGAAAATTTTAAGTTTAATAAAATCAAATTTGGCAATTTTATCCTTTATGAATCAGGCTTTTGGTATTTTATTTAAAAAGTCATCATCAAACTCAAGTTATCTACATGTTTTTCCTATATTATCTTCCATAAATTTGATATTTGCATTGTATATTTAGGTTTGTGGTCTGTTTTGAGCTTTTTTTTTTTTTTTTGGTGAAAGTTGTGAGGTTTGTATCTATACTAGTTTTTGTTTTGCATGTAGATGTCCAGTCATTCCAGAATCATTTGCTGTAAAGACTATCCTTTCTACATTCAATTGGCTTTGCTCCTTTGTCAAAGATCAGTTGACTATATTTGTGTGGGTCTATTTCTGGGCTTTGTATTCTTTTCAATTAATTTGTATGTTATCTTTCACCAATACCATACTGTCTCGATCATTACTGCTTTATAGTAAGTGGAGAAGTTGGGTAATATCAGTCTTCTGACTTTGTTCTTTTTCAATATGTTCTTTTTCATGTGTTGGCTATTCCGGGTCTTTTGCCTTTCATATAAATTTTTGAACCTTTATGTTGATATCTATAAAACAACTTGCTGGGATTTTGGTAGGGATTGCATTGAAACTATAGATCCATATGGGAGAACTGATATTTTAATAAGTCTTCTTATCCATGAATGTATAATATTTTTTCATTTATTTAGATCTTTGATTTATTTTATTAAAGTTTATGATTTTCTTTATATAGGTTTTTTACTTTTTAAAAGATTTATACCTAATTTATTTTTTAGATGTTAATGTAAATGGAACTTTGTTTTAAATTTCAAATTCAAATTAGTTATTGATAATATACAGGCCGGGCACGGTGGCTCACGCCTGTAATCCCAGCACTTTAGGAGGCTGAGGCGGGCGAATCACCAGGTCAAGAGATAGAGACCATCCTGGCTAACACGGTGAAACCCCGTCTCTACTAAAAATACAAAAAGAAATTAGCCAGGTGTGGTCGCAAGCACCTGTAGTCCCAGCTACTCAGGAGGCTGAGGCAGGAGAATGGCGTGGACCTGGGAGGCGGAGCTTGCAGTGAGCTGAGATCGTGCCACTGCACTCCAGCCTGGGTGACAGAGCAAGACTCCGTCTCAAAAAAAAAAATTTATATGTATATGAGACACATATATGACACATATGCCACATATATATGACACCTATGACACATATATGATGCACATATACGACACACGTATACGACGCACATATATGACGCACATATGCAACTCATACACGACACATACATGACACATACATGACACATACATGACGCATACATGACGCATACATGACAGAAATCTACTTTTCTATATTGATCTTGTATCCTGTAACCTTGCTAGACTTGTCTATTAGTTCAATTATTTCACTTGTCCATTCTTTTGGATTTTCTTTATAGACAATCATATAGTCCATGAACAAAGACAATTATATTTTTTCCTTCCTAATCTATATACCTTTTATTACATTTTATTATTGCACTAAGTAGGACTTCCAATATGACAGAAAATAATAGTGGTGAGAGGAGACATCTTTGTCTTATTCCCAACCTTAGGGATTAAGTATCTCGTTTCTTACCATTAAGTATAATGTTAGCTTTAGTTTTTCTGTAAATGTTCTTTATCACGTTGAAGAGATTCCTTTTGTTCCTAGTTTTTTGAGAGGTTTAATCATGAATGTGTATTGGATTTTGTCAAATTCTTTTTATGCATCTATTGATATGATAATATAACTTTTCTTGTTCAGTCTATTGATTTGATGAATTACATTAATAGTTATTCTAACATTGAAGCAGCCTTGTATACTCAAATGAATTTGACTTGGTTATGTTGTATATTTATTTCCTTTTATTCATTGTTGGACTTGGTTTAATATTTTGCTGACAACTTTGGCATCCATGGTCATGAGAGAGATCAGACTGCAATTTTCTTTCCTACTAATGTATTTTCTAGGTTTATTATTTAGGTCATGTTGGTCTCATAGACTGAGTTAGAAAGTATTCCTTCTGCCTTTATTTTCTGGAAGAGATTATGGAGAACTGTTCTCCCTCTTTTTTCATTTCCCTTTTGGATATGTTTTGCCGGGAGCCCTCAGGTGCTGATGGGCAGAGAGTGAAGAGAAATATGGGACTGGTAGCGACAGCTTATCTTCAATGGGGCCCAGGTGGGAAGATCAGCTTTACTGGGAACTTACAGTTTCTGTTGGTGTTGCCATAGTCTATTGATAACTAATCATTGCTAGTAATGACTAAACATAGAAGGGTTTGTTTTAAAGAGTCTAACTGGTGCATATATAGAGTAAGAGAAAAGCCTGGAAACAATTATTGCAGCTATAAACCAGAGAAACAGTATCCATGTGCATAGTGGGTAATGCAATATTGATTATACATTGACTTTGTAAGTGCTGGTTGCAGATACAAAGTACAACACTGCCAACAAATTGTCTTAAAACATAAAGAACATGCTGTGTTCATTGATGTTTGAAAACAAAGAAAAAATACACTTTTTAATGTATTCAAATATCATTTTAAAAACCTGCTACATGTTAGAATAAGGGAAACCGCTATTTTATTGCACTTTATTTCTATATCTGAAAAATGAGGATTGTAATCTTGTAGAATTTTTAAGAGAAACCAAATAATTTATTTTTTATTTACTTTTAAAAGTATTCCGGTGAATTACAAAAATGAATCTAACACAGCTCTTGCCTCCAAGTAGCTTGTACTTTAGAAATAGTATTACATATACTAATATCATTATAAAACAAATGCCAGTAACGTAAGTGACTTAAAGAGGGTACCAATACAGAGACACAGGGCAGGGCTCAGTTAACGTCTTCTTAAAAGGCCAGATAATAATTATTTTTGTTTTTACAGCCTATACAATCTCTGCTGTAACTACTCAACTCTGCTTTTAGAGCACAGAATGCAGTCATAGACAATAGGTAAAAGGATGAGCATGGCTTTATCCCTATAAATATTTATTGATAAGAACAGGTGGCTGGCTGGATTTAAGTCTGTTGGCCATAGTTTGTCAATTCAGTCACAAAGGAAAAAAGAAAAAAATGTGAAAAATAGTTTTTAAATTATAAAGCTCCGTTCAAATGTAAAGTTATTATTCATTGAGCTTATTGAAGACTGATACAGTGTTTAACTTGATGTTAATACACAACTAATAGTCCCTGGGTAATAAGCCAATTTGTTGCCAGGTGAATAAAAGGAGAGTGACAATAATAATTAAGGGTAATAAACTGCACTCATCCTTTTCTTAGAGGAAAAGGAAAAGGAACTAGATCCTTCATATTTCTTTTATATTTTTAAAGGGTTTTATCTTCCCAAGAGTTTTGCAAATTTTAAATACATCTTTGTTACCTCTCCTTGATGAACTTGGGGATTTAATCTTATTCCCAACTTAATATAAGAACCCGCTATACCCTCCCCACTCCCCATTCCACCTTCTATTAATTGCACTTCAATCCTAAACCTTCCTGGTGCTAAATCAGGAGTTAGGAGTTTGGAAAAGTTGGCAACTCTTCCTCAGCTTGGCGAGTCTCTCTGTGTTCGGCTTTTAATTTTCTCTTCTTTTTTTCTCACTCAGTGGCTTAAGCTCATTCAAGTCAGCCTCCCTTCAGAACTGAAAATTTCCATTTTTCAGAATTCAGCAAGTAGGTCTTTTGTCTCTCACATTTGGAGCCAAGTAGATTGCTTTTAGCTGCTCAGTGGAATGTTCTATTTTATCATCATGAGACTAACCAGCTGCAGATTTTGAACTTGAGGGGTTTGCCCAGCAGAGTGGTCTCTATGGTAATCTGCTCTCTACCAACTCTGTTCTCAAATTTCACTCCTTGAACCACAAATCTGTTTGTTTTAACAGCTTAAACATCTTGACAACCATTTTCTGTAACATATGCAGAGTAGACATGCAAAATGTTAGTAACCAATTTATCCCATAGTTGAAATCGTTAGCACACAAGTGGTTTCAACTGGAGTTATGCATTTTTTTTTAACTAATTTATAATTGATTAACATTATTTAATTGTTTCTGTCTCTGTAGATGCTGCTCATTTGAAAGTATGATTACTGCTGTTCCAAAACAACAAAAGCTTTGCTGGGAATTCATATGTGAACAGTAGCAGAAACTTTCATTGCTGTATTAATTATCCCATGCAGAGTTTCCAGATTGAACAAATCTTTTTACCCTGTTCTTAAAAACACCATATTACTAAGAATAGGAGTCTTCCACCTCTTTAAAGATACGCATCTGTGTGTATCTTTTATACGTTGCTTCTCACTTTATGTCATCTTCAGAGCATGATTTCAAATATCAAATGTCTCTTAACTAATGTAGAATAAAAACAAGTAACCCATTTTACCATTATTTAGTTGGTAGTTTTTCACCAATATCTACCAGTATTTTAAGAGTGCCATTTCTGCCAGACTGCTAGGTGAAGTTCTGTAATCCATACTTCATACCTTGACATTGCAATTCTGCAGAATAAATTTAATGCCTACACTCATATCAGTAAATGATTATAATCTCTTAGTGGGTAGAAGCCAGACCTGTTTAATTTTCTGCATTCAGCTCTCAGATAGCAACAAGTTCAGGATTCACCAAACATATATATATATATATATATATTCCCATGTATATATATTTATATATATATATTTTTCCCATATATATATTTATATATATATAATATATATATAGCAGAATGATAAATAGTTTTTGCAACAAAATACCTAATAGAGAAAAAAATTATCAGTTGTATTCCATCTTAAATTCAGTGAGAAGAAAGTAATAGAAGATGCATGTGTAGTTGTCTTGGTTCTGAGGCAACGGAGACTCCTTGCTTCCACAGACTACAAATAACCATGTGGGTTTCACTCCAGTATATGCACCACAATGATAATAAAATTTGAAATGATGTTCCACAAAGAATATTTACTGCTCTAGAATAAGAATACTGAACCTCATAACTGAAAACGAATAGCTAACAAATACTTAACACAAAAGAATGAATTGTTTACCCCAATGATCAGGAAGTGACTGGGATACCTGCTCTCACTGCTTATGTTCAACATTCTACATTCATTGTGTATACATACTACATTTTATTCAGCCATTCATAAATTAATGGAATATAAAATTATAAAATTAATGGAAATTTGGGTTGCTTCCACTTTTTGTCTAAGATCATTTGTCCAACATTTTGGATGGACTTAGGTTTTCATTTCTTGTGGTTTATAGCTAGTCATGGAATTGTTGTGTCATATGATTAATCTATGCTTAACCCTTTGAGGAACTGTCAAATTGAGCTTGGGGACTTAATCTTATTACCAACTTAATATAAGAACATGATATCTCCCCTCCCCATTTTCATTTTCTATTAATTGCACTTGAATCTTAAAAATTCCTGGGGATAAGTCATGAGTCAAGAGTGGCTGCATCTTTTCTACATCCCCGCCAACAATGTATAAGCGTTCCAATTTCTCCACATCCCAGTTCACACTGTTAATCTCCATCTTCTTTTATTATAGCCATCCTAGAGGGTGTGAAATGAAATCTCATTGTGGTTTTGATTTGTATTTCCCTAATGGCTAGTGATATTGAGCATCTTTTCATGTACTTATGGGCCATATGTGTGTCTTCTTTGTAGAAATGTCTTTGCAAATTATTTACCTATTTTTAACTGGAATATTTGCTTATTATTGAGTTATAGGAGTTCTTTATATATTGTGACATATTCTCATATATGCTGGATTCAAGTTCCTTATCAGATACATGATTTGCAAATATTTGCTCTCAACTTGTGGGTTACCTTTTCACTTTCTAATGGCATTGTGTGCAACACGAAAGTTTTTAACTTGTATAAGGTCTAATTTATTTTTTTCTATTATCACTTTTGCTATCATCTCTAAGAAACCACTAAATAATTCAAGGTAGTGAAGATGTATGCGTGTTTTCTTCTGGGTGTTGATAAATGAGTAAATAACAATTCGAGACAAGGTATAGTAAGTAGCTGAGGTGGAGGGGGCAGATGACTTTTTACCATAACTAAGTAGAAAGTAGCTGTAAGACTCATCAATAATATGATTCTAAGAAGAAAAAGAATAAATCAAAGAAGAGACTAAGGGAAATTAAATAAAATTAAAACATAACAATATTAATATATATGGGAAGATAATTATCTCTACAAGTGCTAAATTTAATATTTAAAATTAGATTAACAAAATTAAGGCTATTTCATGAAAATAAGATAATTCAATAATTTATTAATAAAAACAGCTGCTTAACTTACACAAACAAACCAATTTATAGATGTGTTTTTACTTATCAACTGATCATTTGATACATGGAGTTGTACTTATACTATCCAAAATATTTTAGGGGTATGGACTATAATAATTAATTGATAAGTACCAAATAAAACTGACTTGGATGATCATTTGATCATTTTTCTCTGAAGATTCTTTTATAGCATCAGTTGATCAAATTGGCCAGTTACTTTGCAATCTGAAGAATGAATCTGAAACCAACTAAAAGGTCTCAAAATGTGGACATCTAATTAACTGATATTAATATTCTTGTTTTATTCTATATGTACCTTGAGAGAAGAAAGAAATTGACTTAGGAATAAAGAATTCTAATTTGCAAATTTAATTCATTTTTCAATAATATGAGGCACATAGTAAATATATAATTTGTAATACTAGAAAAGAAAAATGAGAATCAATTAGATTTATGGATATTTAGAGTAATCTTATTTGGGCTTTGTGAAAATGTTCACACATACACAAAATAATACCACTATCACATAATTAAAAAAATCTCTGAAATGGAGACTTGAAGAGAAAAAAAATACAGAAAGCTATTTTGAATCCCACAATGGAATAAATTGCCATGGTACAGTGCAAACTAATCAGAGCATATCCAATGCTGTAAGTTTCCTACTATAAATAAACATGGAGATCCACACATACTCAGATTTGATGGCCTTCCTTCAAAATGATGGAGTGTGCTGAACTTTACTTGTCTCCTGAATGTAACTACCTTTTAAAAGTTAAGGCAATTTTCCTACTTCAGGATTTCTAAGAAAGTAAGCACTTATTTTCCTCTCTTTTTTGGCCTCCACATATGTGCTCTATATGTACACATATAGTGTGTGTGTGTGTGTGTGTGTGTATGTAGGTGCACACACATATACCATATACTTATATATATGTAATTCACTAATTTCACTTTTAAGTTTTCTTATTATCGAGAACCTTTTCAATAGTGACACAATGAAAAAAAGATGCAACAAAATAGAATGAAGTCATAACAAAAAGCTAAAGATCATTTCTACCTAGAGGAAAACTCATTTTTTTTCCACCGAAAACAAAGGTTGTAAAATGGTGATGTCCATGTCCAACCTATCCTCAAGTGTGTTTTGTTTTTTTCTTTCTTTCCTTCCTTCCCTCCCTCCCTCCCTCTCTCCTTTCCTTCCTTCCTCCCTTCCTTTCTTCCTTCCTTCCTCTGATATGCAGAGGGTTTTAAAATATGTTTTAATTGATTGCCAAGATTTGAAAAGCAGCAGAATGTTTCAAATAAAAATCTAAGTTCCAGGCATCCCTTTAAAAATGGGAAGACCTGGAAACAGAAGCCTCGGTCCTGAAGGTGCTCGCCCGCTAGCCTGTTCTTAGTACCCCCTTAGACAAGGCCCAAAGATCTCCTGCCCACTGATAAATCCGTTGGTCCATTTCACTCATTTATATTATCTGCCTGACCCCTGTGAGCATTTGGGTTCGCATATATTTTTTAGACCCAAATGAACTGTTTTTCTGTTTCTCAGTGAACAATTTTCTCAGCATTCAATTAAAATAAATTACCAGCCTGGAAGCAGTGTGTTTTAGAGAAATGAAAAGAAATTTCTAATATTGCTTTCACAGTTAATATATAATTAGTGAGTAAATTGTTGCCATGCTTAGAGCTTCCTTAGGACCCTGTTCAGGAAGAAATGTAGAGTTATTCTCATTTTTATATGAACTTGTTGAAACCAAGTCTCTATTTAACATATTGGACAAAATGAGGAAAGTAATATGATTTTTTTGCTGTTCTGAAGAGGATGCCAACACAAGTGAAAACAGGTGTGTGAACAGCAGTAGGAAGTAATGAAAAACAAGATTGCTAAAATCACAAAGGCCAGTGTTGTTGTTGGTTTTTTTTTTTTTTTCTTTTTATGATGGCCTGGAGCAACAACTAAAAAACTCTTGTAGTCATTGTATCTACAGGCTTCAGTATTTGTTTCTCCCTAAGAATTAATTTTTTTTTAAAGCTTGAAAGGCTTTTCCCCTTTCCAAAGACACTTTGAAAGAGCTCGCACAGTGTATGTAGCCTAATAGAGAACAGTGATCCTGGTATAAATGTAAAACCAAAATCAAAATCAAAACATGCTTTTGAATGTAATATAGTTCTAATGAAACTGTAAGCCATAAAGTTGAAAACTCCTCTGTTTATGGAACATATCTTTTGCAATGAAGAGAAATTCTAGATCTTGGGAAGATCTTTGAAAGGTATCAAATTTAAAGACCCTACCTAAGCTTACCTCAGAAACTTCACAACATAATCTTTTTCAAGGTTTTGATCCAAAATCAGGTAAACTTTTGTGGTAGAAATTTTGTGGAAACTGAAAAAGGCAAGGAAAATGAAAAGCAGGTAGGTGCTAATCAAGCACCATTGTAATTGAAACTCACCTTTACTCCTGAAATTCTCAGGTATGCACACTTGTGGGCATAACCACACAGAATACTTATGTGAACACATATGGAGTGAGATTGTTTTAAAGAAGGATACAAGTAAAACCCAAACATGGGTCAGGATAATGGATTTTAAAGGATTTCTTTCCCTCTTTGGCATTCTAAACACACAGCTTTGCTTGTTGCATTATTTTGTCATTTAACTTCTAGGCTTCCAAAAATCTCTTCATTAAATCAGTATAATGGTTTTTAAAAAAAGCTTTCACATGAACTGAAACTTTAAAAGCATATGAGCAATTGGTAGGAAAAAACCGTAAACAACAAAGGATGCAAAAAAGTATTCTGAAACTAGCACAATAATGTACATTTGGCTAGAATGCCAAATGACCTGTTTAATATCCATATCAACATCAATCCAAAATAGTGTTTTTTACAGCTATCATCCAACCAGGAAGGTTGACAAGGAAAAAATAGGCTTATTGTTGGGAAAGATGATAAAAAAGGAGGAGAAACAACTCACTCAAATTCTTACTTTCATTTAAGAATCAGGCCTTCAAATTGTTGCTCAGATAATGTCAGGATTAGGTACAAGGAATTCTTGACTAGATCATCAAATATAGGAAGAAAACACTGCATTCAGATTAATTTTTATATGGAGTTGCATATAATTTCACAGCCATTGGAATTAATTATGGTGAGAAATGAAAAATGGAAACAGTGTCAGAAGACTAGAAATGGATAAATATCCAAATCTCCTAACAAGCAAAATATAGAAATTCAAGCACATAAATTCAATATTAATTGGGTAGTAAACAGGTTTCAAAAATGTATATGGTGATCATTAATAATAAACACATGTATTCTAAGATATAAAAGAAGAATCTCAAAGTTGGTAGTTCAAGTTAAAACAACTTCAGTTTCTTTTCAAGAGATAATTAACAGGTTGATATTTCAGGGAAAACATGTTGTAGAACAATTGATTTCTTCAAACATTTGACAAACTGTCCCATGAATTCTCAGAAGAAACTGTATAGTTTAACACTATCATACAATATGGATATAAGAATAACAAAGTGCTCACAAGAAAAAAAAATAATTGATGAGGTCTAAAAATACTATGTAGTGACTTTATTTTCTATAAATTGCAGCACAAAGTACAGCCAATAAAAAAGTGAGCTTGAGATTAGAAGGTAATAAAGCAAATATGACAGTATAGATAAAATTGAGTAGAGATAAAATTCTGTAAAAGGAATAACTCAAATGAAAGAGGTACTAAATCCCAAAGATTCTGGCATGTTAGGAGGAGTAGTATGTGTTTAGAAAATTTCCTTTAGAAAATCCACAAATATGAAGGTAGATCATTCCCGGGAAATTTTGAGTGAGGATAAAAGCAGAGGGAAGTGGAACTACTATAGAGCTATAACAGTGGGCTCAAGACGACCTCAGCAAAGGAGGAAAAACATGGCGAGTACTGGTGCAGGCACTCGAACCCAAGTAGAATTGAGGAGGGGCTTCACCTCTCCAGGCAGGTGTAAACATTTTTGTCCAGTTAAAAATAGAGCATTCAAAAAGTTATTTTTCATCTTTTATAAGAAAAATGTGACAGGGGGAACTGTTATCCTAGATTTCAGTTTTACCAACCTGGAAACATCAGTTGGTTTAATTGAAATAACAGAAAGATCCTGGGGGGATATGTAGTCACTTCAGAGTACACGAGACCTCGTCTGTGTCTAACTCTGCTAAGGGTTTAAAAAAAAAAAAAAAATTATCATGGATGGGGTAGAATACCTATTTCTATATGACCTCATTTTCTATAGACATTAAATTATGTTTAGACTGTTAAAAATATGTTTTAGGCACTTATAGTAAACAAAAACAAAATTTCACACTTTTAAACCAAAACACATCCTTTTACTTTTCATAGATGTGTTTCTGTGTCAAGATTCATGGAAGGAAAAATGAAACATTCTTTAAAGTTCTAAAAAAAATAGTGCTTTTTGTTTGTTTGTTTTGAAAGTAGTAGTTTGTTTTGAAAGAAGTAGTGTAAGCTCAATTGTTCTGGCTACATTAGTAATACCTGCTGTATAAGTAATAAATTCCAAAGTATCAGTGGTTTATGAAATGGAAGCATACTTCCCATTCATATAAAGTTTAATAATTAATTATTGGGATGGGACAGGTTGTTGATAGAAAGGGAAGAATACTCTGTTCCATTCAAGGGCCCCAGGATAATGGTGGCTTCATTATCTTCATTGTGTGGTTTCAACAATTACTCTAAGAAACAGAGCATGAATGATTATATGGGAATTTTACATAGGCTAGTACTAGAAATGATACATGTCCTTTATGTCCAAATTGTACTAGCGCCCCCCCCCACTCCCCATATTGAGGCAAGGGGAAATTGGATTTATAAACACTGTCTGTAAAACTAGTTCCTAGCAACTGCTCTAAACCCATAGATGGGAGCACAAGTCTTTGGAAAACCAGTGACTTGTGTTACCCTTATATGGAGTTATTTTGATATAGAGTATTTAAAATCTGTTAATATAAAGACAATGGTTTATTTGACACATCACTGTTTATTCCCTGAACAGTGAAGATTGATATTTTAGAGACCAATTGAAAAACGCTAAATATTATTGTTTTTGATGGGAGAAAATGTTTTTAATGGTCTCATCACAAACATTAAAAATCATTAAAAGGGTCCTTGTTATCAGACAGTATAAAACATTTAAAATATAAGCTCATTGAATTATAGAATTTCAGAACTACAAGAAACCTTGGAGACTGTCTAATCCAACACCATTTTTTAGCAAATAGAATCACATGTTATATATTATGCATTTAGGTTATAAATTTATCATCGAGTGCAGAAATATACGAAGCCAGTATTTTTCTTGTGCCCAAATGAAACCCACACAATGAGCTAAGCACTTAGGTTAACTGTTTCAAGCTACTAAGCTACTAGACATATCCTCGCTGACATTGTGAAGTGTAGAAAGGGACGATGATAATTCTGCAGCTTGTCCCATGTTCCTGTGTCATTTGATTTATGTGCTGTACCTGACTCCTATGATGCTCTCTGAATTCATAAATCTGAGTAAAAGAACAGGGACCCATAACTCAAAGAGGATGAGATGGGCTAAACCCCGAGGCTGAGAATGTACTGTACAGTTGGAGCTCTGTTCCTTCATGAATACCCATGGGTATCAAAGTTGCTAAAGGTTAGGCATTCATCACAAAGGGTTCCAGTCAGGAGACATGGCAGGGTTTCAAGATTAGGTTTTTTTACCTTCAAACTTTTGTGTACTCCACATAAAAAAATGTTTTTGCTTTTTTTAATAAGGTAAAATTGAGGCAATTCATGTTCTAATGCATACCTCCACATCACGTACACCTACATGTCAGTGCCTACTATCAGCAAGATGTTGCCCTACACAGGTTTTATGGGAAGAGGAAAAGTTACAAGCCATGGAGTATAAGCTTTCAAATTTATCATCTAATAAAGAAAATGACAGAGATCATGAAACATAATGACAGTGTATGGTCACTATGAAAAGGACCTTACATTTATAATACATTCAGTAGTACAGAAATTCAGAAGCGGAAGAGTTCACTGAGGATGAGATGCTGAAGGACTATGTAATATGAGACAAGTAATGTGCACATATTATAGTCAAGCTGCTTTATATTCATAAAAATTTTCTGGAGTAGCACAGGTCTTATCACTGTTTCAGTCTTTGGGCTGCTTTTACTTGTACTAATTACGATTAGATCTGTTTCTCAGTTTTCAGTGCAATTTAAGCTAAGATTATGAGATCTATGCCAGACATTTAATTCTATTCTCTTACAGACAGTAGCCTCATCTCTGGCCGGTCACAAACAGAGGCTCTGCCTTTAAGTGTATAAATGTTATGAATATGCTTAATTGGTTTATTCAACAAGCTAGTTGAACATCAAATATTTATTAAGCTTTTCTTCTGTGTCAAGCACTATTCTGGTAGTAGGAACACAGTATGTATTTAGAAACATAGATGCATCCTCACCATTTTGAGACTTACCGTCTGTGAATGAAGTAGACAGATATTTCTACAATCAATGACATTGAATTATGATAAGTACTATGATAAAGAAAGCACTATACTCTTTTAGAACAAATAGCAAAAGAATCTCACCTAGCCTGCTGGTGATCCCAGCACTTTGGGAGGCTGAGGTGGGTGGATCACCCGAGGTCAGGAGTTCAAGACCAGCCTGACCAATATGGTGAAACCCTGTCTCTACTAAAAATACAAAAATTAGCCAGGCATGGTGGCATGCATCTGTAGTCCCAGCTACTTGGGAGGCTGAGACAGGAGAATTGCTTGAACCTGGGAGGTGGAGGTTGCAGTGAACTGAGATCGCACCACTGCACTCCAGCCTGGGCGACAGAGCGCGACTCCATCTCAAAAAAAAACAAAAAAAAACAAAAAAGTGACCTAGTCTCCAGAGGGTCAGGGAAGACTATCGTAGGAAACGACATTAAAATTAAAACATGAAAGATAAAAAGGATGTAGCCACTGAAGATGAGGCAGGAGTGTGTTCTGAACAGAGAAAACAAGGAGAAAAGGCAAGCGTTGTTTTGCCAGCTCTCGGAAGCTCCATGAAAAAGTGTTCTTTTACTCCTGAATAAAGAGAAGGTGTAACCCAGAAGCTCTCAAAGTATAGTCAGGGAATCTGTGAAGCCAAAACTATTTCACAATAATACCAAGATGTTATTTGCTTTTTTTACTCTCATTTTCTGATGAGAGTTTGCCAGAAGCTGCATAACGTATTCGATCACAACAGATTGAATTGTGAAGCAAACATGGGAATTCAGCTATCTATTAGGTCAGTCATTAAAAGGATTTGCAAAAATATTAAACAATGTCACCCTTCTCACTGTAGGTTTTGAGAAAGAGAGTTTGTAAAATGTATTATTTATGTGAACATATACAGCAATTTTATTGCTAAAAAGTTAATACATATTTTAAAATTTTTTCAGTTTTAATTTATAACATGTGAATACTAAGAGATATGACCCACATAAATGGAAGCCATTTGGGGTCCTAACTAATTTTTAATAGGGTAATGTAGTCTTGAGACCAAACTGATTGGGAACTACTCATATTACCCAGAATGGGGACAATTTGAGAGTGAAAGGAGACAGTATTAATAATTACATTAGACAATGAAGTGAAAATACATCTCAGCCTACTTGGATGTTTATCCCAGTTTGTTACTTGTTTTCCTTGTTTTTCTGGCACCTGTTATTAATAACTTTCAGTTTTACTGTCAAAATGTCCTGATTTGGAGGATGAGTTGTATGGTCACCCTACCTATAGGACTAATTAACCCTGGCCTTGCCCTATGCCCTTCTAGGTGTGCTATTAAACAGAACTCCACAACATGAATTTCTGTGGGGAAATAGATATGAGGGGTCTTTTGATGGAAATATGCCTGATCATCACAAATAGACTGGTTGAAAGAAGGAACGGCAAAATTTTCTCTACTTTTATTTTATGTTTTTCTGTTTTGTTTTATTTTTGTTTCTAAGTATGGCATGTGGGTTTATATATCTTACGTCTGAGAAGAACACTGTTAATCTGTGTTTTAAAAGGATAGAATTTTAGAATTCCCTGCATCATCTCCAGTAGTTACCAGGACCTCTGAAGATTAACAACAACAACAACAACTACAAAAACTTCAGGAACTTAAACCTTTGAAAGAATGTTGAGAGGAATGCGTAATACTTCCTGTGCTGCATTTATAGAAGGTCATGCCAAAGTATGGATGCTTGTTATGAAAAGTGGATGAATTTGTGTACTCAAATTGAAACAAGGTCATGGTCTAAACAGAATCCTTCAAGCATTAAAACAAACAAACAAACAAACACACAAAAAACTGCAGCACCAGAAGGGAAAGGCATTGTGTTGATATTTTTCCCTGTTTCCAAAGAGCGAGATACCTAACATTTACAGAACAAAGATGTACAAATTTAAAATGAAACACATAACTCAATTGCAACTAAAGATTTTCAGATCAGATACATCCTTTTGGAATATCTGCCAAAAAATAACATGGATATGTTACTGATTTACTAGGAGTATGCTTTAGGGAACAATAGAAACATTACAAGCAGAATGGGGGAAAAGAAAAGCCAGAGAAAACATGACAACAACCAAACAGCCAGGGAGTGAGAGAAAAAGAGTGAAAGCAAGAAAGCAAGCGCTGTCCTTATGGGAGCGTACACTTCTGTTTCTTGGGTACATCAAGGGCTTATAGCCAAGGGCTGTGATGTTATTCTAGACAATTTTGCCAACATAAAATGAGGAGTCTAAATTATGATGAAATCAGAACAGCCAACCACAAGGGAAGCCATTAACAATTTAACATGAGGGAGTGTGGATTCTACTTGTCAAAGAGAATATTAGAGGACTATTTGATATAAAATGCAACTATCACAGCATTGAGGGTTGGATACCTCAGCTGGGTTTTTCTTGAACTCATTGCCTTACCAAGTTAAACACAGACCTGGCTGTTTCACAAGGACAGCATATTTTATGCCATAGAAAAAATTAGATCAACTGAATAGGATGAGGATTTGATTGGATACCTGTCTATCAAAAAGCTGTGTGGCAAAAGAAAAGTCCAGAGGGGAGTGAAAACAGGTGAAAAGCGACCACAGGAAAAGTCAGAGTATTTGAAACCGGAGACAAATTGAGTCAAATTCTAGCTAGGGCACTTCCTGTTTGTTTAGTCTCGATACATTTTTTATCCCCTAGAATCCTAATTCGTTTAATTTTAAAATGAGAATAATAGTATCTACTCATAAGAATTATGTCAGAATTAATGAGCAAAAATTATAAGGTAGCCAGAAGAGTGCCTGGCAGAGAGTGAGAAGTCATTGAACATTGCTCATGCTTCTTCACTTTTCACCCTAATACTGTGGTCTCTCTTTCCTTCTCTTATGTCTCCATCTCCATCTTATTTTCCTTCTTTCCTGATATTTTAACTTCTTATTTTGGTTTAATTTGAGGTTTACAGAAAAGTTGCAGAGATAGTACAGGAGTTTCCATATATTGTTTACCCAATTTCTTACCTTTTCTTTTTAAAATGTATTTTTATCCAGTTGTCTTACCAGAATGCCTGTCCACAACTATCCTCAAAAGGAATAGATTGCATGATAATATAATGTTCTATTACTTGCTTCGATTGTACCATCATCATCTCTTCAGTACACAGTTGAAGAAAGCTAAATGATTACCCTAGAGTAGAAAATTATTAAATCATCTGGGTCTGATTATTGACTCTTTTTGCCTACAGAAAACTTTGGATCATGTAGCCCCCATTAACTTCAGGGAAGCCAGTCAGGTGGAGACAAAAGAAAAAGTTGATAAATCCTCAACACCAGTATGATGGTACAGTTATTATACATATTCAATACATGCCCTAAGACATAACAATAGACTTGTATTTCCAATAAGCTAGAAATCATTTCAGAGATGTGATTATTAGGTTAAGGGGTTTAAAGGGCACAAAATAGTTTTAGTTCAAATTTACATTCCCAGAGTTTTTCTATAGTGTCCTGAGGTATCCTGTGGATCTCAGTAACAGAATATGAAACTGAGCTTCTGTAGTTCCATCTCTCATCTCCTTTCTAGGCCTCTTTTCTCTTTGCTTATAAATATAAGCAAATCCATAATTCCTCTGTAGTTCTCATGAAGGTTTTTTACCTAACTGTGCCTTCCCATGAAAATGCCCAATGATCTAAAATAGCCACAAAAGCCTTCCTATTTTTTTTTTCTAGTAATAAAATACTATTCCCTTGTGCTCTGTTTAAGCCGTATGTCAGGAGAGGAAAATGAGTTCAGACGGAGCCATTCATGTGGACTCAGACATAACTAGCTCAATGCCTTTTTATCTGTCTGGGACATTTACATTTAAAGAAATGAAGCCTTGCTGTAAAAAAATGGTATAATACTCAGAATGGACCTCTAATGCTGGAAGTTAAGGCACTATGACAGAGAGAAGAAAAGGGAATCTGAAAACACCACCTTTCTTGGTGTTCAAGCTAGATGCGTGTAGGGGAGGGCTAAGAGTTGGCAAGAGAAATTGAATACCACCTAAAGGCACCTTGGGGTCATTTGTGGAAGGTGCTGCTTTTAGACCATCTTCTTCTCAACATGAAGATTAATACTGTGTGAGATGGTGTCATGTATGCAGTCCCATTTCAACCTCCTAGACCCAAACCAATGGAAGGCAAAAAAGCTCACCTAAAACAGCTTTGAAAAAGAATCTTCTTTAGTTTACTGCAGGCTTTTCCTCTGGCTATGGACCTGGCACAGCACTTTTGTAAAATAATAATAACAATAATGAAGTGCAATGCTACAGGCTGGAAAATGAAGAATGATTTGAAGGTATGAAAGAATAGGAAAAAAAAGATAAAAGGTAGTGACAGAAGTTTATTTCATTCCCATGATGAGATTCGGCAATGGTTATATTGCTTATTGCCTTCAGTTACCAAGGCCACAAACCATTATTTTCAGAGGCTCATTGCTCTATATGAGCATCAAGATTTGATGGGAAGATAAAGGGGCTGTGGGGGGAAAATTGCCGGTGATTCTTCTTCATAAGTTTTCTCTTTCTTTTCTGGAGAGGATAGCTAGCGGAAGGGGATGTTTAGAAAATAATAATAGTAATGATAATAGCATTAATCATCATCATCATCAAATCTTTGTTAGAAGAGTGAACTCATATTGGATTTCTCCATCTTTTACCTGCCTTTTTCCTGTCCCCATTGATATGAGGAATATGGACTAAATAATTCTGAAAGTACCGCTGTCTTGCTAAGCGGTGGACCTTTCTCTTAAAATTTTAATGGGCATACGAAAAGAAGTAATCCTTCTGACAGAAAAAAAAATTCAACAGATCAGCTATACAGATAATAGACAATACAATGTAAATTATGTAACAACATTATAAACAATGGAATAAAATGAATATATATTTATGGATGTATACATTTATATGTATTAATGTAATATATAAATGTGTGTGTGTATTCTGAGATATTAATCACAGGCTCATGAATCAAGCTTAGGTTTACTTGGAGGCAAGATGAATGCATTTGTACATGAACAGTATAATTTTCCATTTCTTCCTCTGATATTACTCTGATTTAGTAAATGTACCAACAGAATGCAGTATTTACTAGGGAGAGATTTAGAGTAAGAATGCCTCCTAACCACTAAAAAGCAATGCTAGCAAGAATATTAAGTATTTCCTAAGATTTTGTGCAAGCCTATTAGGTAACCTAAGAGTTCATTATTTTAACATGGTTGTGAAAACCCAGTTCAGTGTTTGTTCAGTATGACTCGTACTTTTCTAGGAGGTATATATTTGCTCCTAATTAAAGGACACTTGCTGCATACATTTCAGGTTTTAATTTAGCTCTCAAATTTGGCACTGCAGGCAAAATGCCATTGGGCAGAGGGGGGCAAGAAGAAAAGGCAGACAGAAAAGTCACAAATCCTGGTCCATCTTCAGACTTCTGCTCCTGAGGTACAGTTACAGGCAAATTATGCCATCAAGGTTGTTCAATTCCTACATGGTCTGAGTTTTATGCTACATGAGGAAAAAGAAAAGTCTGAATGGCTCGCAGTACAACATCCCCACTGACTGTATAATGACAGTGCTGTTCATTAGTCGTACCCTCCTCTCAGAACTGGGATATGCAAGAGAGTGCTGCCTGTGTCGGAGGCAAACACTATTTCACATGCAGTATTTGGTGCGTACTTCTTTAAATAAGGTTAGATTAATATTTAATGTATCATTTCTGATTCTGTTCATTTTCGTCTCCTCCTGGTGCCTCCAGTGAAAAGATTTCTTACATATTTTGACAGAAAGGTTAAACCAGATTGACTGCCAAAGAAATGGACACTGAATCTTGAAGGGTTAAACAACCTTTAGAAATGCTGAGATTTTTTTTCTCTCTCTCCCTAGGAACTGCATGCCTGAATGATTCTTAAGCTGTTAGGGTTACCATGGTAATTATTATTCTTAAATGGAAAGGTTTATTTGTGAAGCAAAAAAAGCCCAACAAACTTGTTGCCTACACCTCTACATCAAAACTACCCGGAGCCACCTTTAAAAAGGAACCAGCTTTTAAAAGAATTGAATAATACATCTCAATCTTTATCAGGGTATATAATGGGCTTGCAAAAGAGAATGGTGGAACATAAATTTATTAGAAATATTTATTGAAGCTGCACTTATTGGATGGGCTTTGCAGATTTTACCTTTTGCAGGCATGCTGGTCATAAATAACCTCAGAATCAGCTGGATTTTAGAAGAATCAGTTTTTTGGAGCATCTGATAGGTCATTTTCTATATGGCTGATCTTTGTGATCTTCATATCAATTCGTTTTAATGTGAAGATGACCCCCAAAGCTTAAACTAATTATTTTATTATTATTTTTTAATCCTACAGTCATGCCCTGTTTCTCCTTATCTTGGGGGAAAGAGCTCTGGCTTGACTGGCACCAGTCAGTGTTCATAACAGACTTTTTTGCACCATAACATGCTTTTACAAAATACAGGAGTGGTGTTATGAGGTGAGAAGGCTGGATACCCTTTTTCACATGTGGAGGGGCTCTATTTGGGATCTTCTCCGTTCAAGAACAGTGCTATCTTATAAGTCTAGAACAAATTGCATAAGTCAAAAATCAATTATCTTTTGTTCCCTCTATATTGTAGCCAGTCTGTCTTAAAATTAAATATACAGATTTAAAAGCACCCTGAAAAATACACCCTAGACAGGTGTATTAGTCCGTTTTCACGCTGCTATAAAGAACTACCTGAGACTGGGTAATTTATGAAGAAAAGAGGTTTAATTGACTCACAGTTCTGCAGGCTTACCAGGAAGCATGACTAAGAGGCCTCAGGAAACTTACAATCATGGCAGAAGGCGAAGGGGAAACAGACACATCTTACCATGACAGAGCAGGAGAGAGAGAGAAAAGCGAGAAGTGCCACACACTTTCAAATGACCGGATCTCCTGAGAACTCACAGTCACGAGAACAGCAAGGGGGAAGTGTGTCCCATAATTCAGTCACCTCCTACCAGGTCCTTACCCCGACATCTGGGCATTACAATTTGAGATGAGATTGGGTGGGGAAACAGCCAAACCATATCAACAGGTGTATGCTTGCACTTCGTGCACGCTTTTGCTCTTGCCCTTATCACAGGGTAATTGTGGATGTCTCAGCTGTCACTCCTGGTAAACTGCTGGGCCCTGGAGCCTCATGGACAGAGGCGGCAGGGTATGAAGCCCAAATTCTGGAGTCAGGTTGCCTGCATTGAAACTCCTTCTCATGCAGTCTATGCGACTCAGGTAAGTTTCTTAATCTCTCTGGGCCTCAGTTTTATTGTTTATAAAATAAATATGATAATAAGACCACTTTTATAGGGTTGTTGTGACAATTAAATGAGTTAATACCTATAAAATCGGAACAACCCCTGGTACAGGGAAAATATTTTGGGAGTGTTAGTAGCTTCTCAAGAGATATTGTCTTTTTATATTTGTATTCTCAATGAGTATTCTCAGATTAGTTGCTTAATAGAGGATTTTTAAAAATAAGTGAATAAGCCTTCTATTTAAGAAGCCTTTTTCTACCTTCTGCCATGATTGGTTATCTATTAATAGCTTCGAGGTGAAAACTTCCATTAGTCATAACTGATAGTATAGCAGCCCATTCTATAGTTGGAAAGCTCTGCTAAGGAACTCTATTGTCTTCCTGGGAACTCTCTTCTGTGGGCAAAGGAAGCTTTGAGCATTCTACCTTCTGGGGAAAATGTGTCTTCTTTCAGCCTCACTTCGTAATTATAAAAGGCCTGTGGTATTGGGTCAGGATAAGTTTCTCTACTCTACACATCAATGGGCAAGTTGCATATCCCTGTTCGAATTCAACAATGAAAAATGAGTTATAAGGTTTGTTTTAAGAAGCAGAGATGCTTATTTCAGTTGGCAATTTGATCCCTTAACAAATCATCTTGCCTACTTTTGTGGGGTTATTTTTTACTATCCCATTTTACAAGAGGTATTCAGAGAAAAGAAGCGTTACTTGACATTTCTAAGCCACTGGGATGCTTTTTAATTTGTTTCCAGAGTATTTAATCTATAAGACATACCAGGCTGAATAATTTATGTAACAAAACAATGACAACAAGGTCAAAGCAAAAGTATGACTTTACGGTGGGGAATATTCATGACATGATGCTATTTGAGATATGCTTCTTGAATATTAAAGAGTTTTTCCTAATGTTATGCTCCAATTAAATGAACAGAAAGGTATAAAAAAGAAAATTTGATTCCTTTTGAATTGGAGAAATTAAGGAAATTCTAAGATAGCAATTACTATCTTGCCATTGAAAAATATCAATCACTGTCTGTCCACGTAAAGTTTAGAGATGGTAGCTGGAAATGTTTTCACTTGTGACCTAGTTGCAATATAAATCTCAGAGTACCAGATATTCTGCATCAATAGATCAGATACTTATAAACTGATTTATTCAGTGATACATAACCTCAATTATTTATTTTCAGTTACATTTCAACTTGAAAGAAGAGAGTCAAAGCAACAACATTTGCTGCTTAAGATGGCTTATAGATAGAGTTTCCGACAAGATATAACTGCTTTTCCTTTTTTTTTTTTTAACACAGTAGAGCTTGTAATCTGAAAGGAATAATGGCTTCTTATGCACAGTGGACAAAAAAATAGATAATCTAATACATAATATAGAAAAGCACTAAACTAGGAATGAGAAAATGTAGATGTTTGTGAACCTCCATCATTAATTAAGGTGGTATTGGGCTAACACATTAATAGGGATATTTAACATTTACTAGGGGCTTATTGTATTAATTAGAGGAATTAATTCTTGCCCCTCTAATAAGCCAAGAATCTTAGTGGATTAAGGTAATAAAAGTTTATTTCTTGCTTACATCAAGTTGGAAGGCACCCAACCTATTTCCAACTGGTGGCTCTGCCATCTTCCATTGCCTCAGAGTACTTCAATACATCCCCTGCATCCAGCTGGCAGAATGATAAGGGCAGCAGATGAGAAGAAGAATGTGATTGAGGTTTCAGTGGGCCAGGCCTGGAACTGATGATTATCACTCCTCTTACACTCATGTGGAAGGAGCTCAGTCACATGACCCTATGTATGTGCAACTATGGCTGGGAAACACAGGAAAGCACTGTGCCAAGGGAGAGAGGACATGAATAATGTTGAGCAACTACGATTATGCATAGTGAGCTCTGCCACACTATGCTTAGCTCTCTCAATATCTCACTTAATTCTCCCAATGACTTTTTGCAGATCAAGAAACTTGAGCTTAGAATGGCAGAGCTGGACTCATTCTTTGACTTAATCTGTGCTTTTAGAGACAATGCTAAATTGCCTTCTTGGTCTTTGAAAATCACTATTACAGGTTTCTTCACCTTGATAACAAAAATGACAGTATTGGCTCTTCCTGTTATACTTCATAGAATATTGGAAAATTGTGAACATGCCAAGACTTGCCTTCTCTCCATTGTGTAGATGAACTGTCTGGGCATTTTTTTATAGCTAACTCCTCTACTTGTACAATATATGCCATCTCCTCTCAGCCTTTCCAGCAATTCTCCTCTCTCTATTCAGCACATAAACACTTCCCTCTTTACTGAATTATTCTCATCAACATACAATTATGCTATCATTTCTCTGATCTTGAAAATAAAACCATATCTTGACTCTATATATCTAACTAGCTATTGCCTCATTTCTCTGATGCTCTTTAGAACAAAATATCTTGAGTGATGTATACCCACAATTTCCAATCCTTCTCCTCTATTTCCCCTGGATCCCCTCCAGCCATGTACAAATATTGATCTTGGTAAGTTTGCCAGTGGCCTCCATGTAGCTAAATACAATCTGTTCTTAGTCTTTACCTTATTGGACTTAACAGCATCATACCATCTTTCTCTTCTTTGAAAGTTTGTCTTTACTTGGTTTCTAAGACACCAGCTTCCACTTAGCTTTCTTTTCACTTTCCCGGACACCTTTTATGTGTCTCTTTCTTTGGTTCCTCTTCATCTCCCTGGCTTCTAAACAGAGAATTGCTCCAGGGCTCTGTCCTTAGACGCCTTCTTTTTCTCTCTTCATACTCACTCCCTTGATAATCTCGTGTAGTGTTATAGCGTCAAATCCCATATGCAAGTTGAAGATTTCCAGACTTCTTTCCTGAATCTCAGATTTGTGTCATTACCTGAATGCATGATCTGCACCTCAAGCTTAAAATACCCAAAGTTAAGTTTCTCACTCCTTCATCATAATCACCCTGGTTCAAGCCACCAGTATATCTCATTCGGATTATTGTGGTATCTTCCTAAACTATCTCTTTCCTTCTTTCCTTATTTAACTCCTACTGTGTAAAGTCAGATCATGTCACCCCTGTGAACCAATCATCTAATGTTTTGCCTTCTCACTTAGAATAAAATCCAGTTTCCTCAAATGGCCCACAAAGCTTTTTAGAATCGGGTTCTCCCATTGTTTCCCTAATTTTATCTCCTATTACTCCTTCATGTCAGCCTGCTCCAGTCACTTGAGCCCCCTTGCTATTTCTTGCTCATTCCAGTCATTTCCCCCATCTCAGGACCTTTTGCACTTGCTCTTCTCTCTGCTTGAAATATTTGTCCCATATATATTTTCATGTCTCAGTCCCTGACCTTGTATAGTTCCTTATTTAGATGTACCTTGCACTGGGGCTAAGTAGCAATATCCCCTTTTATGCTGGTTTAAACAAGTTCCTGCTCATTTCAGTATTTATCCTATTTAAAATGTAACTGCCTATCAGGACTACTATAAGACATCTCTTTTGAATAACTCAGTTTCTTTAGGCAAAATACTAAGGGAGCATCTGAGATATTGTCCCCCTTCTCTTTCTAACAACAGACTCTTAGTTCATGGGAAAAAGGCCTATATGACATTGTAGAAGTAAGGACAGTTGATCCACAGTCTGCTGCCTGTCCTTCGATGTGGTATTGGCTCATATCCCCTGAGAGATAGTAACCTGATCTTGTACATGGCACACTGTTGTCATCTGCTACTGATACCTGACGACAATCAACTCTTGCTTTCTTTCTTGGCTTGATCAGGGCCTAATGGACCTACCACGCTGATTTAGCCTTTTCTATTCTCTTGTGGCCACTACAAGCCCCTCAGAGTCCCTTCCATGTGATCTGTGTGGCATAAGGCCTACCTGTCTACCTTACGGCCTCTGCAACAGGATCACTTCACCACTTTCCCCACACAGCCATCATATTCAGCCCAATGACAATCCCCTAGCTCTTAAAGTTCACACCACCTAGAAATCACATTTGACGCAGTGTGCAAACTGAACTATGTCTTGATATTACATCTGTACTCCTCCTTCCTGACTATGCTAGTGTATGTGGGACTGCTCTACACAGCAGTCATGTTCCCAAGTTCCGAACAGTGGGCAGGGCAAAAGACTCTATTTCCTCTTTCTGAAGCAAACCTGGAAAGAGCAGTTTAGAACATACTTATGACTATTCCCCTTTCTCTCTCTCTCTCTCTATATATATATCCATTTTTGTCACATAACCATGGGACTAGAAAAGATAGTCTGCCTCCTTCCTTTTGCTCTAGGGCTAGGATATTGCTTATTGAAATGGTATCTGCCTCTACCTCATCCTGAGACTGTAATGGTATCCAGAGAGTAAGGAGAGAAACTAGCTTACTGAACAACAGCAACAACAGCAACAAAAATGGTCAGGTACTTCAAATATACCCAAGATGAAGACTGTGTATTTCTGAAAGCAAGTTTCATTAATTTCCACCATCCAACTTCAAAGAAATCTCAGTTTGTCATTTGAAATTTTCAGATGAAGTCCAGATTTGGGAGAGGATGAACCAGATGGGCTAGAAAAGAATATGTGAGGGGCTGTTCTTAGAGCAACTATTTGGAGGAACTTCTAGATAATGCATGAAATGGGGCTCTGGCAGGGCTGGCATCATGGGTGTGCTACTTATGCAGTCACACAGGGGTTGCATTCAGAAGTGTGGTTTAATATTCTGTGATAGCCATCGTGAAATTATTAATAATTTTTGAACAAGACATTCTGCATTTTTATTTTACATGTGCCCTCTGGGCACTGGCATATATTTTTGGAGTTTGGAATAGTTGAATATAGAGACTAGCACCTTCTTATCTGAAGCCTAGGAGCTCACTAGAGTGCCCCAAATGAGCAGGACATAAAGAAGCCCAGGTTACTATGTCCAAAAAAAGAATAGAAGGAGATGTCCATTCCAGTTACCTCTTGGCTTTCAGAATTTGCAGAGAGGAGGTTAGTAAAAAAGAAGACACACATCTGATTTACTGGATGTTTTAAATTGTGTCGTAAGACTTACACACAAAGATAAGAATGGAGCATGGCTCACCTTTGAGAGGTGATAGATATGAAATGGAACCAGATTAAGACTGAGATATCTTTTAACCAACAACAACATTTTAGTTGCACAAGCAGAATCTTCCTTCCATGCTGCTCTTGCTTCTGGGGGTAAGGGGAGTGATGAGAGTGAGAAAGGCCCCTTGGGGGTTTTAGGGTCAGAGGCGATATCCAAGAAGAGATAAGAGTGTAGGCTGTGATCATTGGCTGATAAGTGATTATAATTTAATTTGACCGAATAATTACTGAGGAAGACTGAGATATTCAGAACTAAATTATGTTGCAGAAATCATTGAACTAGTTCAGTATTTGATTGGGAATTGATCAAATGAAGAAAATGTCTCATCTCAGCAATTTGGGTGTTGAAGGATTAGAATAATATTTTCTAACTTTGGGAATAAAGTCAGTTTATGTCACACATGTCTGTGTAGAGAATTCTAAGTCATACCAATTATACACAGGCACATGAATAAAAGCTCAGCTAGTTTATATAAAAGAATATTATAAATACATATTTTTCCTATTGATACTTTAGAAAAACATTGGCGATCCACATTCCCCATAAATGTTTGAAAGATTACATTTATAATGATAAAGTTTATTAAAACTCATTTTCTCTGTTGACAGATACTACTAGCTAGGGATAGGGGCTCCACAGAGAATAAGCATAATCTCATTGGGACTTTTCAGCCTAGTACTGTTTATTTAGTATCATTCCAGCCCTTGACATCCTAAATACATGAAATCATCTCCAGGTTGATGGATGGCAGCACTTTAGGTCTGCCGGAAAAGCAGAAGACAATTCATCCTTCTTGTCACAATAAGGTAAATAGCTCACAGGACAAACCAAAGACCACCGTAGCTTTAAACAAGAAAGGCATTGATTCGAGGGAAAGCAAGTGCTGAAAGAGAATCCGAGAGATACTGAGAAGGAGTCAAAGGAGCTACCAGGCAAACATAGAAAACAAAGAAGACTACAGCTGAGAACCTGTGGGACTCGAGATAATAAGAACAGCAGGAGGAGAGAGAGGGAAAACATATAAAAAAGAAGAAAAAAAATCAATAAAAAGAAGGTACATAAAAGGGAATGAAAAACCAATAGAAGATGCCACAATTTTTGACAGTGAGTGGTAGGATCTGAAAGAACTTCTGAAAGAAGTGGCGGAACTTCCCTATGGGGCACCATCCTTGACAGTGAGATATTAACCTAGAGGGATATCTGTACAGCCCCAAGTCCAGCAGAAATAAAAGACGCAGAATTACTAAAATGCATGCATTAGATTGAATGTATACACTCAGAGACACTTCACTATAGCTGTTTCAAAGAGAAGGTAGTTGGAAAAGCTGTATGTTTTAGAAAATGTAATCAAAAGAATTTTTTGTGCATGTTTTTGTTATTGTTATTTTTCTTTATTTTTTTCTCTCAATATGGCAGTCGGCCCACATTCGGGAAGGTTGCATTTAAGAACCACTTTAAAATAGAATTTGACTTAATTTTTCCATTTATTTTCTACTTTCTATCCTCCCTCCCTCTCTTGTTATTTTAGAAACTTTCGGAATTGAGAGTATTTCTGCTTTTGATTATTGATTATCCCATAGCACTCATAAATCAGACACATATCTTGGCTTGGGGAAAATAGAATACCTTCTCTCAGAAAACAGAAATTCGATTTAATTGAGATTCATTTTTTTCCTACATTTAGACTCACCTATCCATCCCCATTCATTAAAAATCACCATACCCATAATAAAACGCAGGACTGTTTCTGGGCTAAAACTCAGGAGTTCACCCGTCCTTCACATTATGTAAACTCCAATCAGATACTGGATGGCTGGCTTCTGAATGTGTTGCCTTCTCAGGCATAATACCCTATCACTTTTCAAACCACAAAACACTTCACAACAAAGCAGATCCCCTTGTATTCTTCCTCAGCAGATGCAGATAACATTTTGTATAAGATACGGCTCCATTTATTTTTAGCAGTTTGATTATCTACTGATTTTGGTGGGAGATCCAGATAAGAGACTGACTGAGTTTACACCTCAGTGAGGAGCATATTGGGTAACCCATTAATGCTGGTGACTAAGCTGTAGATTGGGCCCACAGGCAGTTCTGCTTAAATTTATGGTGAGACGTGGTGATGGATATATGTAAGCTCTTATTTATAAGAAAGCAAATGAGTGCTTCCTATGTAAAAATAAATTGCAGATAAGCTAATTTAAGACTAATCAAAACCAGCCACTCACTCTGGGTGGGAATAATGCCCAAGAATGCTTCTATAATAAGTCTCTGATCCTTTGGCATATCCATAGCACAATAGAGGTAGAGATAAGCCTGTTTCTCACTCATAAATAACCCCCTGATGCGATCCCTAATGCATTGTGAATTCATTGTGGGTTTGTAGGCAGCTGGAAGACACTAATCAATGCGAAAGAAACTTTGCAGTGGTTTCTACTTGGAAGTAAGTATCAATCAAGTCACAACTGTGCTTTAGTTCGGATGGTCTGAATAAAACTTGCTAAAACAAACTTTGCCAGAGGGGGGAAAAAGGTTGTACTTAAGGAGGACAGGTTTTCTCAGGGGATTTCAAAGCACGCTAAATCAGATCATCTTGTAATATTTTTTAGAGTTAAGAGTAGCTTACAAAGTAGCCAGTTCGTACATTAGGAGAACTCATATATTTGACAGGTTTCTATATGGGTCTAATTATTCTGATATTTTTGGTCCTTCAAAAGTGATCATTTGAATTGATGATGTGGTATTTGTCTATATAAAGGCAAGAAAATAATTCTAAGTATAAATGGCAGGTGGGTGGACCATTCTATATTCTGAAATCATTTATTTGGGCATTTCTGTCTCCTGGCCTCCTTGGTAATTTGTCGAATTTTTATACACAGACTTGTGCTGTTCAAAGAATCTGTGATTCAGAAGATATTAATTCATTTTTATTCATTGAGTGTCTTAGTTTGTTAGGGCTGCCATAACAAAATACCAGAGACCTGGTAGCTTAAACAATAGAAATTAATTTCCCCACCATTCTGGAGGCTAGAAGTATGAGGTCAAAGTTCTGGCAGGGCTGGTTCCTCTGAAGCCTCTCTCTTTGCTTGCCGATGGCCATATTCTTGCTGCCTCTTCACTTGGTTATTCTTAGTAGCACTGCCCTAGTAGAGGCTCTCTGTGTGGGTTCCACTCCTGTGGCAGGCTTCTGCTTGGGCACCCAGGTTTTCCCATATATCCTCTGAAATCTACTTGGAAGCCACCAAGGCTTATGGCTTGTGCCCTTCTGAGTGGTAATCCAAGCTGTACGAGGGGCCCTTTGAGCTGAGGCTGGAGCTAGAGAGGTCAGGATGGGAGGAGCAGTGTCCAAGGCTGAGGAGGACAAGAGGGCCCAGCCCTGACCTCTGAAACCATTCTTTCCTCCTAGGCCTCTGGGCTTGTGATGGGCAGAACTGACCCAAAGATTTCTGAAATGTCTTCAAGGCCTTTTTTACATTGTTCTGGATATTAGCACCTGGGAGCCCATTTGTATTCCTCTCCTGAAAATGCTTTTTCATCTCTACCACAGGGCCAGGCTGCACATTTTCCAAACTGTTGTGCTCTGCTTCCCTTTTAAATATAAATTCCAACTGTAAGTCATTTCTTTGCTCCCATATCTGAGTCTAGGTTGTTAGAAGCAGACATGCCACCTCTTGAGGGCTTAGTTGCTTAGAAATTTCTTCTGCCAGATGACCTAAGTCTTCACTCTTAAGTTCAAACTTCCATACATCCCTAGGTTAGAGACACAACGTAGAAAAGTTCTTTGCTAAGATGCAACAAGGATGACCTTTGCTCCAGTTCTCGATAAGGTCCTCATTTCCACTGGAGACTTCCTCAGCCTGGCCTTCACTGTCTATATGTCTGTCAGCATTTTGGTCACAGTAATTTAACAAGTCTCTAAGAAGTTTCAAACTTTCCCTCATCTTCCAGTTTTCTTCTGGGCCCTCTAAAGTCTTCCAATCTCTGCTTGTTACAGAGTTCCAAAGCTGCTTCCATATTTCCAGGTAGTTTAATAGCACCACCCCATATGCCTCAATACCAATTTTCTGTATTAGTTCATTTTGCCTTGCTATAAAGGAATACCTGAGACTAGGTAATCTGTTTTTTTTTTTGTTTTTTTGTTTTTTTTTTTTTTAAAAAGAGGTTCATTTGGCTCATGGTTCTATAGGTTTTACAAGCATAGCACCAGCATCTCCTTGGCCTCTGGGAAGGTCTCAGGTAGCTTTTACTCATGGCAGAAGGTGAGGGGAAAGCAGGCATGTCCCATGGTTAGAGATGTGGAAAGAAAGGAGGAGGTGCCAGGCTCTTTTATATAACTAGCTCTCCTGTGAACTAATCAAATTAGAACTCACTCATCACCAAGAGATGGCATCAAAGCATTCATGAGGGCTCTTCCTCCATGATCCGACACCTCCCACCAGACCCTACCTCCAACATGGGGGAACACATTTCAACATGAGAACTGGAAAGGATATTCAAAATATATCACCCTCTGCATGCATCCTCTTGGTGTCTATGTATGTCCTAATCTAATAAGGACATCGGTCGGATTGGATTAGGGCCTACCCTAATGGCTCTACCTTAGTCATTTCCTTCAAGGTGCTATCTCTGAATACAGTCACATTCTGCGGTACTGAGGGTTAGGGCTTCAACAAATGAATCTGAGGGGACACAATTCAGCCCATAACATCTATCACAAACCAGACACTGTTCTAATGCTCGTGATCAATGAACAAAGACAAAATTCCTAACACTGTGGAGCTTATGCACTAACAGAGAAAGTGTACCATGAATAATAATCATAATTTTAAAATTACGTAGTGTTAGACGGTAATAAGTACTTTGGGGAAATATTAGAACAGAATAAAGTGGACCTGGGATGTACTGGGTGTGGGGAGGTGGACGGTGGGATAAAGTTTCCTTTAGTGTAGATGACCATTGAGTGATTGCTTGAAGGAGGTAAGGGTTTGCCAAGGTTAGGGAAGAGTGGTGCAGCCTCAGGATATAGCAAATGCAAATGCCCTAAGGGGAGAGCATACCACTCTATTTTAGGAACAGTCAGGAAGTAAGTGTGGCCAAAGCAGGGTGAGTAGAGGAGAGGAGAGGAGAGGAAAAGAAAGTCATGTAGGAGGTAACCCAGGGCCAGATCATGTAGGGCCTTGCAACCATTATAAAAACTTTAGCTCCTACCCTGAATGAGATGGGAAGACATTGGAGGTTTATGAGCAAAGAAATGATGTGACCTAACTTATTTTTTAACAGTATCACTCTGGTCGCTGCATTGAGAAGTGACTGTAGAGATGAAAGGTCCAGTTAGGATTCCTGCAATAATCCAGGTAAGAAGTATTGATGGCTTAGACCAGGGTTGCAACAGTGGAGATGGAGAGAAATAGTCATATTATGGATATATTTTGAAGATGTAACAGGATTTGCTAATGCATTAGAAGTGGGGAGTGAGAGACAGAGGAGTCAGAGGCGATTCCAACAGTTTTGGTCTAAATAGCTGTGTACATTTGACATCAATTGTGATGTAGGTAGAGGACATTTGGTGAGAAAGTTCAAGAGTTCAGTTTTGAAATGTTAATTCCTTTTTGGGAAATTGACATTTGTAGAATAATGGTTTAGGAATTTTAGGCAAATACAAAGATTGCTAGAGTATAGAATCAGTAAGTAACTCAATTTAAGAAACGATGCTTTTTTTTTTTTTTTTTTTTTTGAGATGGAGTTGCGCTCTTGTTGCCCAGGCCAGAGTGCGGTGATGCGATCTCAGCTCACTGCAACCTCCGCCTTCTGGTTTCCGGTGATTCTCCTGCCTCAGTCTCAGCCTCCTGACTAGCTGGGACTACAGGCATGCACCATCACGCCCAGCTAATTTTTAAAATTTGTAGTAGAGACGGGGTTTCACCATGTTGGCCAGGATGGTCTCGATCTCTTGACCTCGATGCATTTTTAAAAGTATGAACCCAGGCTTTGAAACAGGTATTATGATCATATATGTACCATATGGGCAGCTAGATTTATTCCAGAGAGCCACGATTTCAAGCCCAGAGAAATAAAGATTTAACATTTAATGTGTTCTGAGGAGAATGAGTAGAGTGAAGTGTAGTGGGAAGCATGCTGCAGTGGAGTCACACTGACCTGGATTCAAGTCTGTACATCACATGACCCTGAGCAAGCAATTTATCTACTTTGAATCTCAGTTTCTTCACCTATAAAATGATATTTTAAATATTAAAGATAATATTAAAACAAAAAATGTATGGGAAAAAGTTTAAAAGACAAGGAAGACTTTAAGACTTGCGATAGAAGACTTAGCTCAACTCTGCTGAGCAAGGGGCCAGAGAGTTTTAAATGCTGGGGTGGGTTATTATAGGCCATCAGGGTTTGCTGATTGACTTTACTTGTAGGTAATAGTAAACTTTCTTGTATCTTCATGACAGCAGGTAATTTTACAAATTGGTGCAAGGTACCAATAAAAGTTAGGCTCCTATCTCCTGTCTCTAACTGGGAGATATTAACAGATTGTTGTCTTATCATCCTTAAGGTTTACATTTCAAAGGGATGGCTCCCAGAAACTTGAGAATGACATTCCTAGGTTGCACACCTGGTAAGAAGCCTTTCAGAATATTTACACCTCAAAGGGACAGAGAAAGAATTTACAATTACAAGTTTTATAAAGAAAGTTTTCTATGGAAAGGGAGGTCAGAGGCCCAGAGGCAGGAAATAGACTGCATAAAGTTTGGTCAAGCTGAGAAAAACGTTAAGAAGACTTTGGTAAATACTGCTTGAAAAGTAATTGATTCAGGCTGTGGAACATAGTAGGTGTTCAAAGAATGGGAACAATCATAGCTGTTATTGCTAATGATTGTTGCTATAGAAAACCTAATCTAAACGAGACAAAACCCCCATCGACATACATTCTGGTAAAGGCTAAGTCATATGTCATAAGAAAGAAATGGATGTTTTGGCTAACCATGAATTCACCATTTAGCGTAGGTTGGAGAGAACTAGTGGACACAAAACCTCATCTGGGCTAGTATCATACCATGGATGCCGACCCCTAGCAAACTCTTCTAGTCATACCTCTTGCCTCCCCACATCAAAGATATCTGGAAAGAGACACTGTCGGAGAACAAACCAATGGAAATCATTCTTTTTGCTAACAGAAAAAGACATAAGCCAAACCAAATATTTTATATCTATCGTTTCATGCCTAATGTGACATTGAACATTGGCAGAAACTACTTCTTGTTGGTGGGTGGTTTGAGGTGAGAGAAGATACAGTGCAAAGATTCTGAAAATGACGTACTCCAAAGCACATTGGCTGTTAGAACCCCATATTGTATAAAGTACAAAAGAATTCAAGGCCTTCGGCAGATTTAGTTTACTATCACTGGAGGACTAGAGGCCTCTGTGAAACTCACACTAAAGGCTCTGTCCACTGGAGTAACCCACTCAGGGAACATGACCAGTAGTAAATTTAGGGTTGATATATATAGTTTTGAAATGTCCCAATGGAATATTATGAATATCCCTGTATTGTAAGCCATATAAACTTGAATATGTAGTTCTAATCAACTAAAATCTGGATTGCTTGCAGCTTGCCAAAATTTCATGGGAAAAGTGCTTTTCTTTTTGTGGTTTCCTTGCCAGGATATTTTTTGAAAGTAAACACATAAATATATTTTGAATTGGCAAACAATTTAAAAGTCCAAGATGGCTTCCCAAGAGGATCTGTAGTTTGAATTATGTGGCAATGCAATAAAACAAGGATACTTTGGCTGAAGAAAAAGAGGAACACAGAAACAAAGAAGGTGCAATGTGGGTGCTGCTCCCAGGAATGCTTGCCTTCTGTCTTTAGGGTAACATCAGAATTGGAAGTCTTTTTTTTTTTTAATCATTTAGCCCAATCCATTCATTTTTAGATAGTAAAACAAAAAAGGTAAAAATAGCAGAAGACACTCGACTAGTTTTGTAGCCATGCTTGGTCTAGAATGTGGATTTCTTGGTCCTTAAATGAAGACTTCTCTTCTACACTCATGGACCCTAAATAGAAAACTGTTCTCTCTTAGAATGCGTATGACAGGGGAGACAGCATACATCTTCCATGCGACATTGCTGAGAGAGTGTGGCTTCAATGTAGTCACAGGATGTGTATAGCTATAGACCATACAATTTCTGGTAGTTTTTCTCTTTTCTATGTACCTTTTTATTTGCTACTTTTTTATTTGCTACTTAGTGGTAATACTGCTTACAGGTAGAGATGACTAAAATCATCTATTGATGACAGTGGTTTAAAGAATTACAAATCCAACCCCTCTCTTCTTTTCCCTTTTGTGCGAACAGTGTCTATGCTCTTTATGGCATGTAGTATCTTTCACTATATTACAAACTCTCTATGAGCAAGCATCTTATATTTATCTTTATCCTCTGAGTTCTAATAAAGAGCCAACCACTCAGATGCTCAATATATATGAATATTTTCTTAATACACATGTATGTATATGTATATTATTTACTAAAATACATGTGTATGCATATATACGTGCATGTACCTATACATGTGTGTATGCATACACACCTGAGTGTGTGGCTCCTCATGGCTCTAATGATTGCTTACTGCTTAACAGAGAAATGATGGCTACTTTCAAAGCACTAGGGCTGCAGAGGAGCTTTAACTCCTCCAGTGTTGGCAAAGAGAGGGCCAAGTGTCCATTCAACTGGGGAGCAGAGGTCTGTATGAATAATCTTGTAGTGGGGATTATACTAAGAGAAGGATAATCTATAGACATGTCATATCTAATTCTCACTCACCTTTCCCTTGACATCATACCCAGTGGCTTCTGGATGTGTGTTGAAATTGTAGAGTAGCACAGATTTGTCTGTGAATCTTTCCCTAAACCCTCAGGAATAATTAATTACTTCTTTCTTTGTACTTATAAAGGAATTAGTATCTGACTCTACCACAGCCATTATAATGTTTTATAAGTGTCTGTCTCTCATTAAATTTTGAGTTGCTTAAGCGCATGGACTATGTCTTAGCTATTTTCACATCCTCTAGTGTCTTTCATGTAGCAGATGAATGAATAAATAAGGATAAATACCGTACTTTGACTACACTTCCCAAGTGCCTGTCAGTCTGTCCATCTGTTTGTCTATCTATCTATCTATCTATCAATTAACTATTGGCACTGTTCTAAGTGCTATAGAGACATTAACTCATTTAAACCTCCTAACAACTTTATTTTAGAGAGGAGGAACCCGATTTCGAAGAGACTAAATAACTTGCTGAAGGTCACACACATGATAAGGCAGAACAAAGAACTCACACCCAGGGAGTGAGTCTGCAGAGTTTCTACTCCAGCCTTTTCTGGCCTGGATGTTCAGCATTCAAGATGTTAAGAGATCAGGATCCAAAAATAGTGGGAACAGGGCAAATTATTATGACTAGGAATAGTAGAAAGCAGTTATGTCTGCAGCAAGAGGTTTCTGTTGACCACTGGTGGTTCACAGGGATCCTTGTTGAAAAATAATAGGGAAAGAGGATATTGGAACCAAAATGGTGTTTTAGAAGTAGAGGTACAGAAGTGAAGCAGAAGAACTTTGAGGCTAGTTCTCCTTACAGTAGTATCTGGACATATTTGGAGTGATTTTCTTTGTCTTCATAGAGTGTTTATACCTTGTGCTGATCTCTCTTCTGAGGAAATGGCTAACACATAGGCTCATTAATTCCTAGGGCTTATAAATGAAAATTATATATTTATTATTGTTGTTTTATCATAAAGTAAGCCTACATTCCACAGTGTACTCTGCAGATATTTTCAAAGGCTGCCAGAGTCTGCTCTGGGGCCTGTGGTTGACTACATAAACTAGAGGGTCAAGAATACCAAAACCTCTGAGGTGTCACTAATCTATTTTTTTTAAATAAAACTCCCATTGTATTATAAGCTGATAAAGGCAGGCTTTACAACAACCCCAACATTGTCTGCTTCTCATTGCAAACTTAGAAAGACAAGGAACAAATTTACAGTTTCTATTTTGAATCCATTGTTAAGCCCCCAGGAATGTGTGGCTTAAAAGCCCATTTGGTGCCTTGGAGAAGGATGGTGAACAGTTACACTTCACATTACTCATGTCCTTCAGGGAAATTCTCTTGTTCTTGTTGAAGTAAAGTTTCTGGAGGGAACACTTTGCATTATGTATCCATCCCTACTCACTCTGATTACTGTTTTTGAAGTTCCCATGGGTTCTTCCAAACTAGACACAGTGTCTAAATTCTCAGTGATGCTCTTCACTTCTAATACCTGTGCTGTTCCAGCCTCATTGCCATAATCATTCCCAGATTCAGAGGGACCAGGTGGGGAAGTGATCCAGGATGCTTACTGGTAGGCTGCAAGAAAAACGTCTAAATGAAAATAAGTAGATTCAGGTCAAAGCAGCTAATTGCTGCAAGAACTCTAACCTCCCATGTAGGTTAAGTCCCCACGCTCATTTGCTTAGACTCAAGACAGCCTCTTAAAATCAACGCTTGGGAAAGTGTGCTTCTCTTAATATATAATTCACATGACTCAGAGAGTGACTTGAGCCTGGAGGAAAATGTTTCCATTTCAGACCTCCAGTTTCATTCTTTCAATTATTATTTGTTCTTTCTTCTTTGTCTTGCTTTTCTCTTCTTGTTTTTTCTCCTTTCTCTCTCTTTATTTCCCTTTCTTCTCTCTCTCTTTCTCTCTCTCATTTCCAGTGCTGTCCAGCAGAACTTTCTCTGACAACTGGAAATAGTCTACATTTGCACTGATCAATGCAGTAGCTTCTAACTACATGTGACTACTGAGAACTTGAAATGTTGTTAGTGTGATTGAGGAATGGCATTTTAAATTTAATTCAATTTAAAGTTGAATAACCACACTTGACTAATTGGCCAGAGCATCTTTAGACCAACTGATTATCTCTAACATTATATGTATTACTCAGATGTTGGTGACTGAGAGGTGATAACCTCTTTAGCTCGTTTATTTTTTTTTTGTTTTTAAAAAATCATTTATCACCAGAGAAATTTGATCCAACTTGCAAAGTTTGGTTCAAGTTTTTCCAAACCCTTCGCCTCAACTTTTGAGGGCTCTCAGGGCCAGTAATACTTAGTGTTTTTCTGAAGACAGAATGCTTCCCTCTGGTTGCCTGGAGACTAGATATTCTCTAGTTAGGGATGCAGGGCACCCCTGTGTGACTGGAGGTTCAGATAGGGCTCATTTGCAAAGCATGGGAGCAGATATATATGAAAATTTCATGAGTGAAGGCGGAGGTCAGCAAACTCTGGCCATCTGCAGGAATAAACAATGTTGGTGCAAGGTCTTGAGCCTGGGAAAGGCATAAAGAGAAGGGAAAGGCATAAAGAGAAGGGAAAGGAGGAATGTGAAAAGAGATAATAGGAAAGAAGAAGGAAGATAAATGAGAAGGGATAGTCAGAATACCCACATTAAGGGTGAGAATGTACTAAGTGATCTTAGTCACAGCTCTGCCTGTAGTTATCTACTCCTGGGAAGATAGACTCTCTTACCAGAAAACCTTTACTTTAATCAGCCACAGAGGCTTGTATCTCAGGGTTTGGTGTGGCTCTGGGGGCAAAGATGGAGGCGATGCCAGCTAATTTTATGTATCCTCCAGAATCTATCAGAATTCAACTTCAGGTGAGTTTAATGCCACCGTCAGGGAGACCAGCTACTAATTTGTGTCTTTCTTTTTCTTATTTTCCTCTTTTCTTCTAATTACATTTTTTTTTTTAGCTTGACGAATATGACCTGAGAGTCTAGTGACTGCTTAGTTTTTGGTTGGCATTTTTTCTGATTCGTAACAGAGAGGTATTAAAGACATTTTATTAGGACACTAATAAAAGCAAACATATTTCTTATAAATCTAAAGTTTTGCTAAATCATAGTTTTGTTTTTTCCTTCCTGAGCAGTTTGCCTACAGTCCTGGAGCCGTGTTTCTCATATCTGGGAAATCTATTTTACATTGACTTCTTGTATTTGCTACATTTTATATTGACTGGCTTTGCTGTATTTTAAATGTATTTGTGTCTAGACTTGTAAGGCTTTAGCTACAGCCAATTTCTACATTATTAAGAGGGATATTTTGAATGGCCCCTGTGAATAAACCTAATTTTCCCCTCTGATTAGTGCTTAATTTGAAATTGTTTGTGCAGTGATGAAATCTTTCTTGAGTTTCACTTCCAGATTCCAGTTTCCATTCCCAGAGGTTCTTTTGATTACATAAATGCTTTCAGGGTGATTATGTGGGCAAAATTGTATATTAGATAGTTTAGTGCTTTCTGTAAGAAATTGTATTGTATAGAAAGAAGGGCTGTGAGTTAGGTTTTAGGTACTTTACAGTTACATGATCGTTTCTTCTATTCAATGTAAATTATACCCTGTATCTATAGTCCTTCAGAATTTTGTCACCCAGCCTTTGATTGGAGATTCATGTGTCTTTGAGATTTCATATTCCATTGCAGAATTATTTTTCTATGTATACACATCAGGCTTTTCAGAATATAATTTCTCATGTCCCTCGTCCCCTCCTCTCCAATCTTCAATTTTTATAATAAATGTCTTGAGAAATAAAGCAATATGTTCTTTATAGTCCCCAAAATCTAACCAAAAATCATGGCAGATGACTTCCTTATGGGTCAATATTTGCATTATAAATTTCTGTACATATATTCTCTGGTCCCTGGCCAGACAGTGTGCTGTCTGTACTCACAGGTCCACAGCTGGGGAGAAATTTTGCCTTAGGATGAATCAAACCTTGAGTCTCACCCATACCTGATTGAGATGACATTAAGTGAGATTTTGGACTAGAGTTGATGCTGAAATGGGTTAAGACTTTTGAAGATGTTGGGATGGGGTAAATATATTTGCATGTGAGAAGGACATAAATGTGGGGGCAGCCAGAGAGCAGTGTGTTACAGATGACCTTATTTGAAGAGAGAATCTTAATAGAGGCAATCAAGTTAAAATGAAGCCGTTAGGGTTGGCCTTAATCTAATACGACAATGTCATTATAAAAAAGAGGAATTTGGACACAGACATGCACAGAGGGGTTACAATTTGAAGATATAGAGAAAACACCATGCAAATGTGAAGACAACCATCTCCTTGCCAAAAAGGAGGGCTGGAACACATCCTCCCTTCACGGCCCTCAGAAAGAACTAACCCTAGCAAGGCCTCGATTTTGAATTTCTGGCCTCCAAAATTGTGAGGCAATAAATCTCCGTCGTTAAGCCACACAGTCTGTGGTACTTTGTTATAGCAACCCTAGCAAACTAACACGAGGCCAGGCCCCAAGCTGAATAGACTGGAAGATGGGACAGACAAATTCGCATATAGCATGTGATCCAGTGACAGCTCCAGGCATTGTCTAGATAGATATTCACCTCAAGCTTGCCACAATATTATTTTCTCTGTTTGTCCTTTTTATTACTTTCAATTTTTATAATTTCTCTCATTCTCTATTAATCTTGAAGAATTACCACTAGCCAGTCCAAGGATAATATCTTCAAATTTTCAGTAACATCAGATGTTATCATCACATCCAAGAGATGCTGAAAATTTTCACTCTTACTAATAATACAAGAATCCCCCCTTATCTATAGGGGGTAAGTTCTGAGTCTCCTAGTAGATGCCTGAAACTACAAATAGTACCAAACCCTATATACCTTATGTTTTTTCCTATATGTATATACTGATGATAAAGCTTAATTTTCAAATTAAGCACAATAAGAGATTAACAGTAAGTAATAATAAAATAGAACAATTATAGAACAACATATTGTACTAAAGTCATATGAAGGTGTTCCCTTGCGCTTTCTCTCAAAATATCTTAATATTTTCAGTCTGCTATTAACCACTGGTAACTGAAACCATCGAAAGTGTAACCATGGGTAAGAGGGGACTACTGTATTAGCTAATATTTACTGACCACCTGCCATGTTCCAGGTAACATATTAAGATACTAACTTCTTTAGTTATTACAACATTACATAAAAGCAGGAATTATCATTTTCCTCATTCTAGAAAGCAGAGGAGAAGGGCCGTGCCTCACACCTGTAATCCCAGCACTTCGGGAGGCCAAGGCAAGAGGATCACTTGAGCCCAAGAGTTCAAGACTAGCATAGGCGACATAGTGAGATCTTGTCTGTATAAATGAAAAATATCAGCTGTGCATGGTGAGTTGCACCAGTACTCCTAGCAACTCGAGAGGCTGAGGTGGGAAGATTGCTTGAACTTGTGAGGTCAAGGCTGCAGTGAGCCGTGATTATGCCTCTGGACTCCAGCCTATTGCCTCAAAAGGAAAATAAAAGGAAAGCAGGGAACTGAGGCAGAAATGCTCAGCAAAATGATGAAGCTCACGCATCCAGTTAGTGGCAGAATAATGGGCACTGGTATGGTTTTAATCCTGTCTCCACTAAGAGAATCAAATTCCAGATTGAGAAAATGGAAGAAAGATAAGGTTTAAGTAGGGAGGCCACAGGCAGATAATCACTTCTACATATTGAAAGACATCGTTTAAGAACAATTGAAATCAAGCATTTCCAATTTTTCCCACTGAAGATTTTTTCCAATAGTAAAGCCTAACCTTGGTAGTCATTACATCAATTCACATTTTAAGCCACAGACAGACCAAAAACAGTTGCTGCGTCAGCTCAAAGGAACATTCTTCTGTAATCAATTAAATTCATTGCACTTGATTATTCAATTTCTGCCAAGAAACAATTTAAAAAGCTTGTTCACAACAATTTGTTTTACAATTTCCAAGACCACTAAAATGACCTCCTGAGGACCTGGAATTTTAAAAGATTTTTCCAGTATTGCCTGAGGACAATATAGCAGGAAAACAAAAACAAACAAACCCCACTTAGATCTTAGTGCTATCCATGTGAAATATACACTCTTCATTCATCAGACTTTAATCTACATGTTATAACTGTTATCAAGTGACATGGTTTTGCTGTAGGTAATTGAAGGACTTTGGAGACCTCAGAATTGGACTAGCACTATGGCTTTACCATGTAGTTTCTGTGTGTACTTTAGCAAGTCACCTACCCCCTCTGAATTTCAGTGACCTAATCTTTAAATGAAGACAACAATGCTTATGTCACAGGTGGGTATGAGAATTAAACAGAATAGTGAGCATAAAACATCTAGTATGTTATTGAGATCATTACCTTTTCCTTCCATCCAACTTTTCCCTCACTCATTCTCCCAGGTGTACAGCCTGGTTCTATGACTTTATGTCAGCTTGCCAAGGGTTGACATGTAGAACCTTGATAACAGCCACAGAAGTAAACTAAAGCTTGACTCAGAACCACTCTAAAGTCAATTCCCAGCTTGCATTTTTGTTGGACAGGGAAAAGTGAAGACTGTATAGGCAATAGGATTTCTGGCCTCCACTTGCACAAGGGTAGGTTTGTATTTAAGAATTTTCAGGACAGAGATTTTTTTTTTCCCAATTTCACTCAGAGCCAAGGTAAAGATAGGTAATTATTCCGATGATTTTCATCTAAATTGTGTGTGTGTGTGTGTGTGTGTGTGTGTGTGTGTGTGTGTGTGTGTGTGTGTGTTTTAAGTTTACCCTCTTTACCTGTTTCCTTTCCAGAGTTTTGGCTTTATGTTGAGTCCGTAGTCTCAGGTCTCTGAGTTCTAACCTTCCTCCTTGAGTGGGCCCTAAACTGCCCCTTCAGTTTTTCAGTAAAATCTCATCTCTAGATCATCAAGAATTGGCAAATACCCATGGGCAGAATCCTTCTTTGGTGCATTCATACCTCTCTAGCTTCCGCCTTCCAGATTTCTAGTCTCTGTGAATTGCTTTTAATGTCCTGACAGCAAATCAGTGAATTTAAAAACATTTTACAAAGTATTTTTTTCTTTCACATTTTTAGCTACCCTGTACCATTTTCCATATTTTTAGGAATAGAATTCCAGTCTCACAGATTATTTCCAACCCTTTCTAAATAGAACACTAAGGAAATTCCCTGTCTTAGTTTGCTTAGGTTACCATAACAAAGTACAATAGGCTGGATGGCTTACACAACAGAAATTTATTTTCTCACAGCTCTGAAGGCTGGGAGTCTGAGAACAGGGTACCACTATGGTCTGTCCCAGTGTAGGCTCTCCCCTTGGGTTGCAGACAGCAGCTTTCTTGCTGAATCCTCACATGACCCTTTTGTGTGATTGAGGGGAGAGAGAGAAAGAGCAAGATTTCTAGCGTTCCTTCCTAAAAGGGGACTAATCCCACTACGAAGACTCCAACCTCATGACCTCATTTAGCCTAATTACCGACCATAGGCCTTGCCTGCAAATACTATCACATTGTGCATCAGAGCTTCATCATAGGAATTTGGGGAAAACAAACAGTCCATAACAACTCCTTTCTGTTGAAATAATGGCTTTCTGCTGTGTGCAGAAAGCAGAAGCAAGATCATGCCAACTGGTATGATCTTGAATTTCAACACTTGTAATGATAATCTAACTCAAAGGGTTGTTTTAAAAACTAAATACCACATATAATACAGGGATCACAACGCCTAGCACAGTAGGAACTTAACAAAGAGTACTTCCCCTTCCCTCTTGCTTCTACCACTTGCTCTGCCCACAGAGTAGTTGTATGTAGCTGACGGGTACAGAATGACCAACTTCAATTTCAGCCAAGAAATGCAGCAGACAGTGCAACAATGATCCCAATTACATTACCCTGTTGATAGTTTTCATCGTTTAGGTCACCAGAAGGGAATAAAGTGGGGACAGTAGCATAACATGAAAGCAATTAGAAGTGTTTATTGAAGAAAGAAGTAAAAACAAAGTCAAACAAAAACAAAGATGACACTTGGATGCTTTCTTTTTAAAACTCACACTCAAGCCACAAGTTAAAGCCATCCAGATGGTGAGCTCGAGAAGACAGAAATGAATCACTTATTTGTACTACAGTTGGAGGATTTAAAGATCTTTGGGGAAGATGCTCAAAAGCTTCACTCCAATTAACCTCACCCCATTAAGTTTGCCCATCGACAGATCAGAGCCAAAGAATGAATTTCAAGGATGAAAGAGAAAGATCAGGGAAGATACCTAAAGTCTGCAGTAATTTCTCCAGAATGAAGAAACCCCCAGAGAGAAAAATGAAGCAGCTTTAGCGGACAGGATGGATCAACATGCAACCAGGATAAAATATAATTCTTCCCAGAAAGTGTTGAAATGGGGACAACCTTCTGATTTAATTTTAAAGGCTATATTTGAACTGTGTGACCCCTTTCTGAATTTCATCTGATAACTGAAACAAACTATCATGTGTCAGATATCATTCAGAACCCATTTCTTCTCTCTGACACTTTTCCCTCTTGCATAAAAATGGAAAGAAAAAGGGAAATGGTATTTCTTCTTGCAGATAGTCATCAAATACAAAGTGTGGTAATTCTAGTGGAATCTTTGAGAATTAAGATATTTTAGCAGCCCTAAAATATTGCCAGAAAGCGCTATTTTAAAATGTCTTCGTGACCTTTCTGGCTAAATTGGAAATGAAAAATAAGAGATAAGCACATTTTTCTTATTTAAGAGAAGTGAAAAGCTGTCGCTAATGGACCAAGAAAATGAGGAAGTAGAAAAGAACAGGTGGGAGAAACTGGAAACATAAACCACAAAGTCCATGTCTGTACTATAATTTGTATTTTATACGTTCTTCGTGGAACTCTTCCACAGATTTCCTATAGGACCCTTTCCCAAATGTTGATCTTTTTTCTTGATACTCTAAATTTTAATACTAAGCAGTGCCTCTTTCTAAATAAGCAATTATTAGAAAAAAAAATTAGGCCGGGCGCGGTGGCTCAAGCCTGTAATCCCAGCACTTTGGGAGGCCGAGGCAGGTGGATCACCTGAGGCTAAGAGTTCGAGACCAGCCTGACCAACATGGCAAAACCCTGTCTCTACGAAAAATACAAAAATAGCCAGGTGTGGTGGTGGATGCCTGTAATCCAAGCTACTCGAGAGTCTGAGGCAGGAGAATCACTTGAACCCAGGAGGCGGAGGTTGCAGCGAGCCGAGATTGAGCCACTGCACTCCAGACTGTGTGACAGAGTGAGACTCCGACTCAAAAACAAAACAAAACAAACAAACAAGCAAAATTAAAGGATTTGACCCCTCTCGATCCTCGCAGTAACTTCTCAACTGAGATTGTAAATATTAAAATCTTAGAGTTTGTAATTAGGCACAAACAAAAGACCTTCTGGTAAATGACACATGTCTCTTTCCTGGTTTCTGGCTTTGAGGAAGGATGTCATCACTCCTGTCTGCTGTCTTTGAAATTCCTAGGTATTGACCAAATAGTTGTATGTATGTATATTTGTGTATGTCTATGTATATCTTTTCATATATATGTAAAATTACAATCATCTTACCTTAGCCCCTCCGGTAATTGTGTTTCTTGGATGCATAGCAGGTATTCTATTTGCATTTACTGCAAACAAATTTTTTTAAAAAGCAATGGAATTACAGTAGAACCAGGTAGATTTAACAATTATGACAAAGGAATAGCAATATAACAGATCTGCTAAGTAGAGCAAAATAAATTGCAAAATGGTGCCTTAGGGGCATACTGAAACTTAACATGGCAGCAGGGAATATAGGTACATACCTCATTCCAACTGCAACTGATTATCCACGTAAGTAGCTACTTTAGCTTACCTGGTGTATGGATGGAAATGCTGATAATGCTGAATACCCCCCTCCCCGTCCCACTCCAATGAACATTTTATAGAGAAACCAATATTAATGTTGGTCATTGAAAACAAAATTTACATGCTTATGTGCAAGTTGATCAATACGATTAGGCATGTCCATTCTGCAATTACTTTAAAATTTATTCTTCCTGGTCATAATCCTACAGAATAGATTGAAACAGAGAAAATGGAAAGAGAAAGGCACCATTAACTGAAAATCCAGTGATGATCTCTGATAAATGTAACATTTATTTTTGTGCTATTTTTAGAATTCAACAAAATTTCTTTCATAAGACTATACCATGCCCTCAAGTTTGTTTTTATTTATAAATGCCTCTGCCAAGAGTCATTCAAGTTTATACTTCTGATATTTTTCTATCTTACATTAGCTGGGTAGCATATGAGATGGCCTGTGTACTTGACAATGGGACTTAAAAGCATTCTATGAGAAGAAAAGAATGTTACAATTAGCTTATATGGTATATGATTGAGTATGCTGTAGCTTTTTAAAAATCAAGAACATTTATAGCTATGTTTCAGAGTGCTCTGTTAAAAGCTGAAGTATCAAATCAATGGGAGTCAGTGGGAGTATGGGAGGAGGTACACAAAAATAACCACAAATTTGCTCAGAAACAAAATGTTTTTTTTTCTTGTCTTTAAAACTGCCTGTTGCTTTAAAGAGTGTCTCACACATGAAAATATTCTGCTTTATGTTCAGAAATTATTCATGAAAGGGGCTTGAAATTTTGGATATTCTCTGCAAGAGGGATATATAGACTTTTGATAAAACTTCAAATTTCATAAAGAATATTGATATGGAAAAAGATACATCTGTGAGTTTCTTCAACAGTTTCATATGCTTTTCTACTTGAGATTAATTTTTTGCAGAAAGTGAAGCAAAGCCAGAATCCATTTTGGGAGATTTTCCTTAAGTTGCAAGGAGGAGAATACCCAGCTTAGCAGTTTTTCCTTCTCAGCCCTAAATAAAGAAATCCAGCCAAATACTCATTTCATTTCTACCCTGAAGATATCATTATGGTCCTGTGGCCAATGCATGAACCTCTGAATATCTTGTTATATAGCACAAATTGTAAAATATCTGGGATGGTGGAAAGTGCATTGGAATGGAAGGTAAAAAATATACATCCTAGTGGTGATTCTTCTAATAGTAGCTATGAGAATTTTTAGAAATCATTTAATTTTCTGTATCTCGGTCTACTTTGAAAATGGGGAGGTTATTGTAGATGATCTCCAGGATCATTTCTAGGCTTAACACAGTGAATTCTATGAATCAAAAGAAAAAGAAAAACAGAAGAATGTTTATATTTGTCTCTCAGCCTATCATGATATATATATATATATGTATGTATATATATAATTCTAGATTAAGAATAGAATATTTAGTTTTTTTCCATTTAATTTTGTTGCCCTAAATAGTTTTTATATTCACATGAGAGTTACCTTTTGGAATTTTTGGGGGGATGGTAGGCGGGGCTCTTACTTTTAAATTTATATAGTCATACAGTGTTAAGACCAAACAGGTTGTGCTGTCAACTCCAACACACAGATCAGCTTCCCTCATGGGAAATAAAACTGTATAATTTTTTAAAGTTATTTATTCACTCATTTACTCTAAAGAAGCAAGTGAAAAAGTGGTGCAGATATTTGCACGGAGAACATTGCAGGAAGAGAGATACGCACGTGCAAAGACAGAGATGGGAGCATGCTTGGCATACCTGAGGAATAGTGAGGAGGTAAGTCTGAGAAGGAATGTTTGTAGGAGATAAGATTGGGGGAGAGCAAGGGCTGATCATATATGTATTTCTACGTTATGATAAAGGTTTTGCTTTTTACTCTAAGACATGAGAAGATCAGACTAAATCTGATTTACATTTAAGCAAGGAACTCTAGCTGCCATGTCAAGAATAGGTCCTAGACAGCAATGTTGGTGGTCCAGAGACCTACTAAAAGACTATTGTTGTGATACTTAGAGAATGATGGTGGCTGGGCTTAGAATTATAGGGAAAGAAGTGGCAAGAAATAGATTCAAAATACAATGTTGAATGCATTTCAAAGAAGAGAAAAACATCTTAAGTTGTTCTAAAGTGGAAACTGTCTCAAACTAGGTTTGGGTAGAAACATGTGGATTGACATGTGGGATAGAGAGGCACGTGACACAGCCATTTTTGGACACCTAGCCAAAAGCTCTTCCCTGATACACATTTGGATCACACAGTTTTAGTCTGTTTCGGTCTACTTTTTTCTCTTATAACACACATAAGTCTTACCATGTCAGTTGGGATCCATAAAATCAAACAGAAAACTGAAAAATGGAAATGTTGTTTTAAATAGTAAAGATGTGCCTAGACCAGTATACTCCAGAATAATCAGTCTGATGATACAAGAAAATGTTTCCTGGTAAATAGCTGAAGAAGAGGGAGTACTGCTTCCTTTTTAAGATTCAAAGTGAATCTTCCCTTTTCTTCTGTATTCCTATTCTATTATTCCTTTAGTGGCTCCAAGAAGTACTATTAGTAAAGGAACATAATTTTTAATCCTAGTCTTATCCTAACTTATGGTAAAAAATCCCTGTTTCACATAAGTTTCTTCATTATCTTAAAGAGGTAGTCACATCTATATAGACAGATACTGAGAAGCTTGGGCTTAGAGAATGTTATTTTTACATAATCTATTTAAAAATATTTTTGGTGGTGTTAGTTGCCCTGAACAGCACCAAATGGCTTTTAATGAGCAAATGTGCATATTGGTGACAGGATAGAAGGACTAAAATTTACAATATTGACATCAACTAGAATTTTATAACAAACGTGAAATGCAAAGTATATTGTAATAACAGAGTAACAAAATTAAATGTGGTTTAGTATTCTTTGCAAAAAATATTGCATTAATTTTGAAGTACATTAAAATAATTTTTTATTATGCAAATATAGATGCTTCGTAAAATTAATGCAGCTCAATTACATCACTAGATGTCAGAAAGGCATTTGAAAGGGTAGGCTGAAAATAATTCCTTTGAATGTCACATAATTTTTCTTTGCAGCTAATCTCTGAAAAGAGGGAAAAAATTCTCTCTACTCAGGCATAGAATAGACGCATTAACAATGGAAAGGTCAGTGCATAATGATGCAAGAGAGAAAAGGCCTAAAGTGCCATATTGATGAAATGAGATGGGGAAAAGTTATATAGAAATATTAATCAATCCTTAATTTAAGACCTTTAGGTAACTTGCTAAAATCTTCTTCACTATTTAAGATCAAGAAAATGCTAACCAATAAATTCCTTCTGCGAGGAGAGAAAAACCTAAAGATCTGTGTGTTTAGATTCAACATTTCTCTTTTCCTTTTGATTCTCTATATTGCAGGTAATAATTGGAACACTTGAGTTATCCTAGTAGGTATTAGATAGCCATCTCATTCTCAATATAACTTGCCTTCTTGAGCTTAGAAAATCAAAATGTTATAATACAAACTCCACAAAGGAAAATTATGTGTTCATCGAAATTCATGTTTGGAAAGTTATGAGGAAATGACCATGACAAAATGGTAGGTAAAATTGCAGTATATAGAACTTTATACATAATACTATTCACACTTTGTAAAGATAAGTATATGCGAATACACGTAAAGACCAGAAGAAAATACAGCAACAGAAAAATTGTGGTTATCTTTGGATGATGAAATGCATTTGGAAAATGCATTTCTGTCTGCTTTACTGATTTTACAAGTGTGGTGGTATTTAAGATTTGCGGTGATATGGCTGGCATTAGCAATAAGCAGTTTTCTTTTTCTTGACCTCATTCTTACTAATTTACCTGTTGACTGTTTCACTTGCTCTATTAACTTATATACGTATTCTAAAGGCCAGTAGCAGCTAGAAGGAAAAGAAAAACTGAACACAGGAAAGGTTAAATTATCATTATATAGAATCAAGCCTTTAGAAAGATATTTGGAAGGACAATGTGTTTGACTGCTATAAAACTGATTGTATTTACATAAAAATTTCATGGGGACACATAAAGTGTACTTAGATAAGAGAAAGAAAGTCACATTGATTCACTGATCCACTTACTGTTTATCATATCATAATATTCCAGGAAAGACATAATGAAGGTCCTGACTATGACAGTTAGGGTGAAATGGAAACAAAATGCATCAGGGATGCAGGAGGCAGTAATTAAAAACGAAAAATGAGGTAGTTTAGTTTCAATGCCTGTTTCTACCATCTACTAGTTAAAAAAAAAAAAGGGTTACTCAGATCCCTGCTTCAGGATTCATTTCTTCAACTAGTAGAAGTGACAATTGTTGACAACTCACAATTTAGTAATTTCCTGGGGACTCACCTGGGCAAAGGGAGGTGCCTTGCTTGGGGTTATGTTCCTCCTCCCCAAGAGCAGCCGGAGTTCAATGACTCGGTACCGAAACCTGTCCACCTTAGCTCAATTCAGGAAAATTATAAAGGGCAATTTAAACTTCAGACTTCCATTGTGAGCAGTTTAGATTTTCAGTTGTAAATGTATCTCAGTTCAATGTTTTCCTCTGCTCAGGCATGCTTCCCTTACTACCTCACAGCTATTGTTCCAAAGATCATTGCCCAAGAAACTTCCTGCATATGCATCTCCGTCTCAGAATCCATTTCCTGGGTAATGTGACCCAAGACAATTTGTGACAGACAGGTGTGGTCCTAAGAATAGACTCAAAAAATTGGAGTTGGAGGCTGGATTGGCCACAGTTTCATTGACAATGGGGTACCCATTACTAGTAGTGAGTGAAGCTCTTATAATCTTTGGTACGCTACAGTGGTGGAATTTGTTAAAACTTATACCAATGATAAACTGGATTGAGATACTGATAAATGGAATATATTGACAGGGGCAATATCCCAAGCATCTGAGAGATTCTAGGGTAGTAGGCATTATAAGGACAGTGAGAACCCAGGAATGCTACTTAATACTATCCCAGCATGGGAGAAAGACAATGAAAGGGTAAGGATGATTAATCACCAATTCAAGGCAAAGTGTGAAAGTGGAAGGGATTCTTTGGCAGCCTATTAAGAGATTCTTATCTCCTGCAGCCTGAGGGTAGAAAAAAGCTGAGAATTAGGATTCAATTATAAAGGCAGAACTCCAGACAATGTTGATTTTCAGTATCAGCAAATCTGCTATGCTCAGGTCAAGGTCCTGGTTGGAAAGGAGTAGGATCTTAAAGATGAGAATATCATGTTTGATGTACTCAAAATCCTTAAAGCCTCAGATATTCCCCAATCTCTGAACTTGCAAAAATGAACAGTTTTTCCTTGCTTGGAGGTCACAGAGAAATGTGCATCTTGCAAGTTAACATGGACTAACCAAGATATAGCCCACCTACGATTCTAGCTTTAGACAAGTAGCTAGGATGAGGTCACAGCATAATCTTACTAGAGAAGTGCTAGACCTGCTAAAAAAAGAATAAACTGTAGGACCTAGCCAATATATACCAGCAGGAGCTAGAAGAGTATGCATGAAAGTAATAGCAAAAATGTTAGACATCACCCAAATGTCCATCAACAGATGAACAGATAAGTAAATGTGGTATACTCAGTCAATTGAATACTGCATGGTGTTAAAAAGGAATGAACTACCAATATGTACTACAGAATGGATGACAATTTTGCTGAATGAAATAAATCAGACAAAAAATAGAACTGTTTCACTTCATGTATATACATTTCTAGAAAATCTAATCTGTAGTGACAGCTGATTGGTGATTGCCTGGGGATGTGGGGATGAGAGGATGGGAGGGGAGAGAGGAAGGGATACAGAGGAGCACATGAGATTTTTGTGGGTGATAAATATGTCCATTATCTTGATTTTGATGGTTTTACAGGTGTACACATATAACAAATTCATAAAATCTTACACTTTAAATATATTCAGTTTATCATGTCAGTTATATTTCAATAAAGCAATTGAAACAAACACACAAAACAAACTCAATCCCTCTAATTTTGTAGGTTTTAAGTCTACAGGGTTCCTCTGTGTACCAGTTACCATGTCCTGGTCACAGGAAACGCTACACAGATTAAAAAACAAAAGCAAAGACATCTTTATACCTGGAAGTGCCCTGGAAGTGCCTACCTCTACCCAGAGGACACTCACTGGCTCCCCTCCTCTGATCCTTCTCTGTCATCTCTCTCATTTCTAGGAATTGGAACTTTGGGCCTCTGTGTTTCTTTCTTCCAAGTCTGGGAACTCCTGAAAAGTAAGAACCACCTTTTAGACTCATCTGGGTATCTCCTTGACCCTACATAGAATCAGGCCACCGGACTCCTTTTCAATCATTGTTTTCCCATCTCCACTGAGCTATAGCTCTGAGCTTTCTGATGGCACAAGTGAAAAGCTATTTAGTGTTCTTTCTCTGTGTTCCCCTGTCTAAAAAGGAAGGAGACCTCTTAATATGTGTACACCTGTAACATGCATTCCCCCGTAGCATCCCTGTGACATGGCGGGGCTGGATGACTAGGACTCCACTTCCTGGTGAAAGATCATCATGGAGCCAAGTTCTGCTTTATCAAGACAGTAGGAAAGTTAGCGAGGACACTAGCTAAGCTATGTCCTCGGAGGCTTCTTATTTAGTTTTACCTTCTCTACTTCTTCATTTGCATTATTCTATTTGCTCAGCCACCCCAGACACAAAATATCCTATTTCTCAAGCTAGCCAAATACTCCCACCCATCAAGGCCTTTGAAATTTTTGTTCCTTCTATTTGAAAGAGTCTGTGTTGGCTAAGACAAACTATACACACACACACCCTCTTGAGTAGTAAATTAAGTTCTGAATTAACTAATGAAAAGTTAAAAATAATAGTTACAAATAATAAAAGTTAATAAAAAATAAAAAGTGAAAAAAAGTTAAAAGCTTGGCAGTGAATGGTGTTCAGATAGATGCAGATGTTGTATATCTCAGCCTAGATTTTCTTGCCTTCCAGAGTTCTTGCTGGGGACACCCGATGGCAATGAAACTGTCTATGCAGTGTACACTTCATCAAGCCTCATTTGGGAAGCTGGCCTCTTTCTAACTACTGTCTCTTTATACGTAGTCCCATATCATTTCAGAAGCACTTCAACTAACAATGCCTCAGTCTATATTTAAAAGAATATTTATAAACAGTGAGCTTTCCTGGTTATTGAACCAGACTGAACATCATCAAAGGCTAGGTGTTTCTGAACAATACCTGACCAGAGTGTATGGCATTCTGGAACTCCTTTTCTCAGACTATCAAATACTTCTTCTGTAGCCAAGTTCCAATTTTTGAAAAAGGTAAAGACAAAGGGTGATACGCAGTAGAGGCACTCCCAATAGTTGACACTCAATCATCTTTTTCCAAAGCCCCTCATTCTCTATTCCTTTCAGGGCTTATAATCTGTCACTTTTTGGGATTCATTTCACCTGATTCTGTGTGTGTGCATGTGTGTGTGCATGTATGTGTATGTGTGTGTGTATATAGTAGTTAGTACATATATGGAGATGACTATAGACTGTGCATGAAGAGTTGAAGAAATCTGAGACTAGACCCCAAGTCTATGTTTGCCAAAATATGTTCCAATTTGTCAACACTCAACTCACTTTCCTAACAACGAGTCTTAGGTTTTAAATATTATATGACTAAACTCTACCGCACATTCCTATTTTCTAAAAGTGTGGCTTTGGAATCAGCCTGGGTTTAACTCACAACACTGCCATGATACCTTGGAAGAGTACCTTACAAATTGATGATCTACTCTGTAAAATGGAATCTCTCCTGTATGGATTAAGATATAATGTATAAAACAGACAACAAAGTGCCTGATACATGGAGGTGGCCGTTGCTGTAAAATTGCTCGTATATTGCTATAAAATACAACATCCAAGAATGTCAGTCATTGTTCAAACTGATGGTGCTATCTAATTTCAAACTATACATATTATACATTCAACACACACATACCCATATATATATATGCACAACATATATTGATACACATTTTTTTTTTCTTTTTTAGAGACAGGATCTTACTCTGTCACTCAAGCTGGAGAGCACTGGTGCAATCATAGCTCACTGCAGCCTCAAACTCCTAGGCTCAACTGACCGTCCCAATTTGGCCTCCGGAGTAGCTAGGACTACAGATATGTGCCACCACATTTGGCTAATTTTTAAAAAACTTTTGGTAGAGATGGGGTCTTGCTATATATCACTCAGGCTAGTCTCAAGCTCCTTGTCTCAAGTGATCTTGTTTGTTGCATACCAGCTATGTGACCACAGAGAAGTTACTTAACCTCTCTGTCCCTCAGGTTTTTTCATCTGTAAAGTAAAACTGACACTAACACCTCTAATACAGTTTATATAAGGATTAAACGATCTCTGGCACTAGGCAAAATTGTGTAAGTATTAGTTGTTATTATAATTATTTTATCATGTGGTGATGCAGTGAATAGAGAAAGTCAAATGAAAACAATAGCAAAGATTAAAGATGTCAGATGTACCTCCTTTATTTAACCTAATTTCTGCAACAGATGCTCCCTCTTAATCTCAACAGGGAACAGATTTCACAGCCCAGGAGCATAATTACAGAAAACGCTGGCTCCTGTGGTCACAAACTTATACTCAGGGCACACTGAGTAACTGCCAATTCAGACCTCAATGGGTGACTAGGGCATATGGTGATAAAGGATCAGTCAAGAGTATACTGTAATGTTCAATAAATGCCAGCAGCTTTTATTGTTTTGTGAAGTTAAAAATAGAGTTTATCATGCTGCTCCATCAATAAGAGGCTGCAACATCTAATGTATAACCTCATAAATGTCTCATTTCTTTTTCCTTCCTTCTCTTCTTTCCTTCTTTGAAACTAGGTTGAGTGTATGTTGAGTATTTAACATGTGCCAGACAATGTGCCAGGTAGGGAGGTAAAATTAAAACAGACATATCCCTGCCCTTGGGAGCATACAGTCTACTGGGTTTGTTTTTATGGAGCTGTCTGCTAAGTGGGTTCTCTTGCAGGCTGAACCATGCCAGGACCTCAGACTTCAGTGCACACAAAGTGCAGTCTGATGTTAATAGCATAGCAACCATTTTTTCTCTCTGTGCATTCTGATCTCTTGTTCTTGGGCCTGTCCACCTCTGGGAAGTTCCACTCTCTCAAGATTTTCCACCATATGGCGGGATGGAAGAGGAGATTGCATTCCATCAATCACTTTGGTTTTCTCCTGTTAAGGGTAACCAATTAACCAATTCTTCTGTTAAGGGTAGTCAATAGTCTGGTAGGAGCTATTGACTGGAGTGAGATGTGGGACTCATTCATATGCCAATGCTCCATTTTCTTCTTGTCTCTAGGCACATAGGATTGGCTGTCTGTGAAAATAAAGCCATAAAGGTCAATAGGTTAATTCTCAGTTTACAGGAACCAATATTCTTTGTTCAGCCAAGACTCTGATTGAACTTTCTTTTTGATTTTCATCTCTTTTTAGAACGGTCAGTTACAGATCATAACTGTCTCCACTGGGAGAGAGTGACAGTAAGAAAAAGTTGAAATGCTGACTGGTGTAAGAAGAAATAACCAACTCTGCATTATATGAACACATTTCTGACTAGGTTATTTAGAGAGTGGACATCTTTAAGTACATTCTGCACCACTGAACTGCAACTCCAATACAGCTTAGAGTCCCTCTGTGGTGAATAAAATCCTCTGAGACTTTCTTCCTGTGAAGAATGCTGGGCTATTCTTATTGAGGTTACTTTAGGATATCACTGAAATTAGACATAGACAATAGAAGCACAGTATGGGGAGATACTGGGCACAGAGTATGCAGTTTAGAGAGCTCCCTCTGGATGCTCCGACTTTCTACTTTGTTGATACAACTATGGCCCACTGGGCATTTGAGAACCCGAGTGAAGCCTTTCTGATTCCTCACTTTCTTTGTTAGTTACATTCCATCCCAGTTTTTGTAGCATGTAGCAATAAATTGTTCTAAATACAATTTAAATTACACAGGCTTTTCCAGGGTACTTTATGGATTTATGTGTGTATGTGTTATCTAAAATACTTTCTCATAAGTACCAAACAGTGCCACAATGGAAATGAATGAAGAAACGGAATGAGAGCCACATATTTTAATTTCTTTAAACTTCTCTCTCGACAGAGGGATAGACAGATACACACGTGTGTGTGTGTGTGTGTGTGTGCACGCACACTCTTTGTATATAAAGCAGTATTTGGATAGTTTCTTTCACTCTTTCATCACTTCACCACTGAGCCCAATTTGTAGTGAAGGAATATTTCTTAAAAGTATGTGTGTACATATTGTTTACATATAGAGTACACACACACACACACAAAGAAAAAAAGAATCTTTGAAAAGTATTCCAGCACTATAAATTGAGCTCAGAGATGAAGTGACAAAAAGGTGAGAAACTATTCAAGCACTTCTTTGGAGACGGATGCAAACATGATTCATGGGTGTGCACATTTAGCTCTGTGTACCAAGTCTATTTCTGCCCTTTAATCTTTTTTGTAGGAACCATCAGTAATGTATGTTAGGATATATACAAGGATAAAGAGAGCTCCTTTAGAATCCCTTTTGAGGTCTCCTCCCCAACCAGGTTAGACAGTAATGAAGCCAGTAGACTCAGAAACTGTGTCCTTAAACAACAACACAGCTAGGAAGCAATTTATTATGCTACCCTCTAGGCAATGAAGTCCACCTTGAAGAACGTAAGAGAGACAATCCTTGAAGAGAGCAGACTCATTCCCCACAGTGTCTCCTTTCCAGACTGTGCCTCATTTTTTAAGTGCCCAGCATTGGTAATGGACAGGCAATAGTCTTCTGACGGTAAGCAATTCTCTTTTCATAAAACTGTAGAAAAAAGCCAAGGGCAGTGAGTCCGTCTCTGGATAATGTACATTAGCTCATTTTTGGTTATCAGTAATCATGTATTGAGTGTCTTCTGTGTGGTCTTCCCCAAGTAGACAAAATTAAGAATGCAGAAAATACAGAAATTAAAGAATTTATTTACAGGATTTTAGGAAAGGCCCACAGCAAATAAGTTAAATAATCAATGTTCATAAATCTCTTTGTAAGTTTAGAAGTCAGACTTTAAAAACATAGATAACAAGAAACAACATCAAAAACTTAAGAAGTAAACTAGATGGTGTTATTAAAGAAATACACTAACATTTTTGTGGACTGATCTGGTCATCAACACTGAGTGTACCCATAAATATTTTTCCTTAAATAGTGACCTGGAACTGGCAGGCATTTGGTGTGAAGGTACCTCCTTAAAGAATGCATATCAGAACCTACTTGGGCCTCATGGCCCAACTGTGAGCCATGAGCCTCCAGTAGCTTGGCATCACCTGATTTACTTCCTGAATCAAAATCTGCATTTTTAATGAGATTCACCAGGTGAATCATGAGCCCATCAAAGATCGAGAGGGTCTTTGTAAATATATGTTTCCTGTATGGATGTAATTTATAACCAATAACAATTATGGATGGGAGCATAACCCTCATGAATGTTGAAGTACAGAAAAATTTTAAAGAATATTTAGGATTCTAACAACATGGCAGACCAAGATAACCAGGCAACTAGAATTGTCGGATAAATGTAAAAACAAAACAAACAAACCAAAAAACCATTTCTCTAATGCATAGCTTAACTTTCAATAAAAAAGAAAAACCTCTAGATGCTAAGAACAAAAGTAAAACTGAAAACAAGAATTATGTGCATGTGTTGAATCTGTGGTTGTTCTGGAGGAGAGCTTGAATAGAGTGATTAGCTAACAGCTAGTAAACTATGCTTTCATTTCACCTCACTTGAAGGACAGAAGTGAAGCATTAGCTCCTTTCAAGCTAGGCATCTGGTAGTGAAATCCCCTCAGAAAGTTGGGGCCTTCGAAAGACATTGTCACCAGAGAAAAAATAGCTTCAGTTTCATCCCACTTGAAGAACAGAGCCGGGCCCTTTCAAAGTAGGTATTTGATAATGATATCCCTTCATGAAGATGAGGCCCATGAATGGCTTCATTCTCAAATTAGGTAACATTTACCCAGTGGAACAGAGAAGATAGAGACTTTCCTCTTTCACTAAGAGATTAGAAATCAAAAATCAGTTTAAGGTCTGAATTGTTGTTACACATACAGCTTATAAAAAAAAAACCCTCAAATTTTAATAAAAATTGGTCCCTGGCTGGTAACGCTACTGAGGTCCTGCTAGAAACAAACATAAAACCATTCTTGAGGGATACTCCTACAACACAGACTACATGTGTTTCCAATGAAAATATGAACCTGTATAAAATAATGTCACAAACCATAAAATATCTAAAAAATTATCAGTTTTATGTTTATGACTAGATTAGGGAATGATTATAGCCTTATGCAGAAAATAAAATTAGTATATTTATAATGATTAAGATGTTAAGAAATAAAATCAAATGAAATGATCTAGGACTGAAGAAATAGAAAACAGATTTAGAAAATATTAGTAATTTAAATTATAAATAAAATTAATACATTTAACAACTATTTAGTCACAACTAAATAATGAGCAAGGAACTTGGCAATTGATTAAATTACCTAGAATGAAACAACAAAAGAATAGGAGAATGAAAAAAAGGTTAAGGGAATATGTAGGACACAATGAGGATCAACATATATTAGAGGAGTTTCATCATAAGAGTATATAGATAATTACTGTAAGGCAACTTTCAGAGAGAATATGACTACAAATATCCCCGGATTTATATTTTTTAAATGGACAGAATTAATAAAAGCAAATACCCAGGCTCATTGAGGTGAAATTGCAAAACACCATAGCCAAAGATTTAAAAATATTACGGCAACTAGACAGAAAAGATAGATCTCTTATAAAGAAACCAGAATTAGATCGACAGAGTATACAATGGAGGACAAAAAATGAAGGAAATTATGTCTCTGTAGTGCTAACAAAAAATAACCAATCTAGAATTATATACAAGAATAAAGTATCATAGTAGAGAAAAGGTGAAGTAAAGGTATTGAAGACTGTGATATTTCACTGAAAGAACTACAAAAGGCCTAATCTTGAGAAACAAGAAAATTGATCTTTGTGGAAAAAGTGGAGTACAACAAGCGCGACTGAGCAAAGAATGAGTAAATCATATAAATCAGTAAACCAGCAAGGCATTTAATGTTCAAAATAGCCACCACCATAATAATAATTTGGGGAGAATAAAAAAAAACTAGGTAGAAAGTAAAATAATAGACAAAATAAGGTAAGATAGGAGGGCTATAATTAAAGTGTTTTATGGATATTTATTTTACAAATGGCAACCAGAATTGTTAATTAATTTTACACTTAAAATGGAGATTCTGTGATAATGGTTTAAGAATAATCACCACACATGTGGATATAAATGTAATTTTGCAATCAGTAGAAAGAAGTGAATGAAAATAATCAGTCCTACAGAAGGCAAGAAAAGAAGAAAGCAAGCTAAAAACAAACAAACAAACAAAAAAACCCCAAAAACCGTGATGATGAAAAAAGCACAATAAGAATACCGGCAATATAAATCCAACAATACCAACAGTCACACTAATTATAATTTTTAAAGATGTCAAAATTTAAAAAAACTTTCAGATTAAAGTTATTTAGCTGTACATTGCTTTTTAGAAATATATATGAAACATAATGATAAAGTTGAACTTCAATGAAATTAAGATTTGTAAAATGCTTTTTAAACAAATGCTAATAAAAAGCTAGTGTTTAACAACATTACACAAAAAGATTCTAATGCAAAAAAATTATATAAAAGGGGCCAATATATTATTATAAAAGGAACAAATAGTCTTAGTGTGAGAAAGAAACTCAATGTTTTCTATTAATTATATACTGAAATAATGAGAGTTTAGAATTTTTTAGGTTAAATAAAATGTATTATCAAAATTAACACCCCCTGTTCTATTCTTTTTACCTTTTTTATGTGGCAACTGGAATGAATATGTATATATTCATTCACGTGTGTTTTGCATTATATTTCATTCATTCGTTCATGTGTGATTTGCATTATATTTCTCCTGGACAATGCTGTTGTAGGCTGTTCTCTGATAGGTTAGAGAGCTGGTCCACGGTAGAGAAGTTCATTGAGGTGGTGAGAGCTTTGAAGCCAAGAGCAGTCTGACAGGGAAACCACATCCTTACATTTTTACTTTTTTAAGTCCAGAGACAGAGGAACAAGTTTTGGTTTCAGGTGTTTTGAAATGGAAAGGGTGCTCAACTGTGTTAGGAGGATTTCCTGCCCTAACTCTACTCGATGTTGCTCCTTGGACCTCTGTACCTCCTGACACATGGCAGTGACCAAGGAGGCTCTCAGAAGTGTGTTCTTCATCCGGTCTACTGCCCACCTTCCCCTCCAATATTCATGTTTCCAAATGATGGTGTTTGAGTTAGGTCCAGGTATGGCCTATCATTTTCTAACTATCATGTAGTCTTCTCAGAGAAAGGAATTTTGGGGTAATTTTTGGAATCTTCTTTTGTTCCAATCTCATCTGCACAACATGTATGATGAATAATTCTGTTTTTTGGATATGGGTGACTCTGTATTTCAATTTCCAGTCTGATTCCATTTGACAGATATTAAAATTCTTCTTGGCATTTAACTAACAGGAAAATGATGTGGACAGCATAACTGATCAGTAACCTTGGTAAAATATAACTTTTTTGTGCAAGTCAGTTTAAGGCAGAGAACAATTTTACCTCCCAGAGGACATTTGGCAATGTCTGGAGACATTTGGGGTTATTATAATTTGGGGAGGAGGTGCTAACTGGCATCTAGTAGGTAATGGTCAGGGATGCTACCAAACACCCTACAGTGCACAAAACAGCCTCTCACAACAAAAAATTATCCAGCCAAAAATTTTAATTAATGCTCAAACTGAGAAACCTTACTGTAAGGTAATCTAATAAAGAATATATGAAATGTTTATACATCTATATAGAATTATTTTAATATAAATTTATATTGAATGCCTAAGCAGAAGAGTACAAGAGCCTTACATGTACATCCCAATAAATTTTCACAAAATCAACACATCTGTGTAACACATTAGCCAGCTCAGGAAATAGGGCATCACTAATACTCAAGAAGCCTGCTCATGACCCAGTCCAGTCAGCCTTTCTGACCATAGATCACCACTATACTGACCACTAATATCACAGATTAGGTTTGCCTGTTTTTGAACTTTATAGGAGTTGAATCATAGTATGCACTTTTTGTGTGTTTGCCTTCTTTTATTCAACTTTACATTTTTACAATTCACTCATGTTGCTGCATAGCTACAGTTTAGTCATTCTTATGGTTGTATAGTATTCTCTCATACAAAATACTGCACAGACTATTCATTCAACTATTAAATCTCAATTCAATGGTTTTCAGTTTGGGGCTGTTAAAAGGTGCTACTCTAAAAATCATATGTATAATTTTGTGAAATATGCACACATTTTTGGGGGGCATGTTCCTAGGCGTAAAATTGCTGGGCATAGGGTATACAAACATCCATCTTTAGTGAACATTGTCACACACTCCCACTAGTAGTGTATGAGACTCGATTTATTTTTAAATATCCAGTACAGATGTTTTTTGTATGTATGTACATATTTCGCAAGCTTAAAATCCACATCTTGAGCACCAAGCTAGTTAGGGAGGACAAAGAGCAAAACCCAGTCTCATATCTTTCCAGTCATTTGGTGACTAAAATGTGTTCTAATGAGTAATTGTACTGACCCTATGGGTCCCAGGGAAACAGCATCAGCTGTGGAGAAAGTGTGTGTCTATAAACCATTTGAAAGAAGTGTGTGTCTATAAACCATTTGAAAGAAGCGTGTGTCTATAAACCATTTGAAAGAAGTCGTTATTTGAGACCGTTGGTTTGTTCTTACTGCCTTCTTGTAGCCAATTTAGATAAGCAAAACTAAGCTCTGCAATCCTGTTGTGACAAAAATAACTGTAAGATTTTGATAGGCTTGCTTTCTCTAAATGTCACCCAAATGTCTTGCCTCTGACGCCGATGCTCTTCTCACTATACTGGGCTATTTCACTGTACATGGTACTTTCTCCTGCACATCTCTATTACCTTATGTTCAAGTCCCTTGGCCTGGAATATACTTGTATATAAAAAACTCACTTGAATTCTTTAGATAAGAAAACCTTGAGAAAATAAAGGTATGATAAACATAGCAGTATTGATACTATTTTGATTCCTGCAACTATTCTTGATATTATACTTCCTTTGTAAATGTTTTAACTCTGGAACTTTTCCACTTTTGTATCAATTAGCATCACAATCTTATAAACATGTTTCTATTTATTGAATCCCAGGTCAAAGTCATTATACAACAAAGAACAATAGTTTTCATACCAGACTGCTTGCATGCATGCAAATTGGGGCTCTTGCCAAGGAGGTAATGAATACAATCTCAGGTTTCATGAGATGAATCAAAAAATAGAAAAACTAATAACATAGTGTTCATATCTCAGATAACCTAAGTCAGGGTGTCCTTCTTCTCCACAAGACTCGCCTTTTAAATTGAGACATGATGTATTAAGTGATGTAAAAGTAAATCATACAGGAAAAAATCCAAGACTCTCTCATGCATGAGAGAAAGTGAATTTTCATTTTTCATAATGGCCTCCTTACACCATGATGATTTACATCAAATATCATACTCCTGGAATAACAATTATACCAGGAGATAGTATAGCACTGTGGTCAGGAGCATTGAGTCTAATGATGTGGTTCAAATTTTGGTTCTCAGACTCAATAACCATGGGACTCTCAATAAGTTACTTAAGCCTTCAGAGTCTCAGTTTCCTATGCATCAAAATAGAGGAAAATAGTGGCATCTATTCTATGGCTCAGGAAAATTAAAAGGTACTGTTCATCATATGCAGTTAGCTTAATGCTAGGACACAGTGAGGGTCCCACAAACAGCAGCGGCTGCTATGGGGTGATTGAAAACAGTAACAAGGGCACAGGCATTACTATTCATGTTCCTCCTGAAAAGGTATGCCATCAACTTATAGTGACTGTGAAGCCTGATGGAGAAAGTAAATGAGGGGGATCATGGCTGAAACATCATAAGTCAATATAGCCACTTTTATAATTGGGAATCTATGAAAAATAGTATGATATACTATTGCATAAGGCAGCGGGGAGGAGTGATTAAGAGATCGATTCTGGAACCAGTCTTAATAAATTCCTGTCCTGCCACTTTTACTCTCTGTATGATCTGGGCAAGTCACATCATCTCTCTTGCCTATACAATGGGACCTAGTGTCTCAAGGTGTGCATTTGCATGTGAGTGTGTATATATGTGTGTGTTTAGTACATATGTCATGCTATTGTGTTGAAGACTAAGTCAACAAGTCAATATATGGGGGCACCTGCAACAGGGCATGGCACATAGTAATTGTTATTAGGTGTTTGTTATTATGATTATTGAACTGACATGAGATTGGGTACCTTCTTGAAAGGTTACTTTCTGACTATATAAGGAAAAGGCAGCAATTTCTGAAGAAAGATATAAATAAAAGTGACTCCGCTGCTGTCACCTCAGGGTTGAGTTCCCGTTTTGGGGCTAGCTTTTTGCGTAGACTGCTGAAGGCAGTGTTCAAAAGCACATGAGCTTGTATTTGGCAGAGGCTTGGTCCCAAGCTATTGGAAACATTGGTGGGAGTGACGGAACCTACGAAAAAGGTCATTTCAAAACTGCAAGCAGTTTTTCTGTTTTTCTAGAAGTTGGGAATTGAACACAGTGTTGATGCAGACTATTTCTAAATTCTAAGGCAAATCATTGCGTGTGCCTTTCAGTTATGCAAATCTAAATCACAGGTCGTAATTAGAAAAGGAGGTGTTTGAGAAGCTGTAGCTATAAGGAGCTAAACTGTTCTGTGTGATCATGGAAAAGGTCATTTGTGTAGTAGGCAGAATAGCATTTCTGTAGGCTGCTGCTTCTGGGAAAAAAAGTTTATTTTCTAAGTCTGGATTTAGATGCCTACAGAATACAGTTTATATCTTGTGTCTTATATTAAGTATCTTCTTTGGGGTGTTCAGGCTCTCAGACCCTGAGACTTTAGAAAAGATATGCAGGAGTCACCCTCATTTTATCCTGGAGAAAAGACCATAAAACAGCCCTCTACGTTATAAGCTAAAGACAGAAACCCCAAATCTGTGAAACTTTGAAAATTAAAGGGGCAATCAATTTTTCTTGGTAATTTGGAAGCAAGGGATATCAAAAAGCAACTTCTCCAGCTTCCCCAGTCTCACCACTCTCTGCTGTCTGTGTGCCTCACTTGTAAAGCAGGATGATGGTGTTCTCCTGTGACTGCTCTGTTGAAATTGTGAGGTAAGAATCTGTTCATATGAGAGTAGAGCTCACCAGTGTCTGCCTTCCTGGGATGAAGTAGATTTTGAGACAGGAAATAAATCTTAAATCTTAGTCTGGAGGTGAGGAGGTGATACCTTCATCTCCTTAGGATTATTTGCTTGGGTCTTTTCTCTGAGGAATCTAGCCAATTTGAAGAAGTTTGGTGGGAACAAAACTCATTTCCCTTACCACTGAGACAAAGAGGCAGCCTTTAAGCAACGGCGTGGTGCTGAGGCCTCTCAGAACACCCATCTCTAGTCTGCTGTGAATTCAGCTCTGTGGGTACTTCCCTTCCCTGAAATGTGGGGCTTCAGTCAGGCCTTGTGAAAAGTTAGAGCTGTCTGTCATGCATAAGAGAGGAAGTAAGGGAAGGCTTGGACAGGAGTACCTAGTGTTAGAATGAGGAGCCCTTTGGACGGTAAGCCTAGGCCTGAGGGAGCTCTTAAAGTCCACAGGAAGCCATCCCTGGCTGGGGAAGGACTGGACTGCTGACAGAGACCAATGAATGGTAAGCAGCTACCTGACACCCTCAAAGCAGAGAAGAGAGGCCCAGGCTGAGGCACACCAGGAGTTGTGAGATTGGGAAAAGATGATAAAGTGGATCTGGGTTCCAGATCCCCAACAGGTGGTATGTATTAAGAACACTTCAGTTTTTCTAATGTAGTGTAATTTCATTTGTGCCTACAAACAGGTGAAGCCTCGTAATCTCATAGGCATTGAGATTGTGTCAATTTTCATATTACCTAACAAGGGCTGAAAGCAACCTAGCCAAAAAACAACTAAAGAGCTAAACAACCTGAAATGGTTAGACTTTGTGTCCCCACCCAAATCTCATCTTGAATTATAATCCCCATAATCCCCATGTGTCAAGGAAGAGGCTAGGTGGAGGTAATTGGATCATGAGGGTGGTTTCCCCCATGCTATCCTCGTGAGACTGAATGAGTTCTCATGAGATCTGATTGTTTTATAAGTATTTGGTAGTTCCTCCTGAGTTCATTCTCCTTCCTGCCACCCTGTGAAGAAGGTGTCTTGCTTCTCCTTCACCTTCGGCCATGATTGTAAGTTTCCTGAGGCCTCCCCAGCCATGCAGAACTGTGAGTCCATTAAACCTCTTTCCTTTGTAAATTACCCAGTCTTGGGCAGTTCTTTATAGCTGTATAAGAACGAACTAATACATCTCCAAAAGGTTGATTGCCTGGAACATGAAGAGGACTACCTACCAAATTGTCACTGCCTCACCAACAGGGACTAGTCATTTTTACCAATTCCTCTTGCTACAGTGTGTTAAGTAAATAATTTTTCAAATCTGTAGTTGACTAAACTCTTTTTATAACTTAGCATATAATAGCCAGAGAAATCCAGAGTTCTGAAATTCTAAAGTACATCTTACTGAACATTTTATGCTGAAAGTTTCTGTGAATGACAGCAATTCAACCACGTATCTGGGATTTTAAAAGGGCTGACACATTAATTTTTTTTACAGTTTTTTTTTTTACCATTTTTAAAAGTCCTGTTTTACTTTCCAATTGTGCAGTCTCATTTAGAATACTTTTATTTTCTCTAATTTAAAGATGTTCCCTTCTAAAGACAAATGAACTTGAGGAAATCTAACTTGTGATATCCTTTCCTGAGTATGTTTATGACTACTGCTATTACTCAAAGGCAATTTTCCTGGGTGGGATGTTTTCCAACACACTTCTTTCTTTCCCTTTACCATATTCCCCTTCCCTTTGCCTCTCCTATATTCCCTGCATCCCCAACAGCAACACACACATACACACACTGTGTCCTTTGCTGTTTCCCTCTTTTTAATTTAATTTTTAATTTTTATGGCTACATAGGAGGTGTATGTCTTTATGGGTACGTTAGATACTTTGATATAGGCATACTGTGTGGAATAATTACATCACGGTAAAATTTTATCTTTGGGGCTTTTGTGTTGAGCTAGATCACAGAAAAGACTTGTTTTGGAGATAAAGTGTCAAGTTACCAGTTAAAATGAAATCTAATGCTTTCGTAAAATTTTGTGGTACATGTGCCTATTTACCCAACAATAGCAAGAACATTCCTGTATGTTTTTAAATTAAGGAAGGGAGAGGTATAAAGAACCATTTTGAAAAGATTACTACATATATTAACAGAGAAATTTCTTCACCCAGGGGCTGTGTAGTGATGAGAAAACAGAAACCAAACAGCTGATAGAATTAGAATGTAAAGCATTTGGTTTTCTAGAGACGTTTGGACTTTATTTGCAGCTAATTAACATGAAGTCTTCAGTAGGCATGACTCTTTTCTCAAATACAGCTAGTTTTATCACTTAATATTCATAATAAATATGCTACAATATAGAAATAAACTCTCTAGAGAGCAGCAGGAAAATTAAACCACCAATTTAAGGAATCCAGGTTTGTCACACAGTCTCTACCCTTCAGCATCCAGGGTTCAGTAAGCATGGAGGCTGACACACTAAACTGCAAGTAATAACATGGTCACTCCCATGGAGCAAATAGGTCAGGGCTGCAGGCTGGATCTTCCGAGACCAGCAGACCCCCTAATACCAGGGACACAATCTTCCACAGTCTCGACTCTTGCCTCCGGTCCTAACACCTGTCCTTAGTCTCTAAGTTTCTTCAATAACATTAACCTTTCTTCCTTCTTAATTTCTCGCACATGAAGAGCTGCAAAGCTCCATGTTTCCTTCTGTTTTCTAGCCCCTTTCTGAGCAATCTCGGTTTTTTCTAGGGCATTGAAGGGCCACTCTGGCAGTAAAGCAGATTGTTTTAATTAGGTTTGATTACTTTTTAAATAAATCCAAGAGGACTGGGAAAAGCAATCGCTAAAAGATGTATTGAGTTTTTTTTTTTTTTTTTTTTTTTTGGAACTGAAACTATGAAACAGTGTGGCTACTCACATTAAAAAGGGAGGCTTTTCTACTTTCTCCTTTGTAATGTAGAGTAAGGGATTGCTTTCCTTGTGAAATTCACTGCCCTCCCGCCCCTCATCCTACATTTTTCTGTTTTCTCTTTCAGGCCAAACTAGAATAAGGTGGGTGACCACCTCCAGGGACATCAGGTTCTGCACTGTGCAGTCAGTTACAATTTAAATATATGATTTGTTTATGCTTGCTTGGTTTGTTTTCAGCACAACCTGAAAACTCTTAGATTGTGCCATTTGTTCAGTGCATAAGGAGGAGCATGTGAGATAATTTATAGCTGAATGAAGAAAAAGCAAAGATATAAAAGTTCTCAGTTGATATGAATGCTAGTTTACACAATAGGTTTGAGAAGAATTTTATTTTCCTCCACAGATTAGTGTTAAGGACTTGGATTTAAGTTTACCAAATATGAAAAAGTTAAGTAGAAGCAATCTTAACAGCAAAGTTCTTCATCTAAGTAGTTTTCATTTTTAATTTTTATGGGTGCACAGTAGATGTTTATATTTATGGGGTACATGAGATTTTGATACAAGCAAACCATGTGTAATCACATCAGGGTAAATGGGGTATCCATCACTTCAAGCATTTATCATTTCTTTGTGTTACAAATATTCCAATTATAGTATTTAGTTATTTTAAAATGTAAAATAAATTGTAGTCACCCTCTTGTGCTGTCAAATACTAGACTTATTTGTTCAAACTATATTTTTTAACCCTTTAGCTATCCCCACTCTTTCCCTCCCTTCACTACCCCTCCAAGCCTCTGATAACTGTCATTCTACTGTCTCCATAAGTTTAATCGTTTTAATTTTTAGCTCCCACAAATGAGTGAGAACTTATGAAGTTTGTCTTTCTGACCGTGGCTTATGTCACTTAACATGATGTCCTTCAATTCCATCCATGTTGTTGTAAAAGACAGAATCTTATTCTTTTTATGGCTGAATACTATTTCGTTGAGTATATGTACCACATTTTCTTTATCCATTCATCTGTTGATGAATAGTTAGGTTGATTCCAAATCTTGGCTATTGTGAATAGTACTGGAAAAAACATGGGAGTGCAGGTATCTCTTTGATATGCTAATTTCCTTTGTTTTGGGTATGTACCTAGCAGTAAGATTGCTGGATCATACAGTAGCTCTATTTTAAGTTTTTCGAGAAAACTCCATACTATTCTTCATCGTGACTATAATAATTTACATTCCCACTAACAGTGTTCCTCTGTATATCTCACCAGCATCCATTATTGCCTGTCTCTGGATAAAAGCCATTTTAACTGGGGTGAGATGATATCTCATTGTACTTTTGACTTGCATTTCTCTGATCAATGATGTTGAACTCATTTTTGTATCCTGTTTGCCTTTTGTATGTGATTTTTTTAAGAAATGTCTATTCAGATCTCTTGCCTATTTTTCAATTATATTAGAATTTTTACTATGTAATTATTTGAGCTGAACTCCTTATATATTCTGATTAATCTCTTGTCAGATGAAAAGTTTGCAAATATTTTCTCCAATTCTGTGTGCTGTCTCTTCACTTTGTTGGTTGTTTCCTTTGCTATGCAGAAGCTTTTTAATTTGTTGTGATCCCATTTGTCCACTTTTGCTTTGGTTGCCTGTGCTTGTACGGTATGACTCAACAAATCTTTACATCCATTCAAACATCATAGAGAGCTTCCCCAATGTTTTCAGGTAGTGGTTTCATAGTTTGAGGTCTTTAATTCATTTTGATTTTATTTTTGTATATTGTGAGAGATAGGGGTCTAGTTTCACTTTTCTTCATACAGGTATTCAGTTTTCTGAGCATCGTTTATTGAAGAGAGTGTCCTTTTCCCAGTGCATGTTCTTGTCGCCTTTGTTGAAAATGAGTTCACTGTAGATATGTGGATTTATTTCTAGGTTTGCTGTTCTGTTCCGTTGGTCTATGTGTCTTTTTATGCCAATACCATGCTGTTTTGGTTACTATAGCTCTGTAGTAGGATTTGACCTCAGATAATGTTTCCTCCAGGTGTTTTTGTTTTTCTGTATGTGTGGTGTTTTGTTTTGTTTTGTTTTGTTTTCCTCAGGATGGCTTTGGCTATTCCAGGTCTTCTGTGGTCCCAATTAGGATTATTTTTCCTACTTCTGTGAAGAATGTCATTGGTATTTTGATAAAGATTGCATTGAATCTGTAGATTATTTTGGGTAGTATGAACATTTTAGCACTATTGATCCCTCTAATCCCATGAACATAAAATATCTTTCCCTGTGTTTGTCATCTTCAGTTTCCTGAAGCAATATATTATAGTCTTCATCATAGAGATCTTTCACTTCTTTAGTTAAGTTTATTCCTAGGTATATTGTTTTATTTATTGCTATTGAGTTTATTGATTTATTTTTCAGATTGTTCACTGTTGGCACATAGAAATGCCACTAACTTTTTGTATTTTGATTTGGTATCTTACAACGTTGAATTTCTTTATCGGTTTAATAGTTTTTGGTGGAGTCTTTAGGTTTTTCCAAATATAAGATCATATAATCTACAAGCAAGGATAACTTGACTTCTTTCTTTCCAACTTGGGTGCCCTTTATTTATTTCTCTTTTCTAATTGCTCTAGTTAGGACTTCCAGTACCATGTTGAATAACAGTGGTGAAAGTGGGCATCCCTGCCTTGTTCCAGATTTTAGAGGAAAGCCTTTCAGTTTTTTCCCATTCAGTATGATACTAGCTCTAAGTCTGTCATATATGGCTTTTACTGTGTTGAGACATATTCCTTCCATACTCAGTTTTTTGAGAGTTTTTGTCATGAAGGAATGCTGAATTTTATCACATGCTTTGCTTTTCCAGAATCAATTGAAATGATCATATGTTTTTTGTCCTTCATTCTGTTGATATGATGTATCACATAGATCGATTTGCATATGGTGAACTATCCTTAGATCCTTGGGATAAATCCTACCTGGTCATGATGAATGATCTCTTTAATGTGTTATTGAATTTGTTTTGTAGGATTTGTTGAATTTTTTGCATCAGTGTTTATAATTTTGTTGAATTTTTTTGCATCAATGTTCATCAGTGAGATTTCTTTTTTTGATGTGTCTTTGTCTGGTTTTGGTATTGGCGTAATACTGGCCTACCTTCTGAGTTTGGAAGTATTCACTTCCTTTCTATTTTTCAGAATAGTTTGAGTAGGATTGGTATTTATTACTCTTTAAACATTCAGTAAAATTCAGCAGTGAATCCATAGGGTTCTGGACTTTTCTTTCTTGGGAGACTTTTTGGCTCCAGTGGCTTCAATTTCATTATTTGCTATTGGTCTATTCAGGTTTTAGATTTATTCATGGTTCAATCTTGGTAGGTGGTATGTGTCTAGGAGTACATCTTTTTCTTCTATGTTTTCCAATTTATTGGCATATAGTTTCTCATAATAATGTCTAATGATCCTTTAAATTTAATTCGTAGGATCTCCTTTTTATCTCTGGATTTTTTAAAAATTTAGGTCTTCTGTCTTCCTAGTTATTCTGGATAAAGGTTTGTCAATTTTGTTTATCTTTTCAAAAAACCAAATTTTGGAAACATAGTACTGGAAGTCCTAGCTAGAGCAATTGAAAATAATTTTTCAACTTCCTTTTGTGTATCCATTGCATGGTTTTTGATTTGAGATTCCCATGAGGCTTGCAAATAACATCTTACAACCTATTATTTTAAACTGATGACAACTTAACCCTGATTGCAAAAGCTAACAAGGAAAGCGAAAACTAATAAAAATTGTTTTAGTTAGATAGACTAATAAAACTAAAACTGTTATCGTTGATAAATTTTGATGACTTTTTATATATTTTTTGTTTAAATTTCATTTATTTCTGCTCTGATCTTCATTGTTTCTTCTGTTAATTTTAGGTTTGATTCACTCTTACTTTTGTAGTTCTTTAAGATGTATCATTAGGTTGTTGAAGTTTTTCTACTTTTTTGATGTAGACACTTATTGCTGTAAACTTTCCTCTTGGTACTCCTTTTGCTGCTTCCCATAGATTTTTGCTGTTTTGTGTTTCCATGATCATTTGTTTCAAGAAATTTTTCAATTTCCTTCTTAATTTCTTCATTGACCCACTGGTCCTTCAGGAGCATATTGTTTAATTTCCATGTGTTTGTATAGTTTCCAAAATTGTTCTTTGTTATTGATATCTAGTTTTATCCAATTATGGTCAGAGAAGACACTTTATTTCCAATTTAAAAAAAATTAAGACTTTTTTGTGGCCTAACAGATACTCTATCCTTGAGAATGATCCATGTGCTGAGAAGAATTTGCATTCTGCAGCCATTGGATGAAATGTTCTATAAATATCTATTAGGTCCATTTGGTCTATAGTGAAGATTAAGTCTGATGTTTCTTTATTTTCTGTCTGAAATATATGTCCAGTGCTCAAAGTTGGGTGTTGAAATCTCCACCTGTTATTATATTATGGTCTATCTCTTTAGCACTAATAATATTAGCTTTATATACCTAGGTACTACAATGTTTCGTGCATATATATTTAAAATTTTTATATCTTCTTGCTTAATTTACCCATATTTCATTATATTATGAACTTCTTTGTCTCATTTTAGTTTTTTTCCTTGAAATCTATTTTATCTGACATAAGTATAAGTACTCCTGCTCTTTTGTGGTTTTGCATGAACTATTTTTTTCCATCACTTTATTTTCAGTCTCTGTGTGTCTTTACAGATGAAATACATTTCTTATAGGCAACAGATATTTGGGGAGGAGGAGTTGTTATTGTTGTTGTTCATTCAGCCACTCTATGACATTTGATTGAAGAGTTTAGTCCATTTATATTCAATGTTATTATTAATAAGTAAAGACATACTACTGCCCTTTTGCCATTTGTTTTCTGGTTGTCTTGTGGTTCCTTCCTTCCTTCCTTCCTTCCTTCCTTCCATCCATCTATCCATCCATCTTCTTATTTTTCTCTGGTAATATGTTCTAATGTCTTGCTTTTGATATTTTGTATATTGCATGGTTTTTTATTTGAGATTACCATGAGGCTTGCAAATAACATAACGTACTATTTTAAACTGATGACAACTTAACATTGATTGCAAAAGCAAACAAACAAATAAGGAAAGAGAAAGCTAATAAAAATTCTGTACTTGAACTGTATCTCTCCTGCTTTTAACTTTTTGTTTCTATTTATATCCGATAAATAGAAATGTCTTTAAAAGTTTTTGTAGTTATTATTCTTGATAGGTTTATCTTTTAGTGTTCTTATTCAAGGTATGAGTAGTTTACATACCACAATTAGTGTTATAATATTTGGTATTTGTGTACTTACTAGTGAGTTTTGTACCTTCAGATAATGTTTTATTGCTTGTTAACATCTTTTTTTTTGAAGAACTCCCTATAGCATTTCTGGTAGAAAATATTTGTTGATGTAGTGCCTTAAGTTTTTTCTGAGAAAATTCTTACTTCCCCTTCATGTTTGAAGGGTATTTTCACTGGTTATGATATTCTAGGATAAAAGGTGTTTTTTTTTTCTTCAGAACTTTAAATATGTCCTGTCACTCCTAGCCTATTAAGTTTTCACTGGAAAGTCTGATGCCATAGTATTGGATATGTTACTTTTCTCCTCTGCTGATTTTAGGATCCTTTCTTTATTTTTTACCTTTGGAAGTTTGAGTATTAAATGTCTACAGGTAGTCATATTTGGGTTTAATCTTCTTGGTGTTCTATAACCTTCTTGTATTTGAATATTGATATCCTGGGCTTGGAAAGATCTCTGTTATTAACTCTCTGAATAAACTGTTTCCTCCAATCTCTTTACTCTCTCTTTAAGGCCAATTACTCTTAGATTTGCCCTTTTGAGGCTATTTTCTAGATCTTATAGGCATGTTTCACATTTCATTCTTCTTCTTTTTTGTTCTTTTGTTTTCTCTATTTTCAGATAGACTGTCTTCAAGCTTATTAATTCTTCTGCTGGATCTATTCTTCTTTTGAGAGACTTGATGTTTTCTTCAATTTGTCAATTGAATTTTTCAGCTCCAGAATATCTGCTAAATTTTTTAAAGTTATTTCAATATCTTCATTAAATTTTATTTTGAATTCCCTCTCTATGTTGTCTTGAATTTTGTTCAGCATTCTCAAAACAGCCAGTTTGATTTAATCTGTCCGAAAGGTCACATATCTCTGTTACTCTGGGATTGGTCACTGGTGCCTTAGTTCATTAGGTGAGGTCATGTTTTCCTGATGGTCTTGATGATTGTGGATATTGTCAATGCCTGCACATTGAAGAAATAGGTATTTATTCTAATCTTTGCTGTCTGGGCTTGTTTGCACACATTCTTCTTGAGAAGGCTTTCCAAGTGTTCAAAGAGAATTGAGTGTTGTGATCTAAGTCTTTGGTCACTGCAGCCATATCTCTATTAGGGGACCCCCCCCCCCACCAAGCCTAGTAATGCTGTAGTTCTTGTAGACTCATAGAGGTAACATGTTGGTGTACTTGGGTAAGATCTGGGAGAATTCCCTGGATGACCAATCAGAGTCTCTTGTTCTCTTCTTTTACTTTTCCCTTAAACATACAGAGTCTCTCTTTCCATGCTGAACTGCCTGGATTTGGGGGCAGGGGTGATTCAAGCACGTGTATGGCTACTACCAATGGAACTGTGTTGGGTTATATCTGAAGCCAGCATAATACTGGGTGTCATCCAAGGACTGTGGTAACTATTGCGTAGTTACCACTGATGTTTATTCAAAGCCCAAGGACTCTTTAGTCAGCAGGTAACAAATCCTGCCATCACTGGGCCCTTCCCTTCAGGACAGTGGGTTCTTTTCAGGGCCAGGATGAGTCTAGAAATGTCATCCATGAGCTAGATCCTGGAATGGGGACTTTAGGACTCTACTTGGTGTTTTATTTTACTGTGGCTAAACTAGTAACCAATTTGCAATATAAAGTCCTTTACTCTTCTCTCTCCTTTCCAAAAGCAAAAGGAATTTCTCCTGGTGTTGTGAGCTGCCCTGCCTGGGGTTGGGGGTGAGGCCACATAAGCACCCCCTTGGCCTTCACAGCCAGTGTCTCACTGGGTTGCATGTACCCCTAGTCCACTAACTCCAAGCCCAGCACAGCGCCAGAATTTGCCCAGGAACTGCAGTCCTTGTGGTGTAGACTGACTTTCAAATTTATTTAAAACCACAGAGCCCTTTAGCCTGCCGTGGTGGACTATCCAGAACTCAGGTTCCTACTGCTGGGATGGATGATTCCCCTCTGGCTAGGTCTGGTCTAAATGCTTTCTCCATTGGCACTGGCTGAATTCTGCCCTCTGTTGCTTCCAGCTGTTACAGGGCAGCACTGGGTTCCAATGCAAAGTCACACAGTCACTTCCGTGTCCCTCCCCCAAGCATGCATTCTTTCTCCATGCCACATGGCTGCTGCCACGGGATGAAGGAGGGTTGCTGTAGGAAATTCGACTCTTTTGTACTCTCTTCAGTGCCTCTTTGCTTATATGATGTCCAAAACCAGGTACTGTGATTGCTCACTTGATTTTTGGTTCTTATGTAGGTAATGTCTTGTGTGGATAATTTTTCAATTTGGTGTTCCTGTGATGGATTGCAGGGGGAATGATTGCTTGAGGCTTCTATTTAGCCATCTTGTTACACCTCCAATATAATTAATTTACCAATCGAAATTGATCATTGTGTTTATGTGTAAAACAAGTCGACTATTTGTAGCAGATCCTCATTCAGCCTTATGGCTTTATTACTATTTCTTGCATTCCATCAGTGCTTATGGCCCTGATGAAATAGGCCAAAGGGTCAAGTTACATTCTAGAGGCCAACAATTTAACTTAAAAATATACACTTAATCTAATCCTGTTTGGTTTGGTATGAGGAAGAGGTAGAAGATGAAACTACTCAGGAATGCTCACTGAAGATACCATGGCTTTCTGAATTTAAATGTATCTCCTTGTCACCTCGACTTTGCTAATACTAATATTGCAGGTTTAAAAGAAAATAGGTCTACGGGGAAATCAAGCTGCTGGATCTCACCAAAATGAAATATTCAATACTCTGCTTTTCCCCCTGTTTCCTTTACATTCTTCTGAGACTCTGTGAGAACAATAAAGTTGCTGCAGATGTTAGAATTATTATTATTTAGAGCCATAAAGCAATAGAATAAGCTAGAAATGATTTGGGGAAGAAATAGCAATCTTGGTAACTGTTGGAATTGGGGGCCAATAAATGGCACCCTCTCCCTTTATGTTTAAGAACCAGTTGAGAAATATGCACAAGAGTCAGGAAAGTAAATATCAAAATACAGGTTTTACTGATGATAGTTGAATTAGAAAAGATGGATTAAAAGTATGACTATGATAGGGGTTCCCTATAGCACATTTCACTCAATTAAATGGCTCACCAAGTCACAGTCAGAACCACAGGCCATCTTACCCATACCCCATCTTGTCCCTCAAGGTTGGGAACTCTAAGAATGGATTATCCTAAACAAGAGGCTCAAGCTCAAGGCTATGTGTCTGCACTTTCCTAATCTTATAAGTCAGACAAGCAATGTCTTTTCCTTTAGGAGGCGCAAGTGAGCTGGGTAGGCAGAAGCATGAGAGCTACTTTCCCAGCGTTTCCAAGTACAGGAAATGTCTGTTTCATTGGCCTGAAAAGGATGAAAATGGTTCCCTTAACAATGAGCTTCTATGATGCTATGTGGATTTTCTGGAGGGATTACAAGTTGTCCAGTGCTTGTGATGTTGTAAGAACTAAAAAAAGGCAATTTATTTCTCAACTATACAAATAAAGTGAGACTTTATTTAAAGCTGATTTATGAGCCTTCACTCAGGGCATAGAATCTTCTGCACTGGCCACTACAATAAAGTTACCTAAGAGAAACAACAACAAAACAGTGAAGTTCTACACCAGTACCACCTTATACTTTTTACTGTCCGTTAAGCTTCATAATCTAGAAGGAAATATGAACTTACTAGTTTTCTGTGTCTCTTGGGCCTAACGCTAAGGCTTAGAAGTATTATTTTTAAATTTTTGTTGCCACTTCTACTCATACTAGTTTCTAGTTTTCTGCTTTACAGAGCCAAAAATACTCTCTAAGCAAAAGACGTTCCATTGTCACTAATCTTCTTAAAGTATATCTACTTCAATCAAAAATCTCAGAGGCCAGCCAGGCATGGTAGTGCACATCTGTAGTCCCAGCTCCTCAGGAGGCTGAGGCAGGAGGATTACCTGAGCCTGGGAGTTCACCACTGCAGTGAGCTATGATTGAGCCACTGTACTCCAGCCTGGCTGACAGAGTGAGACCCCATCTCTAAAAATAAAAAAAAAATAGGCTGGGCATGGTGGCTTGTGCCTGTAATCCCAGCACTTTGGGAGGCCAAGGTGGGCAGATCACTTGAGGTTGGGAGTTTGAGACCAGCCTGGCAAACATGGTGAAACCTTGTCTCTACTAAAAATACAAAAATTAGCCAGGCGTGGTGGTGCTTGCCTGTAATCCCAGCTGCTCTGGAGGCTGAGGCAGGAGAATTGCTTGAAACTGGGAGGCGGAGGTAGCAGTGAGTTGAAATCGTGCCACTGCACTCCAGCCTGGGCAACGGAGTGAGACTCCCTCTCAAAAATAAATAAATAAAAAATAAAAAATAAACCTAAGAGGTCATAGTGCTTTTAGACACTCTAGATTTTTCTAATCTATAATTCTTACACTGAAAGCACAAAAGATACATATTGAAGGTGGATAAACCTTCATCCATTCCATCTGGGTCCTTTGGTGACTTCATGGGGCAGTGAGTGCCCTATGCTCCTCCTTCCCCCCCTTCCCCCCCAACCCCCGTCAGTCAGAAACACCCATTTTAGGACATTGTAATGGCAATAAATAATCCTCAATTGTGTTAAGCCACTGAAAGTTCGAAGTTTATCTGTTCTAGCAGATAACATTATCTTAATTAATACTCATGAGTATGAACACTCAATTTCTTAATGAGTCCCCAAATCTCTTTCAGCACTAAAAGCAGGCAACGGCCTCCCATCATGGTTGGCACATAGAATAAAACTACTTGTTATTCCTGCCTCATGGATGTTGTTGTTATCTTCCTGCCCCCAGACTGGGTATTATTCTGACCCTCTCTTCTCACCATTAAAAAATAGATTATTTTCAAATTGTTCAATTCACTGCAATAAATATTTAAGAACATAATCTGAGCAAGTTACTCATTATGCCAATTAAAAAGAGTAGGTTTTGGCCGGGCGTGGTGGCTCATGCCTGTAATCCCAGCACTTTGGGAGGCCGAGGCAGGCGGATCACGAGGTCAGGGGATCGAGACCATCCTGGCTAACACGGTGAAACCTCGTCTCTACTAAAAAATACAAAAAAAAAAAAAAAAAAAAAGCCAGGCGGGTTGGCAGGCGCCTGTAGTCCCAGCTACTAGGGAGGCTGAGGCAGGAGAATGGCATGAACCTGGGAGGCAGAGCTTGCAGTGAGCCGAGATTGTGCCACTGCACTCCAGCCTGGGCGACAGAGCGAGAAAAAAAAAAAGTAGGTTTCTCACATTCACCTAGCTTTGCCTTTTACTTAATGATATGTCATATTTAGATACATAGATCTTTAAGAAATTTAATTTGTTCATCAAGTTGTATACATCAAGTATATACAACTTTGTGTATGTCAATTATGCCTCAGTAAGGTAGTTAAAGTAATTTAGACTTTGCTATGATAAAAAGGTTTTAAATACTATTCTCAAGAACTATTATAGGATCAATAGAGATAACAAATTTTGATTGCTTATCTTCCAAATACTGTGCTAAATCCTCTAAATATATTAACTTTGTAATCATCAAAAAAGTCCCCCCCCATATAAAGTATTAAAAATTTAGAAAAAGAGGAACCAAGGCTCAGAGAAGTTCAGCATTTATGCACAGTCTCATAGCTAAAGAGTGGTGGAGTCAGGACATGAGTATAGTCATGTGACTGCAGAGAATGAATTATTAATCACTGTTGTATCACACACAGTGACAATTATAGCTATTCAAATAACTTATTTTGCAAATATTGTACTAAACTTTTAATAGCCCTTATCTCATTTGATTATCACAAAAACCCTTTGGTGTAGGCACTGTAATTGTCATTTTACAAAAGAACTGAGGCACAGAGAGATCTCACTCAAGGAAATATCAGGGTGGGTTTCAGCACTAGCATTTGAAAATGGGCTGTCTGACTTCCGTTTCCTTCCCAAATTTTTGAAAAAAAATTTACAGAAGAGTGCTAAGAATAATACAGTAAACACCCATATAACATCATTTAGATTCACCAATTGTAGCATTTTTCCATATTTGTAGAGCCTATATTGTTAACCACTATAATTATGAGGCTAGGTTATTTGATCAGATTAAATACTATATAAATTTGTGGAAAATTTTATAGATATGGGAGGCTTTATGGAGGTGTGTCTTAAGCTAGTTCTTGAAAATTGGTGGATAAATGGTAACATAAGGTGTTCTGAAAGGAGCGGACACTTTGAGCATAGTTGTGTGGGTACAAGTGGAAGAAAGATTTGGGACAGGGAAAATATATTCGGAAAGAGGTTATTAATGTCCTAAAGCCAAGAAAGGAATTCAGACTGATTGTCATAAGAAAAAGGGCTCTGAAAGTGTTTTCATTAGTAAAAGTAGCAACTAAGTACAGGTATTTATAAACACTTAACTTCTCGCTGTCTTTTTAAGAACTTCCATGAATGACCACCGCTGTGAGAGAAGATAACAGTTTTCTCCTTCAATTCCAGAAGTTCCAGACTTAGTGCTTTAAAAATCAATAATCCGCAGAATTCTTGAAATGTCAGTATACTAAGTAGCCCTTGGAAAAATCAACAAGATTATAAAAGAAGCAAAATGCATTTTGATGATTTCTCCACTCCCTTTTAGCACCTTCACTTTGCTTTAGTCAGTCTAGAACATTCAGGCTCGTTATCATGGAGACATCCCTTTTGGAACAGCCTTCCAGAACCACACTTTATCCTCCAGTATGTTTTTTTTTTCCACTCCAACTGGTAATCTACCTGACCTGTACGCTGCCTTCTTAGGGCTCTATGAAGTTACATTACCCAAACAAGGTAATCTGAAGAATTTAGGAGCCAGGCTATAAAACCATAATGTCTTGTAGGGGTGAATACATTTGGGAGATAATAAGCTAAGATATAAACTGTTTACATCTTACCACATAGGTGGCTAAAAATTGGACTTATGCTTCTGTTCATTCCTAAACATGGCCACTGGTTTTAACAAATGGACAAGCAATGAGTACATTGAGCTATAACACAGAATCACCGAAGGTTTCAAAGTGACTGCATTCTAGAGGCATAAATTCACGGTCTTTGAGCAAAGTAGCTAAAAAGGAAGGCTCTTTTACTATCTATATCTGAGAGTCATATTGCCTGTACTTACCATGCTTGACAGAAAGAACTGAGGTGAATATTTCAACATGAATATGCCAGCCATGTGTGTGATATGCCACTAACATTTCAAACATGATGCAAATACATGACATGCCTGTCATCCTGACCTTGTAAATCCCTGTGGTTCCCAGTGTGGTGAGTTGTAAACAGTAATGTTTCCAAGCTGGTAGTATTTTCTGCTATTTCAAGGTCATTGGGAAAACAAAAATATGCATTTTTCAATATTAGGTTGACCCAACCTCATGTAGAAATCTAAATGGTAATGCTTTCCCCATACTAAGCCAAAATATTTGCATTTCTTATAGTTCCACTATAGTTTCTTATACAGGCTTTTTTTTAAAAAGTTCATTTTGTTCACAAATTAACCTAGGGGAAGGTGAATGATTTTGGCTTTCATAACTGTAAATATTTCTTATTACTTGAAAGTCGATAGGATGTAAGAAACTCTAATACTGAATCAAGAATAGCAAGAAATGAGTAACCTAGAACTTTTTCACTGCTGAAGGATTTCAATCAAATACTAGGCAATCTTGAGGCTGAAGCAATGGTAGGAAAGTATGATAATCACTTCATAACTATAACGTCCTTCTGCCACAATCTCTTTGACTATACTTTCTTTACTGAACTACTAAAAATAGTAGTGCTTAGGTTCTACTACCACATATAATAAGTAGGGTTCTTAGACTAGTGATTCACTGGTCACTGAGGAGTTTGCTTTAATACTAGATTTCAAAGAAAAATAAAATACTTGTAAACATCAATTGACATAGAATTACTGTCCTAATTTTATCTGTGAAATATTGTCTATAGTTAGGTAAGCAGTAAGGGAGAAACCATGAATTTTATCCTACTCTTATTAATAACATTATTTTTATTGCAACTTTAGGTCCACAGCTAAATTGAGTGAAAAATACAGAAAGTTCCCATATGCTACCTGTCCCCATGTATGGACAACCTCTCCCACTATCAACATTCCACACCAGAGTGGTACATGTATTACAAACGCTGAACACATTGGCACATTTTTATCACCCAAAGTCCATAGTTTACATGGGGGTTCACTCTTGGTAGTATACATTCTTAGAGTTTTGACAAAACTCATGTGTCAAAGTGCAGGCATCTGTTCAGGTCTTTGGTCCATTTTTTTTCTTTTTTGTTGAGTTTTAAGAATTATACGTCTGTCCTTTAACAGATGTGTCTTTTGTAAATATTTTCTTCTAGTCTGTGGCTTCTCTTATTCTTTTGATGTTGTCTTTCACAGAGCAAAGTCTTTAATAAAGTTCAGCTTATCAATTATTTCTTTCCTAGATTGTGCTTTTTTGGTGGTATATGTTGTCACCATACCCAAGGTCATTTAGGTTTTATCTCATGTTATCTTTTAAGAATTGTATGCTTTTGTGTATTATAGTTAGGTTTATGACTCCCTTTGAGTAAACTTTTGTGAAGGTGTAAGGTCTGTGTATAGATTGAATTTTTTGCATGTGTGTGTTATTTTTCCAGAACTGTTTATCAAAAAGATTAGCTTTGCTCCATGGTATTATCTTTGTTCCTTTGTAAAACATCAGTTGACTGTATTGGTATGGAATTATGTGTGGGCTTTCTGTTCTGTTCCATTAACTTATTTGTCTGTTCTTTCATGGGGTGATGTCAGTCCTTTGATCTCATTCTGGCTATTCTGGCTCTTTCCATAAAAACCTATAGAATAAGTTTGTTCATATCCAATAAATAACTTGGTGGTGTTTTGGGATTGTGTTGAATTTATAAATCAACTTGAGAAGAACTGCCATCTTGACAATAATGATTCTTTGTATTCAGGAACATGAACTCTCTCTCTCTCCATTTATTTAGGTGGTTTTTTTGTTTTTTGTTATTGTTTTGTTTTTTTTTTTTTTTTTTGAGACGGACTCTTGCTCTGTGGCCCAGGCTGGAGTGCAGTGGTGTGATCTCGGCTCACTACAACCTCCACTTCCTGGGTTCAGCCTCCTGAGTAGCTGGGATTACAGGTGCCTGCCACCATGCCTGGCTAATATTTTGTAGTTTTAGTAGAGACAGGGTTTCACAATGTTTGCCAGGCTAGTCTTGAACTCCTGATCTCAAGTGATCCACCCACCTCAGCCTCCCAAAGTGCTGGGATTACAGGTGTGAGCCACCGTGCCTGGCCTAATTTAGTTTTTATTTGAAATTTAATTTAGTTTTTATTTGAAATATTGTATCAGAGTTTTAAAGTTTTTCTCATACAGATCTGCATATTTTGTTTCATACTGAAGTATTTCATTTTGAGGAAGGTGATAATATAGATTGTAAAGTGTTTTTAATTAAAAATTCCACGTGTTCATTGCTGGCATGTAAGAACGTGGTTGGCTTTTTATATACCCACCTTCTGTCCTAAAAGTTTGCTGTAATTCCCATTAGTTCCAGTAGTTTCATTCTAGACTTTTTCAGATTTTCTACATAGACAATCATGTCTTCTATAAGGAAAAACAGTTTTATTTCTTTCTTCTCAATCTGTATACCTTTTATTACGCTTTTCTGTCTTACTGCATTGGCTAAGAATTCCAGTACAATATTGAAAAGTGACGGTGAAAAGGGAAACATTTCATTTCTCAATATAAAGTATGATGTTGATATTAGCTCTAGGGTGTTTTTTTTTTTTTTTTTTTTTTTTTAGAGATACCTTATCAAGTTGGGGAAATTCTCCTCTATTCCTAGTTTACTGAGAGTTTTTATCATAAAAATGTTAGATTTTATTAAATGCTTTTTCTATGCCTATTGATATTATATAATGTTTTAGCCTGTTGATGTGATGGATAATATTAACTGATTTTTGAATATTAAACCTTTTATGCCTGGGATAAATCCCAGTTGGTTGTGATGTATAATTTTTTTATATATGGTTGCATTTGATCTGCTAATATTTTGTTGAGAATTTTTGCATCTATGTTCATGAGAGAGATTGATCTGTTTTTTGGTAATGTCTTTGTATGTTTCAGATATTAGGGTAATGCTGGCTTCAAAGAATGAGTTAGGGAGTATTTCCTCTCTTCTGTCTTTTGGAAGAAGTTGTAGAGAATTTGTATAATCTCTTCTTTTAAATAATTGGGAAATTTTATCAGTGAATGAATCTGGAACTGGTGCTTTCTGTTTTGGAAAGTTATTTCTTCAATTTCCGTAATAGATATAGGCCTATTCATATTATCTATTTCTTTTTGAGTGACTTTTGGCAGATTATGTCTCTCAAAAAATTGGTCCACTTCATTTAGGTAATCAAATTTGTAGGCATGTTATTTATTGTTTCTCTTTAGTATTCTTTCAATATCAAGTGGATCTATAATCCAGTCTTTCATTTATGATACTAGCAGTTTGTGTTTTCTTTTTTTTCCCTTGGATTGACTAGAGACTTAATGATTTTGCTGATCTTTTCAAAGAATTAGCTCTTGTTGTTTTTTTAATTTTCGTTGTTGATTTTCTGTTTTCAATTTCAATAATTTCTGCTCTAATTTTTATTTTATTTCTTCTGCTTACTTTGAGTTTATTTTGTAATTTCCTGAGGTGGAAACTTACAGGATAAATTTTGGATCTTTCTTTTTTTCTAAAATATGTCTTATAAATTTTCCTCTAAGCATTGCTTTCCTGAATCCCTCAAATTTTGATAAATTTAATTTCTATTTTCATTTAGTTTATATTTTTACATTTTTCTTGATATTTTATTATTGACCCATATTATTTAGAAGTGTGTTGTTTAATCTCCAAATATTTTGAGCTTTTCCAGCTATCTGTTATTGATTTTTAGTTTAATTCCATTGTGGTCTGAAAAGTAGACATTGTATAATTTCTACTAAATTTGTTTAGGTGTGTTTTATGGTCCACAGTGTGATGTATCTTGATGAATGTTTCATGTAAACTTAAGAAGAATGTGTATTTTACTGTTTTTGGATGAAGTAGTCTGTGGATGTCAATTATATTCAGTTGATTGATGGCACTGTTGAATTCAACTATGTCCTTACTAATTCTTACTGCTGGATCTGTTCATTTCTGATAGAGGTGTGTTAAAGTCTTCAACTATAATAGTAAGTTTATTCATTTTTCTTTGCAGTTCTATTTTGCTACCTGTATTTTGATACCCTGTTGTTAAGCATATACATGTTATGGATTGTTATGTCTTCTTGAGTTATTAACCCCTTTATTACTATATAATGCTTCCCTTTATTCTTGATAACATTCTTTGCCCTGAAGTTTATTCTGTCTGCAATTAATACAGCTACTTTCACTTACTTTTGATTAGTGTTAGCATGGTATAATGGTATATCTTTCTTTATCCCTTTACTTGTAATTGACATGTGTCTTTATATTCAAAGTGAGTGGTTTTTTTCCCCCAATACAGGATTTTGCTCTGTTGCCCCAGCTGAAGTGCAGTGACACAATCATGGCTCACTACCACCTCAATCTCCTGGGTTCAAGCGATCCTCCCCACCTCAGCCTTCCAAGAAGCTGAGACTACAGGCATGTGCCATCATACCTGGCTAATTTTAAATTTATTTTTGTAGAGACAGGGTCTCACTGTGTTGCCCAGGCTGGTATTTGAACTCCTGGGCACAAGCAATCCTCCTGCCTCGGCCTCCAAACGTGCTGGGATTCCAGGCATGAGCCACCATCCCTGGCCAGTTTGTGTTGTGATTCACTGACAATCTGTTTTTCAATTGGTATATACAGACCATTAGTGTTTAAAATTATTTTGACACCATTGAATTAATATATATCATACTTGATACTCTATTCTGTTTGTTGCCCTTGTTCTTTGTTGTTGTCTTATACTTTTTTTGCCTTTTGTAGTTTTAACTGAGCATTTTACATTATTCTATTTACTGTCTTAGTGTATTAGTTATACTTTTTAATATTTTTAGTGGTTTACCTAGAGTTTGCAAAGTACATTTACAGATAATCCAAGTTCATTTTCAACTAACACTATCATCCCACTTTACAATCAGTGCAAGTACCTTGTAATACAAAATTAACTTCTCCTTCTTGTTCTTTGTATCATTGCTGTTATTCATTTCACTTGTACATAAGCATACAAACACACACAGACAAGGGGACTTTAAAAACTTCGTGGAAAATTGAATTAAAAGATTAAAAAATACTGTTTCTCAACAAAAACTCCATCAAGCTCAAGACACTTTCCTAACTGATGATACCAGCCATTTAGTTCATCCAGAAAGAACTGAGCATCCTGGGAATTTAACCAGATCAATGCAATCCTTTGTACCTTATTAACTGAAGAATAAAATGGGAAAACATTTAAAGATTTTTTAAGATTAGAGAACAAAAAGTCAGAAGGAGCCAAGTCAGAACTGTATGGTGAACGCGTAATGAATTCCCACTGAGACTGTCACAAAATGTCCTCATTTGATGAGAGGAATGAGCAATAACATTGTCGTGGTGGAGAAAACATGTCTGGTAAAATTTTTTTTGCATTTGTGTGCCAAAGCTTTTGCTAACTTTCTCAAAATACTCTCAAAATAAGTAGATGTTATTGTTTTTTGGCCTTCCAGCGAGTCAACAAATGAAACGTCTTGAAAATCCTCAAAATTTGTTGCCATGAACTTTGCTCTTGACCAGTTCTCTTTTGCTTTGACTGAACCACTTCTACCTCTTGGTAGCCCTTACTTTGATTGTGTTTGTCATCAAGATTGTACTGGAAAAACCATGTTTTATCTCCTGTTGTGATTCTTTGAAGAAATGCTTTAGGATCTTGATATCACTTGTTAAAAATTTTCTTAAAAGCTCTACTCTTTTCTGCAGCAGACCTGGGCACAGCAGTTTTGGCATTTATTGAGTAGAAAGTTTGCTCAAATTTAATTTTTTAGAGTTGCATAAGCTGAACCAATCAAGATATTTGTAGTGCTGGCTCTTGTTTCTGCTGTTAATAATCAGTCCTCTTCAATGATGGCATGAAAAAGGTTAATTTTTTTTTTCCTGGAAAATTGGGATGGTCTGCTGCTGCAGGCTTCATCTTCCAAATTACTGTCCCTTCTTAAAATGTGTTATCCTTTTGTAAACTGCTGATTTATGTGGGGCATTGTTCTCATAAGCTTTTCATAAAGGATCGACAATTTCACCATTTCTTTCACCCAAGCTTCACTATAAATTTGATGTTCTTGCTTCAGTTTTTCAAATTGATGTATTTTCTTTCTCAGTGCCTTAAAATAGATCCTATTCTGACGTGCTGTAACAAGTTAAAACAAGTTTATTTTAGTGTAAGCAATTTTGAAATTTATGATTTTGTAATAAACATTTTTAATGAAATCTGTGAAAACCCCTCGTATATATTTACACACACAATTGAATACATTGTTGCTATTACTATTTTGAATTGATCTGTTAGATCAATTAAAAATAAGAAAAATAAGTTTTTATCTTACCTTTATTGATTATCCAGTGCTCTTCGTTTCTTTATATAGATCCAAGTTTTTGGCTTATATTATTTTCCTTATCTCGGAAAAACTTAACATTTCTTACAAAGTATGTCTATTGACAACAAATTGCCTCAATTTTTGTTTGTCTGGAAAAGTCTTAATTTCTCCTTCAATTTTAAAGGATAATTTTGCAGAGTACAGAACTCTAGGTTGGTGTTTTTCTCCTCTTAACATTTTAAATGTTTCACTTCACTCTTTTTGCTTGCATGGCTTCAGAGAAGTTGGCTTTAGTCCTTATTTTTCTCCTTTATAGGTAGGGTGTTTTTTTTCCTCTGGCTTCTTCTCTCTCTTTCTATTTTTTCTTTCCTGAAATTTGAATATGATATTCCTACGCATAAGTGTTTTGGGGGGCATTTTTTCTGCTTGGTGTTCTCTGAGCTTTCTTGGACCTGTGCTTTGCTGTCTGGCATTAATTTCAGGAAAATCTTCAGTCATTATTATTTCAAATATTGCTTTTGCCCCTTTCTCTCTTTCTCCTTCTACTATTTCTATTATGTGTATGTTATACCTTTCATAGATGTCCCCAGTTCTTGGATATTGTATTCTGGTCTTGTTTTATTTTTTTCAGTCTTTGTTCTCTTTGCTTTTCAGTTTTGTAAGTTTCTGTTGTTATATCCTGAAGCTTAGAGGGTCTTTTCCTCAGTTGTGTCCATTCTACTAATGAATCCATCAAATGTATTCTTCATTTCTGTTACAATAGCTTAATTCTGTTACAATGTCTTTTTGATCATTTAAAAAATACTTCTTAGAATTTCTGTCTCTGCTGAAGTTATCCATCTGCTTTGCATATTGTCTACTTTTTCCATTAAAGTCCTTAGCATAGCAATCATGATTTGTTTTAATTCCTGGTCTGATAATTCTGACATTTCTGCCATACCTGACTTTGGTTCTGATGCTTGTTCAATCACTTAAAACTGTGTTTTTGCCTTTAGTGGCTTGTAAATTTTTTGTTGAAAGGTGATCTGATTAATCTATGATTAGGTCTCAGTCTCTTGGTGAATTTGTGCCCCTGAATGATGAACTTTATCAATGCTTCTCAGTTTTTCCCTGCATCATGTGGGGTGGGATGGCTACAGAGGGCTACAGTTGGGCATTTTCCTTTCTCTAGTCAGGTTAGGCTTGGTAAAATGGTTTCTCCTGAGGGTAAGCCCGGTCAAGAACAGAATACTCTACATATTTTTAAATGGTTCATTTTCCCTTCCTTCTCCTGGAAGCAAGAGACGACTTTTCTTTGATATTCACTGTGAGAACCTGGTAGAACTCCTGGAGGTAATACTCATAAAAATGTGGGAGCTCCTGGTGACTGGGCACCACTGGAGTTTTTAACTTTCAGATGTGTCCTCTCTAAGCCTCCATCAATTTGTCAATTAGAGTTCAGGTTTTCCTACTATAGCACTGGCTCCTGCTGAGGTTTCTGCTCACAGCTGTCTGTTCTGGGAGGTTATGATTCTCTGAATCTGCCTGCTGCTCTCCAATTTTGGGGCCAACAGTTTGTTCTGTGATTTCATTTCTTTGATAGAGCCAAGAAGATTTGTTGATTTTTTTTTCAGTTTATTTGTTTTTATTTATTTTTTCTTCTTGTTAAATTGGAATGGAAACTTCTAGTCTTCTTATAAGGCAGACTGGAAACCAGAAGTCAAAACATGGATTGTTGGAAGAATACACAGTGTCATTCTAATGATACTCAAATGGAGATTTAGAGAACTCTGAAACATTTTTGGAAGAAATATATTCAGTTAAAAGACAAGGTAAAAATAAAATGCACTGTTATTGTCTTTTGCACCACCTTTTACCCAAACACTGAAGCCTTGCAGATGAAAACATAGAAGAATGAAGGTGACCTTCTGTGGGGTATCTGCAGCATCACTCCAATCAGGGGGGAAAAATTCAACATACCAGTTTCTTTTAATTTTCTATGAAAGAAGCTTAAAGGAAAAGATATGTGTGGTTTTTTGTGTGTACATGTGTGTGTATGTTTAAATTTTCTATTCTCATAGTCATATCTCAGCAGTAAAATTTAAACATACTTTTAGGTTCTTTTAAAAAGCATGCACTTAGATACAAAATATTATTCTGATTTCTAGTTTGAGCAGCTCCATTTGCAAAGAGCAAAAGTAACTATTACAAGTATGTAATTTCATGGTATCTTATATAAGTGGTCATATTTTGTGAGGAGAAAATGCCAGTGAGGCATAGCTAAAGGTCACCTATTTTATGAACCAGATTCTGACTCATGGTTTTACCTTTACTTTTCTTTTGCCTTTTTTTGTAGGTTATACTTTGATTAGCATGGAGATTTCCTAATAATTGTTGTAGTATTTCAAGTTCAAATGATTTCTTATCCAGTGTGTTTCTTTGTCCAGGAATAAAAGCAAGTAAGTTCTTACAAGCTCTTGGAATGAGAGAGAAAGGGAGAGAAAGGGAGAGAAAGACAGAGAAAGATATGGGGAAATGGCTTAGGTAGAAGGAACCTTAGTTCCATTATGTTAGGTTCTCTGGTGCTGGCATCCTGTTGAGTTAGGAAGGTTTCTCAGAGTAAAGGAAGTGAATCCTGTGTTTCAGAATTAGAGTTGCTACTGTATTTTCTCATATGGTTTTTATCTTATCTGTTAATATAACTACATTCAATACTTGTCTATTCCTGACTCTCGGTGATGGAACGTGAATGTCACATAAGTAAAATAATAGTTTAATTCTTTCTAAATGATGTTAGTAATGATCCTCTGACCCATCCTTGAATCTCCACTTCCTTTTCCCCCTCTAGATTTTTTAGTGCCACAGGACCTCTGCTCTGGTTATTTTCCAAAAGACTGTATTTTGCAGCCTCTTGTCATATGAAAATACCCCCAAATCCACATTTACCCATGATAACTGCAGCATAGCATAGTGTCCTTATGGGATCCTGCAAGCTAGGTATGAGATGAACTTATATTAATTAAGAGCCTTCTATATGCTGATCTATGGGCTATTTTATGCAACCATCACGATCTTCCCATGAAGTAAGCATTATTCTTGTTTTATAGATTAAGAAGCAAAAATTAAGAACAAGGACATAGGCTATGATCACATGGCCTGACTCACCAAAGGCAAGCTTTTAGGCAAAACTTAAAACTGTGTGGGTTTTTTTTCTACCATATTTCCCAGCCTAAATGTGGTGATGCTTATAGGTCACATGAGATAATGTACACACAAGTATCTATAAATTATTAAATATTAGCAAACTATATTAATGCAGTGTTATTTTTCCTATATGTTTTGTACAACATGGAGGAAATGGAAGTAAAAAACTGAATAAATTAATTTAAAATTTACCTGACCTATGAAGAGATATAATAAATAGTGTATACCTGCATGCCCACAACTTAGCTTAAGAAATGACACATTTCAGAGACAGTGGAAGCCTCACCCCATCACATGTACTTTTCCGTTGAACTTCATATTGCCTCTCACCTTCTTTCTTTCATCTTCCTGCAGAAGCAAAGACTGTCCTGAATTTGGGATTTATTATCCCCATTTATTTCTCCAATCTCTAAATAATACATGATAGTATTTTGGTTTTTTTTTTTTTTGTCTCTGTACACATTTTATAATGCTTTTTATTACAGACATTTTCAGCTTGCTCTTTTTGTTCAACTTGGTTTTTTAGATTCATATATGTTGGTGAGTACACTTTCTAGATTTTTAAGTGAAACATCTAAAATGTTCTGAAAATGTTGATAATAAAAATAATAGTTTGATCTTATGAGCTAGGAACTGAAACTGAGCACTTTCCATATTAATTTATTTAAACTTTATAATAGTAGGAGATGTGTATTTTTATCCCTATGTTATTGCTGAAGCTCAGAGGGTTTTATTCGCACTGGCAAGAGCTAGTCCATAGCAGAGCTAGAATTCCAGCCCAAGTATTTACAACTCCTATTCTGTGCTTTTTCTATTACACTGCATTGCCTACCTTTACTGAATTCCAACTTTCATTTCATTCCATTTTTTTTCAATATCAGGGCTCCAAACTTCTGGCCAAGGGCAAGGCAGAGAGCAAGAAACAGTGACCCTTATGTGCATAAAAGCTGCCTTAGTAATGCAGCCCCAGGGTTACCATCTCTCCACTGCCTCTCATTTACACAGGCAATTACCCTCTGCTGTTACTGCTCTGTGTAGTGATATTTGGCATCACCTAGGGCACCTGTTTCTTGAGACATTCTACTCTCAGAAAGAAATAACTACTCCATGGATCCATCCCCCAGCTAAACCTAGGCCAATTCACCACCAATGCACCATGATTAAAAAGATGCTGTAGAAAAATGTAATAAGCCTTTAGAAACCAACCAGTGGCTTACAGGTTAGGCAAATTTGCTGTGTCTTACTATTAATACTATTACAAACCATCCATTAAAGCAGCCTCTGCCTCCCTCTTGACTCTTTCATTAGCACAATACTCCCACATTAGTACTCAATTATAAACAAGCCCCATCTGAATTTATGTTACTCTCCAAATTACATACACAGACTGATTACTGTTTCTTAAAAGAGCAAAATCTGTGTGAGCACTAAATACTCCTTTCCTTTCAGGCTGTTGTGGTTTAATAGTCAGATACTTCTGATTACCTGTGGCAACAGCCTTTTAACTCAGTCTGCAGAAGCATGCCTTATACTTGGAATATGTTTCTTGTAAAGCGGAGTTCAAACACAAAGACCCTAAAGAGGTGTGTTTTATCTTCTGTCATCAAAACTGTATACATCTTTCTTTTTCTGTTTGTTTCCCTCGCTTCTTTTTACCCCTCATTGTTTTCTCTACTTACCTAAGTGTCTCTGTAGTTTTCTAGTTGTTAACAGCCTAGTTCCTCTCTGTTTCTGATTTTTTTTTTAATCTCATTAGTATATTTTATATATGCATTGTTTTGGCATCCCAGCCAGTTGTATTCTCAGTATGCTAGTATCTCTTCTGTCAAATGGTGTTTTACTCCCCATGACTCCACAGGATCTTCTGTAGGATGGTTCAAAAAAAGGACTTGCAAGTGGTGAATCTGGGATCAAATTCACCCTCAACAGGAGACAAAATTCTTTTTTCACTTTGCTGCTCCAGGCCACATTTTATTTTTCCAGAACATTGGTTCTTCTCAGATTATATGTGGAAATTACCCTGCCTGAGAATTATTTGGAATAGTCAAAAGGTATTGTTCTGTTGTGCTTTTTTACCAAGGAAGAATTCTGGCATTGAAAATGGCAAATACAGAAAGAACTTAATCAGTTCTTCCTGGAGGGAAGGCTACTGTTGTTTTTAGTACAATACTCCCTCATCTTTTTTTCTCTTGAAACTCATCTACTTCTTTACCTACCTGTGGCTACTCATTTGCCACCCCAGGGAATTACCTGCTTCAAGCTGAGGCGTTTTTGTAGATTTAGTCCTAAACCCAAGACCCCTTTCAATATCTTGTACCAACCTCTCAGATACCACCATATGTTTGGAACAGAGTTTCTCCAACAGGCAGTAATTCCTAATTTTGCATCTAAAGTTTTTATTTATTTAGTCTATTTTTAAATTTTAATCTAAAACATGTATTTCTTACCCTTGAATTGGAATGCAGTCGTCCTTATCTATTAAAATGAGATTAATTTTCAAAATAACAGCATTGTGATTTACTTTAAAATACTCCAATGGTTTCTACTACACTCAGCCTATGATATAAACTAGTTATGGTTTAAAAAATTCTGCCTAATATGATCTCTGCTTACCTTTCCTGTGTCACCTAAGAGTATTCTCCCCTTTCACTTAGCATGATACAACTACACTGTCCTTTAAAGTCTCAGACTCATCAAGTTCATTCCTGCCTTAAGGTCTTCGCAGTTCCTACTTTCTGTTTGGTCTGCATGGATGGCTCTTTCCCCAGATCTTAGAAAGGCTGACTTCCTCATTTCAATCACATCCTGGCTCAAATGTCAGCCACCCCTTTTCAGGTCTTACTTGGTGATAGGTTTGACTATGTCCCCACCCAAATTTCAACTTGAATTGTCTCTTCCAGAATTCCCACGTGTTGTGGGAGCGATCCAGGGGGAGGTAATTAAATCACGGGGGCCGGTCTTTCCCATGCTATTCTCATGATAGTTAATAAGTCTCACGAGATCTGATGGGTTTATCAGGGGTTTCCGCTTTTGCTTCTTCCTCATTTTCTCTTGCCACTGCCATGTAAGAAGTGCCTTTTTCCTCCCACCATGATTCTGAGACCTCCCCAGCCATGTGGCACTGTAAGTCCAATTGAACCTCTTTTTTATTCTTAGTCTCGGGTATGTCTCTATCAGCAGTATGAAAATGGACTAATACATGTGGCATATACCACACTCTGAATAAATACTTGTTTAATAAATTAAAAATTGTTGGCCATATGCGTTGGCTCATGACTGTAATCCCAGCACTTTGAGAGGCCAAGGTGGGTGGATCACTTGAGACCAGCAGGTCAATACCACCCTGGGCAATGTAGTGAGATACCATCTCTACTGGGGTGGTCGGGGGGAGGGAAAGCTAGGTGTGGTGGTATGCCTGTGGTCTCAGCTACTCAGGAAGTTAAAGTGGGAGAATCGCCTCAGCTCAGGAGATCAAGGCTGTGGTGAGCTGTTATCACTGCACCATTGCACTCCAGCCTGGGCAACGGTGAATGAAAAAAAATTGCCAACATGCTTAATTTCTGTATAGCATACATTCTGTTCCTGTTGACATTGTCATCTGATGTATACTTCTGAAAAAAATAGTCCAAGAATTTCAGGTGGGAGGAAGGAGAAAGACCATTGAGGTGAGCCATGGCATTCTATGCATTGCCGGGAGGCTCCGTCAGAGCCTATACTTTCTCTGTTGCGCTTTTACTGGGAGGCCCTAGTGGTTTTTTTTTTTTTTTTTTTTTTGAGACGGAGTCACACTCTGTCACCCAGGCTGGGAGGCGCTAGTTTTATGCATGGTATTACAGTTTGATAAAGAGAACAATAATGGCAGAATCTTATTTTAAGCATTACTAGTATCTGATGTATTGTGGGTAAATCAGGAAAAAGCAATGAAGATTTAATAATGCAGGGACATCAAGTAGAGGTGCTTCTCAACTTATGATGGGGTTACATTCTGATAAACCCATTGTAAGTGGAAAATATTTTAAGTCAAAAATGCAGTTAACAAGCCTAACCTACTGAACATCAAAGGTCAGGTTACCTTAAACATGGTTAGAACACTTACATTAGCCTACAGTGGGGCAAAATCATCTGGCACCATGGTATAGCATAAAGCACTGGTTGTCTGCCCTCCTGATTGCATGGCTGACTGGTGAGCAATATCATACTGCATATCGCTAAGCCAGGGAAAGATCAAATTTTAAAATTTGAACTACAATTTCCACTGAATGTGTATCACTTTGCACCATTGTATAGTTAGAAACTCGTGGAACCACAGTAAGGGACTATCTGTTTCTAAGTATGTTTCATAGTCATATAACTTCTACCCGTCAACAAGTAAGAAGAGGTATTCATAGGGCAGAGAAGATAATCTATCATGATGTCATCCTACCTTGCTTTCTGTTGCCGTTTGTAAGATCGTCAATCAACATTTCAACTTATACCTTTTTAATTCAATTTAAAAAATCAATGTAAGACCTATTTTCAGCTACTAATAGCACAGCACCATGCCCACCAATACTGCTTGGAGGGTGGAACCAACACAGAAACAACCTTTCCTTTTTCATCCTTTTAAGCATATCTACCACCTGCTGCATGTGCATAAACCTGACAAGTGGTACCTCCATAAGTTCTTCCTCTCCACTCACTTGTGAATATGAGAATAAAGCTGAACACAATTGCCACAAACTTAGCATAAGATTTGAGGTATGTGATCACGGACATATAAATTCCCTCTTTGCTGTGGAATAATTCTTTTGATCCAGCCCAAAATAGAATTGGCCTTTTCTTTCCTGTTTCTTTGTCAACAGCTATTTTTGCAAGATTTTCATTACTACTTAATTGTTGAAACTTCCCATCTTCATTTTTCTTGTTAAGGACCGATTTTACAAATGAGTTCATTATCTCTACCATTTTAGACTCATCATTAATTTCATGTTCTTCATTTATTAGTGGACCTGTTTACTCTCTGATATTTCTTTTCTCACTGTGGTATTGGTAAAATGCCCTTGTTTTCTTTGAGTCTCCTTTCCTATATTGCATTCTCCTTGTGTTATTGGTATTTTTCCTAAGTTTAATTGATGTAACTATCTTTTTATTTCAAGTAGCAAGTTTTCCTCCATTGACTTTAAAGTGTTAAAAGACATTTATGTTTATACTTCATATTTGCACACCTCATTCTTCAAGTACATTTTAAACCTGTTCTAGTCTACTTAAAATATCAATAGAATAAGCACTTCCAGAAAGAGAATTGAGAAAATTCCATGTCTTATAAATGCATTATTTTATATAGTATATTTCTTAAACCTAAATTAGTGAAGAGAGTCATGATAATTTTACCTGTTAGGCTGATAACAGAGCATTATTTAACAATGTCCTTGGCCAGGGCACACAGCAAAGCCAAGGAGTAGAATTTCAATTGCTAAACTTATGGGTATTTTGGGAAAAATATGTGGATGGTAGAGGTAAATAGCAAGAAGTAAGATAGAGAAGACCTGATTCTGGAGCACAAATATTTCTGAATAACTTTAACCAGATCTCTTGCTCTTTCTCTCTGTTAGACTCTCTTTACCTCACCTCCATTTTGATTCTCACCTCTCTATAATACTTAGAAATTTAAGGGTAAAAGTTGGGAAAGGGAAGGACACATATTTGCATGTAGAACACTTTGGCAGAACCTAGGCAGCAAAAAATACTGTAATCCATGATTCCTACTGTGAAACAACAGAGCATTGGATTAGGAAGCAGGAGGCCTGGGGTTTTATAGCAGATTTGCTATTATTTGACTTCTTGGCAAATGAGCTTTCTCATTTGTAAAATGTGGGAGTTGAACTGGGTGATACTTAGGATTCTTTCTATCTCCAAGTGTTCTATATGATTCTTGAAATTCAGAAACTATTAAGTCATTGACTGGGAGGTTTATTTATGTATTCCAGTCATTAGGTTCCTATTAACTACTTCAGTCTCCTCCTTGGAACTCTAAATGAGCCTGGTAATTTCGTACACCACATACATGCCAGCCCACAAAAGCAAGTCCTGGACAGTGGCCTGTGTTTGCAGCCACTGCCCAGGGTTCCTTTTGGCATGATCCGTGACTGACTTTGTTTTTATTCCAATTGCACTTAGCTTTGAACTCTTGATATTGAAGTCTCAACCTTGAACTGAACTTCATCCCATCCACAGTTGGTGCTCATTACAGTTCTGTGGCAGATCACTTCAGTGTCCTCAGATGAACCAGGTCACGTCATTGACTCTAATCATAAACTGCTACATGGGAGGGAACTCTGCCATAAACAACTAAATCTCTAAATCTCTAAATTAAATCAAAACTCAACAACTTAATCTCTTCCAGTTCAAACTAGTCCCCACCCCTCACTGACTTACGTATGGTTGGGAGGATGCATCAGACAATTATTTATTAAATATTTTGTCATTGAAAAAAAATTTGCAGAATTAGCCAGAACGTCCCATTCTTCAAACATTTCCATTAATCAAGGTTTTACTATGCTTTTAGATAGGAAGCCTAATCAAGGCTATCTGAGAAGTCAGTGTATGTCACTCACCGAAAGTTTCAAATATGCTTTTCAAAGATTTTAGACCATGACGTTTAGGGAAGGTTCTCTGGTCAAAAGATTATTTGCCTGCAGAATGTCACATACAATCTTTAAACAATTGTCACTAAAATTTCATCTCCTTGTTAGAAATGGCGTTATTTCTACAATGGTGAGTGTCTGGATACGTATGAAGCACAGTAAAATATAGAAATGTGTTGCTACATATAAAACATGGTTTAAAAAAATGAAGAGGCCTTCCTGGAATCAAGATAGCCTTGTTTACTGGATCCAATTAGACACTTGAGCAATTTAGGCAGAGATGCAGTTTTTGGATATTTTTGTTTTAAATTGTATCATCCATTACCTAAATGCCTTTTTACCCAGCAAGAAATGGCAGAGCCCAGGATTTATAACATAAACACTCTCTGAATCAGAAAAAAAATGATGATTCTAATCATGGTTTCTGAAAAGGTATTAACATGCTTGCACATGCTTGTCCTTTCTGTATTTCCCCCCAACTTCCCAAATATAATATGAATATTTTACAGCAATGTTTAGTAATGAGCACCCAATCCAACCTTAAAATGACGCCTCTTTTAATTAGCACATTAGTCCCTCAGTAAAAATTGAGTTGGATGAATTATTCAAATATAATTCAGCAGAGCTTCAGAAGCAAATCTAAGTGATGGAAGGAAAAAAGAGCAAGGCTGCCTAGTTGTTTTTTCACTCACAGAAGGTGAGAGGGGGACCCTGCCAAGCTAAGGGGTAGGAGTCATAAGAGCCATTATTAATAGAGGGAGACTTAGAATAAGCTGAACACTGCCCATATCGAAAGGTGACCTTGAAGCACTGATAAACAGGAAGCAAAGCAGGGGAAACCATGTTGGTGATGGAATGTTTCTTTATCTTTTGCTTTCATAGCTTAAATTAAGTCCCACAGAATACTGATGTGTACATTTCGGGACAGACTCTCACTAGGCATTCACCTAGTGCCTAAAATACTTTTGAACTGCAAGGAAACATTCATGTAAAAGTTTTGTTGCCTCAGGATAATTCTGTAATTTAGTGTGGAGAAATGGTCCGATTAGCAGTTGGGACCAGCAGGGGGAAGCTAACTGGAGTGAAGAGGTGAGAGAAAAAGTCAGAACTTTATTCCTGAAGCACAAAAAACTGCTCAAGGGAAGAAGAGGAAGTGGGAAAATCAGGAGGAAGTAGAATTCAGTAAGTCAGTAGCGTTGATAATTGGAAACAAAAATGACTTTTAAAATACTGCAAGGCCAAAGTCAATAAAAACAAGCAAGGAAAAATCCCCTCAAGGATTTAGACTTGCTCACAAAATTGTTCAGAGGCATGGACAATAAACAAAGCATGAATCCTGCAAGATAGATTCCTACCCCATGGATTTGGGTGAGGCCAAGAAATAACAGGGCTGAGAGGAGAGTAGCCATGAAAAGCAGCCTGGCTTTCTGGGTAATTTATCTGCAAAAGGCATTTGCTTGAACTATTTGTTTTTTTTGTTGCTATTCTCTTTCCATTTCATGTTGCTTTAGTCAAGAGAAAAACATTTGAAGGGAGGAAGCCTGCTGGGCTGTACTTTTTTCAAGCTGAGTGAGCTATTTCCCTGAGCTCACCAGGAACTTGTTTGACTTCAGCCTAATGTGCACCCTTAAGGAGAGATCTTGACTTCAAGATGACAGGAGTCTCTTCAGTGGCCATATTGGGATGGGTTATTGTATGGCATCCTTGTTTGGTTACAGAACATTTGGGATAAATCGGGCTCCAGGAGCCATTACCCAGTGGCCCAAATCACATCAGAGACTTGTAACTGACCAGATTCACTTCTTCCTTCACAATCAGTTGTTGTCCATTTACCTACATACCCATCTAGGCCATGAAACCCCAATTTAATTTGGCTTACCGCAGAAATAATAATCCTTTGATTCATATATTCTGCTTCCTATTAACCACTTCTTTTCTGTAATTTTTTGACAGCAGAATAGTGTAGTGCAGAAAGCTGTGATACTGTTCCCCACCCATCATGAGGGTCATGGCAAACACTCCTATAACAAAAGACAGGTTAACTAGAGAAAAGTATCAGAGATATTTGAACCAGAGCAACTCTATCTTCAATAGGGCCTGGGTAAAATGAGGATGATTTCTACTGGGCTGCATTCCCAGAAGATTAAGCATTCTTAGTCACAGTATGAGATAGGAGGTCGGCACAAGATACAGGTCACAGAGACCTGCTGATACAACAGGATGCAGTAAAGAAGCTGGCCAAAACCTGCCAAAACTAAAATGGTGATGAAAGTGACCTCTGTTCATCCTCACTGCTCATTATAAATTAATTATTTTGCCTTTACATTTGATTGTGCCGTTCATTGAGCTAGAATCCTATTACATTTTTGTGTGTTGGAGTCCTGCTACAGTGTTCATTGCTATTTGTTACTTAGTAAGATATAGGCAACCCTGAAGAAATAAAAACATTGTGGGAGGTAGGCAGATTAACCTGAATGTGATTAAACAACAAAGGGTCTAAAACAAGGGCTGGCACTGTAAAGCAGGGGTCCCCAACACTCGGGCTGTGGGCTGGTACTGGTTCTCCACCAGTTAGGAACCAGGTCACACAGTAGGAGGTGAGCCGCAGGTAAGCCTTACTGCCTGAGCTCTGCTTCCTGTCAGATCAGCCATGGCATTAGATTCTCATAGGAGCTCAAACCCTACTGTGAACTGCGCATGTGAGAGGTCTAGGTTGCTCAATCCTTGTGAGAATCTAATGCCTGATGATCTGAGGTGGAATAGTTTCATCCCAAAACCATCCCCCATCCCCACACCCCACGGTCTGGAAAAACCTGTCTTCCACGAAACCAATCCCTAGTGCCAAAGAGGTTGGGGGCCACTGCTGTAAAGGACCAGAGAGTAAATATATCAGTCTGTGCAAGCTGTATGTTCTCTGTCACAACTCAGCTGTTGTAGCACAAAATCAGCCATAGATGATACAGAAACAAATGAGCAAGGCTATATTAAATAAACTTTATTTATGTACATTGAGATTTGAGTTACATATGGTTTCCACATGTCACAATATTGATTATATATTTTTATTATACTCAAGTTCTGGGGCACATGTGCAGAACATGCAGGTTTGTTACATAGGTATACATGTGCCATGGTGGTTTGCTGCACCCATAAACCCATCACCTACATTAGGTATTTCTCCTAATGCTATCACTCTCCTAGCCCCTAAACCCCTGACAGGACCCAGTGTGTGATGTTCCCTTCCCTGTGTCCAGGTGTTCTCCATGTTCAACTCCCACTTATAAGTGAGAACATGTGGTGCTTGGTTTTCTGTTCTTGTGATAGTTTGCTGTGAATGATAGTTTCCAGCTTCATCCATGTCCCTGCAAAGGACATGAACTCATCCTTTTTTGTGGCTGCATAGTATTCCATGATATTTATATGCCATATTTTCTTTATCCAGTCTATCACTTATGGGCATTTGGGTGGGTTCCAAGTCTGTGCTATTGTTAATAGTGCTGCGATAAACATGCGTGTACATGTGTCTTTATAGTAGAATGATTTATAATCCTTTGGGTATATACTCAGTAATGGGATCGCTGGGTCAAATGGTATTTCTAGTTCCAGATCCTTGAGGAATTGCCACACTGTCTTCCACAATGGTTGAACTAATTTACACTCCCACCAACAGTGTAAAAGCTTTCCTATTTCTCCACATCCTCTGCGGCATCTATTGTTTCCTGACTTTTTAATGATTGCCATTCTAACTGGCATGAGATGGTATTTCATTATGTTTTTGATTTGCATTTCTCTAATGACCAGTGATGATGAGCATTTTTTCATATGTTCGTTGGCTGCATAAATGTCTTCTTTTGAAAAGTGTCTGTTCATATCATTTGCCCACTTTTTGATGGGGTTGTTTTTTTCTTGTAAAGTTGGTTAAGTTCTTTATAGATTCTGGATATTAGCCCTTTGTCAGTTGCATAGATTGCAAAAATGTTCTCTCATTCTGTAGATCGCCTGTTCACTCTGATGATAGTTTCTTTTGTTATGCAGAAGCTCTTTAGTTTAATTAGATCCCATTTGTCAATTTTGGCCTAAGTTGCCATTGCTTTTGGTGTTTTAGACATGAAGTCTTTGCAAATGCATATGTCCTGAATGGTATTGCCTAGGTTTTCTTACAGTGTTCTTATGGTTTTACGTCTTATGTTTAAATCTTTAATCCATCTTGAGTTGATTTTTGTATAAGGTATAAGGAAGGGGTCCATTTTCAGTTTTCTGCATATGGCTAGCCAGTTTTCCCAACACCATTTATTAAATAGGGAATCCTTTCCCCATTGCTTGTTTGTGTCAGGTTTGTCAAAGATCAGATGGTTGTAGATGTGTAGTGATATTTCTGAGGCCTGTGTTCTGTTCCATTGGTCTATATATCTGTTTTGGTGTCAGTACCTTGCTGTTTTGGTTACCGTAGCCTTGTAGTATAGTTTGAAGTCAGCTACTGTGATGCCTCCAGCTTTGTTCTTTTTGCTTAGGATTGACTTGGCTATACGGAGTCTTTTTTGGTTCCATATGAAGGTTAAAGTAGTTTTTTCTAATTCTGTGATGAAAGTCAGTGGTAGCTTCATGGAGATAGCATTGATTCTATAAATTACTTTGGGCAGTATGGCCATTTTCACAATATTGATTCTTCTCATCCATGAGCATGGAATGTTTTTCCATTTGTTTGTGTACTCTCCTATATCCTTGAGCAGTGATTTATAGTTCTCCTTGAAGAGGTCCTTCACATCCCTTGTAAGTTGTATTCCTAGGTATTTTATTCTCTTTGTAGCAATTGTGAATGGGAGTTTACTCATGATTTGGCTCTCTGTCTGTTATTGATGTATAGGAATGCTTGTGATTTTTGCACATTGATTTTGTATCCTGAGACTTTGTTGAAGTTGTTTATCAGCTTAAGGAGATTTGGGGCTGAGACAATGGGGTTTCCTAAACATACAATCATGTCACCTACAAACAGAGACAATTTGACTTCCTCTCTTCCTATTTGAATACTCTTTATTTATTTCTCTTGCCTGATTGCCCTGGCCAGAACTTCCAATACTATGTTGAATAGGAGTGGTGAGAAAGGGCATCCTTGTCTTGTGCCAGTTTTCAAAGGGAATTCTTCCAGCTTTTGCCCATTCACTATAATATTGGCTGTGCGCTTGTCATAAATAGCTCTTACTATTTTGAGATAAGTTACCTCAATACCTAGTTTATTGAGAGTTTTTAGCATGAAGGGATGTTGAATTTTATCGAAGGCCTTTTCTGCATCTATTGAGGTAATCATGTGATTTCTGTCATTGGTTCTGTTTATATGATGGATTACATTTATTGATCTGCCTATGTTGAACCAGCCTTGCAGCCCAGGGATGAAGCTGACTTGATTGTGGTGGATAAGCTTTTTGACATGCTGCTGGATTCGGTTTGCCAGTATTTTATTGAGGATTTTCACATTGATGTTCATCAGGGATATTGGCCTGAAATTTTCTCTTTTATTGTGTCTCTGCCAGGTTTTGGTATCAGGTTGATGTTGGCCTCATAAAATTAGTTAGGGAGAAGTCCATATTTTTCTGTTGTTTGGAATAGTTTCAGGTGGAATGGTACCAGCTCCTCTTTGTACCTCTGGTAGAATTTGACTGTGAATTCGTCTGGTCCTGGGCATTTTTTTTTTTTTTTTGGTTGGTAGGCTGTTAATTACTGCCTCCATTTCAGAGTTTGTAATTGGTCTATTCAGGGATTTGACTTCTTCCTGGTTTAGTCTTGGGAGGGTGTATGTGTTCAGGAAGTTATCCATTTCTCCTAGATTTTCTAGTTTATTTGCATAGAGGTGTTTATAGTATTCTCTGATGGTAGTTTGTATTACTTTGGGATCAGTGGTGACATCCCCTTTATCATTTTTTATTGTGTCTATTTGATTCTTCTCTCTTTTCTTCTTTATTCATCTTGCTAGCGGTCTATTTTGTTGATCTTTAAAAAAAAAAAACCCAGCTCCTTAATTCATTGATTTTTTTTTGAATAGTTTTTCATGCCTCTGTCTCCTTCAGTTCTGCTCTGATCTTAGTTATTTCTTGTTTTCTGCTAGCTTTTGAATTTGTTTGCTCTTGCTTCTCTAGTTCTTTTAATTGTGATATTAGGGTGTCGATTTTAGATCTTTCCTGCTTTCTCCTGTGGGGATTTAGTACTATAAATTTCCCTCTAGAAACACTGATTGAGCTGTGTCCCAGAGATTCTGGTACATGTGTCTTTGTTCTCATTGGTTTCAAGGAACTTATTTATTTCTGCCTTAATTTTGTTATTTATCCAGTAGTCATTCAGGAGCAGGGTGTTCGGTTTTCATGCAGTTGGGTGGTTTTGAGTGAGTTTCTTAATCCTGAGTTATAATTTGATTGCACTGTGGTCTGAGAGACCGTTTGTTATGATTTCTGTTCTTTTGCATTTTCTGAGGAGTGTTTTACTTCAATTATGTGGCCAATTTTAGAATAAGTCCATTATGGTGCTGAGAAGAATGTGTATTCTGTTGATTTGGGGTGGAGAGTTCTGTAGATGTCTATTAGTTCCACTTGGTCCAGAACTGAGTTCAAGTCCTGAATATCCTTGTTAATTTTCTGCCTTGATGCTCTGTCTAATTTTGACAGTGGGGTATTAAAATCTCCCACTATTATTGTGTGGGAGTGTAAGTCTCTTTGTAGGTCTCTAAGAACTTGCTTTATGAATCTGGGTGTTCCTGTATTTGGTGCATATATATTTAGGATAGTTTGCTCTTCTTGTTGCATTGATCCCTTCGCCATTATGTAATGCCCTTCTTTGTCTTTTTTGACCTTTGTTGTTTTAAAGTCTGTTTTATCAGAGACTAGGATTGCAACCCTTGTTTTTTTTTTTTTTTTGCTTTCCATTTGCTTGGTAGATATTCCTCCATCCCTTTATTTTGAGCCAATGTGTGTCTTTTCATGTGAGATGGGTCTCCTGAATACAGCACACTGATGGGTCTTGACTCTATCCAATTTGTGAGTCTGTCTTTTAATTGGAACATTTAGCCCATTTACATTTAAGGTTAATATTGTTATGTGTGAATTCAATCCTGTCATTATGAGGCAAGCTGGTTATTTTGCCTGTTAGTTGATGCAGTTTCTTCATAGCATCGATAGTCTTTACAATTTGGTATGTTTTTGCAGTGGCTGGTACTGTTTGTTCTTTTCCATGTTTAGTGCTTCCTTCAGGAGCTCTTGTAAGGCAGGACTGCTTGTGACAAAATCTCTCAGCATTTGCTCCTCTGTAAAGGATTTTACTTCTCCTTCACTTATGAAGCTTAGTTTGGCTGGATATGAAATTCTGGGTTGAAAATTCTTTTCTTTAAGAATGTTGAATATTGTACCCACAATCTCTTCTGGCTTATAGGGTTTCTGCTGAGAGATCCACTGTTAGTCTGGTGGACTTCCCTTTGTGGGTAACCTGACCTTTCTCTCTAGCTGTCCTTAACAATTTTTCCTTCACTTCAACCTTGGTGAATCTGACAATTATATATCTTACGGTTACCCTTCTCAAGGAGTATCTTTGTAGTATTCTCTGTATTTTCTGAATTTGAATGTTGGCTTTTCTTGCTGACTGGGGACGTTCTCCTGGATAATATCCTGAAGAGTGTTTTCCTACTTGGTTCCATTCTCCCTGTCACTTTCAGGTACACCAATCAAACGTAGGTTTAGTCTTTTCACATAGTCCCATATTTCTTGGAGGCTTTGTTCGTTCCTTTTCATTCTTTTTTTCTCTAATCTTGTCTTCATGGTTTATTTCATTAAGTTGATCTTCAATCTCTGATATCCTTTCTTTCACTTGATAGATTCAGCAATTGATACTTATGTATGCTTCACAAAGTTCTCATGCTATGTTTTTCATCTCCATCAGCTCATTTGTATTCTTCTCTAAGCTGGTTATTCTAGTTAGAAATTCATCAAATCTTTTTTCAAGGTTCTTAGCTTCCTTGCATTGGATTAGAACATGCTCCTTTAGCTCAGAGGAGTTTGTTATTACCCACCTTCTGAAGCATACTTCTGTCAATTCGTCACACTCATTCTCCATCCAGTTTTGCTCCTTTGCTGGCAAGGAGTTGTGATCCTTTGGAGGAGAAGAGGCGTTGTGGTTTTCGGAATTTTCAGACTTTTTGTGCTGGTTTTTCCTCATCTTCATGGATTTACCTACCTTTGGTCTTTGATTCTGGTGACCTTTGGATGGGATTTCTGGGTGGACATTCTTTTTTGTTGATGTTGATGCTATTCCTTTCTGTTTCTTAGTTTTCCTTCTAACAGTCAGGCCCCTCTTCTACAGGTCTGCTGGAGTTTGCTGGGGATCCACTCCACACCCTGTTTGCCTAGGTATCACCAGTGGAGGCTGCAGAACAGCAAAGATTGCTGACTCTTCCTTCCTGTGGAAGCTTTGTCCCAGAGGGGCACCCGCCAGATGCCAGCTGGAGCTCTCCTGTATGAGGTGTCTGTCGAGCCTTGCTGGGAGGTGTGTCCCAGTCAGGGAGGCACAGGGGTCAGGGACCCACTTGAGGATGCAGTCTGTCCCTTAGCAGAGCTTAAGCGCTGTGCTGGGAGATCCACTGCTCTTTTCAGAGCCAGCAGGAAGGAACATTTAAGTCTACTGAAGCTGTGCCCACAGCCACCCCTTCTCCCAGGTGCTCTGTCCCAGGGAGATGGGAGTTTTATATATAAGTCCCTGACTAGGGCTGCTGCATTTCTTTCACAGATGCCCTGCCCAGAGAGGAGGACTCTAGAGAGGCAGTCTGGCTACAGTGGCTTCGCTGAGCTGTGGTGGACTCTGCCCAGTTCGAACTTCCGGGTGGCTTTGTTCACACTGTGAGGGGAAAACCACCTATTCAAGCCTCAGTAATGGCGGACGCCCCTCCCCCCACCAAGCTTGAGTGTCCCAGGTCAACTTCAGACTGCTGTGCTGGCAGTGAGAATTTCAAGCCAGTGGATCTTAGGTTGCTAGGTTCCATGGGGGTGGGATCCACTGAGCTAGACCACTTGGCTCCCTGGCTTCAACCCCCTTTCCAGGTGGAGTGAATGGTTCTGTCTCATTGGCATTCCAGGCGCCACTGGGATATGGAAAAGAACTCCTGCAGCTAGCTCAGTTTCTTCTCAAATGGCCACCCAGTTTTGTGATTGAAACCCAGGGCCCTGGTGGTGTAGCCATCCGAGGGAATCTCCTGGTCTGTGGGCTGTGAAGACCGTGGGAAAAGCGTAGTGCACTTTTCTGGGGCCAGAGTGCACCGTTCCTCATGGCACAGTCCCTCACGGCTTCCCTTGGCTTAGGGGAGGGAGTTCTCCAAACCCTTGCACTTCCCAGGTGAGGCGATGCCCCACCCTGCTTCAGCTTGCCCTCCGTGGGCCGCACCCACTGTCTGACCAGTCCCAATGAGATGAGCTGGGTACTTTACTTGGAAATGCAGAAATCACCTGCCTTTGTTGTTGCTCTCGTCTGCAGGCTGGAGCTGCTCCTATTTGGCCATCTTGCCAGTCACGGTCAATATATTTTTTTTAATACTTTGAAGACTGTCTTATTGTTTTCTAGCATCCATGATTGCTAATGCAGAGTCTGATTGTGACATAATTCTCATTCTGTAGTAGGGAAACTACTCTCTCACCTCTTGTTGTTTTTAACATTTCCTCTCTATCTTTGAGTTCTGAAATTTCATCAGGATCTATATAAATGTGGATTTCTAAGAAGTTTTTTTCTGCTTGATACTTAGTGATTTTACTCAATCAGAAGGCTGTTATTCTTTAGCTCAAGGAAATTATTTGGTATTCATGTAATAAGATTGCCTTTTCTTCTCCTTTGCTTTTTCCTATAATTCCTACTAAATGACATTAAATTTTCTAGATCTCATTCATGAATTTTGGTATTTTTTCTTACTCATTCTCTTTTATGCTTCATCCTGTGAAATTTTCCCAATTTTATCTTCTAAGTTGACAACTTCTTTTTGCTCTTCCCATTTAATTATTTTGTTTACTCACTAGATTAATAAATCTGCCATTATATTTTTAATTTGTAGTAATAATTATTGACAGTGCATTGTTGTTACCTGAGTTTTTGTAGGTTTTTCAGAGCATCAGGATTACCTATCCATGCATCAACTGTCTTCTCCAAAAGTTTATCTCTGCTTTATCAGTCTGATTCACATATACTGTCTTCTAGCAAGTCCTCAAAAGTGTGCTTCATTTATTGCTCCTTTTATTCCTTCTTTTTATTCCTTCTCTCACCCTCCAACTTCCCTAGAGCTATATGGTTTCTTTTTGTTTGCATATATTGTTTCTGCCTTTCCCTTCTTGAGGTGGAAGGAAACAGATGTATGTCCGCGGTCTGTTACGTTGAGCAGCAGGTGGATAAAGATGAAGACAGGGTAAAAGTTGGTGTGAGTATGGGAGAAAGGAAAAAAGTTGCTTAGATTGCTATGGTACCTCATTTGGGATAAAATGGGAGGAACTGAGTACACTGTAAAAAAGAGGGAATCAAATCAAGATTTGACTGCTTAACAATTTGGGGAAGAGCCCAGAAATGACAATACCTTTTGTAGGAGAAAACCTGTAAAATTTCCACTAATGTTATGTAATAGATGCAAATGTTAAGATGGAACTTTACAAGTTAAGGCGGTACTATTGATGTGTTACTGAGATGTTAAAAACACATTTGAACCAGCTGGTGAATATAATTATGTAAAGGATGCCAGGCTAGTTTTATTTGATTTCCTGGAAGCCTAACCAATTGACTATGAATAGGAACAAAATGGTAAGCATGACAAACTCCATTAAGATAATCAATTAGTAGACAGGTACACCCATTTTAAAGATTGTTGGTGGTGTGGTGTTTTTTGTTTTGTTGTTGTTGTTTGTTTTTTGTCTTTAAAAGCATTTTAATCTTCATTTTCTTAGTGACTGTCATATATTCTGCAATAAACCACACTTTGGAATTACGTTTGTGAAAGTGGCTCAGTGGTTTAATCCTGCTCCCCAAATTCATTGATGTCATTAATAACCACCCTCAGAGTGCATTTTCCTGGGCTTTCTGTGTAATCTTTATGTTCTTCCTTTTGAATAGTCCAGAATTTGCATGAATGAGGCCCAGAAGAGTACTCTGTCTGAGTTTTAATGATGTTCATGAACTGAGTAGAACTTGGGAGGAAAAGATAAAGATTTTAAAAACCCAACCTAATCCAAAACACAGAGCCATTCCCAAAAAGAGTGTGCAGACTGTAGATGTTCATTTTGTGTGCAAATAAAATCTAATCTTCCCTTCCCCTTCCCCATCTTGCTTTTTCATAATGCAGAGCAGCTGTAGCAGTTTGGTCTTTTCCTTTGAGCTCTGTGTTGCTGAATTGAATAGTAACTTGCAAACCAATTTGTAGCCCAGGAAAGCAAAACTGAGAAATTAATTCCTCATCCCCTACTCTTTATACCATATGTGTGACCCTTAATTACATTCACAGGGTCCTATTCAGAATGTGTAATGCAAGCATAGGAGACAAGAGAGCTACCAGGAAAAACAGACAAAAAAGGATAACCTTGCAAAGCTTTTGCTTGTGAAGTAATGCTGTGCTGCTTATACATTTAAGAAGCAAAGATGCCTGAGAATAAAAAGACTTTGTAAATCAATTTGGGCTTCAGAGTTTCCATTTGGGGTTCACCAACCAAAATGAAAGCAATGATATTTGAACTTACTTCAACCTTTTAATCAGTGCTGAATATAACTAGTGTCATTAAGTATAGCAGAAAGCTCTATATTATCACCTCACACCCAACTTATCTCTCAGGATTAAAATCTAAACCACTGTTACTGATTTTTAGGAACAATGTGTCCTAAATTTATATGGGTCCAACAATTTTTAAGCTCACATGTATATCAAACTATTTTAAATGGACTCTTTTGGGAAATCTACACCATCTCTTATACCAAAACTTACTCTATGCACATTTCAGATGTATGTGTGTTAACAGCTTCCAGACACATACAGGGAGGAAAAATGGCCAGGGCAGTGATGCATTTTGACCATTGTGATCTTTGATATAATCTCATATTTTTCTTGTTAAAAGAACTAAATAAACTTGTCTACTACTACTTGTCCATAGTACCAGTTGGTTGATGTCTGATTAATGTATAACAGAAACTAATTAAAAGGTTTTACAGGCTGGGCGCCGTGGCTCATGCCTGTAATCCCAGCACTTTGGGAGGCTGAGGCAAGTGGGTCATGAGGTCAGGAGATGGAGACAATCCTGGCCAACCTGGTGAAACCCCATCTCTACTAAAAATACAAAAAATTTGCTGGGTGTGGTGGCACATGCCTGTAATCCCAGCTACTCAGGAGGCTGAGACAGGAGAATCGCTTGAACCAGGGAGTAGGAGGTTGCAGTGAGCTGAGATCACATAACTGCACTCCAGCCTGGTGACAGAGTGAGACTTTGTCTCAAAAAAAAAAAAAAAAAAAAAAAGAAGTATTACAATGTTACTTTACCTTCTTGTTATCTCAGTTTTCTTATCTTCAGAATGAATGAGCTGGGCTAGATTACCTCTAAGTTCTCACTTAGCACTTAGAATTTTCAGTGGTGCAACTTACATTCTTCACTCTCTACCCACCAGTTGGCATAATTGACAACAACTTGTCTCATTTGCAATCTTAAGACATGGGGAAATCAAATTGATCTTAAAATTGCTAAGGAAGAGAGACCATCTTAAATTCTCACTTCCCTAGAAGTCTGGTTTTATTCATAGTCAAAAAAGTAAACATGTAAATGGTATATATATTTCTCTTACAACATATTTCTTCCTTCCTTCAGATATCGTTATGCTTGCCTCTTATTTGCTTGATTCTCCAGGTATAATCCTCATCTACTTGCTAAAACCTGGTGCCATATTGAAGAAATTAAAACTCGCTGTTCTGTAATTAGAGGCAAAGTTTAAAAAGCGAGTGTCCCAGACGGGTAATAATTAACTTACATTTACAGTAGAAAGTAAAATTTATAAAGTTGTTTCTGAGGACGTGTTTGTTTCTTACAGTGAGTTGTAGTGAATGTAAAATGCAATTTGCATATTTAAAGTATATAATTTGATGATTTTGATATATGTATTCACTTCAGAAACCATCACTACAACCAAAATAATGAACATTTCTTACAAATGTTTCCTTGTGGCCCTTTGTATTCCATCTCTCTCTCACCTGCCCAGGAAACTACTGTTCTGCTTTTTTTCACAATAGATGAACTTCCATTAAGTAGAATTTATCATAAATGAAGTCATATTGTTATTTAAGAGCAAATGACCCTGTACTCTTTTTTTTTTAAATAGGCTCCTTTCACTCACCGTAATTATTTTAAGATGTATTCTATGTTGTGTGTATTGATAGTTTAATGGAAACTCTGTGGCATGAATATCCATCACCCGTTGATGGATGTCCTGATGAGGTCAGGAGATGGAGACAATCCTAGCCAACATGGTGAAACCTCATCTCTACTAAAAATAGAAAAAAATTGCTGGGTGTGGTGGCGCATGCCTGTAATCCCAGCTACTCAGGAGGGTGAGGCAGGAGAAACGCTTGAACCAGGGTGTAGGAGGTTGCAGTGAGCTGAGATCACATAACTGCACTCCAGCCTGGTGACAGAGTGAGACTTTGTCTCCAAAAAAAAAAAAAAAAAAAAAAAGTATTACAATGTTACTTTAATACCAACACCCGTTGATGGATATTTAAGTTGTTTTCAGTTTGGGGCTACTACAAATAAAGTTGCTATGAACATTCACGTACAAACTGTTATGTGTTTATATGCTTCGTCTATTGGGTAAATACACAACTGTTTTTAAAATGGTTGTACTGTTAAATTCCCACAACAGTGTTGCTCTACACCAGGGATCTGCAAACTATGTTCTATTGGCCAAATCTGGCCTGCAATCTGTTTCTGTATGGCCCCTGAATTAGATACTCTTTTTATATTTTTAAATTGTTGGGGAAAACTGTTTTGTAAATGTAAAAGATATTCACAATTCAGATTTGTAAAATGTAAACCATAAAATATACAAAGTATATGAATAAAATTTTACCCCAACACAGACATATTCATTCATTTTTGTATTATCTGTGGTTACCTTTATGCTACAACAACAGAAGACCACATAGCCCAAAAAAGAGATTCTACTGGATGTTTACAGCTGTTATATTGTGATATTAATTTGCATTTTTATAATGACTAATGATGTTAAGCATCTTTTTATTTGATTTTTTTGCCTTCCATATGTCCTCTGATGAAGTACCTGTTCAAACCTTTCACCCATTTTATATTGAATTTTTTGCCTCTTTAAAGTTGTAAGAATTCTATATACATTCTAGATGCAAATCTTTGGTTATATATGTTGTGCAAACATTTTATCCCACTCTGTAACTTTCTTAGTGTTTTTCAAAGAGCAAAAGGTTTTAATTTAATGAAGTCTAACATTGACTTTTTCTTTTATAGGTTGTGCTTTTTATGTCCTATTTAGAAAATGTTTGCCGAACTCAAAGTCCCAAATATGTTTTCCTATATTGTCTGCTTTAAATGTCAGCTTCAGCACTTAGAATTCTGTGATAGAGTTTACTTTTTGTATATTGTATGAAATTAGTGTCAAGATTGGTTGGTTGACTTTCCCATTGAGTCATCAAATTGTTCTAGCACCATCTTTTAAATATAGTGTTCTTTTCGCATTGAATTGCCTTATGCCTCTTTTGAAAATGAATTGATCATTTATGTCTGGTTCTATCTCTGGACTCTCTATTTTGTTCCATTTATCCACATGTCTACTTACTGCTATGCCACAGTCTGTTGATTATTGTAGCATTATAAATAGTCATGAAATCAGGTATTGTATGTGCTCCATCATTGTCCTGTTTAAAAATTGTTTTAGCTATTCTGTTTTTGCATTTTTATATAAATATTAGAATCACCATGTTAATTTCTAAAATAAATGGCAGGATTTTGTTTTGGTTGCATTCAATCTATAGATCAATTTGGAGAGAATTGATATCTTACAATATTGAGTCTTCTAATCAATGAGAATGTTGTATCACCTTTATTTATTGCCACTTGGTTAATTTATCTGAGCAAAATTTTGTTTTTGTTATACAGGTCTTGCTCCTTTTTTGTCAAAATTATCTGCTAATGTTTTATATTTTTTTGTTTAAATAATACTGGCTTTTCAATCTAAATTTCCTCTTGTTTATTGTCAATGTATAGGAATACAATTGACTTTTTTATATTGTCCTTGAGTCCTGCCACCTTGCTAACCCAATGGATCAGATCTGAAAAATTTTTGAAGATCCCTTAGGATCATTCACATAAAAGATCATGTAGTCTGTGAATAAAGGTGGCTTTATTCCTTCACTTATAATGTCTTTTTTTTTTTCTTGCTGTATTGAACTGGTTAGGACTTTCAGCACAATACCAAGTAGAAGTGGTAAGAATAGACCTTCTTGTCCTAGTCCCAATAACAAGAGCAAACATTCAAACCATATTTATTAACTATGGTGCCTTTTTTTTTTTTGTAGAGGACTTTTAACAGGCTGAAGCAATTTTTTCTATTTCTACATTGCTAAGAGATTTTTAATCATAAGTGGATGTTGAACTTTTGCCAAATACATTTTCCACATCTATTGAGATGATAATATGGTTTTTCTTTAGTTGATAATTATAATGAATTCTACTGACTTTTTATTTTTATCAAGTATTTTTATCCGAATGCTTGGAGGTTGTTTTTTTTTAAATAACAAATAAGCAGGTGCTGCTGGTGATAAATTTACTCAGCTTTTACCTTTCTTAAAAAGTCTTCATTTTCACTTTCTGAAGGATATTTTACCTTGATTGAAAGTTTTCCTCCCTGAATTTTATAGGTAATATTCTGTTGTCTTCTAGATTGCATTATTTCTTAAGGAAAATTCATGGTCATTCTTATCTTTATTCCTTTGTATATAATGTGTCTTTCCGCTCTGGCTGCTTTTAGAATTTTGTTCTTGTATCTATTTTAAGCAGTTTGACCATGATGTATCTGAGTATAGTTTTCTTCTGTTTCTTCTACTTGGGCTTTGTTGAACTTCTGGGATCTGTGTGTTCATAGTTTTTATGAACCTTGCAAGTGTTTCAGCCATTATTTATTGGAATATTTTTTTCTAACTTCCCCTTCCTCATCCTCTCCTTCTGAAACTTCAATTACATGTATGTTAGGTTGCTTCTAGTTGTCTCCTAAGCCACTGATGCTTTATTTTTCTTTCTCTATTTTATTTGGTGTAGTTTATATTGCTGTTTCTTGATGATTTCTCTGTTCTTTGCAGTGTCTAATTTTCTGTAAATCCCTTTTAGCATATTTTTCATCTCAAGTGTGATTTGGATATCTATATGTATATATTTATATATGCATGTATATATGTGTGTGTGCGCATGTGTCATGTATAATTGTCTCTATTCTGTCTACTTTCTTGAACACATAAAGTATATTTATAAATGCTATTATATTTATTTGTTCTTCGAATTCAATCATTTGTGTCATTTCCAGGTGTCACTAGTGATTGACTCTTCTCCTTATTATGGGTCCTATTTCCCTGTGTTTTTGCATGCATAGTAATTATTTACTTTTATGGATACATAAAAGATGTACATGGTTTTGGGAAATTTTTGATTGGATAGCAGGCATTGTGAAGTTTGTTTTTTTAGGTAGATTTTTTTTCTATTCTTTTAATATTTGGGGGCTTTGTTCTGGGATATAGTTATTTGGAAACAGTTTGATCCTTTCAAGGCTTGCTTTCATGCTTTGTTAGGCAGTTCCAGAGCAGCTCTTGGTTTAGGACTAATTTGGCCTACTTTTGAGGCATTACCATTTTGAGAACCCTATTCAATGACCTATGTATTAGAGGTCTTTCCATCTTTCTGTTTGGAAATCAAACTTTCTAGCCTGTGGGGCTCCTGATGTTTGACACACCCAGGTAAAAATCCCTACCATTCCATCTGTATCACTTGACATCTACTTGAGGGCCTAGAAGTAAAGCTGTGGGAAGTTTCATACACTGAATTTTCCTATTTATATCTCTATGAAGATAGGAAAATTCATGTCTTCTCTGCTCCTTTTTTGGTGATTGTTGCCCCAGGCTTGCTAGTTTCTTCATTTGCATTTATTGTGCTGAATATTCAAGGAGAAGCCTCTAAAGATCTCTAGATCTCTTATTACATAGCTCTCTTCTCTCTAGTACTGTGCCTTGTAAATTCTAGCTGCCTTGGGCTCCCCAAACTCTGAACTCTATCTCTTCCTCCCAGTGAGATAGTGGGTCTTTATTTCCTATTCTGCCCTGTGACCTGAAAATTGCCTTTCTGCAGCAAGTTCATCAGTGATAGGGCTCTCCTTACCTGTTTCCCTTTTCTAATGGATCACTGCCCTGCCTGCCTATTTCCTAATTTCCAAAAACTGTCATTTCATACATTTTGCCTATTTGTTTTTATAGTTGTTTCAAAGAGTACAAAGTTTCTACGAGGAGTAGTCACCAAAAATAAATACCTACTTGATATTTGTGCCTACAGCTAATCTTATATCTGAATCCAACTTATTTTACTTCTGAAGTAATGCCCAAGACTGTGAAGGCAAGTGTATTGTATAAAAAGAGGAAAAAATAGAGAAATAAATAGGAAAATTAAGTGTATGAAACTTCCCACAGCTTTACTAGGCCCTCAAGTAGATGTCAAGTGATACAGAGGGAATGGTAGGGATTTTTACCTGAGTGTGTCAATCACAGCAAAAAGAAGCTGAGAAGTCAGTACCATATAACATGTCTCTGGTTTTCATATTTATTCCTCTGCATAATTGCTGGAAAATAATTTTCAATTTCTAAATTCTTTTATAAGATTTTTACCATATGCTCATCCCAGAGAAAAAGACTACTGTGACCCAGAATTGCTCGATTCTACATATCAATTTCAGGAGGACATACATTTGCACTGTTGTGAGCAGACAGTAAAAATTATCACCTTGTACCACTTCCTAGGCTCCCTCATTATTATGTAGTGTCCATAAGCTTATATTAACTTTTGTACTTACGTTGTCAAGAATAGGTGGAGTCCCTGTATCCTGAACACATATAAAATGCATGTGTGTACTACCTATATGGGGTGGAAAGCTAGACAAGAGATGAAGTACAGAAAAACTGAAAACCATAATTTTATCTTTAAGAGGCAGTGTTTGCCAGTATTTATGAAATAGAAGTTTTTAAACTTTGAAAGTATTTGTGACAACCATGCCCTTTTTAATTTATGTGGTATTTCCTCTCTTGAGGAGGTAATATATTATTTCCTAACATAAAACAAAATTGGAACATTCTTTCTAGATTTCTCCTTTTGGGGAAAAAGGAATCCTGGGTGAACCAGAAGTTGACTCGATTTAGAATTCTCTTGTGATGAAATCAGGACATTTACTAATACCTGAGTTTAAAAATTAGTCTTTCACTCATTGGCTAACCTGTTAACGGTTCTATAAAAACTCAGTAATTGTCAGTGCAATAATAAAATTCTCCTGCCCCATTAGGACCTACAGTTCAACAACTGTACAGTCTTTTCCCTGTCTTTCATCTACCTCATGTTCTCCCTATTCTTACCAAGAGAAAATGTATTCACTTTATAGCATGTATCTCCAATTCACTTGGGGTCCTCTGGCTTTATCATATTCACTGGACAAAATCTGAATCCCACTTACATCTAAATTCCTAAGTATTCTATTCTTGAAATCACACAAGTCAATGTGTATAGAAAAAAGTAGGCTGGGCGCAGTTGCTCATGCCTACAATCCTGGCACTTTGGGAGGCTGAGGCAGGCAGATTGCTTGATGTCAGGAGTTCGAGACCAGTGTGGCCAACAAGGTGAAACCCCATCTCTATCTCTACTAAAAATACAAAAAAATTAGTCAGGTGTGGTGGCGTGCGCCTGTAATCCCAGCTACTCAGGAGGCTGAGGCATGGGAATTGTTGAACCAGGGAGGTGGAGGTTGCAGTGAGCTGAGATCGCACCACTGCACTCCAGCCTGGGCAACAGAGTGAGACGCCATCTCAAAACAAACAAACAAAAACAACCCATGACTTGACTTGCTAATTGACCTACCCTTTAATACATGATGACTAAACCTCAAATGGGCTCTTGGTTCTTTGTATCTGATTGTATCCAATATACCATTATTTTTAAATTTATAAATCACTTCCTATTTCACTAAGAAAATTCAACCAATCAGGAATTTCCACAATTTCTCACTACCACAAGTCTGGCTTACCTGCATCTTTATTCATACACCTCTTCTATCTGCCTGATACTATGGATGCAGTGTCCATACTGTTGTCTGAGACCAATTTATACACTTGTCCCTTAGATCTCATTCCCTCTTCCTTACTCAAAGGTATCACACTAGCTTGTCTCTACTTCCCTGCACATCATGACTTTTTCTTCCTATACCAGATCATTTCTATAAGTATTCAAAAGTACTGAAATTTATGACAACTTTTAAAACTTCTACTCTTAAGTCCCTTTCAAGCTAATGCCTCATTTCTTATATGCACTGTTTTATAGCAAAACTCCTCAAAAGAGCTATTATATGGGCTATCTCTAACGATTCTTCCTTTATTTTGTATTGGATCCACACCAATAAGTCTCTCACGCTACATAATATGCTCTGGTCAATTTTAGCAATAGTATCCATTTGGCTAAAAGCAACAGTCAAATCTCAGCCACCGTCTGACACAACCTCTCAGTAGCATGAAAAAGTTGATCATCCTCTTCCCTGGGAAACCCTGTTGTCACTTGGCTTCAGGATGTCACCTTCCTCTTTGTGCCTTCCTACCTCACTGCTATTTTCCTCAATCTCCCACTGCACTTTGCAAGGCCCTGGAGCCCATTTATCAGAGCTCTTTTATGCTCTATTTACACTCCTCTACAAGAAATCATACCCAAGATTAATATCTCTAGCCTACTCTGGACTTTTTCCTTAATTCCAGATACATTTACCTAGTTGCTTACTCAATATCTCCCTCTATTTGAATATTTAATAAGCATCTCAGACTTTACAGGCCCCAAAGTAAACTCCTAATTTTCATCCCCAACCTGCTGCCTTCCCCATTTTAGTAAATGATAAATCCATCCTTTATCTCAAGCCAAAATTTTGGAGTAATCCTTGGCTTTACCCTTTGATAAATACTTTATTCCTTAAGCATAATCTTCAGAATATATCCATATTCAAACATCTTATCCCAACAGCAGTGTTACCTTCAGGGTAAAGCAGCATCACTACTCACTTGAATAACTATAATAGTCTTACTGCTCACTTCACCATTTGTATTCTCTCCTGCCCACTCTATTCTCTGTACGGCTGCTAAAAGTTGGTTCTTTTTAAAACTTAAATTAGATGTTTCCCCTCAGCTCAAAAAACACTAATGCCCTGACCTTACTCAGAATAAAAGCCAAAGTCCTTACAGTCATCTCAAATTGTCCAATGGCTTTTTTCACTGCATCCTACAACTTTTATTCAAATGTTGACTTCACAGTGAGGCTTTTTCTGACCACTGATATTAAATTGTAAAATATCCTCCAGGCCTGGCCACTGCCTACTTCCCTTCCATGCTTTATTTTTTTTTCTAAAGGATGTACCACATTATTGGATAACATATATTTTTACTATTTTTGTCTATCTTTGCTATTAAAGTTGAGCTTGTTGAGAGAAGATATATATGTCTTTTTCTGTTTGTTTCATGCTCTTAGCTTACTTAGAACAGTACCTGATACTTAGTATTTGTTGAAGGACTGAGAGAAACTAGGCTTCTGCAGAAACCAAAACATTTATTGAGTTTTCAAAAGTACTTTTACTAGATCATGGTATCTTGTAAGTTGTATGGGTATCACATTTTTGTTCATATTTGTAGGCATCTATTAAGTAAAAGCATCAGTGTCTACTTCAATAGTGATGTTGATAAAAGGATACAAGTTAATGTGTGTATATGTGTGTGTATATGTGTTGTATGTTATTTATTCACTATTACTACCCATGGTGTATCACTGCTTTACTTCAACTTTCAGTAGCTCCAAACTTTTACATACACACACACACACATATTTAAGGCTTACTAGACTTAGGCACACCTACCTGTTGAATATAGTTCACACTGTGGCTCACCATGGACCTGCCATTGCTGCAACTCTTTACCCTGTCTGTAGGAACATTGTGTTCTCTTTATGCCCAAGCCATCACAAATGAGTTTTCCTTACCTAGAATGCCTGTGCCATTTCCCATGTATCTTAGAAAATTTCCACTGTTCTATTTAACAAATGCAGCCAATACTGACTTGTGTCTTTTCTCTATATTTACCCACATTGTGTTACGTGGCTTTTATCTTAATCTGCCTTATATGGAAAGCATGCTTGTTATATGACTCCATCACCCTTTAAAAAAATCCACCTGGAAAAAGCTAATTCTGACTAAATTTAACTTCCTGTTTTCTTTGGACTTATACCCTAATGCTGATCACTAATGAGGCACCTAGCAGATCAACTCTACTTTAAATTTGTGATATCTAACCTCAACTGGACTGCTATTGTTTCCTAATTAGTCCTCACCCTCGTTCTTTGCAACAGCTATTTCCAACCTTCTCCCTTCTTCCTAAACCTCTGTTCCTGCCAGTTTGCTTCTTACCCCTCAGCATATGTCCTACCCTCCTACTTCAAGGAGAAAATAGACGCCTATTAATATAACTTTCTCAACTTCATGCAACCAAAGCAGCTTATTTGCCGGCACTTATCTTCCTTTCTCTCCCTCTCATTTTAGGATATTAACTAATGGCCTAATGCTAATCTCTCTACCTGTGCTCCAGATCTCCGTCCTTCTCACCTTTTCAGTGTTCTCACTTTATGAATGAAGAGAATTCCTTTTCCTGTATCTTTAACTCTCCCATTACTTGGAGCTTCCTTCCTTCCATCAGTACTAAACATGTCCATGTGTTGCCTAACTTCTAAAAAGAAATCCTCTTCCTGATATGATATTCTCTCTGGCCACTCCTCTCTTTATCACCCCCATTTGATAGCCACAGACTTTGAAAGTGTTGACCACCTTTGTGCCTGTTCTTTTCTTCTAAACATTTCTCAATCGACTGTATTCTAGTTTCTGCTCCTACCGCTACACTGAAACCCTAACTTTAAATCTTAGGCTGAAGTCTGAATTGACAGCACAGCTTAGTGTAGCCTGGTTTTTGATTCCCACTTCTAGCCATATCTTCCACAGTATTCCTATGCCCGTACCTCTCCCCAACACACACACAATGTACCACAGCTTCTTGGAGTTCTTAGAAGACCCAAGATCTCTTTCTCTCATCTTCAGGATTTCACATCTCGTGACTCTGGCTGGCTAGTTAGCATTTGTGTATTATCCAGGACTACCTTGAGACATTATTTTATTCTGAAACTTCTCTGACGTAGGTCCTCTCACAAACCTAAGGTTAAGGTGCTCTATGTCCTCCCACAGCAAGTTGTACTTCCCTTTGCATTGTAATTGCCAATTTGATTATCTGTATCCCTCACTAAATCAAACACTTCATAATGGCATAAAGCCACATGTCTTTGTCATTATATCCCTGGCTACCCACTAGAGTTCTTATAGGCTACATGCACACATGCTCATACTCATGCACACACATACCCCCTATGGTTTAGCCATTGGAAAATTTTTGATATGTGTGTGTGTATTCAATAAAACTTTCATGTGTACCCTTTTGTAAACATGGGCAGTCCATATTTACAATTCTAATCCTATATTAGGATTTGTAAGCCTCATATAGGTAAACACAGGATTACATTGTCACTATAAATCATCACATCAGCTTAACAGTTTTGTAATAACAGAGGATCACTCCCATGGCTATTCTTAACTACAAATACATATTTTTTCCCAATGATTTAGTCATGCTTTCACATAGTGTAGATATGATATATACTAATATAATACAGATATTTGCTATAATATTCGTATTGGAATGGGCCAGAGCTGAGTCCTTGATCTTCATCCTTTCCTGATCCATCTCTTTTAAATCATTGTAATCAATTTCATTGCTTACATACTTTATCAGTTTTCTGTTGCTGTGTAACTAACCATTCCAAAACTTGACAGTGTAAAACAACAACTTTTCTTTTAATGTTTCTGTGAATTGACTAGATGGTTCTTCTCCTGGTGTCACCTGGATCACTTGTTTAGCTGCATTTAGAAGGAAGGTAGGCAGGAAGTCCAAGCTGGCCTCACACAACAGATTTGGCTGTGGATGCTGCCTGTCAGCTAGGTTACCTTGGTTTTCCTCCTCATTGTCTCTCACCTTCCTAGATGTCAGGTAGGCTGCCTTACATGGCATTTCAGTGCAGTGTTCTAAGACTGTGAAAGGGAAAGTTGAAGGGCCTATGTAGACTTAGCCTCAGAAGTCATAGCATCACTTCTGCCGCAGTCTATTGGTCAAAACAAGTCACAAGGCTAATGAAAATTCACCTCTTAATGGGAGGAGGGGCAAAGTCACATCACAAAGGTACAGGCAAATTGGGATAGCATGAATCTACATCTGTACTGGGCAATCCACAGGGAGAAAAAATCTACGTAACAGTGACTCTCAAAATTGCATCTTCTGCCCATATATCCTTATTAGGCCTAGACTTGTATATCTGAATGCTGACTTAACGTCTCTACGTGGACATCCAAATTGAATATCTAAAACGGAACCCCTCTTCTTTTCAATGATGAAACCACTCCGGAGATCCACCAGCTTCCCCGTCATAACTCATGACAAATCCACCCATCTCGTTGTTCTGGCAAAATCCTTAATGTCACCTTTGACTAAAGTGACCATATAATTTGTAATCCAAACTGGGACACATTTGGGAGAGGAAAAGGAGGTGAAAATAATTGAAATAATAATAATTTTTGAAATAGAGATTTTTCCAATGGATGATTTGACTTTATTAAGGATCTAGAAAAGATTTTATTCAAAACTTTTTTCAAAAATGGAATTATTCATAAAATTAACACATATTCTATATTAAAAATATGAAACTAATTTTGAACTGCTGATATATTCAATGGATACTTATGATATAATATTTTTAAGTGAGAAAAATACTATAAGTGCCACAGGACTTAGGAAAATCAGAGAAAATTCTAAGTGGAGGATATCTAACTTCTATTTTTTATTAAAGTATATATTTTATTAAAGTATATATGGTATATCTCAAATATGCTATGTTCTTTGTTTTTGCCTCTGTCAAAGAGGACCTTTCTTTGATAAATATTTTTACAAGAAAATACTGTAAAATAATTTTGTCTATACATAATTTTTAGTGTTTCACAAAATTTAGATGAAGCAAAATCATAGGACTTTGCAATTTCATTTCACTGGCACAAAATATGCACACATTCAATTAAAATAAGAGTTCCATAAAAAAAATTTCCACAGTTGGGATACTATTGTTGAAGTTTTTAGACAGATCAATGAGACAGAAAGTTAAAAAGGATACCCAGGAATTGAACTCAGCTCTGCACCAAGCGGACCTAATAGACATCTACAGAACCCTCCACCCCAAATCAACAGAATATACATTTTTTTCAGCACCACACCACACCTATTCCAAAATTGACCACATAGTTGGAAGTAAAGCTCTCCTCAGCAAATGTAAAAGATCAGATATTATAACAAACTGTCTCTCAGACCACAGTGCAATCAAACTAGAACTCAGGATTCAGAAACTTACTCAAAACTGCTCAACTACATGAAAACTGAACAACCTGCTCCTGAATGACTACTAGGTACATAAGGAAATGAAGGCAGAAATAAATATGTTCTTTGAAACCAACGAGAACAAAGACACAACATACCAGAATCTCTGGGACACATTCAAAGCAGTGTGTAGAGGGAAATTTATAGCACTAAATGCCCACAAAAGAAAGCAGGAAAGATCCAAAATTGACACCCTAACATCACAATTAAAAGAACTAGAAAAGCAAGAGCAAACACATTCAAAAGCTGGCAGAAGGCAAGAAATAACTAACATCAGAGCAGAACTGAAGGAAATAGAGACACAAAAAACCCTTCAAAAAATTAAAGAATCCAGGAGCTGGTTTTTTGAAAGGATCAACAAAATTGATAGACTGCTAGCAAGACTAATAAAGAAGAAAAGACAGAAGAATCAAATAGATGCAATAAAAAATGATAAAGGGGATATCACCACCGATCCCACAGAAATACAAACTACCATCAGAGAATACTACAAACACCTCTATGCAAATAAACTAGAAAATCTAGAAGAAATGGATAAATTCCTCGACACAGACACCCTCCCAAGACTAAACCAGGAAGAAGTTGAATCTCTGAATAGACCAATAACAGGCTCTGAAATTGTGGCAATAATCAATAGCTTACCAACCAAAAAGAGTCCAGGACCAGATGGACTCACAGCCGAATTCTACCAGAGGTAAAAGGAGGAACTGGTACCATTCCTTCTGAAACTATTCCAATCAATAGAAAAAGAGGGAATCTTCCCTAACTCATTTTATGAGGCCAGCATCATCCTGATACCAAAGCCAGGCAGAGACACAACCAAAAAAGAGAATTTTAGACCAATATCCTTGATGAACACTGATGCAAAAATCCTCAATAAAATACCGGCAAACTGAATCCAGGAGCACATCAAAAAGCTTATCCACCATGATCAAGTGGGCTTCATCCCTGGGATGCAAGGCTGGTTCAATATATGCAAATCAATAAATGTAATCCAGTATATAAACAGAACCAAAGACAAAAACCACATAATTATCTCAATAGATGCAGAAAAGTCCTTTGACAAAATTCAACAACCCTTCATGCTAAAAACTCTCAATAAATTAGGTATTGATGGGACATATCTCAAAATAATAAGAGCTATCTATGACAAACCCACAGCCAATATCATACTGAATGGGCAAAAACTGGAGGCATTCCCTTTGAAAACTGGCACAAGACAGGGATGCCCTCTCTCACCACTCCTATTCAACATAGTGTTGGAAGTTCTGGCCAGGGCGATTAGGCAGGAAGAAGGAAATAAATGGTATTCAATTAGGAAAAGAGGAAGTCAAATTGTCCCTGTTTGCAGATGACATGATTGTATATCTAGAAAACCCCATTGTCTCAGCCCAAAATCTCCTTAAGCAACTTCAGCAAAGTCTCAGGATACAAAATCAATGTACAAAAATCACAAGCATTCTTATACACCAATAACAGACAAACAGAGAGCCAAATCATGAGTGAACTCCCATTCACAATTGCTTCAAAGAGAATAAAATACCTAGGAATCCAACTTACAAGGGATGGGAAGGACCTCTTCAAGGAGAACTACAAACCACTGCTCAAGGAAATAAAAGAGGATACAAACAAATGGAAGAACATTCCATGTTCATGGGTAGGAAGAATCAATATCATGAAAATGGCCATACTGCCCAAGGTAATTTATAGATTCAATGTCATCCCCATCAAGCTACCAATGACTTTCTTCACAGAATTGGAAAAAACTACTTTAAAGTTCATATGGAACCAAAAAAGAGCCCAAATCGCCAAGTCAATCCTAAGCCAAAAGAACAAAGCTGGAGGCATCACGCTACCTGACTTCAAACTATACTACCCTACTACTACAGTAACCAAAACAGCATGGTACTGGTACCAAAACAGAGATATAGATCAATGGAACAGAACAGAGCCCTCAGAAACAATGCCGCATATCTACAACTATCTGATCTTTAACAAACCTGAGAAAAACAAGCAATGGGGAAAGAATTCCCTATTTAATAAATGGTGCTGGGAAAACTGGCTAGCCATATGTAGAAAGCTGAAACTGGATCCCTTCCTTACACCTTATACAAAAATTAAATCAAGATGGATTAAAGATTTAAACGTTAGACCTAAAACCATAAAAACCCTAGAAGAAAACCTAGGCATTACCATTCAGGACATAGGCATGGGTAAGGACTTCATGTCTAAAACACCAAAAGCAATGGCAACAGAAGCCAAAATTGACAAATGGGATCTAATTAAACTAAAGAGCTTCTGCACAGCAAAAGAAACTACCATCAGAGTGAACAGGCAACCTACAAAATGGGAGAAAATTTTCGCAACCTACTCATCTGACAAAGGGCTAATATCCAGAATCTACAATGAACTCAAACAAATTTACAAGAAAAAAACAACCTCATCAAAAAGTGGGTGAAGCACATGAAAAGACACTTCTCAAAAGAAGACATTTATGCAGCCAAAAAACACATGAAAAAATGCTCACCATCACTGGCTATCAGAGAAATGCAAATCAAAACCACAATGAGATACCATCTCACACCAGTTAGAATGGCAATCATTAAAAAGTCAGGAAACAACAGATGCTGGAGAGGATGTGGAGAAATAGGAACACTTTTACACTGCTGGTGGGACTGTAAACTAGTTCAACCATTGTGGAAGTCAGTGTGGCGATTCCTCAGGGATCTAGAACTAGAAATACCATTTGACCCAGCCATCCCATTACTGGGTATATACCCAAAGGACTATAAATCATGCTGCTATAAAGACACATGCACATGTATGTTTATTGCGGCACTATTCACAATAGCAAAGACTTGGAACCAACCCAAATGTCCAACAATGATAGACTGGATTAAGAAAATGTGCACATGTACACCATGGAATACTATGCAGCCATAAAAAAGGATGAGTTCATGTCCTTTGTAGGCACATGGATGAAATTGGAAATCATCATTCTCGGTAAACTATGGCAAGAACAAAAAACCAAACAACGCATATTCTCACTCATAGGTGGGAATTGAACAATGAGAACACATGGACACAGGAAGGGGAACATCATACTCTGGGGACTGCTGTGGGGTTGGGGGAGGGGGGAGGGATAGCTTTAGGAGATATACCTAATGCTAAATGACGAGTTAATGGGTGCAGCACACCAGCATGGCACATGTATACATATGTAACTAACCAGCACATTGTGCACATGTACCCTAAAACTTAAAGTATAATAATAATAAAATTAAAAAAAAAAATAAAAATCAAATTTCAAAGTTAAATCTTCATTTGACCTATAATCACTTATTTTGTTTTGTTATTCACTGTTTTATACAGATAAATGTGACTCTTTTTTGTGGTTTTAGGCTTTATTTTTTAAAAAATTAGCTGTAATTCATCAAAATCTTTAGAAGCTGGATTTTTGTTAGTTTGGTTTGGTTTTGTTCTCCAATCCTTAAATACTTCCATTAAAAATTTCCAAATAATTTTGAGGCAACATCACTCAAAACTTAGAAGACTTGCTTACAAAAGCTTATTGCTATCATAAACCACTGAATAGTTTTTCAAAAGATCAAACGTGGCATGAACTGACTTACTAAAAGTAAAAATATGTTTTAAAATTAAATATCAGCTTTGTAGCTCACTTTTTCCGTGTATGTATAAAAACTGCCAATTTTGACAACTTCCATTTTGATTTTTAGACCATCACCTCGAATTGGAACTCAAGTCTGAATTACATGTGTTCCATAATCAATTCCATATATATTTCTACTTCACACGGACCTTAATTTGTGAGTACATTGTCCTTTTCATTATGATACTGTGTCCTACAAAATCTGCATTCACATTTTTATTATACAACAATCTTTATTGTTGCACTTAACCAAAGGGCATGTGAAATAATAGCATTTAAATAATTTTACCTTCAAAATTATGACAAGTAAAAAGCTTTACTTTGAACTGGATGAGTAAAATAATCAAACCATTACTCAGTTAACTGATTTTTCTATTTGAAGAATCTGATGGCACTCATATAACATCAGCATCACTTTATTATTCAAAAATTCCCTCAACTAATGAACTTAGAGAAAGCTTGAATTAGAAACTGAACAAAAGTAATTTAAAATAACAGTAACGAACATTGATCTAAAGGAAAAGTCATTCTTCATTTAGTGATATTTAAAACGACATTTTGCAGGTACACATATTAAATCATTTTTGGTAACAGTCTTTCTCAACTAACAGCTGACTTAAAGCAGACGCTGATGCTTCTTCATTATATTTTTGTGTGCTGGTTTTCATTTGACCTGTGGTATCCTGATGACCCCCACAGAGGATGGTAAATGAGTTTGTGTAAGTTCCATATTTATCAACTTTGAGGAATGAATATTCAGTATTTTTTTTATTAAACATGAATTTGTTTTATTTTTTATGTTATTGAGGCCAAAGAAGTTCATCACAAGCTATCACAAAGCAGTACAAAATAATGAAACAGTTTTAGATTTATGCCACACCATACATGACATGTGGTAATATGATCCATAATAAAACCACTGTAGCAAGAATGCTCAGATTCTCATCTATACATGCTTAGACAGTTTCTAATACCCACAAACCACTGTGGTCATGGACACTTCTAACTAGTGATCTGGTGGCATTTTGTATCTTACAGGCCTAATGGAAACAACCGGCGGTCACACCAAGCAGTGAGCAGGAATGACAGTGTTGAATGCTTCTCCTCATGACTAGAGAGAGAATTACTTTCATTCTGTCAGAGGGGCATGGAGCCTTATTTTACTTCACCCCACACCCAATCCACATATATACTATTTTCTCTATATTCAACACAGATCCAGAATCTTACTATCCCTTACTACCTCCTCGGCTGCCTATTTGGTCAAGTGACCATCATATCTAGCCTGGAGTCTTGCTGTGGTTTTCTAACTGGTGTCTCTGCTCCACGTTTACCCTTCAACAGCAGTCTATTAACACAGCAGCCAAAGTGACACTTTTTAAGTGTCACTGTGGTACTATTCTACTCTCTGCTGGAAACCCTGCCATGCCTCCCCATTTAGCTCAGAGTGATGGCCAAAGTCTTTCTCATGAGCCCTAAATCCCCATTCCATGAGCCTATAATTCGCCTTCTACTCTCTCCTTTCTTACTTGCTACAGCCACAGAAGACTTCTTGATATTCCCCAAATATTGTAAACATCTTCTCATCTGAGGGTCTTTCCTCCAGCTGGCCCTTCTACCTGGAACACTCCTTCCTCACATATTCTCTTGGAAAAAATTTCCTCACATTTTTTCTAGAATGCAAATTCAAATCTCATCTCCTCAGTGAGGTCTACTGTGACTGTCCTATTTAATGCTGCTACCTGAACATAACCCTACATTACTACTCTCCTCCATATTTTGCACAACTGTTTTTCTTTTCACAATACTTAGTGTCTATATACTCTCTCTATATAATTTACAGTATTAACCAGCTTAGTCTATCATGCTATGGTACCAAATGACCTCAATCAATCACTTACAAAAACATTTTATTTCCATGGACTTGACTTCAGTGTCGTCTTCATTCTGAATATTCCAGGCTGAATTGCCTTTCTCCTGATAGAAAAGAGCAGAAACTTCTTCTTGGAAGTAGCATCTGTTACTTCCACTGACATTTCATTAACTAAAACAAATAATATGACCAAGCTAGAGGTAAGAAATGTAGAAAGTGTAATCCTCCCATAGAAAAGGACTTAATACTCATTAATGTTTATTATTTATTATTTGTTCCCCCAAGTAGTACATTAGGGACAGGATTCTTCATATATTTTTCTCCTGATAAATATTAAATACCTAAAGTTTTGCATACAGTAGCTATTAAGTAAAGTTTTATTGAATAAACAAATAAATGAAAATATACCATTTATTATACGGCTTTGCATTTTGATAACCATCTAAAATCTTTAGATTTGCTATGGTTAAGGTGAATACTATCTCATTATAAAATATAGATTACAGGCTTATATAACAATTTATTATTGACATTTAACTTCTGGTGAAGATATACGAATATGGTAGATGATAATAACATTCCAATGATCAGGGAATGAAGGACCCATTGCTGGTCCTATAGCTTTGTAACTGGCTATCTGGTTGGCCTTGAACATGTTTTCCTTGCTAGCAGAATCTATATGGCAATGTAGCTAATCCAACGGGTGTGTCATGATTACTCCAGGCCAATAATCACACTTCTTTTGTCGTCTTACCCTTTACAGAGATTATTCTGGTATGATTTCCTAAAGAGGAAGTTGAGGGCATCTAGAGCCTAATCCTCTCGCTTGAAAGAGGATTGAATAAGTAGCATGTCTTTTTTGGCTCTCCTCTCCTTCTCTTCATGTTTGGATACTGTTGGGTAAAGATAGCATGCCTGGAGCTATGGCAGCCATAATGTGACCATGAAGTGACAAAAGTAAGGATGACGGTGAACACAAGCAGGATAGAGGATTTGAGCAATGGAAAGAGCCAGTGTCCTTTATCTCATCACTGAGCTGCTAAATCAATCCTGCAATTGCTGACCTACAAAATTCTTGGTAAATAAACAATGATGTTCTTAAGTAGTGGCTCAAGACACAAAATTTGCATCCCAAGTGAGCTAAATTTATCCTGAGACAGATCAGTTGTCCCCTGCCACCCAAGAAAAAATCATGAATAAACATCGCAACATCTCATAATACAGAAATACATTTCAAAAAATCTGAAATAGGTAACAAGTACAGATTTAAATAGTAACTTTTGGGTATTAATATATTTGATATGGTCAAAATAATATAAACTGGTTTGACTATATATATATGTAGAGAGAGAGAATTTAGAAAATATTTAAGTTGATTTTTACTTGTATTAATCGAGAGTAGCTTGAATAATTTTGGTATTTATAAACCAGCTGTTTTAAAATCACATAGATTCAGTCATAAATTAATATATTTATTCCATGGTGTGTCACCTTATTTACTGGAAAATTAATAATACATGGCATGTCTTTTGCTATTAGCTTAAAATATAAGCTTGACTTTGAAAGAATCTAGGGCCCATTTGGGGCTAAATATAATCTTATAATTTCATAGACTATGGGACGTACCTTTGGAAACATCTGGCAATCAATACGGACTTTGAGTGTTACCTGTTTCCTGTGAAAAGTGGAAGCTATGCTCTAATTTCAGGGAGACCCTATGGGCTGCAGAAGGAGCCATGGGAGCCTAAAGAACTAGATTTGCCCCTGTGGGATGATAACTCATTGACCTGAGCAACGGAATAAGTGGCATTCCTGTTGAGTTTCTATTATAAATTCACTAGGTGGCAAATAACAAACAATTACTGTGAGTTAAAGTTTTATTTGTCTCATAAAGCAGGAAGTTTGAAGAAACTCAGAACTGTCATGGTGGCTCAATGATGCCATCAGGAACTAAAGTTGTTTCCATCTCTCAGTTCTATCTTTATTATCCATTCCTTGGCCCTTATGTTTCCTGTCTCAGGGGAGACGAACACGTATGTCAGCATTTTTGACAAGAAGAAGGGTGAGGGCTAAGCCTTAGTAGTGAATTTTGCGTTTTGATTTGGGAGGTAATGCAAACCTCAGGGACTACTAATGATATCTTGTTGGCCACATCTGTCACAAGCCTAATCCTGGCAGGAAGGTAGAATGAGAAATTGAGGTTTTGCTCTTTCCAGCATTTATGGTAGAATGATGCAAGGGTGAAAATAATCACAAGCAGGTTCTGGAGAGTCAATCAACGGTGTAATTATATAGGAAACAATTATGTTTTCATGATCTCTTATCTTGAGCTGAGAGCACTTATGAATCTTTGTAAATACAAAGAGAAGTAATTCCTCTTCTTACCATGCCAAGTCCCATGCATTTTCGCTGCCTGCAATCCTCTCTCTTCCTCCATTTTTCTTATATGAACATTACCCATCATCAGAGCCAACTAAATAATTTTCAGTGCTCAGAGCAGTGAAAATATGCGACCCTGACCAGGAACAGGGAAGTCAGTCTCCACTTCTGACAGGCCAGCAACCCCAACCCAGAGTGATGGGTAACTCCCAAGCAATTGCAACTTCTGCTCTGAGACATACTTGGAGACTGGCTTAGGGGTAGATAAGAAGCCCTTCCTAAGATGTGCACTGAATGTGTCTTTCCTGACTCTTCCAGCACTTTCTAGTCCACGGCTGTGCCCTGTGTGTAAGCGTGACTCCTTAGCCAGGTTGTAAGCTTCCTGAGTGGTTGCAGCTGTAAGAACTTTACACTGTACTCATCTTTGCCCCAGTGCTTGGCCCTTGGTAGATACCTGATGTATCATTAATTGTTCTTATCTTTTGTTCCTGAATACAGCAAGGGATCTCTTAATGGTAGTGATGAATCCTGCTACCCAGTGGCCAGCAGAGAGTCCTGATGTTGTAGAGATAGGTGCTTGGTACAGAGAAGTTTTCCAAGGCCCTCGCCATGTTCCAGGTCAGCATTCTCCTTGGGGACTCCTCCATGGTCAAGGTTTCACAGGCTTTTTAGAGATACATGAAGCATCATTGATTCAAGAAATACTATAGAGACTTGCTGTCTCCCTCCTAGTGTAGACTGAGTTTCTTCTTTAATTTCTATTATAAAATGGGAGCTGACATTGTCTATTCTTTGTGCAGTGTCACATTCAGAGAAGTAGACTAACAATCAAAAAGTAATTAAAAGCAACTCCACCTTTTACTGACATTTCTTGAAGAAGGTCCAAAGGATTTAATAGATAATTCATATCAATATCCTCACACTCTGCCACTGCCTCCAAAACCTCTGGCTCCATGCTTTATAATCCATTCAACAACAAAAATCTTTAAAAAGCAAATTTCAGGCTGGGCATGGTGGCTCACTCCTGTAATCCCAGCACTTTGGGAGGCCAAGGTGGGCGGATCATGAGGTCAGGAATTCGAGACCAGCCTGACCAACATGGTGAAACCCCTTCTCTCCTAAAAATACAAAGATTAGCTGGGTGTGGTGGTGCACACCTGTAATCCCAGCTATTCAGGCGGCAGAGGCAGGAGAATCACTTGAACCCGGGAGACGGAGGTTGCAGTGAGCTGAGATCGCACCACTGCACTGCACTGCAGCCTGGGCTACAGAGCGAGACTCTGTCTCAAAAAAAAAAAAAAAAAAAAAAAGCACATTTCATATGGCTCTTGAATATTTGCTGTCTTCCTCAATCTATTAAGTCATCTCTTCTATTTTCCTTTTGGTGTAGATATATGTTCCCCTGATATCACCATCCCAATGATACTCTTCCCACCTCACAGGATGCATAGAAAGGTTTAGAGACTTCTCTGATAGACTCAAAATTGCCCTTAAAAGTTTGGAGAGAGAACGAAAAGGCAGTGAGAGATTTAGCTTTGGAGGAGCGAGGGGAGGGAGAATACCAAAACATTTATAATTGAATATCTTTTAAAATTCTCATTTCTCTGAGGATCATTGCCCATGTCTGACTGGACTTCCTTCCCCCAGAGAAGGAAGAGAATCTGACTCACTGAGTACATGCAGCAGCACTGCGCTTGGGGGCAGAGAGCCAAGACTGGTTTCTGTTTATCATGGAAAAGAGCTCAAGGTACTTAGTTTTAAGCTGTACTGAATCTGGTAGTATTCATCTGTTTACGTTCTTTTTAAAAAAAAAAGCCTTTAAAAATTCAGTGCAGAACAACAACAACAACAAAAAAGCAAATTGTCCTTTGATTCCATAATGGCTTTTATTCCCCAGAACTGCAGTGTGCAAATGAAGGAAAGCAAATTATGTTCTGAATTAAACTTCTGGCCTCAGCTAGGCTGAGTCACCTTTGACGTTCCATTTTCTGAACAGAGCTGGCCACACATATAGAGCTATTTTAAAAGATGTCACATACAAACCTGAAAGTTTAGTATGTTCTACTTCAGGCAAGTCATCTAAAGAAAGGTAACTGAGCTGAATTTACCCATCTAGACCCCAGGCTTCAGTTCCCTCCTAAGTCTATTTGGTATATATAGTAGCATCCAGAATATTAAAGCAAAATCATTACAGATGCAGTCCTCTATGGTCCTCTTGGCTGCACCACAGATGGCAAGATGCGATCAGAGAGGAAAGATAAATGCATTAAACTTCTCCTTGCTTATATCCCCTGGTAGGAAGAGAAGTAAATGGAAAGCAATAGTTTAGTAAATGACTTCAAAATGTTTCTTAGGTTTTTAAATAGCCAAGAATACAAGCAAGAACTTATGGTCCTAATAACTTAAAGAAGTCCTTGGCAGATCTAGAAAGAAAGCTCTCTGTGGAGGGTGAGAAGAGAGTGACACAGAATGTACACAATGAACATAAAGCAGAGGATCTAAAAATTAATACTGTCTACATCTCTGCTCTTCCTATTGAGTTTGTTTTTCAATGCATGCTAGATGTGAAGGCATCCTTAGGGCCTGTGCAGTCAGTAGCAGCTCCCACATTTCTTAACAGGAGGAGATTGGGGCATTAATCTTGTAAGAGGGCAAATGGAGGTAGAGTATGTGTCTGGAGACTCTGATCATTTACAAGTATGGGCAAGCGCACCTCATTTGATTGCCCTTTGCTTTTTTGCACTTCACAGATATTGCATTTTTTACAAATTGAATGTTTGTGGCAACCCTGCATCGAGCAATTTTATTAGCACTGACATTTTTCCAACAGCACATGCTTGCTCTGTGTCTCTGTGTCATATTTGGTAATTCTTGCAATAATTCAAACTTTTTCTTTATTATTACATCTGTTATGGTTATCTGTAATCAGTGATCTTTGATGTTATTATTATAGTTGTTTTGGAGCACCACAAACCACACCCATAAAGAAGGTGAACTTAATGGATAAATGTTGTGTGTGTTCTGACTGTTCCAACAACTGGCCATTTCCCCATCTGTCTCCCTCTCTTTGGGCCTGCATATTCCCTGACATATGATATTGAAATTAGGCCAATTAATAATCCTGCAATGGCTTCTAAATATTCAAGTGAAAGGAAGACTCGTATTTCTTTCATTTAAATCAAAAGCTAGAAATGATTAAGCATAGTAAGGAAGGAAGGCATGTTGAAAGCTGAGATAGACCAAAAGCTAGGCCTCTTGCTCTAAAAAAATACCTAAGTAATGAATGCAAAGGAAAATTCCTTGAAATAAAGTGCTATTCCAGTGAACACATAAATGATAAGAAAGTGAAACCACCTTATTGCTGAAATAAGTTTCAGCGGAGAAATAACTTTCAGTGGAAAAAGTTTTAGTGGTCCAGATAGAAAATCAAACCAGCCACAACATTTCCAACTGCCCATGCATAACCAGGTCAAAGCCCTAACTCTTCAGTTCTATGAAGGCTGAGAGAGGTCAGTCAGGAAGCTGCAAAAGAAATTTTGAAGTTAGCAGAGGTTCATGAGGTTTCAGGAAAGAAGCTGTCTCCGTAAAATAAAAATGCAAGATGTAACAAAAGATTTTCATTGTAGGCAAAATAGCCTTTTATTGATGCTTTCTAGGACTTTCATAGCTAGAGAAGAGAAGTCAGTGCTCAGCTTCAAAGTTTCAAAGGCAGGCTGACTCACTTGTTAGAGGCCAATGTAGCTGGTGACTTTAAGTTGAAGCCATCATTCATTTACCACGCTGAAAATCCTAGGGCCCTTAAGAATGATGCTAAATCTACTCTGCCTGTGCTCTACAAATGGAACAACAAAACCTAGATGACAGAAAATCTGTTTATAACATGGTTTACTGAATATTTTAAGCCCACAACTGACATCTATTGCTCAAAAGAAAAGATTTCTTTCAAAATATTACTGCTCATTGACAATACAATGGGTCACCCAAGAGCATTGATGGAGATGTACAAAGAGATTAATGTTTTTACTATCTAAGGAAGCTATAGCTTTAAACAATATATTTCTTAAATAATAAGACTTGAAAATAAAAATAACTGATCCATGGGGTGCAGAATGGATGTTTCTTATTATTTAAGAAATATATTTTGTAAGACTATAATTGCCTTAGATAGTGATACCTCTGATGGCTCTGGGCAAAGTAAATAAAAAACCTTCTGGAAAGAATTAATCACTCTAGATGTCATTAAGAACATTTGTGATTTATGGGAGAAAGTGAAAATATCAACATTAACAGGAGTTGGGAAGAAGTTAATCATAACCCTCAAGGATGACTTTGAGGGATTTAAGACTTCAGTAGAGGAAGGAACTGCAGATGTAGAAATGGCAAAAATTGGAATTAGAAATGAAACCTGAGAATGTGACTGAATTGCTGCAATCTCATGATCAAACTTGAATGGATGAGGAGTTGCCTCCTATGGATGAGCAAAGCGATTTCTTGAGATGAAGTTTTCCTGCTGAAGGCGCTGTAAACATTGTTGAAATGAAACAAAGGATTTAGAATATTACATACACTTAGTTGATAAACAGCAGGGTTTGAGATGATCGACTCTAAATTTGAAAGAAGTTCTACTGTGGGTAAATGCTATCAATGCTATCAAATAGCATTGCATGCTACAGAGAAATCTTTTCTGAAAGGAGTAGTCAGTTAATGCTGCAAACTCTGTTGTCTTATTTTAAGAAGCTGCTGCAGCCACCACAACTTTCAGCAATCACCACCCGGATCAGTCAGCTGCCATCAAAACTGAGGCAAGACACTCCACCAGCAAAAAGACTGTGACTTGCTGAAGGCTCAGATGATCATTTGCATTTTTAGCAATAAAGTATTTTAAAATTAAGATGTATGCATTTTTTAGACACAATATTTTTGCATACTTAATAGACTCCACAATAGTGTAAACATAACTTTTATATATGCTGTAATAGCAAAAACTTCTATGACTCACTTAATTGAAATATTCTGTTTATTACAGTGGTCTAAACTGAACCTACGGTATCTCCTATGTAAGCCTGCACCATAGTTTTATTTAAATAATGTAAATATTCAAAGCGTCTAGGAAGGTACTGATGGAGATTACGTGAGATGGTGGCTGGGTAGTGCCCCTTCTCAGCCATGCCTCCTTCGGTGCCATATCTGTGTAGAGTCCAGTCTTCCAAAGAGTGATCATTCTAAATTATATCTGAGAAACACTCACTTTCAGCCGTCAGAAACAAACCTCATGAGGAAGCCACAGAATCAACTGGATACTTCCCATTCTTAGGAGGTTTAAAGAGGCAGTTTGGTGTATCGTTAGGGGAGTGAATTGTAGGGACAGACAGACTTGTTTTCAAATCCCAGTTTTATAATTAGTTGTGTGACCTGGGGCAAGCCATTTTGTCTGTCAGATTTGTTGTATGTAAATAACCCACTGCCTAGGGTTGTGTGGGTAAAGCTGGTGTGTGTGTGTGTGTGTGTGTGTGTGTGTGTGTATGTAGTATTGCTTGATCCTTGTACCTTGCAAGTGGTTCAAAATGGTAGCTATTACTATAAATATCATAATTGATATTATTTTACTGAGCCCACGTGTATTGTCTTTCCATGTGTTATCCTCATTCATTGACTCAAGAAAAATTAATTCTCTTGACCTAAAACTTGTCATAGGTTGTGAAGACATCAGTTTGATAAGTTGAAGATTTGTCAAACTTATTTGTTTGATAAGTCAAGTGGAAAGACTTGCACACGAATAACAATAATCTAGTGGTGAAGTACAAAGGGCGAATGGTATGCTGAAGAAGCTCTGAATTCTGACTGTTGTGGGTGGGTAGGGCTCACAGAAGAGATTACATATTTTAGCTGGTTCTAAAGGAGGAATAGAATCTCATCAGTTGGAAGTGGGAAGTGGGGTGGTGAATTGCTGACAGAGAGAAATAATAGCTTAAAGGAATACAGATTTGAAAGTATAAAGTCTTTCAGAGTAATTTGTTCTAAGAAACCTAAGGATAGGCTTGAGGAAAGGTTGATGGTTGGGGTATTGGGATAGGAGAGATGTATCAGGATATAAATGTGAATTTTAGTCTTAAACCTAGTAAGGCTGAGAGAGTTCACGCTTACTCTGTGTCATTAAGGAGCAATTGGGAGGTTTTTAAGCCAGGAAATGTCACAGTAAGATTTGTTTGGGAAAGATAATTCTGGTGTGTTCTGAAGGGTTTATGTGGGAGAAATATGAGATGCCAAGACACTAATTAGAAAATTATTTCAGTAAGGAGGCATTTTAGGTCAGAGGCAGTGGTAATAGAGAGATGAAGGTGTATTTCGGAAAAGAAAAGCAGGAGTCTGAAGTGAAAATATTTATCCCACACCACAGAAGCTCTTTCAAATATTTGAAGACACTGTTTTGAGCTTTCTAGATCATTTAGTTATTCAGACCAAACATCTCCCACTCCTTTAATTGCTTCAATTTAGAAATATCCTTGTCTTCCTTAACATGCTTTTGGTGAGTAATCTAAATCTGTCATTTTTCTTCTTTAAAAATAGGTTCTTAAATTGAAACCCACACTTCAAATATAGACTCATCACCCCTAACCAGACACTGTACAGCTATCTTTTATTATAAAATGACATTATCTTTTATTTTTTCCCCTCTCAGTTATTTTTTTAAATTTTTTTGATTTTATTTTATTATTACTATACTTTAAGTTTTAGGGTACATGTGCACAATGTGCTGGTTAGTTACATATGTATACATGTGCCATGCTGGTGTGCTGCACCCATTAACTCGTCATTTAGCATTAGGTATATCTCCTAAAGCTATCCCTCCCCGCTCCCCCCACCCCACAACAGTCCCCAGAGTGTGATGTTCCCCTTCCTGTGTCCATGTGATCTCATTGTTCATTTCCCACCTATGAGTGAGAATATGCGTTGTTTGGTTTTTTGTTCTTGTGATAGTTTACTGAGAATGATGATTTCCAATTTCATCCATGTCCCAACAAAGGACATGAACTCATCCTTTTTTATGGCTGCATAGTATTCCATGGTGTACATGTGCCACATTTTCTTAATCCAGTCTATCATTGTTGGACATTTGGGTTGGTTCCAAGTCTTTGCTATTGTGAATAGTGCCGCAATAAACATACATGTGCATGTGTCTTTATAGCAGCATGATTTATAGTCCTTTGGGTATATACCCAGTAATGGGATGGCTGGGTCAAGTGGTATTTCTAGTTCTAGATCCCTGAGGAATCGCCACACTGACTTCCACAAGGGTTGAACTAGTTTACAGTCCCACCAACAGTGTAAAAGTGTTCCTATTTCTCCACATCCTCTCCAGCATCTGTTGTTTCCTGACTTTTTAATGATTGCCATTCTAACTGGTGTGAGATGGTATCTCATTGTGGTTTTGATTTGCATTTCTCTGATGGCCAGTGATGGTGAGCATTTTTTCATGTGTTTTTTGGCTGCATAAATGTCTTCTTTTGAGAAGTGTCTGTTCATGTCCTTTGCCCACTTTTTGATGGGGTTGTTTGTTTTTTTCTTGTAAATTTGTTTGAGTTCATTGTAGATTCTGGATATTAGCCCTTTGTCAGATGAGTAGGTTGCGAAAATTTTCTCCCATTCTGTAGGTTGCCTGTTCACTCTGATGGTAGTTTCTTTTGCTGTGCAGAAGCTCTTGAGTTTAATTAGATCCCATTTGTCAATTTTGGCTTTTGTGGCCATTGCTTTTGGTGTTTTAGACATGAAGTCCTTGCCCATGCCTGTGTACTGAATGGTAATGCCTAGGTTTTCTTCTAGGGTTTTTATGGTTTTAGGTCTAACGTTTAAGTCTTTAATCCATCTTGAATTAATTTTTGTATAAGGTGTAAGGAAGGGATCCAGTTTCAGCTTTCTACATATGGCTAGCCAGTTTTCCCAGCACCATTTATTAAATAGGGAATCCTTTCCCCATTGCTTGTTTTTCTCAGATTTGTCAAAGATCAGATAGTTGTAGATATGTGACATTATTTCTGAGGGCTCTGTTCTGTTCATTTTGTCATAATCTTGGCATCTTTGAACTTGTGGCTAACGAATATGCCCAGATCCTTTTTGTATTAACTGTTGTCATGCCACCTTTTAACATATGATTTGCAAAGTTTTATCCACTTACATTGATATATTGACAGGCTGAATTAGGTGGGCAGGTGTGTGATAAAAGCCTTGGACGATTATATTTTAAAATAGCTTACTTATGTTGTGAATAATTGAGAGTGACTTATGAATAACTACATCTAAGTAAGTTGTTGATGTAGACTTCTAGAGTAAATCATGGTTCATAAACATTTACCTTAAATCTGGAGCCTAAAACACCTAACCTGGAATCCCTCCAGCCTCACCCCTAGCCAAGCTATTTTACAGAAATTTATTGACAAGTGGAGAATCTGTCTAAAACAAATATATTTAGACTTAATTTTAAACATAGATAATTAACCAGTTCACTCATAATTTCTCATCAACCTAAACTATCTGTACAAGTATAATGTGACATAATGATAATTTCTGTGAAGAATCACCTAAGGATTCTTGTTGATAAGCTTATAATGTGACCTTGGGTAGATCTCTTCTCATATGCCTTAGTTTTCTCATCTGTAAAATAGGCAGACAATACTAACATTAACAATATTTCATGGGGTCATTATGAGGATTAAATAATCATATTTTTAAAATAATTAGAATTCTGCCAGGCTTATAAAAAAATACTATTGAGAAAGAACAGGACAAATAGTTGTTAGCTAAGTATCATTTTCTCCTACCACTACAACAAACTAATGTAACAAACTACAAATAACTAATGTAATGTAATGGAGATGAGCGAGGATCTCACTCATATTCTCTGTTGTCTAGCTTGCCCTCAGTTGAATAAGAATATTTGATCATTCATCAGGAAGCATTTATTAAACACACACTATATCCCATGGACTGTGTTTAAATAGTGCTTAGGAAACATTAAAAAGACATGGTCTTTGCTTAAGAAATTTAGAGTCCAGAGGTATAACAAATGCTTAAGCTACCAATCACAGCACAGACTCCAAGGTTATGACATCTTACTGGCTTGTGGACAAGTCAGTGGTTTCCAACCTGTAAAGTTGTTATGAACTTATCTACTTTCTCAAAAAGTAGATATCAGAAGTAACCTGACTGTTGGATATGAAAGGAGTTTGGGGACTGTAATATGTTTTCTCCTAAAAATAAGTTTTTAAACATGTAGGCATTATTGGTCTCTTAAAAGCAGATGACAATTACTGGTGAAAGGGTGACAAGAATACCAGTGGGGATAAGGCTAAAGGTACAAAGTAATTTGGGGCATATTTATACATCGTGGAAGTTACTTTTGCTAGACTCAGATATTGAAATGTTTTTTAATGAGATCATAAGTAAACAAATATAACCTTATCCAGAATTAACTATGCGTATTGTACACACTGATCAATAAAACACTTTTTCCTGTCTGTGCCCTTTAGCCTCACATGTAAACCAGAAGTCAAGTGGCATTGGGATCTTTCGCTACCTTACCATGGTCATTCCAAACATTTCCAATCATTCTTCATAGATAACACCATTTTTAAGAGTCAGTTAACTTTGTAGTACTTTATATTTATTAGAGAGGCAACTGAAGTGGTGAGACTAGCTGTGCAGCATTCTTTCCTGCCTAAGTAAGTCAAAACCTGATTGTACTTATTTCAAACACAGCAGAAGATGAACCTGGTATAATACAGCTGTATCTAACCACTGTCCCAGTCCAGGAAAATTTAAGTTGGCTCTATTCAGTACCACCCCTTCTTCCACTGTCTCTCCTTCTCTTGGGATTACAGGCATTCTTTAATGTTGCAGAGTAGAGATAAGTTGGACACGGTTAAGCTAGCTCAGCAGGCACAGAAGGGCACCACATCCACTGGGACTTAGTGGGGTTTGGGGCCTGCCAGAGAAGGTCAGTGCTGCCCTGCAGCTGATGTGAAGGTAGAACCGTTGAAGCCTTGGCTTCTGGCTTTGGATGGACCTCACTGGAGTGAAGACTAGACAGTCTGCAAATTATGATATGGCATCCACAGGGCTTTTGAACACAACAAAAATCCTTCTGCCAGGAGTGCTTTCCTGAGACATTGCTCATTTCTGTAGAAAACATGCAGATCCACAAACAACTTATCTTTTATTCCTCTCCTCTCAAATGCACTGCCTCCATTTTTATATTTTTGACATAGAAGCATCTAAAGCAATTCATCTAATGGAATTTAGAAACTTAAAAACACTAGAGACAGCAATTTTGAAGCTATTTCTGCTTTCTACCCTGGTAAACTTGAGGAAATGGACCAGGACTCTATTAACCACATGTATGGAGATATTTAGGGAAAAGGAACAGGTGGGGAGGTGGTAAGGGAATATACAGCAAGCAAAAGTATTAGTACTTCAAACAACTCTATAACAGCTGAATTTTCTGTAGACGCCTATATGTTTTATGAACCTTAGAATGAGATTGTAGAATTCAACTCCTGTTCTGGTGCTTGTTATCTGAGTGACTTTCAACAAGTCACCTTTCTAGACCTCAAGGATGTCCTCCTCTGTGAATGGGGATAATGATGGCACTCTCTCGTGGGCTGTTATGAGAATTAAATAAGTGTGTAACACACTTATAAACATGTACATAAGTATTCAAGAGTTGAAATATTTTATTGAGTTTTATTTTTTACTTAACAAACTCATAAAAATACATTATACCAATCCTGAAATTGCCCACTATTAGGAAGGGTAAAACTAGTAATCTTGTTATGGTGGTCTCAGAAAGGGTTAGTATTAAGACACTGTAATACACAGATGAAAGGAGCTTTGGGATGGAGTCCTAGTTGCTGTGGATGTAAAGACAAGGAAAAACTCAAGTTCAGGCAAGAATGGGGTAGAAAAGAGATTTCAAGTCTGAGCCAACAAATGGTGAAGAATCACTTAATTTGCCTTAAACATAACTATCGCTAAATGACTTTCTTGCTGGCAGGATTTTCGGTTTTTTATTTGCTTTTTCTATTGTTTTTATCTGAAGATATTTTTCCATGGGAACATATTTCTGGCTGTAAATAGGAAATCAATGGTAGGCAGGCTTTACTTTGCTGAACTTATTGATTCTATAAAACGAAAGCTGCTCATATATACATCTAGCCAGGCAAGGAGTCAGGCTTGTTTCTTTCTAAACTGCCTTTCTTGGCCCTTTCAAATCCAACAGACTGAAAAGGAAAAGGGGTCTTCTTTAGCTTCACACAAACTAACGGCCATTTTGATGACAAGAAAGCAGGGTTGCTTCCCAATGTGTCTTTGTTCGAGTGATAGCAGGCCCATTGAAACCTCCTGATGGAGCTCATTGAAAATAATAGGCCCTATTATCTTCACTGGCAATGCTGCCATGAAGCTTCAAAAACTGAAATAATGACAGCACATATTGGATGTACAGTAGAAAGGCATAGCGTGATTATGGGCAATTTCTGCCTCTTTTCTACACACCTCAATGGATGAGGAGGGGGCAGCTGGGGCAGACTGTAATGCCCAGGGAAGGGACGTTTTGTAGCTATGTCCTTTTTGTCATGTTTGTGTGCTTAGAATTCAAATGCTTTTTCTCAAATAATTTGTAAAAGTAAAATATCAATGTCAGAATCTTCAGAAACTAGAGTTTGGGAGGAATAGATTCTTTAACTTAGTAACGAAATACTGTCATATTTGGTAACTTGGCAGGAGCTGCTGCTGTGAAGTTGGTAGGAAATTTCTGGGAGACAGCAGGTGTGGTAAGGCAGAGTGACCCTGTACTTACTCTACAGAGGAGGGTTTCTGTGAGATCACGATGCCCTTCCTTTCCCACATCAGAGCTCTCTGGAATCCCAGATGTTCCCAGCGAATCTGATTTTTCTGGCCACTGGAGTTGGGAGGAACAAATGAGAAGGAGGATAAATCTAGAAGAGAGGAATACATCAGCCCTCAGAAAAACCCAGTGGGCCAGGAACAGACCTATTAGGCTCTGAGAAATTACCAGGAGGAAAACTCCCCTGAAGGCTCAATGACAGCTGAGCAGGAAAGGGCTCCCTCAGGAGGAGAATGGGCTCTATTAGAGGAAGAAAAAAAAAAAAGAATATTTGCTTTTGGGAACCTTTCTTTTGTTGCTTGTTATCATCTCTATGTTTTCAGAAATGAAATGTCTTAAAACCACTAACCAACACACACATTTTTGTTTCATTTGAAACAACTCTAAAGAATACAGTGTGTTGTGTACATCACCCTTGGGGCTTATATTTAATATAAGAACAAGATGGTCTCCCTGCTTTCCTGGTGCCTGACTATAGCTGAGGAGAGACCCATGGCAGAAACAGCATCATCTGGCTATCGTGGCAAAATGATAAGTGACAAGAAGGAAAAGGATATCTAATAGAAATTTTTCACAAATCTGTCCAATGGTTGAGGCAGGTTGTTACATTCCCCCAGGCCCAGGTAGGTAATAATGAGAAGCTGCTACAGGACCTAAGTGGGACTTATATCTGCAGAAGAAAAAATTTCCTCTCCCAGCTCATCCTTCTTCTGGCATATCCTCTTCTATATTCTATCTCACTGGTAAATACTTCCTTCAGGGACTCAGTTCAGATGGCAATGTGATTTTATTTGAGAGATGTTACCCCTGGGAAACATGTGTCTAGTACCTCTTACCAGCATGCGTGATCATATGTGTACACACAAACATATGGCCTCCCCACATCATGCTAAACCACAGGGAGGCCTGAACCAGCAACTCCAGCAATACGTGGTGGTAATAATCTGGGCTGCTTGGTGTCTGCCAAGCACCGTCCTTGGTGGGCCTCTACTCCCTTAGTTGTCCATGTCTGCAGCTAGTCTAAAAGCTCCGTAAGGGCAATGACAGCTTATCTATTCCTGAAACCTAATGGGGGCCTTATAGATAATTATGAATGAAAGTGTTGACCAAATATAAAAATCATTACTAGTTAAAGTAAAATTTGAGAAGATTTTTAAGGAAAAAAAATGATGTTTCTTGTTTATAACTACTTTAAAATCTCTTAGAAGTGGAATTTAAGGCCAGAATCTATAAATTCCAAATAAAATGATCTCTCCTTCCTTTGAATCTGGCAAGGTACTTTCAGACCATGTCACTATTCCAGGTGCTTTTCTCCGAATTATATCTCTCAACAGAAACTTTTCTTGTCAACCATGCTTGTTCTGGCCTCTTATTTTCTGGGGGGTGGTGGATATAATTTATGCATTTATATGTTTGTTTATCCTTCGTGCAAACATGCTGACTTGCTGAATTAAAAGTCTTAACAGACAACAGAAAAAAATCATAAAAATCATTCTACTTTTCAGAGAACTTCAGTTTCTAAATACTTATTAAAGCTTGGCCCAAGAATAACCTAGATGATATCATTGGTAAGCTCATTTAAAACACGGATTTCAGACTTTACCTCAGATCTAAACTGGAATCCTTGGGACTGGGTTTTAGGAATCTGTATTTTTAAACAAACATCCCAGGCGGTTCTTGTCCACAACAATGTGTGAGAACAGTGAGATTCTGAGCTTAGATAGCACAGTTAGACCTATATTTCTGGGTGAAGCCTCACAATTATAGCTTCCAAACAAAAGTAATCTTTCAATACTGCACTGTGTTTTCTGGTCACAGCGTAAATGGGGTGTTGAAGGGTTTTCCAGTGTCGAAGATTTTGTCTTAAGTGGGTGGAGGGAAGACATGCCCAATGTATCAGAGAATGCATTTCCCTCTTAGGGCATGCCCTGGTGTAGAGCGGTGGTGAATTAAAATGTACTGATTGTCCAGTAGCACTGTCTGTCAGTAATACACTTAAAGGACTAACCTTCTTTCAAAGAACAGTGCCTAGGGGTTGTTGAATTTTCCTTCCCTCTGGTGTACTTGGAGTATTTAATTCTCAGAGTGGATCGGTTTTTTACACCCTTCCCTTCTATATAACGGTATCTTCAGCAGTGATCTCCTAATAATCAGTGATAATCATTAATTTGATGTATTCTTTATTTTAAAAATGAACAATTAAGAAAGATAAAATTTCAACTTGAAAACAGTTATGAAAATTCAATGAAGTATTTCATGTATGACCTAAAATAGACACTTAATGATATGCAGTTTTCCATTGTTTCCTTCTTGGAAATTTTAAACATGAACTTCAAGTAGTCACCCAGAATGACAAAACTGAAGAGCTCATGTTATTTTTCTTTATTTTTACAATCATGTGCAGTCATTGTATGTCTAGTGTTTAAATTCAGGAATATGTAGAACAGCATTTGGAGAGGCAAACTCAAAGGATGTTGAGTCATTACAAATGTCTTATGAACTGGTAGTACTTCAAATTTCATGTAGAATATGGCATTTTTTAAAGAACATAGATTTTATTAAAGAACAATGCTAATTTGAAGGTCACATACTGGAATATTATTAAAAGTCAACAGTAATCTCAGTAATTTAGAAATGAGACCAACAAGATACTTTTCTGCAAACGAGTATTTCATCACTGGCATTGTTTAGAACTGCTGGAGCATGTTGATAATGAAAAAAGCATACAGTCTTTTAGTCCATTTTAGAAGGTGCGAACAATGCACCTTCTTATTGCCTGCACCTGGGGCAGTAGATCCATTGCAGAGCTGTGATTGGGTAGTGGGAAAAGTTCAGTATCTGTGCTTATCTCTCTTTTGACCTGTGTAATTTGCATAATTTAAGGCATTGAACTATGTATCTCACTTTCATTGCTAGGGCACTCTTTTTCCATTCATAATAGTTGAGTTCCATTGGATTGTGTTTCAGGCTGGGCAACTCAGGCTGTCATATTGATATCACTTTATGGCAGGGACACAACATAGCATTTCTTTGCCTGGTTTTGTACCATCCTTTTATTTCATTTAACCTCCAGCTAATGTCTTTGCTCCAGTCAGGCTGCAATCCTTACAGCCAAAAGAACATGTATTTGCAGAGCAATTTCATGTTTTTGATTTTATTTCATCCTCAAGTCCTATAGGAGATGCTGAAGAGACAGTGTTTTCTTTCTGTTTCGTGGATGAGAAAAGCAGGTTCAGTGAGCTATTAAGGGACAGAGTTAAAATCAGAGCTCAGGACTTCTGTCTGTATCCTTCATCTTTGCTTAGATTTTCTCAGGAAGCATTACTCTCATTTTCTAGGGTGTGTAAATCCTTTCTTTCATGTTCTTCTTCTTTTTTTTAGATGTTTCTTTTTTCTATAAAACATTCTTCCCCTAGCCTCCAGTGAAAATAACATATAATGAATATTTAGCAATTCAAAAAGTCTTATATATTTTCTTATTTTGCATTCTTAAATTATATCTTCCTCAAGAAGCAGGGGTTAAAGTGACCTTTCGATCATAAAGTTTGTAGGTTTGTAGAGCTGCAACTGTGGTCAAGTTATCAAATTCCAATCCCAGACTCTCTGCATCATACATCATGTTTTTTCAGTTCTGAAATATCTTTTTGCATCTTATCTCCTGGCATTGCATTCTGTCCCATTGGAATGTTGTCTAAGTTTTTCCATATGCATTGCTGCCCCACTTGCATCTCCAACTGAACTCTAACTTAATTGACCAAAAAGGCGACGTTTTATAATTCTTTTATGTCCTGCTCTTCTCTATGGCTCTTAGCATATTTCTAAGCACATAATTTTCAAAAATCTATTTTTACTTAATTGCTTTGACAATAGATTAAATTATTGATTGAAATATTTATCATAATTAGTCCTTTGACTCTTGGCATAATTCATTTTATGTGCTCTTTCTACATATTACAGGCACTTTCATTAGTATATCCTTATTTTCCAGGCCTCTGTGAATTTGGTACAATGTTTTGACCCTTTATTTAAGTCAGCATTTGAGCCCAGCATCTTTCTGGATTTTGTGGCATATTTTTGGCCTATATTCCTCCACCTCTGTGTTCAGTCCTTCTCTTGGATTATAACCTATGATATGTCACTATGCAATGTGATTTTTGAGCTTTAGACCTGTGACTGCCTCACCCTAGCTCAGTGCAGTAGCCATTCAGGTGAAGTGTTAGGGTGAAAAATTAGCAGGTTAGCTTTTATTAAAAGGAAGGTGAGCTGTTTAGAAAATTCTGGCTTTGAAATTATGTTAGAAATTTATTTCCATGTCCTAGCAGTGAATAAAAGATACATCTTTTGTTTAGATAAATGTCCTTGAGATCACCTGCATTTTGATTTTTAAAAAAATAGTTCACCCAACTATGGCAATGAACAAAAAGTCAGACTGATAAAATTAAAAGACAACTGAACTAAGAGTTCAAAGACTATGAACTCAGTAGACTGTGAGGTCCTTGGGAGCACAGACTAATTACTAACATTCATGTTTCTGGTACACAGCACAGACGTTTCTGCCTCATAAGTCCTTAAAAGTCTTTCAAATAAGTGAATGAATGACTAAAAAAACAAAGAATGACATAAGCCACATCTTCAAGTCTGTGTCTACCATGTTCCAACTGAGTAACCCAAAGTAACTCAATAACTTTTTCTATGTCAGCTTTCCCATATGTAAACCTGGGATTTGAAGTGAGCTATCTTTACCTTGGGGTTATGAAAATAAAATACTGTATGCCTGTTAATGCTAGCTAGATAGTAGGCAGTTATCAAATAGTGCTATATATTTTGTATCAGTTAAAAATGGATTTGACTGCAAGTAACAAAAATTTGCTAACTGTAGTTTAAACAATTTATTTTTCCCACATAATGCAAAGAGCAGAGATTAGCTAAGGCTGGTATTGTTCAGCAGCTCAGTGAAGTCAGGGACTATATCTCTTCAGCTCATTCTACCTTTCTCTCATGATCAGACACAACTGCAGTGGCTCCAGCTAGAAGAAGTCTAGAAAGGAATATGTAGGGAAGAGGAGGGGTAACACCTGTTGTGGTATCTATTTTCTTTTACCTGGAAAGGTGTTTTCCCAGGAGCCTACAGGGAAGCCTCCCTTTCGGGTCTCATTGAACTTTGTACATGATTATTCCTAGCAGTTTTGAAAGTGACAGAACTGTTATGATTGGCTTCAGTCAATCGTGTTTCATTGCCTAGGAATGGGCATACTCTGCCCCAAATCAAATCCAGACACTATTAACAAGGAAAAATAACATCTAATCATATATTCCACATAAAAATATCTGGAAATGTTTTGAGGGACAAGATTTTAGAAAAACCAATATGTCAGTGCTTCCACTGGACATAAATGTGTGTTGTGTGCACGCGTGCATACGTAGTAATAGTGTTAGTGGAAGTGGGAGTTTGACCATTTTCTTCTTTGATTACTAACTGCCTGATTTTGGAAAGAACTGGGATAAAGTCATCTGGTATGTGATGTCCTTAAAGTAATGGATACTTTTAGAACCAACATTTTTTATGCTACCTTGTAAAAATCCCTGCTTTGTTCTGCTTTGCAAAATAGAGTGATGGTCACAGTCTTTGCAATAGAGGGAGTATTAGCTGACTCTCCAATCTTCCATACACTTTACTCTTTAACTTTTGATACTGAAAGGAGAAGGCATTTCATATCATCAGTGCAAAGTGCCTATTGAAGTAAGACTCATAAGAGTAATAATTATAGTGTATAGTAGCGCAAGACATTTGGTCTGAGATGCTCCTGACTTATGTCTTCTCCCTTAATTATGGGATCAACCCAGCATGCCATTCCTGTAGTATCTGGTGACCCACAAGCTTCTTTTACACGAGTATGTCTGGCATACTTAAATAGGGTATTCATTCCATTATTTGCTTGACTATGATCCTGGTTCCCCCTCCTTCCACTTCCCACACCCACTATTAAATTGCTCTGCTTACTTTCCATTATGGAAGTGACTAGAACCTAGTACTCTGACTCTGCTTATTTATGAAGTCAATGTTTACTGTGTTGAACCCATCAGTGTTTAAAAAGGAAAGGAGGGAGACATCTGTGACCTAGCCACTGACAGAGGGTCACAATTTACAACTGCCAAATTACCAAGTAATTTTATTAATACCAGCCTCTGAAAGAGAAGGAAAAGGTGCTTTTAAAGCCTTTGGTTACACGGCTAGAATACAATTCTATATTAAACATCAGCTAATTTTTTTTTTTTTTTTTTTACCCCACACACAGTAGAGCCTGGATTGTTTACAGTTCATCAGGATGCTCCAGGGCTATACGGCTGCCATACAACAGATTTCTTTGTTTTCAAAGAGCAACAGATACTACGTAGTTTATTGCAGTAAATTTCTCATTTCTAACTATAGACACATTAAAGCCTTCAAATTAGCTAGAGGACTCTTGGTAATAATTTATAGCTACAACAATAATTATAGCTCCATTTTTATTAAACAAACTCCCCCCAAGATATTTTATTTTCAATACAGAAGTTTTTACTTTATTAGGCTTCAATAGATTGGTGTCTTAGTCTGTTTTCTGTTGCCATAACAGAATACCACAGACTGGGTAATTTATAAATAATATAAATTTGTCTCATGATTCTGGAGGCTGGAAAATTCAAGACTGAGGGATTGCATCTGGTGAGGGCTTTCTCGCATGGCAGAAGGCATCACATGGTAAAAGAACCTGTGCAAGAGAGAGGAAAGGGGGCTGAATGTTTTCCTTTTATCAGGAACTCACTTATATGATGACTAACTAATCAAAGGAGAGGTCCTTTGATAATGGTATTAAATCCATTATGTGAGGTCAGAGGTCTCATGACCTAATTGCCACTTGAAAGCCCCACCTCTCAAAACTGTGTTAGGATTAAGTTTCCGATGAACTTTAGAGGACACATTTAAACCAAAGCAGTTGGTTTCTGGATTCATATAGAGGCTGTTTGTTGTTCTTTTTCTTTTTGCTTTGACAAAATAAAATAATTCTGTTCTTGGCTGTTCTTCTGAATTTAATTCTTTCCCTTGTCATCCATTTGGGATTTACAGGAATTAAACTGTTTGTTCCAAATGAATTAGTAGACTTTTTTTTTTTTTTTAATGTATGTCACTTGCTCAGATACTGTGGTTTACCTAAATCCTGGGAGAATCAAATGCAGCATTCATACTAGTGGGCTCCTGTTGTTGATTTAAAGGTAAAAGCCACAATAATTTTTTTTTATTTCTTTAAAAGTCATCTGTATTAATTGAACAAGCAAAGGATTGGAGTTGGAGACTCAACATTTCAGAAAGACGGCTGATAGTCTTAGTCTCTTTAAACTTCCAAAACAAAATAACATCAGGTAGCTGGCTTAAACAACACATTTATTTTTTCACAGTTTTGAAAGCTGGGAGTCTGAGATGAGGGTCCCAGCACTGGTGGGTTTTGTAAGGGCTCACTTTCTGGGTTGCAGGAGCTGCCTTCTCCCTGTGCCCTCACGTGGCTGAGAGACAGAGTTTTCTGGTATCTCTACTTATAAAGGCACTAATCTGGTCTGACGATTACACATGTATTACCTCATCTAAACCTAATTATGTCTCAAGGGCCCTATCTGCAAATATCATCACATTAGAGGCTCAGGCTTCAACATATGAATTTGGGAGTGGGGACACAATTCATTCCATAGCACTAACAAAAATATTCTCCAACAATAAACGTTTGAAACTGCTCATTTTGATTGACAAAAAGTATTAAAATGTCAGTAGAATTCACAGGAAAGTAAATCTTCAGATGCTAAAAAACAAATTTAAACTATAAGGTGTACTGACAATGAGGCTGACTAGAGTGGGCTATTGTCCAACTAATATAATAGATTGGATTTTAGTTCCCCACCAGATAACGAACATGAGACTTTGACTTGTACATGGCAGGATGTTGGCACTAATATGTACGTAGAAATCTAAGAATTTAAAAGGATAGGCTAGAAAAAAAATCCACCCAATATCTCAGACAATAACAGAGCCTACTGACTTTGACTTCCCAAATGGATGGGTGAAAAACAGGTCCTAAAGCACCTGTTTAGTGGGTCCTAATCATGGACCCACTAATCATGCAAGTTTGGCGTTTAAATTGACTGAATTTGCATGGTCTGAGAAAAATTTATCCTTGGTGGTGGAATCCCTGAGACAAGCAGAAATAAATGAAAAACTGTTCTATAGAGGTTCTCCTACAACCCAGGTTTCCAGAGAAAAATGAATTTGTAAAAACAAATTATAATCCAGCATGAGTGTAGTCAACAGATACAAAACCAAGAATATTAGCAGCCAGGAACTTGAAATAGTAAATTAAAGATTACACAAAGAAAAAAGGGGGCCTAAAAAGTTTAAAGAAATTTTAAAAAGAAATCCAAGAATATAAGATACCATGAAATACACAATTTCAAATTGATAAAAATAGAACATGTAGATATGAAGAATTTTTGTCACTAAGTTAAAAAAAAAAAGGGTAGGTTTAAGTAGTAAACTGAGCAAAGGAGAGAACAAAGCAGCTTGAGCAAATTTGTCATTTGAAATACAAATCTGAGTAAACTACTAGAAAGAAGTAATAGAAATAATACAAAAAAACATGCAAGGAGGCTTAAAGAGTCAAGGTTTTCAACATTCTGCTAATAGGATTTCAGAAAAGAAAGATGAGGCATATAAGAAGTATTTGGAAACCAAATGTCTGAAAATTTGCAGAATTGATAAATGACCAGAATCTTCAGATTTAAAACACACAGATCTATCAATCAATCTATGCATTCATTTCATTCCTATGCAGACTATAGACCAACTATAGAATACCAAAGAGAGCAAACCCGAGAAGCTAATAGGCAATTCACTGTCCATCGACAGCAAACTTTTCAATTGCAATAAAATGTCAAAAGACAATGAAATACCTTTAGAGTGCTGAGTATAATTATTAGTTTTGAAATTTATATTCAGCTAACCTAGCATCCAACTGTGAACCCAAAATAGTTATTGAATATTTCTGGAAAAAAGAAAATTAACTTTAAGGTGGGGAATACAATAAATGATAGACTGTACTTCATTTTTAAAATACCTTTCAAAATGTTTAAAATGCTTCATGATTAAAAAAATCTTGCTTTAATTCAAGACGTTTTTATCTAATGATGAAAATGTACCTTTCTATATTTCTTTCTCCATGTAACTTCCTATAGTATCAAAATTCATGCAAGAGAGTTTAACTACTATGCACTGTATGAATAATATCTAGGATCTGTTAACTTTTCAAGAAACTTCCATAATATTTGTAAACTGTAAAGAAACTTTGACTCCAAAGTATGTAACAAAAATTGCAAATTTTAAAAATGTGTAGTAAAATGTCTACAATACATACTATTGACAATCATTAAATTTCAAGACCATAAAACTTCTACTTCATTAATTTTTTTTTCCTTTGAGGGAATTTCCATGCATATAATTCCTAAAATTTGCAGTCAATAAATAACAAATTAGTTTAGAACCAAATAATTGCAGAAGCAAAAAACCTTGGAAACTGTTCCTATTCCAAATTTATTTTTAATGTGAAATTTGAGTATGCTGGCTATGATTTTGCTATGCATTATGTTGCTATGATATAGAAGTGTGGTTGCCAAAAATAGAGGCCTAGGGTCTATCTATGATGGTTCTTCAATGATCCTGTTACTAACTCAATAGCGCCTTTGCCAAGAATATTCATTGCTCAACATGTAGAAAGTATGGGTGGGTTTGTTTCTACTATTGTGCCTTTTACTCTAATGATTTTCTTTCTCCTATGGCTATTACAAGTATAATGTTTATTGAGTTATCACATGTCAGATGCTGTGCTCAGAGCTCCAAATGCCTTAACTCCTCTAATCCTCATGGTAGCCCTAGGAAAATGGGCTCAATTATCTTTCGTTTATATAGACGGAAATTGTGGCTTAGAGAGTTATGTAACTTGCCAAAAATCACACTGATAGAAAGTGTAAGGAAATGAGCCTTTCTGACTTCAATGCCTCCTTCTTGCCCGTTATATGATGCTGCCCTCACATTTTCTACAGAAAGTAAGAATGTTGTTGTTAGGCCTAATGTTTGCCAAATGAATTCATGCCACTTTTACTATAACTTCTAAAGGATTAGACAGTACAAACTCATAATGATGGTTTGAAACCTCCAGCAATGGTTAGAAGGCAGGGTCTTTAGAGTTCCTAAGCACTAAAATATTGTGGTGATTATGGAGAATTTTTTTTTTGTCTCTTTTCACCCTCTAAGTAATTCAAAATATAAACAATGCTAAACTGAAAAATAGTAATAAGTTTGCCAGAGTCCTAGTTTTGTCTATGATGTTTGCTTTTTCTGAAATACATTATTTCAAAAACTATTTTTATGTACCTCATTTTGCTGGTATCCAGAGTATAAATTTGGTCTGTGTGATGGTTAATTTTACATGTCAATTTGATTGGTGTTTTCTGATAAGATTAACATTTAAAGTGATTAACTTTGAGTAAGCCAGATTGGCCTCCCCAATATAAGTGGACCTCATCCATTCAGTTGAAGGCCCAAATAAGAACAAAAACAAAAACAAAAACAAAAAAAAAAAACTAGTCTCCTCAAACAAGAGAGAATTCTCAGCAGAATTCCTTTGGACTTCATCTGTACCATCAGCTGTTATGGATCTTCAGTCCACAGGTCCACACTGCATGTTCTAGAATTGCCAGCCTTCAGAATCAATAAGCCAGTTCCTTATAATAAATTTCTTTCTATGTATATTCACATTCTATTTTATGTTTTTGTTTTTCTCTTCTGGAGAACTTAATTCTCTCTGTTGAGTAATCCACATTTCAGAAAGGCCTGTTCTCAGTCAAGTGTCCTAAATCCATGCCTTTTCTTTCCTAATGTTAATGTCTGAATTCTCAATTCACTCTGGTCTTACTTACTTTGCAGAAGATGCAAGTGAATACTATTTATTTAGCAACTTAGAGTTTCTCCCTCTTATTTCTATGGTGCTAAGAACATACTCTACACCTATTCTTTATCCTCAGGTCTCCTATTGAAATTTAACCTTGGTTTATGAAACAAGATATCATAATTATGAGCATGAGCTTTGGAATCAGACCTTCATTCAGTCTCATTGCCCTGTGACCTTGGGCAAGTCACTTTGAATCCCACAACCCTCATTGGTAAAATATGAAGATGAAAAGGCTATTGCATTTAAGGATGTTTCATAGTGCTATGCAAATGTGTCTTCAATCAATGTTGGTTATTTTTATTACTGTAGATATTATTATGTTAGCATGCTTGTAATTCCTCACTTTGGCCATTGGTGAAAGTGGATTTATAAATGACCAATTAAATGGTCCTTTAGAAATTGCCCTATGGGTCTATAATGGAAAGGATTGAAAGCCTGAATATTAACCGAGATACCTTGACTATGAACTGGGCGTATATAGTACTTTTCAACTATCTGCTGTCCAATTATGGTGCCAGGTTTCAACCAACTTAAAAATCATACAGGTTTTAGAACTAGTCATGAGATTTTCCTCGATCCTCCAGGATATAGAAATCATATGAGCTCACATTTAAGCGCTTAAAGGTTCTTGAGCTGTTTGAATGGAGGTCTGAGAGCCATGACATATCCCGTGTTTGCTGCACTGTTTGGTTCTTAGAGACCAGGGTCACAATGAATTTCTTCAAAGCTGGCTTTCCTGAGGGCTATTTTTTATGTGGAAGCCTTCATCTCATAAACAATTGAATTAGTTCACATTAACCACCATCAATGGCAAAAGTACACAAAGCATAAAGAAATCACCTAAAATAATGTTTTTGAACCAGCTGCTAAATTAAGTAATGTATTTGTTTTATTGCACATTTGCATAATAGGGCAAACTAGAAACTCTGTGTAACAGATGTGCTGGTGGCAGGGAGATTTGATTACTGGCTTCTGTTATTAATCACTGCACAAATCTTAAATGATTTGTTTCTACAGTCTGATCAATTTACACCTCAGAACTTACATTTATGCACACAATGTGGAGATAAAGCATCTGTTCACACCTTTCGCGAAGACATCAATATATTTATGGGGACTAAAGTTTGTTAACCAAGGCACAGGAGACTTTGGCCAAATATTTGACAACTCAGTGAAAGATCCCTTCATTCCTCATCAGCTAGTTATTATAAATTAAAAATCACTTTGCAATTTCCTGAACAATTGTGTTCTGATGTCTATTGTCTTTTCTATTAAAAAAAGTATTTGAAACTCACATATTTGAACCATAGATATTCCTATTTCCTACAAATCGCTTCAGAATTTTGAGGAATTACAGAGTACCATGGTATAATTGAGAACTACTGTATGTAGTTTTAAAAAATTATCTTTCCCTTTTTAATTTTACATTTGACATTTCATAATTCTATATCTATGATTTCCATCAGCATTCTAAATAAATGTAATCCATTTTTAAAATGGCATGCCTAAATTTTTAAAAAAGTAAAAACACAAGTAATATAAATATTTTTCCATTAATTTCCAATTAAGCATGATAAATGCATTGGTTCTACACAGAAATGTTTCCCCAATAAGTTGAAACACTAGATCATGTTCCCTTTTTTTTTCAATTGTGAGTATTGCAGTTATTTTGTAAGCAAACAGTCAAAATACCTATAAAACAAAGTTAACATTTCAGCTTGTCAATTCCAGGGGCTTATTATACTAAAAGTGTTGTTTATTATCATCATTTGCTATAATGATTTATCATTTGGGTCCTAATTTTTCTCTTAATGTTTTATACCTTTGAATATAAACATATATCTCCTATTTGATTATTTCAGTTTCTTTCAAAATCACAATAACTGGCAAAAGAAAGCATTAGGGAATGTTTTTTTCTCATATAATTATCTTTCCCCAGTTTGGCCTCCTGTTTCTTCGTGGTAGAGGCAAAAAAAAAGAGACAAAAAAGAACTCAGATTAAAATTAAATGCATCATTTCTGAAAACTGGATGAAATTTCAGATAAAGGCTTTATTTTTAATGCCTAGGAAAAAATTAAAATGTATATATTTTTCTCAGTCAGAGGCAAGACTGTTATGGTTGCAACCCCTGCCTTTTTATAGTTCATCCTGGGAGCTAATGAAGCATTGCATATTGGTTTCAAATTCAAAGCATATGTACTGACTGAGGGATTTTTTCTTTATATAGCATGATTTCAAAAGGAGCCCCAAATGTGGTCATCTTAGAAAATGTAATTTGGTCGAGTACTAAAGAGCTTTTTCCCAGACGACTAAAACCTTTTGAGTTGCCTATGAGAACACAAACTGGCTGTGAAGTACATTCACAAGTCTCTGTGAAAAATGTACAGGAGATGATGAAAATGTATTAAAGGACCGCCATGTCAAGGCCATGAAGGGCATTGGGCAAATTTGGATAAATGTGTCCAGGTTTCACAGAATCGGAACCTGAAGTGAGTTAGAGGACAATGTAAAAAGAAGTTGAAGAGGATAATGTAATCCACACAACAAACTTAACAGCATTACACATCCAGAGCCATCTCCGAAGTCATTAACGCTGTTGCCAGGGGTGTCTGCCAAAGAGCCAGATGTCATTCTGCCACAACTTGGCATCTGATGGTTGTCATTTATAAGATGGAATCAAGTGAGGACTGTAATTAGGTGTGTGCTGAAGGGAACCCTTCCTTCTGACTCCATCGGGGGCTTTTTCTTGTCTTAAACACATAGAGAACAAAGCAGGGGAACTGATCTGCCCTTTGGACTCCTAAAAGCTCATATATTTTCTCCCCTGAGGGAAATGCACAGCTTATAGTTTTTTTCATTAAGTATTTATTGTACTCTTTGGAGATGACAGACATGGTCCTTGGACCCCCAAAAGCATATGCTCCAGTGGAAGAATCAGACATGTAAACAGAGCAGTTTACAAATACACCCTGCTAAGTGCTATGTTAGGGATATTGGCTTTAAAATGGTGTTGTGGGAGTGCAGAGTAGAACAACTCCTCTTTGGAGATTTGGGAAAATGCTCCATAGAGGAGGAGATATTGAAGGATGAGCAAGCATTTGGCAGGTGGGTGAAGAAACGAGGGGGTGCATACTCTATCAGAAGAAACCATGTGTAGACAAGTGATTATGAAATCACTTATGAAAAGGTCTGTTGTACTCTAGGAATGATGTGAATTTACATATGGTGAGAGTCAGAGGCAATGCAGATGGGCTAGATGAGGGCAGCTGGTGTTGGGGCAAAGATGAAGAAAATACCTACTGAATCCCTAATCCCTCCTTTTATGAAGAATAGTTAGACTAGTATGGTGAGTATAAATTCATGTTAATACCCCTAAAGCTTTAATAATAGAAAAAGCTAGCATTTGACAGCTTACTGAATGCAGAGTTATCACATCTAATTCTTACCGCAACCTGATGAAATAGATGCTATCGTTATTTTCACTTCACCAATGAGGAAAAGGAGACTTAGGGATGGCAAATAGCAGGCCCAGGTTCCCCCAACAGGCAACCAGCAAAGCTGGGGAACCCAGAAAGCCTGCAGACGTGCTCTCCAGCACCACATTATGTTTTTCTTCCACAGAGTTGTGTGGGCAATACATGGACTGTCATTTCAGTGGCTGGAAAAGTTCCAGCTTCCTCAGTAGAGATTATATGGCCTAGAACAGGAGCCTTCAGAATCATCAATCCACTTTTCTAGATAAAATCTAGAAATGGTACTAAGAAATAGATTTAAAGAAAATATTTAAGATAGAAAATTACCTGCCCCATCCCTTAGTGCCCTCATCAGGCACTAGAATCCCCTGGAGGCAGTTCTCAGACTGAAGGGCTTTTTTAAAGCTTTGGGTGTATGTTTAATATTATGTAGAGATGCTCATGATATAGTTATGAATTCAAATAATGGGATACAAAATATGTATAGTAGGACGATCACATTTTGAAAGGGTAAATATGAATCAAACACATACACAGTATATATATCAAGATAATGTTAAACATTGTCTGAATATGAGGATTACAAGTGTTTTTTTCAAAAATTTTATATTTTTCTCCTGTTAAAAGAGCTTGTGCAATCAGAAAACACAAAACATCAATAAATGGAGGATGCCTGTAAGAGAATGCATGCCAAGGTCTGAAGGCACTTAGAGAACTATCAGGGGCAGCAGGTCTTGGATTCACCTGAGAAGATTCAAGATCTTTTGAAAATCAGCCGAAAGATGAGGAACCGCCTGCCACCAAGAGGCACTGATTTCACTGGGAGCATCCCTAAGTTGGTTTGGTCCCTCCAGTGTATAACGCTCTGAGGCTACCCTGATAGTCCTCAGAGACCCAAAGCCCTTCCAGAACACCCTGGGAATCCTCTCTCAACACACCCCACCAGGCAGAAAACTTAAATCGGATCTTAAAGCAGAAAACAAATTAAACTGGCTTCAATAATAAGGGGATTATCTCATGTAAAATGAGTCCACAAGCGGAGCAGCCACTGGAGAGGCTCAAAGATGCCTAGGACCTAGGCGTCCCCTTTTTTCTCAGCCCCAGCTCACTTCCTTCTCTGTGCTGACGCTGCTGTAGCCATTCTAAGCATCGTGTTCAGGCAGGATCTCCAGAGGCAGAAGTGGGCCCACTCCTTTCCTGTGACTTGAAGAATGAGAAAAGCTTTCCTGGAACATCCTAGCAGCCTCCTCCTTATAACTCATTGTGTCCACTAAGGGCTAGTTTTTGAATTGCCTGAATTGGATTTTTTGGAAGTCATCTTTCCACTACCTTCTTTTTTTTTTTTTTTTTTTTTTGAGACGGAGTCTCGCTCTGTCGCCCAGGCTGGAGTGCAGTGGCACAATCTCGGCTCACTGCAAGCTCCGCCTGCTGGGTTCAGGCCATTCTACCACCTCAGCCTCCTGAGTAGCTGGGACTACAGGCGCCTGCAACCGCGCCGGGCTAATTTTTTGTATTTTTAGTAGAGATGGAGTTTCACCGTGTTAGCCAGGACGGTCTCCATCTCCTGACCTCGTGATCCGCCCACCTCGGCCTTCCAAAGTGCTGGGATTACAGGCGTGAGCCACGGCGCCCGGCCTCGACTACCTTCTTTTTGGATGTGAGCCATGTTATATACCTCCTGGAGGTCCAATTTTGAAGCACCCAAATAAAGAGAAATTTGCCTAGCACGTTAGAGATAAACAAACCCATTGTAGTGATAATTATGATGATAGGCTTAGTAGGCAGTTTCTGTGTACTATATGGGGCACCAGGAGGTAATAAGGACACGGCAAATAAACCACTGCTACAGTATTTTATAGGGGGAATAGATTTCTTACTCTACGCAGATCTGCACACGTTTTGGAGAGGGTGGTTTAACACAAATTATCTGGGCTAGCAGCATTCGTCCTGGGAGTTATGGGGCAATTTTTCTGCCTCCTAGCATCAGAAGACTTTGGTAAGCTAAAATCCAAGCATAAGTGGCATAGACCGTGTGCCACTTACTTACTTTGCAAGCAGTGTATGTGGCAGTAGATAAGGTGAAAAGTGGGCCCAGCCCTGACATATATTGTTCCAAGGTAGCCAGAGAATACTTGGACCTAAGGTTGGGCTTGAAAAAATGGAAAAATGGCTAGACTAGAATAAACTCCCTTTACCAGTGAGCCAGGGTATTTCCTGGTTGTAGGAGTAGCCGAATCTCAAAAGTATGTGGCTTTCTTGCCCTTCTAAAATGGCTTCTGTTCAATGCCTGCATTGTGTTGGAAAGGGGACAATGTTTCCCAGGCTATGAAACTCATCGTTTAATCCATGAGAGTATGCCTACGTATCCAGTCTGCCCTCCAGCTATTCATGATGAGGTTTCCATCTTAGCTAGATTATATGCCTTTGATAACAAAGGGACCTGGCTGGTTCTTCTTAATGAAGCAAGTATTATGGCAAACTATATTCCACAGCAGATACCACTTCTTGGCATTGCAGAGAAGCAGGCCCTATTGCTGACAGAGTGGCAGATAGCTGTGTTGGAAGGGTCATTTGAAGTGTCACAAAAGCATGGCTGGTAGAGACCTGGGACATCCATAAACTTGGTTCAAAAGCAGCCTTCTTCCAAAAAATTATACATAAGATGATAGCATCCACGTAAAGAACAATGTGCTTCCTAGGCAAACAAAGCACTTCTTTATGCTTGGACTTCAGGATAGAATTGCATAATTCAGTTATTCCTAAAGTTCAAAGGGCTCCTTAAAGGGTCTACATCAGGTCACAAAGTAGAAAGTTGTCAACTTCTCTCCAAATCTGCTACTTAATCCTTCCTCAGTTAAGTGTCATTTCATCCCTGGGTTACTGCCAACTGCCTTCCAACTCTACTCTTGTCAATCCATTTTTCATAGAGCAATAAATGTTCTCAAAGTATAAACAAGATCATGTCCTATCACACTATTGCTTAAATTCCTTTAACATCTTGACTTATTCTTAAAATGAAATGTGAACTCTTCCCCATAGCTCTTAAAGCCTTGCACAAGCTGGGCTGTCTACCTCTTGAAGCTCATCTCATCTAGAACTTCCCCTTGCCCCATATGCGCCAGTCACGTAATCATTGTACACTCATGCCCGAAAACTAAGGTCATTTTCACAGGACGTTTTGTAGAAACTTTTTCTCTGCCTAAAATATATCCCCTGCTTCCCTTTTCCCATCAGTCTTTGCATGTTTGTTTTGTAGATTTCAGCCTGTCAGTTCTTCAGAAAGGCTGTCCCTGACCATTCTACAGAAAGCTAGTCTCTGGTTTATTTCTTGCACAATTTTTAATTTGTTTATTTGTCGCTGTATTTGCCTGTTTTCTTATTTCTACAACAAAAATGCAAGTTCCTGAGTGGAGCGGCCATGTCTGCCTCGTTTTTGTATGTGTGTGTGTCCCCAGTCTCTGGCAAGATGAGACTTATGAGTCATCAAAAAATATTTAATGAATAAATGTATCAATGAATCAGGAGAAAAGTAGGAGATAAAACATGTCACCTCTTTTCAAAAAAACATCTTCTGACTGTGTTGCCTGAAGCTATGGTAGTCTTTTCTCCCTCTTCTCTTTTTTGCATTATTGTCATTGTTAATATTAGCTCCTGTTTATGGAGTTTATGCTGTCAATGTTATTGCAGGGATCAGGCATACTTAGAGATGTGAGACATAGTTTCTCTCCAGATGACCTAACTGAAGTGTAAATAATCAGTGGGGAAAAAGAATGACCACAGAGGACTAGAGCTTTGAGATTTTCATAAAAGAAGCCCTTGGGATTCAAGATCAACACTGAAGTGGGAGTTACGAGTTAGTTGGAAACCATGTAAAGGAAAAGAAAGGGCACTCAAGACAAAGAAAATGGGAAAAGTGGAGAGTAACCAGAGTGTATGAAATAAGATTATATTTATATATATATTTGATTTGACAGCAAATGTTTGGACAATTCTTTTTTTTTTTTTTTTTTTTTTTTTTGAGACGAAGTTTCGCTTTTGCTGCCCAGGCTGGAGTGCAGTGGCGCAATCTCGGCTCACTGCAACTTCCCCCTCCTGGGTTCAAGGGATTCTCCTGCCTCAGCCTCCCGAGTAGCTGGGATTACAGGCGTGTGCCACCACGCCCAGTTAATTTTGTATTTTTAGTACAGACAGGGTTTCTCCATGTTTATCAGGCTGGTCTCGAACTCCTGACCTCAGGTGATCCTCCTGCCTCAGCCTCCCAAAGTGCTGGGATTATGGGCGTGAGCCACCGTGCCCGGCCAAGACACTTCTTGTTGAATATATAATTTGTACAATTATATATCCATTAATTACTCCCTACTTTGTAAATGTCTTCATTTGATATCAAACCATAATTTGACTTATTTATCAGTATCATAAATCTATTTTTCTTTCCAATGAGATTATAAACATAAGCAGGGTTTTTGTTCCATTCATCTTTGCTTTCATAAAATTTGATTGTCCAAATCCGAAACCACTCTGTCTTCTACCTGAAAATGATGCCTCTCTATGGAATACTAATAAAGGATCATCCAGCCTCTCAATAAACTTTTCACAGGATTCTCATGAGGCAGCTTGTTTCAATTTCAAATAATTTTTTTAAGGCAGCAATTTTATTTTTTATTTTTTATTTTATTTTTTTGAGACGGAGTCTTGCTCTGTCACCCAGGCTGGAGTGCAGTGGCATGATCTCGGCTCACTGCAAGCTCCGCCTTCCGGGTTCATGCCATTCTTCTGCCTCAGCCTCCTGAGTAGCTGGGACTACAGGTGCCTGCCACCACTCCCAGCTAATTTTTGTATTTTTAGTAGCGACAAGGTCTCAACATGTTAGCCAGGATGGTCTCGATCTCCTGACCTCGTGATCCACCTGCCTCGGCCTCCCAAAGTGCTGGGATTACAGGCATGAGCCACCGCGCCCAGCCTATGGCAGGCAGCAAATTCTTAAATTTCTTTCCTTCTCAACTTTTCACCACTAATCATAGTTAAGTCCTCCAAAATTACACAAAACAAAAATTAATCCTTTTTTTGCAAAATAATCTCTTGCATATTTGAAGGCAGAATTATTTTTTGTGTGTGTTTTTTAGGCTAAATAACCCTATTTTCACTAGCTATTCCTTACACATATTAAAACTCATGTTTAAATACATCTATTTTCCCAGACAACTGAATAGTTATTTAAGCTCCATGACAGCAAGAACCCTGCTTGTTTCATTTACACTGTTTTCATCTCACATATAATGATGTCTGACAAATAATAGGCAATCAAAATTATTTTTTAAATGACTAAGTGAAGGATTTTTGCCAGTGCAATAAAGCAAGAAAAAGATGTAGCAGGGATCTAGTTACAAAGGAAGAAGTAAAACTCTTTCTATTCACAGACATTACCATTTGTGTAGAAAATGTATGACATATCTAAAACGGTACTAGAACAAATAAGTCAGCTTAGCAAGGTTGTAGGATCCAATATCAGCTATACAAAAACCCAACTGCATTTCTGTATTCTAGCAGTGAATAACAGAAAACAAAAACAATTCTAATAACATCCAAAATATGAGAAACGTAAGATAAATTTGACAAAAATATGTAAAAATCTGTAACCTGAAAAATATAGAACGTTACTTAGAGATAATCATTATACAACATTGTCTAGAAAAAAACTAAGTGAAAAAATAACCATGTTTATGGGTTAGAAGGGTCAATATTACTAAGACATCAATTTTCCTTAACTTGATATGTAGATTCAATCGTATCACAATCAAAATCCTAGGAAGCTTTTCTGAAGAAACTGATGGATTCCAAAAGACATGAAAATATGAAAGAGCTAGAATAGCACAAACAACTTTGAATAATAAAAATGCTGGGAAGCTAAAAATAGTTATTTTCATAACATATAAAAAGACTAGTATAAAGCTAGTCATCAGGAAAGTATGGAATTGGCTTAAATATAGACAAGTAGAAAGGAACAGAATAGAAAGTTTAGTATAGACTCATACCTATATAGACAACAACAAAGGCAAATTCAATGGAGTAGCGATAGTCTTCCTATCAAATTGCGTAATTCTTACTTGAGCCAAAACCAATAATTATTCCAAGTGAATTATATATTAGGTATATATTATATTACCTAATGTAAAAATGAAATGTATGCAATGTAAAAACGTAAATGTAAAAATGAAAACTAAAAACTAGACAATCACGTGAGAAAAATCTTTGTTACCTCAAGTTAGGCTGACTTCATTGATTAGACACTAAAAGCATAATACATGAAGCAATATTAATTAGACTTCATTAATAATTTCTACTCTTCGACACTGTTTAGAGAATGAAAAGGTGAGACACAGATTGGTAGAAAGTAGTTGAAAATCAAACATCTGATAAAAGGATTGTATTAACACACAAAGCTTCAAAAAATCAACGATAAGAAAACAATCCAATAAAATATGGACAAAAGAGTTGAATTGACACTTTACCAAAGAAGATACACTAATAGCAAGTGAGTGCACAAAAAAAGATGCTGTCATTAGTCATTAGGGAAACACAAAAATCATAATGAGATACCCCAACACACCTATTCAAATAGCTAAAATGGAAAAGACTGATCACAGCAAGTATTGGTTGAGATGTAGAGGAATTAGAATTCTCAACACTGCTGGTGTGAATGTAGAATGGTAGAACCACATTGAAAAACAGTGTTGCAGTTTCTTAAGAAATTAAACATACACCCACTGTGTTATCCAAGAGAAATAAAAGCATATTATCTTCAAATGAAGATTGCATTTTGCACTTTAATGATTATAGGAGCTTTATTTGCAATGGTTCCAAACTGGAAACAACCCAAATATTCATTAATTGGTGAATGAATAAATAGTCATATCAGTATAATGGAACCCTGTTATGCAATAAATGGAATGAACTGTTTGTATACAAACAACATAATCTCAATCATGCTAAATGAGAGAAATTGAGGGAAAAAGTGTGTGCTATGAATGTTCATTGTTATAAAATTCTAGGAAATGCAAACTAATCAATAGACAGAAAATAGATGAATAGTTGCCTGAGATGCAGAGGGTGGTGGTCAGGGAGGGGCAGAAAGAAAGACATGAGGGAACTTTTGTTTTATATATATATATATATATGCTTATTTTCCTGTGGTGATAATTTCATGGGTGTATAGCATACCAAAACTTACAAAAATGTACACACTAAGTATGTGCAGTGTATTGCACAAGTACACCTCAATAAAGTTGTTATATAAAGAATATACGTCTGAAGTCAGTTATATCTAGATTTAAAGCTCATCACGTTCACTCATGTGCTATGTGCTTTTGGACAAGTTATTTAACTGTTCATTTTTATTTTAAATTGATTCTTTTAGAATCCCTTCAAACTTCACAGAAGTGATGTGAATGTAAGTAACAACTTGTCTTAGATGGGTGAAAGAGAGAGCTCCAATGCTGATGAAGTTGTACAAACTCCATCCTCCCCATTTGTAACCACTAATTTGCAAAGGGGCTGAGAAGTTTGCTGCAGGGGACACATAGTCCCTGTTCTCCATTCATCTTCTGCCATATTCACATACGTCTGATGGACTGGCAGGGCAATAAAGGAAACCAGATTGCTGGAAGGATAATGAGAATCTCCCTAGAGGTGGAACTTCCCAATAGGGAAGAAGGAGACTTGCTGGTGGTATACACAGGTCTAACATTTGCCAACTATGGAAATGGAGGACAAGCCACAGGTCAAGCTAGCCTAGCTATACTGAAGATAGTTGTGCTTTCTGAGGATGGGACTGAATGTATGTGAAATGATAGAGGTGCCTCACTACCCTCTGTATACTTTTGTATACGAGCAGATTTATTGTAGCATAAGCAGAGGGATCCATCTGCCTCTCTATTCACAAAAGCATCACAGGTCTCCAGCATTGAGTGCCACAGTTGTGTTTCATTGGCATCAGGTACGGTGGGCGTCCATTTCTACAGGTAGCAAGGAATGACCTGTACTGACCTATTGATAATGTCAGTGCACTTGGAGATTTCCTCAAAGTAATTAAGATGTGAATTTTCCTCAGGCAAACGAGTGATATTCTATAAGAAAAAGAGATGTACATTACTTTTGACAAACTTCATCTGTACTTATTTCAGGTAACAACTGAGAAACTGAAGTTACAAATAAGAGAAAAATTACATTGAAGACATAATAATAAGTCATTAGAGAAATACCGTGTTTCCAAACTTAATGGAAACGTTTCTTTCCTGACCTTACTAAATTCCCTAGCAGAACTCAACAATGCAGTTTACTACCATGATCTTGAAACATTTCTTTTCCAAATTCTAAGAGACCTCGTGATCCAATTGTTTTCTACCTCTCCATTTACTTTGTTTCTCCTGCCTCTCCATCCTTTTCAAAATATATTTCTCCAACCAATACTTTTAATCTTCACATTTTTGTATTCAACTCTCTACCTCACATCACTACAGGTATATCTCAAGATACCATGAATTTAATGTATTCTTTCTCCTAAACTTGTTTTCCTTTAGTCTTCACCATTTCACTATTATCCCATACCAAACAAGTAGGAATGAACCAGAGACCTGGGAAAAATAGTTCATTTCTCTAGTTTATCAGTCTAGAAACCTATAAAATAAGAAAATAAGTTTACTTAACTTGAATTATTCTCAGTGAATCTATTCTGGTTATTAAAGCTTCTTTTCCTGAAATTAAAAAGTACTGATGTAAGAATCTTCTAGAAAATTTTTAGGGAACCATTGTAAAATATACAGATATATTAAATAGTCTCTCATTCTCTTGTTTTTCTATTTACTTCCACTGAAACATTTAGTTTTTAGCTTAGATAATTTTTCATAAATACTGAATGTGTAATGCCACCTATATTGGATTTTGAACCATGTGTGACTTTGTGAGACATTTCCTCTTATCTCCTGTCCTGCACTGGTAGACTTGATAAACCTAACTATCCAAGACTGTAACTTCATTCCCAGAGGTAGCATTACTTTTTAGTCAGTGTGGCCACTGGGGAGTGAACCAGGATAAATGGGATTAAACTGAAACAATAGGAGGTTCAGGTTAAACACTAAAAGAAATGCGTCGAGAAAAGGTCACTTAGACATAGGAACAATTTCCCTTGAGAATGTAGAAATATCTTCATTGTAAGTTTTCTTTTTTTTTCTAGTGTAGTTAGACTAAAGTTCAACAAGAGTCACTATCTCATATTTCACAGTAGGCAATCCAGTTTTTTCCCCCCTACATTAAGAAACAGTAGAGAGAGGGAATCCATACTACCTGGGCCTGATATTTAACACCGTATAGAAAGGAAGCATTTCATGGCCCTTCCTATAAAATCCCCCCTTCTATTCTCCTTAAGCATTAACTTGTGACTCTGGAGAATAAGGCTTAAGTACCAGAGTTATCACTAGTGATGAAACTCATATCTCTTTTGAATTCTGAATTAAACATTTGTTTTGAAGGAATTAGTTTGAAGCTATTAGTCTATGACTGTTTAAAAAAAAAACCCTAGTGGAGTCATCTGTACACACTTAGCATTTAGTTTCTGTTGATAATGCTGTTAAATTGAGTTAGTTTTCTAATAAGTGTAACAATGAAATCAAATCTCTTTTCCCCACAGGCACTCCTCCAGCAGAATCCTAGTTTCTATCAGTCAAGGCGTATATAATCAGAAACAGAACTCTGCATGCAACAAGGTAGAGCTCTTTATTTGTGGTAGTCTAAGAAGTGGGAAACAGAACTTACTTTATCATGCATACCCATTGTTTTCAACCTTCATTGGTCAGAGGTCCTATGAAAATCAGACAAATCAACTGCATTCTTGTTTTTTTTTTAACTCATCAATTTTTAATTTTGGTATCACTTCTATTGACACATAATTGTTGAGGGCTAATCACATTAGTTTTAGAATAATGAGTATATCACTATGACATAAACAAATGAATATGCTTAATAAACTTCGAAGAATAGTGAGATTTCCCAGCCTTCACTGGCTCCATTTCTGGATTTGCAATGATGTTCATTGGAGGAGATGATGGGGAGGGAACAAAGTCCTTCTTTATAATTTTTATATATATTGAATGGCTCCAAAGTAAAGGTGACACACCAGTTGCCTGTGAGCGGGATTAAGTCTGCAGATATATTTTACTTGGTTCTCATAACTCTGTCAAGAAATTCGATGGAGAGCTTTGGTTCTATTGGTAGTAGTTTAAGACATTGAATTCTTCATTGCAATATTCTGATAATCTTTCTCTAACAATAGTGGCTGGACTGTCAAAATGGATTATTACAAAAGGCAGAATTATAAAATAATATTCATATTTTGAGCTAGTTATGACATAACCCTAAGTCCTCTACCACCATCTATTGTTTCTCCCTTTTTTACTTCATAATATGCTTTTATCACTGTTCTAACTGGTTAGTCTCTTGCTCTTTAAATCTCAGTTATTCTGTGTCATGCCAGCTACTCTCCTTCCTTTGCTAAGAAGAATGATGGTATTTTTGGTGAGTTTACTCAACTTTCCTCTCCTCCACTGCATCATTTCCCTGTTTCTTTAAGATTTGTTTTACCCTCTTTTATCTGACTTCTTTCCTTCAACATTGAGACTTATAATTTTTCTATCGGCTTGGTTTTCTTTTTAAGTTTTACATCTTAATTAATTTAAAAGAAAAATGGACACCTACCTGTATGTGTAAGTTTCATCAATTGCTAAGTTCTATGTGTTTGTGACTGTATTAGTCCATTTTCATGCTGCTGACAAAGATATACCTGGACTGGGTAGAAAAAGAAGTGTAATTGGACTTACAGTTCCACATGGCTGGGGAGGCCTCAGAATCATGGTGGGAAGCAAAAGGCACTTCTTACATGGTGGGAGCAAGAGAAAATGGGGAAGATGCAAAAGCAGAAACCCCTGATAAAACCATCAGATCTCGTGACACTTATTCACTACCATGAAAACAATATGGGCAAAACTGCTCCCATGATTCAAAAGATCTTCCACCAGGTCCCTCCCACAATACAGAATTATGGGAGTACAATTCAAGATGAGATTTGGGTGGGGACACAGGCCAAACCGTATTATTCTTCCCCTGGCACCTCCAAATCTCATGTTCTCACATTTCGAAACCAATCATGCTTTCCCAACAGTCCCCCAAAGTCTTATTTCACCATTAACCCAAAAGTCCACAGTTCAAAGTCTCATCTGGGACAAGGCAAGTCCCTTCCACCTATGAGCCTGTAAAATCAAAAGCTAGCTACTTCCTAGAGACAATGGGGGTACAGGTATTTGGTAAATATAGCCCTTCCAAATGGGAGAATTTGGCCAAAACAATGGGGTTACAGGGCACATGCAAATCTAAAACCCAGTGGAGCAGTCAAATTTTAAAGCTCCAAAATGATCTCCTTTAACTCCAAGTCTCACATCCAGGTCATACTGATGCAAGAGGTGGGTTCCCATGGTCTTGGGAAGCCCCCATGGCTTTGCAGGGTACAGCTTCCCTCCCAGCTGCTTTCACAGGCTGGCATTGAGTGTCTGCGTCTTTTCCAGGTGCACTATGCAAGCTGCCAGCGGACCTACCTTTCTGGGTGCTGGAGGATGGTAGCTCTCTTCTCACAGCTCTACTAGGGGGTGTCCCAGTAGGGATGCTGTGTGGGGACTCTGACTCCACATTTCCCTTCTGCACTGCCCTAGCAGAGGTTCTCCATCAGGGCCCTGCCCCTGAAGCAAACTTCTGCCTGGGCATCCAGGCATTTTCAAACATCTTTTGAAATCTAGGCAGAGGTTTCCAGACCCCAGTTCTTGACTTCTGTGCCTTTGTAGGCTCAACACCATGTGGAAGCTGCCAAAGCTTGGCACTTGCATCCTCTGAAGCCATGGCCTGAGCTCTATGTTGGCCCCTTTCAGCCACAGCTGGAGCAGCTGTGGGGCAGGGCATCAAGTCCTTAGGCTGCACACAGCATAGCACAGAGACCCTGGGCCTGGCTCATGAAATCATTTTCTCCTAGGCCCCCACAGGCCTGTGATGGGAGGGGCTGCTGTGAAGACCTCTGACATGCCCTAGAGACATTTTCCCCATTGTCTTGGGGATTACCATTTGGCTCCTTGTTACTTATGCACATTTCTGCAGCTGGCTTGAATATCTACTTAGAAGATGGGTTTTTCTTTTCTGTCACATTGTCAGGCTGCAAATTTTCTGAACTTTTATGCTCTGCTTTTCTTATAAAACTGAATGCCTTTAACTGCACCCAAGTCACCTCTTGAATGCTTTGCTCCTTAGAAATTTCTTCCACCCGATACCCTAAATCATCTCTCTCAAGATCAAAGTTCCATAAATCTCTAGAGCAGGAGAAAAATCCCACCAGCCTTTTTTTTAAAACATAACAAGAGTCACCTTTGGTCCAGTTCCCAACAAGTTCCTCATCTTCATCTGAGATTACTTCAGCCTAGATCTTATAGTCTATATAACTATCAGGCTTTTGATCAAAGCCACTGAAGTCTCTAGGAAGTTCCAAACTTTCCCATGTTTTCCTGTCTTCTGAGTCCTCCAAATGGTTCCAACCTCTGCCTGTTACCCAGTTCCAAAGTCACTTCTATATTTTCAGGTTTCTTTTCAGCAGCACCCTACTCTACTGGTACCAATTTACTGTATTAGTCTGTTTTCACACTGCTGATAAATACATACCTGAGACTGGGTATAAAAAGTTTAATTGGACTTATGTTTTCACATGGCTGGGGAGGACTCAGAATCATATTGGGAGGTGAAAGGCACATCGTGGCAGCAAGAGAAAATGAGAAAGATGCAAAAGCGGAAACCCCTGATAAAACCATAAGATCTCATGAGACTTATTCACTACCACGAGAACAGTATGGGGGACACCACCCCCATGATTCAGATTATCTCCCACTGGGTCCCTCCCACAACACATGGGAACTATGGGAGTACAATTTAAGATGAGATTTGGCTGGGGACACAGAGCCAAACCATTTCAGTGACTAAGACAAAATCAAGGTCTTACAATAGAAAAAATATTTTGTAACCATTAATTATAATGCAAAAACTACTTATAAAGAACTTCCAAAAAAGTGAAGCAAGAAAAATTTCAATGAATGATGAGAATACAGAGAAGAGGGATTAATTTTGCCTGTAATGTGAAATGTAAGGAGCTTGATTTGGAGGATAAGAGACTCAATGGGAACATTTAAGACAGCATCTAAGAGATAAACCCCAAAGTGGGTTTCCCAGTGAAACTTAACTTTAGGACTCTGCACTTGCATGGGTCTCTTCCAATGTGTTCCTATGGTCATATGTTTTTCTACTATTTACAAAAGTGGGTATGTTAACCATTGCTATTTAAGATCACTTTCTCTTTCTACTCCAACATCTCCTCCCATATACTCTGCCTGGCTCAGGTGGCTTGGAGAGGCCACAGGCTTTTGTGGTATATGATTAGGAGAATGTTGACTGGGAGACAGTTTGGGTTAGTGGCATATATTTCTGTGGTTTGCCATCATAGCCATATGTAGTTAAGTTATAGCAAGCCATCCCACGGTAGGTATATGTTTCAGGAATATTCCTCCCATATATTGTGTAAACTCGCCTATGGTTGGGACACAAAGGTATGAGCCTAGAGGTCACATCTAGCTATGATGTGGACCTGACACAATCAGAATGTGGTAGGTGTGTTGGGTAGTAGGGGAGAAACAAGATCTAAAATGTGCAGAACCAGAAATTAATAGGTGGAGAGTTCCAGTCACTTGATATGTAAAATTATAAACAAAGGAAGAAGATTTGATCTCATTGATAAACAGTCAAAATGAAAGTTCTCTCTTGCAAGAAATATACTTAATAACTTCTTAAGATGTTAGAATTTATAAATACAAATGATAATATAGATTTTCACAAATCTTATCACATTCTTGAAAACTGGCATGACCTTATCAGTAATGAAATGAGAAGCTTAAATAAAATTTTCTAAAATATCAATTAAAAATTTTTCATCCATGCTAAAAGAAAAGTCAACATCTTTTTGTATTCTCTCTACTGAAGATTACAAAATTATAAAAAAGAATATGTGAGCAAGAAATGTTGGAAAAATACAGAACTGTATCAGAGGTTAACTTATAAAAACATGCTTTTTTTCAGATTTGGAAAACGTAATATTCATTAGCTTTTAAAATATATAATTGATTTTCTACTTCTAAATACATGTTATTTTTTATACTTAAATTTACATTTATAAATATATATCATCTTCCTCAAAGAGGGCTCCCAAAATTATATAAACTTCAGGCAGTATAAATCAGGGTAAATAAATTTAAATTTTCCAGGCAAACGTGAAATTTTCCAAGTAGAAAAAATAGTCTGTATAAAGATTGATATCACATATTATTCTGGATCCCACCCACATCAGGCAAACTCAAGTAGGGATAAATCAAGGAGAATTCAATAAAGTGTGGGCAGAGTATAGTGGGTATCAGGGATAGTGCATCATACCTATTACCTACCTGTTACCAGCCCTGGGCCTTAAGGAGTGAGGGGAGATAGCAGTTAACTAGAACCCAAAAGAAATGAACCCATAGGAAAGACTTAACCTGGAGAGGAGCTATGTACTTTGAGAAATGCAAAAGAGACCAGAATAAACAGAAGGACAGTTGGGGGAATACTATACAGATCCTCACTTCATTTTCTCCCACCACTCTCATGCCTTAGTCTCATACAGCCGTAACCCAAGTATTGCATAAGCAAGCCTGTGGAAGTGGCCCAATTATGTTAGAAGATAGGAGGCAGAGTGCAAGGGAGAGATGTAGTCTGAACGGGCAGACAAAAAATATCTGGCTATATGTATAATAACTGTGTGCATATATGTGTGTATATATATGTGCATACATGTGCACATGTGTGTATTACACAAATATGTGTACAGGTATACAATTGTGGTATGTATAGTTACATTTAAAAATGAAATCCCACCTTATTGGCTTATAATCTGTTTAATTCACTGAATAACAGACACATTATAAACTCTTTTCTGTGCCAGGAATCTTTTAATACAATATATTTTCATAGAATTATATGGTTCTACATTCTATGGCACATGTATCAACATTCATTTAAGTTACTTCAAAATTTTCAGTATTATATAAAAACCTACAACATCCTTGTAGATCATTTTTTAATGAGCAACAATATTTCCTTAAAATAAATTTAAAGAAGTATTTGCAGGATCAAAGGGGTACCCATTTCAAGTTCTCATCACCAGAATGCTCTCCAGGAAGACTGCCTGTGTACATTACCGTAATCTGCATATTTGTGCTTGCTTACTTCACATCCTCACGAAGTTACACTATAAACTCTCCTGAAGGAGCTATATGTCTACTTCCCTACCAGTTCTCCCCCTGAATTTTTGTAATTGGAAACTCTTCTCTTGGCAGTGAACAATGACTTCCCAATTTTGAATTCTAATGGCTATTTATCATTCTTATCATTAACCTTACAGTGTTTGATATTATTGACCTTGAGCTCCTATTTGAAAAATCTCTCTTTGCTTTGGTCCTTTGATATATTTCAATGCTGATTTGAATTCTCTCTTGTTTTTTCCATGTCTTCCTTTTGGTGCATCCTTCTCCTGCTTTCTGTTAGATATGGGCATCCCATCCGACACAGAGTTCTGCCACTATTCATGCACTATGGCGGGGTCCAGCAACCCTTCCATGCCTCTCATCTTTGTCTCTTCTTTTCCTCTTCCAATGTTCCCACTGTCATTTCAGGCCTTGTTATTTTCACCTGGGCCATCAATAGCCTCCTAACTGGTCCCCTGCCTCTAGTTCTAGCTCTATTTTCCTAAAATCTATTTTTGCCTATGGTGCTCTCTTGAACTGCAGCATCCACTGTCTTCCATTCCTATCATCTATCAAATGAAATATGAGCTGGTATTTGGCAGCCCTCTTCCTCTACACCTAAATATACAGCCTATGTTCTAGTCTAGCTACAAAGCTTTGCCTTGCTTTTCCTTCCGCCTATATATTTTTTCCTTATCTCTGCTTTTCAAATTCCACCCTCTCATTAAGACCTAACTCAAAGGCACCTGCTGTAGGAATCTTTCTCTAGTTACACCCACTGAAAATGACCTCTGTCTTCTAGGGTCTATAATCCAGACATCTATCTGATATTATAACCTCCGTGAGAGGCTTTAACCATTACTAGATTATAAAATGATTGAAAACAGATTCTGGTGTTGTTCCTTTTTCACCAAACACATAGAGTTTTGTTGCTGGCAGGTGATTAATAAATATTAATTAAGTGAACAAGACAGCCCTGGAGCAATTCTACTGAAACTTTGGGTTTAAGAACAGTTAGGGAAAGCTCAGAAATAGTCTACTGGTTATAGCTCATCTCTAGTTTCAGGTCTTACAAAATATTCTACTTAAAGATGCTATGACAATTTAAATTTCATGTATGAAGCTAAGCAATAATTATGTCCAATATGGCCTTATTGGCTGCCCCAGAATTCTAAAAACTGCAAAAGAATTTGTGTCTCATTTTACAAGGTCTAACAATTTACTCACATTTCTACCACTGAACAATTCAAAGCTCATCTTTGATGGCACATGGCAACATTTGCCACCCACAAACCTAGGATAGCCAGTTAATGTCTCAGTCTTCATTGCCACATTTGGTCTTGCCCAGAGGGGACAAATTTTATTCTTCCTCTTCACACAATCATGTTTCATAGGGCAAGTTAAAAAACAATGTGAAGCATTTGAAAGTTATAAGACCAGCAACAGGAAAGCGAGGAAAACCTGCTGCCTGTCATGAAAAACATGAAGCCATTTTGCCAAGTTAACAAAGAACGAAGAGGTGCAATGTTGCAATGGGGAAGGCAAATGTATGATTTCTTTTCTGCTTAACTCTGTGCAAGCTTTTCCCTTAGCTCTGTGCATGTCTTTCCTTTCTTATATGACTTCAGGCTAGTCATTTCACTTATTCATACATGGCTTGCAGAGAGTACCACCTCCCAACCTCCTACTCCTACCTCCCAGGCTACAGGCATGCCAGTTGCTAATGCTCCGAGATCTCCCCAGCCTGGCCCAGACTCCCACACGATGAGATGTCCTCTGTGCAATTTGTACAGCACCTTTCTCAAGCATGGAGACATTGCACGACCCAGCAGTGAACAATGAGGCAGCAGGAGGCAGCACCAACGGGCGACATCTAACACGTTCAGGAAAAACAAAATTAAGCAGCGAAGCTCTTTAGAGCAACAGAGGCTTTTAAAGAGAGTTCTCTCAGGTAATGTAAGCGGCTGCTTTCTCACCGCTCTCACAAGGGCATGCCATGGGGCCAAACGAGCAATCCCTCCAGCCCCAGGAGAAAGAGCTGAGCTGCAATGAGGACCAAATCCATTTATTTTTATGTCTCAATGAAAATACTGGATAGTTTGTAAATCACACATGCTCTGATCGCATTCCTTTTAAGAATACACAGCAGATTTATTCACATAGGGGAAGCAATTGATCAGCCTCCCTGCACAGAGATTCTTAGATGAATGTGGCTGTTCGGTTTCTTACTAAATTAGGAGCTGCAGAGCAAGTGTGACCAGAGATGGGGTGCTGAGAAGGCACAGGTATTATGTGGAAAATTTGGCGTGCGTACCATAAGGACTATGCAGTTGAGAAACAACGTTCATGTCTGGTCAGTTTTAATTTCTGAACATGGCTTACAATCTCCAGTTCAACCACATGTTGTCCTCCAATTAAACCATACCATGTAAGGCCCTGATGGGACGAATACAGAGAAATCACATTTTCCACACTGCTGTCAGGAGCAGAACAGAATGGTAATTTTGCATTTGGTTTTGTTTGTCAGCCTGCATTTTAATGTATTTTCTAATATGACCACCTGATCCAGAACCAAACCCACATTGTTCTCTCTGATAAGACTGGGGAATAAATTCCTCCAAGGCATCTTTGCAAAGGGACTTATCTCTTTAAGTTTGCTGAGTTTCTGAGTGGGTGGAATAGGTTATGCTTTGCATTTCAAGAAACAGAATGAAATGCCACCAACAACACAGAATTTCAATACTGGCATTGCCGGAGCTCAGAGCGTGCTCTTTAAAGAAAATGTAAGATTTAACCCACACCTGAGATATGAGTCTTTATGACTGTTAGTTGGATGTTTGAGTCATTATTTTAAAATGGCCATCAACACAGTGCATATTTACTTAGTAGCTTTGTTGTGTTTTAGTTGCTAAATGACTGGGGCTAGGTGGTGTTGGCTTTGTACGTGAGAACAAAAAGGACTTTAAAAAATTTTTCAGTTTCTAATCTACTGTGACAGCATAATAACTATGTAGTCTAAGGATTAAGAGTACAGGCTCTGTAGAAAGACTTGGTTCAAATCCAGGCTCCGTCTCTCAGGCAGACTACTTCATCCCTCCATGTCTCAATTTTCACGTGCTTGAAATGGTGTGACAACAACCTCATAGGATGAGCGTGAGAATTAAATAAGTCATCTTAAGTGCTTAGCACTGTGCTTTAGAGAAAAAGTGCACATAAATGTCCATTTTTATTATGATTAAGGTTCAGATTAACATGACTGAATGCCTGAGAACTACCAGCAACATGCCAGCTCCTGTTTTTGAAAACCTTACCTCTAGGAAAGTAGCACATTATCTTTTCATCTTATCACTAAAGAAGATTTTACGTTGGAGGTCTTCAGCCCTCTTTTTAGTTTATTTAAGGACTTATCTTCCTTTATTGTCTCCCTTTCTGTGCTCATCTCCCTTTAACCAGAGGTTACTGCCTCCTCTGTAGGATCTATGACCTTGTTACTCATTTAGCCCCTAACACTCATAATTGCGTTACTATTTATTTTTTTATTTGTTTTACATTAATGTCCTTCGTTTCCTTACCTAGAGTGAAGCCTCTTTGAGAAGAGGCAGCAGATCTGCGTAAACCACCCCTCACCTAATGAATTTTTCCTTAGGATATAAAGGAATAGGAACCAGCTCTTAGAAAAATAAGTCTGTTGCCTCAAGTACTTTCCTAAGCTTAAAGAGAATTTGAAAACCTTGCACATCTTCCACACACTCAGGCCTGCTTCAGTATTTGTCAAGGCCTCAGCCACCCTGAAGATATTGTCAAGACAAAAGACTACAGAGGTGAGAGGAGTAGAAGATTAGAAAGACATATTTCAGCACTTCACAATTGCATTTTAAGCCTCTTCACAAAAGTATCTCCCTGCACATGGGAGGATAGGCTAAAAATGTTAATTTAGGAATTCCAGGCAAAGACGCTATGAGCTGATACATAAAATTCTATCTGTCTGTCTATCCATCCATCCAACCTACCTACCTTCCTACCTACTTACTTACCTATGTCTATCAAATAGTCAATGGCTCCTTGTGGTATTCGTGCAAGAATACAGCAAATTTGAAGTCATATTTTTTACACTATTCTGATCATCATAATAAGAAAGCCAGTTGGCCATAAACATAACTAGGGCTCTGATGAATGCAGCCTAAGTTGTTGCTCTCAGCAGTTGACACATAGCCTTCTGCACCTACACACGAACGACTCTGCCGAATCTCGCTTTCATCATTGTGCTGCTTGCACAATCATTGGGAAACAACCGCAGCTTTGTGGGTATGGACCGAATGCCAGCAGTGAGGAGTGCACTTCCAGTGTGTTTGCCACTGTTTTCTTTAATGATTTCTCAAGTGAATATGGTCTCTGTCCTTCTGTTCTTTAGAAGGTATATGTTGAGCTTCAATGATTTCAAAGCTAATGGTAAAATATGCACTATTCAGCACCGCTCTGTCGAGATTTGAATCATTATTTGTCCTCTTTGTCTGGACAGACTGTAGGGTTAAATGGCTGGGGTTTTTGAAACAAAAGATTTATACTCCATTTTCTTTGTACTATCCATCCACGCCTCCTGTAATAGGAGCCGGTTGAAAGCTCTATGTCTGGGTTGTCATTTCTCTTGCACAGTATATATTAGAGTCCAAACGACCTCTACACCATCAAGGTTCTATAAACCTTAAATTTAAGCTACCTTCTCCACCAAAGTACCTAAAACAATAACTTTTTTATGTTGCAACAAACATTACAGTTAATGAGTACAGTGCACATGTAATGATACAGTGAATCAGTGTGAAGCCTCAAATAATGATTTCTGTTGGCACTATAAAAGGAATGTAATTTTTCTTGTTGAAATACCATTTTTCAGTTACTGCATGAGTGATGTGGTAATTATCCCCTACACCTGGGATTTAAATCCAATCCTACAAGCCCATTTTCTGTTTGCAAGCTGTCAGGCTGATGCATAGGCTTTGTTCTTATCTGGCAGTAGGCAAGGAATCGGTAATTCAGAAACAACAAAGCCACTGATGGGTCATCATGTAATCTGCACTGAAAATTGCAATCTGTAATGAGATTGGAAACGCAGATGAGGTGACTAAAATTGATTACCTACTATATCTGAAAATTTCAATTTTATTGCACAAATATGATCAAACTAGTCCATAAGTTTGGGGATTAGTTGAGAAAGAATAAAGATTACTTTTAAATTAGGTGAATGCAGATAAGTTATTTAAATGTAAATTATTTGCTTTATAGCAATATGGTTGGTCTGCAGGGTGATTCATATGGCTACATATTTTAAGCTCCCCGATGGCATCATTTCTGCCTGGGAGTTCCAATTAGAGATGACATATACACTTTCAGCTCTTAAAAGTAGTACAGCAAAGCAGACCATGAATGAAACTCATACCAATCCCCAAGCCATAAAAATTCACCTTTCATATGCTTATTATGGGAAAAAATAACATCTAGAAGTCCTGGGAGCTTTAAAAAACAAGTAGCAGACTGTGCTTGGAGTATTTGAAAACATCTTCCACTCCCCCTCGCCCCCAATGCACACAAACTGTTTTCCAAAAGGTCAGACTTTGTGGATTTAGCTCAGGAGTCAAGATGACAGGTTCAATCCCTTGCTTCCAATAGGAGCCGTGGACTTTATATAATCTTAGAACCACAAGAGATATTGGTGATATTCTGGGCCAACTTTCCAGCTACTATAAAGATCTCTTCATTTCTTGTCAGTAACATGATAATAATTTCTATCTCTGGAAATCTGGCAGATCTCAATGTTCTTGAAACAAATGGTATATCTAATAAAGAATCTTTATTATGACACATTTTCTAAAATGAATTACAATATGCTCACATAATGCCACCAAAATATTTCACCTCTTTGTCTAGCTCCTAGAAAGAATCCATTAGGGGGGAACGAAGAGACTTAAGAGATTAATTTCTACTTGAGAGAACATCCTCTAGGAAAAATACATGTCATCAAAGCTCAACTTTCTTTGTCTTTTTGGGTTGTCAAGGAAAAAAAAATTTCCATCCTGTGGGCTGTAGCTGCTCTTGCAGCTGCAAAAGTTTCTTCTCCTCTTGAAAGTCATTACCAATAGATTATGAAACAAGGGTTCCCCTCTGATTGTTGTATTCATGATCTTATATAAGACAGCTGAGGAGCTGGAAGGTCACATTAGTGAAGTGCTTGGTCACGTGCGCTAAATTACTCTTCGGCAGGAATTTTATATTCTGAATCTTTTCAGAGCTTCACTAGTCTCCTGCCCAGTGTACACTGTTCCTAGGCCTATTTTCATAACCTGGCCCTCTTCAGAAGGAAAATTCCTAGGAAAAAAAATGTGTTTTTATTATTAGTTTTGTTTTGCTTTGTTTTTGCTTTGGTCTTACATCCCGACTTTTCTGCTCAGTTCCTCTGAAACCCAGAGAGAGCCCAGTGGCACCTAACACAAGAAATATACATTGACATTGATCTACAAATCCCAAAAGAATGACCGAAGCTCTAGTGACTCAAATTTGCTGGGCTTTGCTATTTTCTTAACCACCATGTACACTCTTCTCTTCTAAAAGAGAAAGGAAAGAATGGAAAGAGATGCTTATTTATAAACTATGAAAAGTTTACATTCCAAGCACCATCTTCACAGAACTGCTTTTGTTATTCTTGCTCTTCTTTCAAAATGTAAACTCCTTCTGCAATGAACTTACTTTTTTATATTCATTCTTCTCTTCTGAAAATCTCAATATTGTTTTACATGTAGAAAAGTAATATGCTCCTCATTTCAAGCATCCATATCTCACATTTGAAGCACATAAACAAAAAAGATGTCAGCTGTCCCTGCACCCATGCAAATTTCACACCCAGCCCCTCTTTTTCAATGAAACTGCTTTCTTAGTGAACCTTAGTCAAAGACACTGTAGTCAGTCTCTAATCTGGAGGGTGGCAATAGCTCTGTTTCCCATCATACATCTCTAAAATGCATTCTCCATAAAACTGTCAGTTATCCTTTTAAAACACAAACTTGGTGCCATTCTTGTGTTTAAATCCCTCCAGTGGCTTCATATCACACTGAAAATAAATTCCAAACATCTTACACTGGCCTACAATATTATGGACTCTGCCAACCTCATCTCATATAATTCTCAGCCTTGCTCACTGTGCTATTGCCAGGCTTGGCATCTTTGAACTTTACCAGCTTTTTCTTGCAATAGGAACTTTGCTGTAACTTACCTGCTTTTTGTTCCTGGTTCCTTCTGGTCAGTCAGATTACAGCCAAGTTATCCCTCCCTCAGGCCTTCCTTGTCCCCACCTCCCCTCCAATCCAATCCAAAATATCCACGAGTCACTTTATATTCACACATTCTCTTCAAATTCCTGAATAGTATCTAACATTTCTGGTACTTATTATTTTTTCTCTTCCAACTCAATTTTAAGTTGTATGAGAGCTGGGACCTAGTTTGTCTTATCTCTAAGACCTAAGCTTTGAAATTGCCTAACACATGGTACACACTTAATAAAGATGTTAGAATAAATATCAGTCCTTATCTCCTACTCATTTTACCCAATTACTTTTTCTCACAGTTTTTTAATAATTGTTTTCCCATATGCAGAACTGATGCTGTTGACATCTCCCTTCCTGAAATTCTCTTGGCTTTTGAATTCTATGTTACACATATTGGGTTTTCTTTCTACATTTTCATTTCCTTTTCTAGTCCTGTAATTAAAATGCTGAGTTTCTTCAAGATACTTAACTGGCCTTTTTTTTCTTTCTCACTGTCTTTCTTGAATATTTCCAATACTTTTATGGCTCCAATGATTATGTCAAAGAAAAACTGCACTAGACAAGTTAAACAGGCTTTATTTAAGACTATTATAATAGGAGAGAGAGATTGAACTCAAATCCACTAAAACAAAAGGCAGGAGAGTTTTAAGCTCTGGGATGAGCTAGTGGAAAAGTGCTGGAAGATGTGAAGAGGGAGAATGGTCAATGGGATTAGGCCATTATTGTTTGCTAATTGGTATTTATTAAAGTTAGGCTCCTACTTTCCCACAGAGATTGAGAGATAATGTCTCTGTCTTTCTGGATGGTTACATGTCAAAGGGATGGCTCCCAAATCATTGAAAAAGCCATTTCTCAGTTGTAAAACTGGCAAGAGGTTGGGAGAAGAGTTACATCTCAAAGCGGCAGAAGGGGAATTTACAATTGCATTTTCTAAAGTAAGTGCTCTAAAAAAAAAAAGAAGGGTGGGGGGCGGGTTGGGGGAGGGTTGAGGTCAGAGTATTTAGACCAGAATAAACCTGTCCAACGTTTAGTCAAGCTGAAGGGCACATTAGATCATTTTGAATGCAATTACCAGGTTATCTTCCAAATTAGTATCTTCAGACCTAATGTCTTTGACAAGCTGAGATCCTGAATTTTCAGTTGTCTGTTGAACACCTTCAGCTGGGTATTCCATTTTTACATACAATTTACCCTGTTTTAAAACAAATATTACCCTTTTTTTAAATGATTCTTATATATTCACTATGCCCTTTGCATTTTTATTGTTACTGATTTATTACCTGCATGCTATTTTAACCACTTTCTCCACCTTCATTTTTTTTCCTGTTCAAAACAGATCTTTGGTAATTTTTCCAAAATACTACTTTGAGCACATTCCTGCCCTACAAGATCTTCAACAATTCTTCATTGTCTGTATGATCATAATAGTTTCTTGCCATTCTAGAACTGAAAATAATTTCTTCATGTGCAAGTTAACAAGATTCATAATTTTGTAGAAGACCCTACTGGTTTTGACCACTTAAGGAGATGGCAGAACTCTTAACGTCGACATAACTAAGAAAAATAGTAATAGGAGAAGAATGTGGCCCAGACCTATTTGAATAGTGGCTTTACAATGGCTTTAATAAGTGATGTTAATGAAATGAAAGAGAATTTAAGAGAGAAATGGAGCATCTCCATTCATGGTCTTTTAAAAATCTCTATTAGATCAGGACTTAGTACTTAATCTTCGTTTTCCCAGTTCATTTTGGGCTTACTTATCTTCTTATGTTTCCTCAATCCTTAAATCAAAAACAACTCCTACCGGTTTCTTTCACTTTTATATTTTTGGCAACACTGGGAGCCTGTCTGGCAAAATGCCTCCTAGAAACTTCAAGAAGAGAGTAGTAAAGCCAGTTACTTCTTATGCTCCACTCAAGGGAAAATTCTAGGATTCCTAATGTTCCTTGTAGCATCAGTTGGCATCACAGGTAGTCAAGGGAGAAAACATGTAATTCAGAGGGAAATATATTCTCATTCCTTTGCTGGACTACCTTCTCCGAGTTTTCTATATTATAACCAGGGCATTCTCTTTGTTTCAAATACTATTTTAGGGTAAAAAAAACAAGATGAACATGCCATTCTAGGCACTCAGGATACAGAAGCCAGCTTCTGTATGTGTTTACATAGCTGGGCTAAACATTCAAACTGGGCTTTACAGATTATCCTGGTACTGGGCATAGGGAAAAGGATTCACAGGAGTTAAATTAGTCAGTGTGGAACTAGTTAGCGCCATTTAACGAAGCAAAGTTCAAACTGGAAATCATCATTCTCAGTAAACTATAGCAAGAACAAAAAACCAAACACCGCATGTTCTCACTCATAGGTGGGAATTGAACAATGAGAACACATGGACACAGGAAGGGGAACATCACACTCTGGGGACTGTTGTGGGGTGGGGGGAGGGGGAGGGATAGCTTTAGGAGATATACCTAATGTTAAATGACGAGTTAATGGGTGCAGCACACCAGCATGGCACATGTATACATATGTAACTAACCTGCACATTGTGCACATGTACCCTAAAACTTAAAGTATAATAATAATAAATTAAATTAAAAAAAGACTCCCAATTCTTTTTCTACAGAGAAATTATCTATTCTTAAGTAGTGATATTTTATTTAGCTTCTTTATATATGTAGTCAAATGTCATCTCTAAACCATTCCACGTACATTAAGCAATGATGTTTTATGTTTAAATATAATATTAAGCTTGTTTATAATGTCAAGCATACTTAAATGTAAAGTTTCTACGCTTTTGCTCAGTTTCCTTTTTTGTAAAATTTCCTTCTTACATTTTTCTACCTATTCTGAATCTATTCTTTATTAAACTACCTCAATTATTGGCAAGAGGTAAATTATATTGGAGAACAAGTCTAGTGATTATGACATGTATTTCCAGGATTTTAGCATTTCAAATAGAATGTGCATTTTTAAATACTGAAATATACGGTCATCCATCACCAAAAATATCAGAATTTTTTTGTTGTTTAGAATTTTACTAGTTTGAGTAATGCTAGTTACTCCAACAATTAAAGCCTGAGTCTTAGTGACCTAACCTGATAGAAGCTTATTTTTTAGTCAAGTAAAACTCATTTGACAGGAGGGGTGTTCTTGTCGGGTCCCCTTTTCAGGTGATATTCAGCCTGCTGATTAGAAGAGAATGGAGAAATCACACTCACTTCTTAAAATTTCTCACCTGGAATTGGCACAAAGCAGTGAGAACTAGTCACACGGTCCCATCTAGTTTAAGGGAATCTAGGGGCTGCTTCCAAGTGACAATTCTACACCATGAAATGGGATCACAAATCTTTGGTACTCAGCTTTCTATTTCTGCCACAAAAGCTCTTATTTAGGTGTTTAAATAAAATGTGAAAACTCAGTTATATCTTAAAGTCAAAATCAATTACTCATTAGAAATATGGTAAAACACAGTCCTTCACATAGATTAAAAGCTTAGATAGATCCGTTCCTGTATATTTGCATTACAATAAACTTCTATTGGAAGAATAATTCTTTCTTGAATTTGAAGGCTTTCCAAACAAGTATGGAAATTGATACGGGCAATTCTGCAATAGAATTTCCATCTACTTAAGCTAAATCTAAAGAAAATGAAGAAAACTGGATTTTTTTTTTTTTACAAAATTCATATTTCACTGAGTTTAAAAGGTTTTTCAAAAAAATATCTCATGCAAGTTATGAGGTGATTATTTAAAAGTGGATTCAAGAGAAAATACTTAGAGCTAGAGCAGGGGTTGGAGAACTATGACCAACAGGACAAATCTGGCCCATTGGCCATTGGCCATATTATAAGTAAGGTTGTATTAGAACATATCCATGCCCAATTACTTACACATTGCCTATGGCTGCCTTTACATGTTGCCTTTTGCATTGCAATTACTATTACAATTACAGCAGAATTAAGTAGTGTGCCCTGCAAAGCTGAAAACATACTACCTGGCCTTTTACAGAAAAATTTTGCTAAACCCTGAACTACAGTAATAACTGTCTTCTCATTGTTCTATCAACTCTTGTAAAAGTTGATTCCTTCCCAGTGTAAAGTAAGAGGTTTATCCACAGCTAGAACAATCTGCACAAAAATACTTTCATAACTGAATAATGACATTTTAAGCCCATTTTCATTTTAATCTCACACTTTAAAAAAGATTAATATTGTTTTATTTTCTACCTGAATGACTCATTAAATTTCCTTTATCTTATATAGTATTTAGTGTGTTATCTTAGGAATGTGTTATTTTATCTCTAAATAATTTATATTAGAAAGGCAACCTGTTTTAATATATAGTATAAACATTTTCACTTTAAAATCTGTAATGCATTTATTCATTTTGTAATTATATCAAATATTTGGTTCAATAAAATATTTATAAATTCTAGTCAGACTATTATTCCCACTAAGCTTTGGTACTTCAACTACTTGAAAATGTCCACTATTTCATCAGAATGGCTGTTTGAGTTAAAGGAGGAATTAATCCAGTTACTTTGAAGTTTCCTACATATACATATACTGAGTTTCTGACAAACATGCACACCTCCTTTCAGAACCTTCTGGAAATGATTAATACATGAAAAAGTGGGCACTGAATAAAGAGTCACTGAAGTCTGAGACTAGATAGCAGAATAGAGATGTCACTGTCTGCCTTTGTAAGAGGTACATATGAGGAGCGCTGATGAGTGGTAGATGTTACTCAAAGTGACTGATGGGAGAAGTGGAAGTTTCTATTTGGATTTTAACTAAACAAATTGGAGAAGTGCTTCAACCCTCTGAGCTCTGGGTTTTTTCAACTACAGAAGAAGGAGAAGACTAGTAGTTTATTATATATAATAAATCTAATAAATTTATACATATATTTTTCAAGGCATGCTTTCTTTAGATGTATGGATAGAGGTAGATAGCTAGAGTGGTACAGAAAGAGTGATAGATTAGAGATAGAGAGAGAGATTAGAGATAGAAATAAGGATAGGTAGATGGATAGGTAGACATAGGGAGGTGTGTGTGTGTGTGTGTGTATGCAGAGAGAGAGTGGGGGGACAGAAGAGAGGAGGGGAGAGAGAGATAGATGATAGATAGATGGATAGATGATGGACCAACCAGACAGAGACAGGGAGATGTGTGTATGTGTGCGAGTGTGTGTATAGGGGGGAGATGGAGAGAGAATGAGAGAGATTAGAGATAGAAATAAGGATAGATAGGTAGATGGATAAGTGAGTAGACATAGGGAGGTGTGTGTGTGTGTGTGTGTGTGTGTGTGTGTGTGTAGATAGCTGGGGAGGGGAGAGAGAAGAGAAGAAAGGTTGAGAGAGACAGAGGCCTTTGTTACAGATCTAAGAAAGGTCACTCAGTACTAAATTACTCAAAATTGACGGCAGGGAGGAGTGGAAAGAGAACTGTCAAACAAAAAGCAGGGCTTTCACAAATGAAGTTCTGATTCCAATTTTATATATACATATAGATTTAAATACAAATAAAGATAGAGATGGACAAGTGAGAGAGCAAGGGCAAGAGTGGGAGAGTCATGGAACTCCCCCTTTGTTTCTACACAATCTTATAAAGTTTAAAATGCAAACATAAGTCCAACAATTGAAGTGGAGGCTGGAGGGCCAGATGCCCATTCTCAGGTCTGCCCAATTTTTCTGTTGTCTTCGTGGCTCATTTTAGGGCTTCCTAATGGAAAGCAGCATTTGAAAAAAATGCTTTTAAAAATAGCATTTAAACTTCCTTCTTTTACATTATTTAAAATCCCTCTTTTGCTAGTGAAGCATTTCCTTTTTTTTTTTTTTTTTTTTACTCATTTTCATTTCCTACCCCTACCCCTAGTTCCTGAGTACCCCTAGTACTCATTTCATTTCCTACCCCTACCTCTACTTCCTGAAATACTTCTTTTAATGTATCTATCTGCTGTATTTTGGAACATCATCTATGGTTATACTGGCCTCTTGAGTTTTTATTTAATTTTAAATTTATTTGGTCTGTTCTTATCAGTAGAGTTTAAGGTTCTCTTTCTTCTTCCCCACCCTAAACCCAACACTTTGCAGGGTGCCTTACAGAGATTGGAAGGATATTATGGCTTTATCCACCACTGTGTACTAGATCTCCAACCTGGTGTTAGGCCTGTTTATGAGTACAAAAAGTAGTTTATTTCCAAACGCTTAAGTGCTGTAAAATATAAACTCCTGGTAACCATGCAGGATTTCATTTTCCATACTACATTTTACTTTAGTCATAGCAATGGAGTTGGATAACGGAGTTGGATAATCCAATTGTTTAATGCCATGACACCCTGTACCACTTACCTCTTGCTCAGTTCTTTCTTGTGGGGAGAGGGGTAGTTGTCAGGCTTGTGAGAACCCTCAACAGTATCTACTGTAGTCAGGTAACTCAAACTCTTATGCCTGGAGACCATGAAGAGCTCTAATAATTATCACTTACCTCTGAAAAGTAAATGACCCAAAATAGAGAATTCTAATTTTTGAAATACAAATTTTGCATTTCAGTGGAAATGTACTTCTAGTTGATAGTTCAGCTAGGATTCCCTGTAGCTCAAAATGTTTCCTATTTGGGTATTTGAAATAGATTAAAGAGGATCACTAAGTATAATAGCTATTCAAAATTTGGAAACAGAAACTGAAAAAGTGTGTGTGTATGTATGTGTGTGTTTCAAATGATAAATCATGTTCATGCCAGGGAGGATAAGTTAACGTCAATCTCACGGTGAATCGGCTAAGTTACACAGATATTGGAACACTGTGAAAGGTTTACGAACCAGTCCTGAGTCTTATTTGACATTACTGTCAGGCAAAAAAAGAAGAGTATATTTTAGTATTTGAAATCTCTATGGTGACTAAATTGTTGATCTGTAGTCATTTTTCAGAAGTCATAAAATCACTTGAAGTGTTAAAAAATGTTCAGTTTTCATAGTCTGGAAATATTTGTAGGACTCTAGAAGCTAAAATAAACTGTTATCTTCATTTGAAGTTGTGCCCAATGCCTATTCAGTAGTGCAAGCACTCTGCATTTTTATTTCAGTGGTGAAGATAGATGATCCATCCACACCTAGTTGTCCCTTAGTATAATAGCCTTTATTTATGAGTGTTCGTGGAGAGAGCTATAGTCATTGGCCAGAGAATAGGATAAAACTACCAGGCCCTTATGATGATAAAATGAACCTTGGCTACACAAAAAGATTAAAATCTTACAGTAAGGAACTTATATTTCTGGCTATGACAAATTAGTTTGTAAAGACCAGCCTTTCCTCATCTAAGAATTATACAAGCTGGATAGAACAAAGAGGAATCTATTTGAATACACTGGAAACAAAATGGAAAGTCAGCAAGGACTAGGGAGTCCAAAATCTCAAAGAAATCCTGAAAAGAAGAGACTAACAGAGAGGGGAGCCTAATATTCAGTTCTGTTTTTTCCCTTCCAGCAGTTTACTCATTTGTAAATGGTGGCTGAACGGCTAAAAAGCTTCCAGACCTTTGTTCAGTCTCCTAGAGCTTGAGAGATGAAACTTGGAGTTGGGCACTGTCAAAGCGGGATGCTTGGGCTTTTAGTTGGGATTCCTAGAGGGTACCTGTTATGAGAGTGAGAGTAAGAGAACCACGGAGCATCTTGTGAGTCAGAGCAAATCAGAAAATGTATCAGCTTTTATAGCATTGACATCTAGCTCTCATCAGCTCAATCATAGATTGGGTTAATCTGTTTTATCCCTGGTTTAAAGACTTGTCAAAACCAAAAACAAAGCAAAAAGATAAATCTTTGATAGAGAACAAAATCCTTCAGACTCTCGAAATATCTCTACAAATTTTCACACACAGTAATTATCATTTAGTCAAAAGTTACATACATACCAAGAGACACTGCCAAATGACACACACACAAAAAAAGAATAAAAGCAACAGTAAAAAGAGATCTACAGGACATCCATATTTTGCAGTTACTAAATACAGACTTTTAAATAAACATGATAAACATGTCTAAGAATATAGATGACAAGATGGGGAATCTATTAAAAAGAGTCATGAAAATTATGTAACTGAAAATTACAATAACTGTAATTAAAAATGCAACATATGGATGTAATGCAAGATTCAACAAATCTATCTTTGCCTTTTTTCTATCTTTTACCACTAAAATATATGTTACAGAACAGGAACTTTGTCTATTTTTCCTTGCTATTTCTGCAACATTGAAAATAATACATGATAAAAATAGATACTTAACAAATATTTATTAAATGAATGAATTAATGATAGCTTGCCAAGAGACAAATAAAGTGGTCTATCCTTTTAAGGCTAAAGTTACAAGCAAGGAGATGAAAAAGACAAGACAGGGCAGAAACATTTGTTGGCACAAGGGCAGCAGAAAATGAAGATAGGAAAGAGCTGCAGAATCATAGACAAGTCTCCACTCAATGTGTTCTCTTATTTGCCATCTTCTACTTCTCTCAGCTGCTTCCACTGTAATAAGACTTCTAGTTGAATACAAGAAGAAATGTTGAAAGCCACCTGTGGTTATGCACCTGCTGTGCAATTATGGGCCGCCCAGCAGAAAGACTGAGTTACTGAGTTGGTTCACACCTCAATAGGAGACTGATAGAACCAGCAAGTGCTATGATAGAACTTTCCTCATTCTTCTCTGAACCTCTCCTCTTGGGGAAGGGTTGCAGGAGAATCCTAAGTCTTAGACTCCTCCACAGCTTTGCAGTGGCGCATGGGAGGAGGTTTCACATTAACCATTTTCCTTCCCAAGGATAGGAAACTAAATGCTTCCCTTAAATACTGTGTGTGAAAATTTGTAGATATTTTGAGAGTCTGAGGATTTTGTTCACTGTCTCAACTTAGGCAGCAGGCCATGTAGTTTCAAAATATTTGTGCTTTTAGAATTAAATGATATTTAAAAGGAGCCATAATAACTGGAGGAAAAAAAAGCAGAAAAAAAATAAAGGTGAGAAACTCAGGGGAGAATTAAGTAGCCCAGGCAGTTTATAGGCGACAGTTATAACTTCAGAATTTTCTATTGCCATCCTTTAAATATCTTCAAATTAACAGAAAGAGGAAAAGAAAAAAATTTACTTGAGGTAAAATGTGGTTAGACCATAAGGAAACACTGAAAGCTAAAAAATAAAAGGCTAAAGTTAAATATCTACAAAAAACTTTTCTTAATCTATGCAACACAGATTTTTTTCTTTGAGAAATTTTTTCACTGAAGTGCAGAGATTATTCTTAGTTAGACTTACCAATTTAGTCTGCTGTTTGATTTCCTTGCTTTGATCATCAAACCAGTGTTAGTGTTGTCTCTGTGAGGCAAGCCATCTATTCTAGACATTAGCTAGGTAAAACAAGAGAATACAAAAGGCCATAGATGAATAAGAAATCCAGGTCCCACGGAAGGAGAGAAGTTTGAAGCCCTGGCCAGGAAGCCATTCCTAGAGGATTCAAGAATTCCAGGAATACTACAGATACCAGAATTCCAGGAATGAAATACATGAGGCAGACTCCCTAGGGCATCTTTGGGTGAAGGCTAAGTAGGGCAAAAACTAGCCAAGGGCAGGAGCTCAGGTTACTCAGGGGAGTCTAGAACATTCTCCTTAATTTATCAGCACTGATACTCTTTGTGAAGGCCTAAGAATGACCTCTGCAAACTCCACTCAAAGAGGCAACCAACTCTTCCACCCTTTATTTTATGTTCCAAAAGTACTATTGGGAAGTTGGATCCTTTCTCACTTCGTCCAATTCCTGAAAGCTATATAGAGCAATTAAGAGAATACTTGTAGGTCTCTGAAAATATTAACACTTTCCAGAGTTTGAATTACTATTTTTGCTTAACTTATCTGTGTAAAATTACATAGTTCCAGAATGAGTAGGGTTATCTTAATTACAGAAAACAGGGCCCTCGTCATTGAGATCTGACAGGTAAACAGGTGGAGGTTAGTGTTAGTGGCCTGACAGATTATAGACAACTGTCAAAACTAGGTGAAGAACATATACATACAACACATACATATACATACAGTGAAATAGATCTGATTCTACCAGATTCTATTAGATATTTATTTCATTTTTTAAAAACAATGCCTTGTAGTCCAATATCACACCAGGAAATTAGGTAAAGGGGCTGTTTTTTGTCACTCAGTGTGTCACGGTATAATTTTACCTATCATTATTTCAGCTGAAGGTGGCATTTAGCAGTTCATTAGTGATTAATAGGGCCCTCCATTGCTCAAAGACAATCTTAGATATTTAAGGAAAACATTTAGTTTAGATTGACGGTTTTTCTATCCTAACCATGTCTCTAAAACAAACAGACTAAAAAGCTATGGTGAATTCTATTAAGAAATATATATTTCATGTCAATTTGCCACCAAACTGTAAGCAGGAATGACAATAAGACATAGGTCTCTCTCCCTCAGCAAGCTTCATTTCCCTATCAAAAGAGAGCAATGCATGCAATGTCTGAGTAGAAGACTTAACCATTTTTCAGCCCCGTCATTCTCTTTTTATATTTTGTTCACAATGGTAACTGTCTGGTTTGATGCATTGGTTCTGATGCTTTCACCCGTCTGTTGTCATTCAGGTGCTAAATGAAGAGAATGAATATGTATAATTCTCTCAAGAGTGCGTTAGAATGACCCATCTTGGCATATTTTATGACATATCCCACCAGACCCTGATTATTTTGTGAAGTTGGCATTCAAGTTATACTGGTTGGCTTTTGATAGCTTTTGCCAACTTCTTCTGAGCATATATGATTAATCAGTACAATAAAATGGGACACTCTAAAATGTAGGATTGATGAATGAGTAAAGATTTTAAAACTTTCATTCCTTTATCAGTCATTCAAGACAGTTTTACTACCCTGTTACCGGAAGGTATTTTAGGACATCTTCCACCATTTGATCACTGTGCTGGTATTGAGTAGCCCCTCGTAAAATGGGGAGAAATGGATCTTTTGATTTTGATAAAGATTCTCCCTTCTAGATGAGGAGGTAGTGTTTTCTTCTTTGGAATATTGTCAAGTGACTTCTGGTAGGTAATAGAGAGAAACCAATAGTAGCTGGGAAATCTTAGGCCTAGTTGAAAAGGCCTTTTGAGAATCAAGTCTGGATTGGAATTGGAGAAGTTTCTTTTGCATACCCCTTCATTGGGCCACTGGGAAAAACACATGGAAAATTTGTAAGTCTGACTGTTTTTATTCATTCACTCATTTAATAAATTCTTATAGAGCCCTATGTGCCAGGGACTGTGATAAAAATGATGACACAAAGTTAGTAGAAAAAGCCTCTTTCTTGAGATATTCATAGTGTAACTGCCTGAGGGGTTCTTCCAGCCCACTGCACAAACAAAACCAGTTCACTGAGACCATGGGCATTGCAGTAAAGAGACTTTAATTGACACAAGGCTGGCTGTGCCATGTGGGAGATGGTTATTACTCAAATCAATCTCCATGAAAATTTGGAGGCTAGGGTGTTTCAAGGAAAGTTTGGCAGGCCAGGGAATCTGCTTTTTGCATGGGGCTACAGAACCCCTTGGTGGGTCCAGATGGAGTCACTGGTTGTCCACCCATCCATGGGTCAGAAACACGGAAACCTGAAAAGACATCTCAAAGGCCAATCTTACGTTTTACAGTAGTGATGTTATCTGCAGGAGTAATTGGAGAAGTTGCATATCTTGGGACCTCCGAAATAATATCTGGTAATCTTTTATGTCTGCACATTAGCAGAACTCAGGTTCCTCTCATCCTCCTAACCTGATGGTCTTTTATTAACTAAACAATTATGGTTTAGTTTATGGGACGAACAATTATCATTTAAACTATAAACTAAATGTCTCCTAAAGTTAGCTTGACCCAGGCCCAGGAATTATTAAGGGCAGTTTGGAGAATAAAGGCAAGATGGGGGTTGGCTAGATCAGATCCCTTTCACTGTCATAATTTTCTCACTGTTATAATTCTTGCAAAGGCAGTTTCAATAGCTTTGTTGTGGAGAAAATAGATGAATGTACGGAAAATGTGCATGCAGTCTTAAAGCATTCAAGTTAAACACAATCTCTCTTAAGGGTGGAAGAAAAGTGTTCCTGGAAATCTAATTATTCAAACCTTACAACTCTACTTTTGGTAAATGCTTTAGAAAAGATCAAGGCTTGGTATCGATGATCCCAAGCCACAAAATGGCAAATGCAGAGCAGCTTATGTAGAAAGAAACAAAATGCATATATTTCAGAGATGAGGATTCAGATTGGACAATTATTTTCTTAGTCTCATTGATTAAAAGTTATTGTCCTTTTTTTTTTTTTTTACTGTGAGGAATTTGGAGTTTTATTAAAGGATACACTATCTTTCAAATTTGATGTTCTATAAATATATCTGTTGAAGTCTATATATTTTTCTTTAAGATGGATAGTTCAGCCATTTTTAGAACATTATTTTTGTCATATTTACACAATGTCAAGTTAGAGTATCATTTAGCAATATTATTGTGTGTACATACTTGGACTGACTGAAGAACTCTGACCAATAGGATCAAGATTCTGGCTTTCAGAGGGCATCTTTTGTGGAATTTCATCTCACCTGGGAAGACTGAGTATTGCCATGGCAGGGACATAACCACTCTGGGTTTTCTTTTCTAGTAAGGCCTTCCAGAGAGGGAAGAAGAGAAAGAGGATCCACAGGAGCACAAGCAAAGACAGATGTGGATTCATAAGTTGCTGGGGGTTTCAGGACAATTAAATCATATTTTACCATTTCTCAGCAGAACTAGCAATATTGATTCACCAAAACACTTATGTGTCTCTATCAAGATATCTTTGTGTCCATCTTCATTCTTACTATTGGCGATATCAAGGGGTGATTGAGTGGGAGGAATTTCTAGCTCCAGATAATTTCCATCTATATTCCCAAAATCACATATATATATGTGATTTTGGGAATATATATATGTGATACATACATATACATATATATGATACATACATATACATATATATGATATATCATATATATATGATACATATATATGATACATATATATACACATATATGATACATCATATATATATGATACATATATATATATATATATATGATACATTCCCCAACCAGAGCCAAGAATGAGGACATGGGTAGAATAAATAAAGCATGGGAGATGTAAAACATGTCCACTGTGTGTTTGCCTCCTCAAGCCCGAATGCATTTCATAGGATGAAATGGACATAGAGGGCAGCCCATAAAGGGAAAACAAGTCATCAATAGACAACCTTTGTGAACAATGTAGAACCTAAAGGAAAACTTCCCCTTCATCCTCTGAAGGTTTATTGAAAATCACAACTGACAAAAGATTAATAGGAGAAAAGTCATACAGGTTTGTTAATGTGCACAGGAGGGTCCTAGGGAGAAATTACAGAGTAATCACCCCTCAGCCAATGGGGTACAGATGCTCATATATGAAACCACCTTTGCAAAATTATGACAGTAAGAGATATCTGACATGGGTGACTCCATCTTGCTTCTAGCCTCAGAGGGTGGCTGTCTTTGCTTATTCCTGGGTGTAAGCCAAGCTAACTTTCGGAGAAATGTAGTTTACAGTTTAAATGATAATAGCCCTTCCCCAAAACTAAACTGTTCTTATAAAACTAATGAAACTAAGGAGGATGAGAGGGTCTTGAATTCTAAATAATTACCAGCCATTATTCTGTAGTTTGTAAGATTTACTTACAACTTCCCCAGTTACTTGAGCAGATAACATCATCACTATTGTAGAACACAAGATTGACCTTTAGAGATGTACTTTCAGGTTTTTTTTCATTTCCGACAAGGGATAACCCCATCTGGGCCCTCTAACCAGTCCTGTGGCTCTTACCCAGAAACTGACTCAGCACAAGGGGACAGCTTAATTTCCCTATTATTTCATCTGCAACTCAACCAATCAGCATGCCTCCTACCCTAGCTCCTTGCCCACCAAACTATCTTTGAAAAATCCCTAACCTCCAAGCCTTTGGGAAGATCATTTTGAGTAATGACCCTGTCTCCCATGTGGTGTGGGTGATCTCGTGTCAATCAAACTCTTTTCTGCATGCAATGACATGGTCTCGGTGAGTTGATTTTGTTTGTGCCACAAGCAGGAAAAACCCATTGGGTGGTTACATATACCCTTCTTCTTAGAGGAAAGGGAGATGTGGAAATGTAGATGATTTTAGATGTATAATAAATGATGTTTTGGGAAAGTGAATGGGCTTAAAGAACATACAATTGCCTGGGACAAAGTCTGTTGGGCTCGAAGAGCAGACAGTGGTTTGCAACAAGTCTGTCCAGGTGTGTTGATAGATTAGTCTTTCTTCCTGTTATATGAGTTTAATTAATGAATACTCGGGGAAGGAACCAGAGGTAACTGTTTTTTTTGGTGGGTCAAGATTTTAGGCAGATGAGGGCACTTCAGAGAATGACTGCATCCTGTGCTTCCTGAGAGGCAGAAGACTAAGAGACAGGGTGGCAGGGTGGTGCGGAGGGGCAGTCAGGGAGACCTTGAGGTTTCCTTGGTTCAGCATGTCAAAGTGCCATATTTTGGTTTGTTTCTGAACCCCAACAACAATAATAGCAGCCAATTATTTTTAACACTTACTACATGCCAGTTACTTTTCTGTATGTTTTTGTACAATAGCACTAATCCTTAGTTTATTCAATCCACATTTGTATCCTCAGTAAGTGGAAGAGCCAAGATGTGAGCCAAGGTGGTCTGACTCCCAAGCCATGTTTCATATCCCTGGAGAAAAGATCTCTTTTAAATCTCATCTACTCTTTCTAGCAACACAAAGAATGGCTCAATGATTGCTCTGATCTTCAGTGGTATATGAATTGTTAGTGTCAGCTTTAGCTTTACAGAAGGGGGTGCATTTGGGGTCCTTTCTCAAGGTTCTGAATTTATCATTTGATATTTAAGAGAGAGAGTGAATTCTCACCAATTTTGGTTGCATTACTGCTGACTCTAGAGACTAAAGGCAGAAAAGGCTGTTTTGAGTCTTTGTGGAACGAATTACAAAGTTAGAACTACTTAATTGCAAATTTCATAGACCAAGAATTCAGAGAGGAAGACAATTTTGAAAGTCAAATACTCTATGATGATTATGGAGTAGTTGAAAACCATAGAATAAGGCTATATGGTATCTCCACTTTGCCCTCCAGGTACCAGCAGATTTAGATGAGGAGCCCCTTGTTGACAAAGACTCACTCCCTGTATGCCAACACCCAGAATTATCAACAGGAAATTAATAGCTTCTGTACCCCATCATTTCATGGGGAGTCTGAGAATAAGCAGATAATATACGCATAGAGATAATTAGACTTTCAGAGGTAAGGTGCTGCTGAATGTTTGATTTCTTGTTTTTCCTTTTGTTTTTTTTTTCAAAAAAAATTAATGGAAGTGGCTAGAATTAACACACAGTGTTCAAAACAGAAGCTTGGAAAAACCACTGATAAGCAAAGTCTGACTTTCTACAAGCAAATGCACAGGGTTCCAAACAGAGTTGAGAAACAAAAGCCTGGGCTGCTCTGGTTAAATAGTTTCTACATTTTGAAAAAAATCAACCACAACTGGCAAAACATTTTTTTTCCTTTTTTTCCCCTTAAATCTACAGGGAAGAGACATCTGATACCAACTATCCTCAGCTCTCTGGTCTTTTGAGTTCATTTTCCAAATCTATACACAAAAGCAGCAGAGAATATAGTAGAATAAATGTGTCCAGGGAAGAAATAAGTGCATTGGGGAATTGAATAGAAATGATAAAAATCACTCCACTTCTTTATTGAAATAATTAAATATGAAGTGGAGTGGAGAGTAGCAGATGAATTCTAATAGTAATTGAATTGGCACTTAGGAGTTACCTTATCTGCCTTGCCACAATTCAAAACTCCCCACAGTGTTTTCTCTCAGTCCACATCATATTAATTATGCCTCTCATCCACCATCTTGTTTGTGAGCAAAGTAGTTAGTATGCATGGAGAGGCATTCAGCTATCCTAATGGGGTTCAGTGAGTAGTTATTCTATCCCTCAAGAAAATGGCATCTGTTTCTGTAGCACACAAGAAGCAGCTAATACACATACCAACTGCCATGGGGATTTCTTCTTCCTGTTTTATGAAAAGAACAAAGGTTTCTGTTTTTTATAACTCAGATACATGGTCCTGCTTTCTCTATCTGGGTGAAAATCTTGGAGCTTGATTCTTGTCAACTCCATCTTCAAAAATATTTGGTTTCCCACAAGTAAGTTTTCTGTTTTATGTGCATCTTTGCAGATCCCACCTATCGCATGTCATGCAGAATACTTGCTGAAATCCTACTTAAAAGTGGAATTTTGTTATAAAATTTTTTCCTCCTATCATATTTTCAGCACACTTTGTTTTATTTTATAGAACAGAGAAGATTATTGATGTCGGTTTTCCAGCCAATCAAATTATTCTGCCTCTGATTGCCATGCTCTCTTTGGATGGGGGAGTATGATGATAGATGATTTCTGCAGTATACAGGTTCTTTTCAACCTTGATTATATGGACTAGTTTTCTTGTTTTAAGATTAGTCAGTGGGAAGAATGGAGTTGAGAAGTAAAGATTTTGCTAGCTGGAATTCTATTTATCTTGTTCTGCTTAAACAGTTCCAGCAAAAATAATAATAATAAAAAATAAAAATAAAAAATGAAGGCAGAGGGATGTTAACTAAGTTTAACCTAAGGCCAATTGGGTTAAACTAATTAATCACTTAAGAATAAGAGGGAAAATTGGGACAATAGAAAACATCGTGTATGGAGTTGACCTGTAGCCTCACTCACCCCTTTGTCTATGTGTGCATAATTTAATTGCCATCTGAAATTATTCTTGTTCACTGTCAAAGTAACTAATTCATTGGCCTGCAAAAAATGATGAAGACTTGGGCCTCTGGATCAAGGCACTGAGAGGTTTCAGTCATACAATAAGTTCCCTTTGAGGGTGAGGGATGTTATATAATTTTTAATCATTAAAACTATCATTATGAATATTAATTTGTCTCCCCAACCATTTGGCGGGTGGCCCAGTAATACCAGAACACAGCATGGAAAATTTTGCTGTAGGGATATGTTTTTGGAGGCATTGCTTCAGAGGCCAGTATAAGAGATCGCAGTAGCTGTTGGGGATAAGATAGATATGAACATACTGGTTGATTTCTTTTTCAAGATCAAATTTGCATCGATGTCTCTCCAATTCCTTTATTGTGTGGGTATCGTTTCCTGCTATTGTTTGTTATTTGACTCATAAGCTTTTATACCTTGTCTATTATCCTTAAGTGTTGCTTAGGCTAAGCTAGGCTTCAATCAAGTGTATATTTTCAGGTCCAACTGAGACTCCAAACTTTGATTTCCACATTCTGATATACTAAAACAAGCCAGGAGTGAGGCTGTGTCTACACTCTACTATTCAATAAATTAGAGATTGGAAAGGTGTAAGAGTGCAAATCAGACTTTTCAGAATAAAAAGCACTAACTTCAAGATTTTAATTTATTTTGAACACCTTTGAAATATTTTCTAGTATTTTAGGGTGGTTCTAAATATGAAATAATGTGTTACTTTTTGCATTCCTCTGATGAAAGTCGTAATCTTCCTTAAAGTAAAAATATAACCCTAAATTACCTGATTTGATGCCGGTATTTATCAAATTAGTTATTTGCTAAATCTATATTCTTACTTAACCTTCATGGGCATGACAGCAATCGTATAGGCTTCGGAGATAACAAAACTGTAAATGTTGTGTGGAATAAAAGATTTAACACCGAATGGTGTGATTAACTAATGGGACGGCATTGCAAATGGCAGCGCAACAGGAAAATCCTTGCATTACTGTGAAAAAAAAATTAAGATGGATAAAATGTATTAAGTCCTACAGATGAGAATGAAAAAGTTGTAGGAAAAAAACAAATTCTAGTGCAGGAAAATCAGCTTAGTAAAAATTGAAAATGCATGTAATAAAACTAATTCAGGCAGGATATTAATCTTGTGTAAAAAAGATAAAAGCATGTTAAAGCCTGATTGTAAAATATTAATGTGCTAAACCATCATAAAACTTCACATATGCCCTTTAGCGATAGTATTGTTAATGATGATAAAAACTTATTTGCAAATTCTTCTTTTATGAAGTCTGGGAACAGAAAATCTGAAAATGAAGACTAATGTAGACATCTACTGTGTGTAAAAGATAGGAAATGGTGGAGGTTAATGAGGTTTAGGGCAACTGGTCTCTTGACATTTAACTGTGTGACCATAATCAAAGACCCTGTGCAGTCTCTGAGTGAAGTGATTGGAGATGATTCGGGTTTGCACCCTAATACTATTGGGAGTATTCTTAACTCTTCCTAATTTGTTTTCTGACAGGGCACATGCTCTTGGAATTACACTTATCTTGGCCCACAATAAAGGAAACTGCATTTCTAGATTTCTTTCTTCCACTGAAGCCCCATTTTAACAAAAACAAAGGTGGAATTCATCTCAAGCCTTATTCTGCTTTTACATCATTATGTTACTGGCTCTGAATTTTAGGGGCTAGAGTCACTGAAATTCTGTGATAGCTCAGGAGACTGTTTTTGTATAATAGGGGGAGGCAGCAGGAAGAACTGAAGTAGGCTCCCCTAGGTCAATCAGCTTGACCTGCATGCAAATCCTTATTATGTCACTTACTACAGGATGTTGATTCATTTATTTAACCCCTCTGAGTCATGCCTACTTAATAGAAAAAACACATAGGGACAAAAAAAGGGTTAATAATCCCTATTTGCACGGTTCTTGTGGGGGTCTATAATGAAGTATATAAAGCTTCTGTTATCAGTGCTCAAATGTAATAAGAATTATTAAAATGTTTATTACTGAATTTTTTTTAATCTACTCAGAAAGTTCTACCAGCTGACCTCCCACACAGTATGAGTATTCCACACGTCATGATTCATTCACCTATTTCCATGTAACTGGAAAGTTTTCTCTGTTCACCAATGTTTAAGAAAATCCTATTCATGTACTAAGACCTGAGTCACATCCCACTTTTTCCAAAAGGCATTTCCAGCTCCTCCAACACAAAATGTACCTTCTATGTTTCTCCGGTCTCCTGTTAAAGTTATCTTCCTTTCAACTCTGGTTGAATCATGTTTTATTTCTCCCTTAATAGCAGGAGCAATGACTTGTACTTCTCTCACATCTCACCTTTCTCACAAACTCCTAAAACATTTAGCATGTTACCCAATACGTGTTTGAAATTCCTTTATTTGGTTGCGTTCTTAGAACACAGGACCAAGAGAGATTCAAATTCTTTGATTGATTATGAAGACAAGAGCATGGCCTTTGAAGAATTTTTAAGAGCACACAGCTCAGGTTTTGACTATAACTTCAGGACCCTCATATTTTGTAAAATGACACCATATTTAAGGCATACGTCTAATTAGAAGTAAGCCAATGAGTAGACCATTTGTCATTGACTTTATAAACCCATCACCAACCTGATGGTGAATATATATTAAATGGACTTTTCTCAGCTACACTGCTGAATGTATTTGTGCTTCTGTTCTCTTCAGCTCCATTTACCTTTACCACTCTTATCTTCTCATTGTTGATTCCTGTCCAGGTACTGTTTTTTGATGTCTTGTCAAGTCATCAGCCCAAGTGACATGGTGAACAAAGGGAAAGAAACTCTGCTCTCGCTAATCTCATGCCATTTTGCTTTTCTGCCTCAATAGCTTTTGCTCTTTAAGCTACAGAGAGACCTTCCACAGATCAGAAGGCAGCTCAGGGAACATGGAGGCCAGACATAAATAATCTAGATGACAATAGGGATGGCTATTTATAAAAGTTTGTAAAAACAAAAGAGGAGTCTGATAGCAAAACTGGATTGGTTTTACAGAGCAGAGGTAGCATATCCCACGTAGCCTAGGCCTAGTTGTATTATCCCTGAGAGAAACTGAAGTCCACATAGCAGCATTTCATTAATTTAAGTAAACCTTCAGAACAAAAAGGCAGAGGGAGCTCAAAACAACATCTTGTGTTGCTGATTTTTAATATCTTGTGTTGTGTTTTCTTATTTGTATTACCACTACTTGTGACTGACTTGTCTGCTAATCCATATTTTAAAATCTAGTGCATGGCCTCATCAAATAACCTACTACCATAGTCTATAATCTCCTATTTAATTAAGAGATAAGCCTTAATAAAATATGGTTAGCATGAATAAGCTTTGGATATGATCCTATGGCCATGTCATCCTAAATACTATTTGGATTCAACCATCAATAAATGTAAGCCTTTTAAAAAAATATAAGATGTCTCTAGAATGGATAAAGAAGCATCTTGGAAATAAGAGGTTAGTAAATTTAAAAAAAATTATGAGGCTTTTTATAAAAACATATTTTTAAGACTTTTCAAATACTCTGGCTTTAGGAATGAACACACATATTGGCTCTGATTCAATTCTCCATTTGACATCATAGGCCCAAGTTTTGCTTTGTTCCTGCATAGTATAGATGTTTTCAGACGTAACAAGATTCAAATAATCTGATTATGATACTGGAAACTTTTGTCTTTTTCTTTAAAAAAGAAATATCTGTTAGTGGAAGGCATTAGAAACCAGTAATTATAGCACTACTAAGGAAGTGACCTTACAGGTTGTCAGACCTGTTAAGGTGGATTTGCATAAAGTGAAGCTCATTTAGCACTTGATTGTATACAGTCCTATAGTGTTCTTTAAGGTTTCACATGGCTGGTCTTCCCAAAATAGTTAGAAACAATTCAAGAGAAAAATTTATTTTGCTTCACTGTTCCTAAACACTTCCAAGTCTGTCACTCACTAAACCCAGTGCAGTTGGACTAACCACACAATAATACTGAACTTCGGTTTCCTTTTCATCAAATGACAATAATTATACTTGCCTTGACTAATTCATAGGATCATTCTGAGGCTTACTTGAGATATCAGATGTCTAACTTTTTCATAAGTTGTAAAGCCCTATATAGATATTAAATATTATTATTGTGATAACTGACACCTATAAGTAGTTTTTCATTTATCTAGCATTAATACAATGAGGTCACAAGCCAAACAGTTGGTTCTCACAGTATTTTATTTGTGGTATGAAAAAGTAAGCAGTTTCTAAAGTACTTCACATAATTCTAGTTGTAGCTTACAGACCAAGAGAATTGATTTGTATGTATTTCTTCATATTGATGAAATCTATTTCATGCTCTGAAGAAAAAAAACAACAGTTTTCCATTAAGCAGCATACATCATATAATTCTACACCCAGGATCATGGAAGTTACTATAAAGGTGAGACATGGTACATTATTTAATAGAATTTACTAAAATTTCTTCCAACACCTATTTTTAAAAACTGAAAAATTATAATTAAAACCATTAATTTTTATTGCTAACATGTTTATTCTCTCATTTTATTTTCTGAAGATCATAAAATATCTATTACCTTTAATATGGAAATCTATTAAAGAATCTCTTCATTGCCTGAAGGTATGTGGGGGCAAATTCCAATGACTAGACTTGCTGAATATAGTACAGTAAAAAAAGAAATTTTGATTATTTTATTCTATGACGTCAACACAAAGTTAATATAAAAACTTCTCTGTTCTTAGTCATTGGGTACCTAGTGTGAAATGTCAAAACTAGAACTATGCCAACTATATATATAGTTCTTATTTGCCAGTACAAACTAAGCCATTCCTGTATCAGTGAACCCATAAATAAAAGAACATACAATATATTAGAAACAGAGGGATAAAGAAATTGAAAAACTTTCTTCTCATTCAAATCCTTTATGCTCCCCTCCATAGGCAAGCTTCTTAACTATGGAAAATTATATAAGACGTTTGTCATCATACAGAAAGCCAGACTCCAGGCCCCTCACGCCACTGATGCTTCTTCTTTTAAAGTCGTCTACGGACATTTTTTTTTTTTAAAGCAAAGCAAATGGAAACCTTATTGAACTTAACTTACTCGAAAGCTCAGCAACATTTAACACTGTAGTGACCTCCTCCTTTTGAACATACTTCATTCTCGTGATCTCGGTCACTCCTTATTCCCCATTTCCCTGGTCATTTCCTCTTAAGGCATTCTTTTCTCTGCCTGAAGATCAAATGTTTATTTTACTGAGGGTTCTGTCCTCTTGTTGAGTTAAACAAACAATTTTCCTGTAGAAAATATAATTCAACATTCATTGATGACTCCTTAATCCAGCAACAACTTCTTCCTAAGCTTCAGACTCAAAAAGCCTAATGGCCTTCAGGATATGTGTATTTTCCTGCCCTATTTTAACTTTTAACGTGTCCAAAAGTAAATATAAAATATCAGCGCCAAAATCTGCTCTTCCTCCTCTGCTCTCCATTTCCACAAATGGTGCCATAGTCCATCCAGTTACCAAAGCCAGAAATTTGTTAGATTCTTATATTTCACTTTCTCCCCCTCTGTCCCATGTCAAAGCACATATCAACTCCCATTCATTTTATTTTTTACCTGAATGAATCCTGAGTCTTTGCTTCTCTCTCTCTAATTTCAGGCCTATGTGAGTATCAGTAAGGGCGAGGAAACATGGTAGAGTGCTTGAGTTCCCTCTCGTTTTGATATATCCTATCGCTTTTAGCTCTCTCTTGGATTAGAGGAAGGGTATGAACATAATTCCACATTAGTTTATATGTATTATGAGGCACAGATCTCTGATACAAATTACAAAGGCAGCAGCCAAAATTTGAGAATCCTTTATGCCTGAGGCACAATCACATGGCCCAGCTACTTCATATTTTGCCCCACCAAGTGCCCTTACCACAAATCTGACTGTCGTTACCTCTTACCTCGGTTACATTAATAGCCTCGTAGCAAGTATTTCTGGCCCTGGATTTATAACCTTAGTCTATGATTCACACAATAACTAGAATTAGCCATAAGTATTTGAGAATGACAAAGTGAATAAATGATTGTAAATATTTTAGAGGCTTTTAAATGCCACTCTCATCCCCAAATAGGAAGGTTTAATTAATTCCCACTTCACTTTAAAACAAATTCTAGATGTATAAGTGCCCACAAAATCCTTTCACCAACACATTATATGTTAAAAAAAAAATTTTGCCCTCACTTAAAAACAGAGATAGATAGTGCCTTTTTTCTCAGATACTTTAGTCCAAAAGATATGTTTTTCTGTTAGGTATACCAATTTTAAAGCTGAGAAGAAATTGGTAATTATATTATTCCTTTAATGGTCATATGTGTGTATATACATATATAAATATAATTATCTATAATTATTACGTATGACCTATAGACCCTCGGTAGAGAGGGCTATGATGACATCATCTAATCCCCTCCATAAGTCTTCATGACATTCCATTTCTTTTCAATCCAACTAAAAGCACATTTGTGATGGAACTTATCCAATTTACTTTGGGTGCAGTCAACTTTACAACCTTTTTGGTTTACCACTTCATGTTCTCCATGGTTGGCACAGCCTGGACTGACATAAAAGCAGACCTAGTAATATCCTGGAGAAATAGAGCAAACAATTTTCTAGTCCCATTCTATCTTTATAGCTGCCAATGCTATCTAAATGGCTGACTTCCTGAGCTATATTAATTGCATTTGAGGCTTTCCTAGATTTCCTATCTGACCAAATTTTAACTAAGAAACTATAATTAGAAGATTTATAAGTTGACCCAACTGATTTTGCTATTCTGGAACTGAAAGGACAGTGTATTTTATGGTATCGCTACTAAGGATTACTAGGGATTTGCAATTCACTGATATGGATATTGTCCATAATTCAGCTATGATAAATAGGTGTGCGGTGGGACTAATAATCACTGCCAATAAACTTGGTTTTGCTCTCAAGAGCTACATGGATACAAAGACGAAAAATGAAAATAGCAACCATAGTTGCAGCCCTCACAGAAAGCAGACAATATACTGATGTTTGTATAATATACACAGATACAAATATAATGCAAAACAGAATCTAAAAATAAGAGCTGACATTCATTGAGTCTTAATATATGCTAGGAATTGACTAAAAGCATGTATGTGGATAACCATCAATCCTTACAAAAAACATGCAAAGCTTTTCTAGATAAGAAAATGAATACTTGGAGAAGTTAAATAATTTGCCCAAGTTTGACCAGGTCAGGATTTAAACTTAATTCCATCTGCCTGTCTGTTTTGTCTGTAAACCTGTGCTATTTTCATAAATGCCAGGGAAGAAATAAAGTTGTGTGTGTGTGTTCAAAGTAAGTTATATTTATCCCTATTTGGAGCCTCAGGGGAGGCTTATAATAAAGATTTTATTGTTATTTATGCTAAAAATAGCATGGAAAAGGGTCTGGATGAAGGTAAATATTCTAGGCAGAAAAAATAGCAAGAAAAGCATCAAGGTGGGAAAGGGAGGAAAGTGAACAGAAAGCAGGAAGTTGTAGATCTGCACTGCAGGCTAAGCAAAGGATGGAAAGGTAAATTGTGGTCAGTTTATGAAGGGGCTAAGGAGTTTCAACTTAATACAGTAGGCTATGGGGAACATTCCAAGTGTTCTGCAAAGCTTAATTACTGAAATATAATTATACTCTAGAAAGGCTTACCTGGCAACAGAATGTAAATGGATAGGTGTGTGGGAGGGGAGATTGAAAGATAGATAATTATAAAAGGCTATTGCAGTAAGGATAATGAAATGAGGTAGGACCAAAAAAGTAGGAAGGTGAATGAGGGAATATATAACCGTAGTTATCTTCTAAACTCTCCAGCTTTGAGAATTATCATTGCTGATCTTCAAATAATAGATTGTTGTTTGATGCTTAGCAGGGCTAGAAACTACAAACCTTGGGAACTGAATGGTTCCATTTAGGTCTAAAATACCTATAATGTATGACCTGTTATAGATTCTATAAGTGAGAAATATTTATAATATTTTTGTGCAGCTTGAGAAGCAACTCACCACTCAAGATGCTTGGCTCTCTATGCTGTAGAAAGGAGAAGCTATTCAATGGTATAATCAAAGTCCTAGGTCTTTTGTAGAGGTCTTGGCATAACTGGTAGTGTGACTTCAATTTCTAGGCTCAGGTTTCTCGTTTGGAAGATGTCTGTAGTAACAATTATTCTCCTTGCTTCTCTTGGTTGTTATAGGAAATCAAATGAGGTAATTAATGTGAAAATACTTTAGAAAACAAAAAATTATCTCTTCTTTTAAGGGTAGGGATTATTTCAGTGTGCCTCTTTATAGTCTCCAAAGCACTGCATTAAGCCCACAGTAGAGTCTAGAAATATTGTTGAATGAGTGGTGTGTACAGGAGTTTGGGCAGAATGGCTTTTGCACCAATGCATTGATACTATGTTCTATGCAGCAAATGTGGACACATGATTTGATCCCAAGTTGTAAGCCTTTATTGAAAGAAAAGGACAGGAAACAGACATGGTTGTGACCAGGGGCATTATAGAAACATGAAATAAAATATAGCTACTATTGGTTCATTTTCTGTTAGAGGTTCTTTATGACCTACTATAAAGATGTAAAAGCTACAGAGAAAAAACTCATTAGTGAAGTAAACAAGAAGCCTATAGACAATATCTCAGTCAGGAAAGAACTGGGTCTCATAGAGTGGGTGCTTCATTTACTATCCCTTGGGGAAGATGGGCCAAAAAGAAGAGTATCTAATTAGTATACGGACTGTGAAGAAGGGAATATTCTTTCCTCTGACATGACTTTAGTGCACTGGGCATTATAAAAGGAAAAACAAAGAGTGATGTTCAAAAGGAAGAGGGAAAGCCATATATCTTCATTTATTCATTCAGCAAATATTAATATTTAGGGGGCCTATAAGAAGGCACAAGAGGAATGCACAGTGCATGTGAAGTAAAGATGGTGCTCCACCAGAAACACTACTTGGGACTTGTGGACTTTGAAGGATATGACAACAGATTAATTTACACACAGGCACATAACAAATTATGATTCTTACAAATATTGAGCACAAATAGAATGAATTTTTAAACTATAACAGGAATGGTTAATTTCCGAAGATGTTTTCACTAAATTGAAACACATTTACTCTATAACAGATGGAGCAAAAAGGAAATAAAAATTAAACAAAAATGGGATGAAAATCAGAAAGCTTGCTTTTCACTTAAATAATTTCTACTCTGAGAAGATTCTCCATTGATTTTTCAGGACTTTGGTCATTTGAATTTTTATTTTTTATTGTTTACTTATTTTTTTTTTTGAGACCATCTTGTTCTGTCGCCCAGGCTATAGTGCAGTGACAGGATCTCGGCTCACTGCATCCTCCGCCTCCTGAGTTCAAGCAATTCTCCTGTGTCACCCTCTCGAGTAGCTGAGATTACAGGCACGCACCACCATGCCCAGCTAATTTTTATTTTTTTATTTTTATTTTTATTTTTAGTAGAGACGGGGCTTCACCATGTTGGCCAGGCTGGTCTTGAACTCCTGACTGCAAGTGATCCGCCTGCCTCAGCCTCCCAAAGTGCTGGGATTGCAGGTATTGGCCACCACGCCCAGCTGGTCATTTGAATTTTAATTCTAAAAGGAAGGTAGCTGCTGTCTGAATGTTTCAATCGCCAGTGTTTTGGTTTTTTTTTTTTTTTTTTTTTTTCCTTCTGCTCTCAAGTTCATGGTGAACACTGTATTTAAAAGGAATTAAACTTTACCCAAAGGGTGTGGATATGTTTAAAAAAATCTGTTTAGATACAAGCAGAATAATAACAGTCAAAAGAATCCAGTTGTATTCACATTTGGACACAGAACAAATAAAAAGGGATTGGCAATGTAGTTCCAAGTGGAAAACATCACAAAGAAGAAAGCTAGAGAATATACATTTCTGGAGAGATTCTGGCAAAAGCTAAGATATTCTGCTTCCCATGATCTAACAGATAAGATATAATTTTGCTTCTCCTTTCCATTTTCAAAATACTTCCTCATTTGTAATCATTTATTGCCAATAAATGGGATCTATCCATCTATCTATATATTTATTTATAAACATGTAGCCAATCACATAGGGTGAGGTTGAACAAGGAAGGCTGACATAGAAACACAGACTAAGAGAGAGAAATAGGTGACAAAATGCATTAGAGGAGAGGATTACCCTTGGGTTTGTTTTCATCATTTTTTTTGTCTGTTGACTAAAATAACATTTTTCTGTCTTGAATATAAGACCTTGTCTGGGGGTCACAGCTGTATTTCTTTCTAGTTTAAGTGACATATTCACTTTTATTTCTTATTTTAAGTTGACCTGGAATCTTATAACACTCCTATTTACAGGAAATTGTAAAATCAAACACAGAAAGCTCTTTTGTTTGCTATTGATACAAACTTATTCAAAGCATCATTTGGTGGCATTTTAAACATCCAGTTATTATTTTTAATATAACTGTATATTTTTAATATAACTCTATATTTTTAATAATATGCTCCTTGGAAATAGATGCTTTTTTTTTTTCAAGTTTGGAAACATACAAGATATTTACCTGGAACTCTTCTGAAGGATCTTGGTTTTCAATTTGATAATGTACTGAATCATACTGGGCATCTGCACACTACTGACAAAAGAAAACATTAGAGCACTCTCATTTCAGGATAGTTCTGACTATTGCCCTTCAGAGACATTTTGGAGACACAATAATGGTGTCTAATAATTTCAGCCAAACTAGGTATTTATCACAGCTTCAAACAGGCAGTAATTCACTTATATTTATTTTCTCAGAATGTAACACTGGTCTGAATTAAACATTATGATACATACCTGTACTGCTATAAACTATTTTTTCAAATTTTCCTAGTCAAGATTTCTTTCTCAAAGAAGAAAATTAGATAGGTGCAGCACACCAAATGAGATGAACTTTGTCCTCAAAGAAAATTGGTTTTTCCTTTTCAATTTCATTTCAAAGAGATCTGACAAGTGTGGCTTTGAACAAACTTTAACAGCACAATATCCTTTGTGTAAGTTTTCCCTTGTCAGCTTTTCCATTCCAGCAGGAACTTAGAACAAAGTGGATGTTGCCCTTTGAGTTGAGAACTTCATCAGCTGAATGAACACTAGCATAGTGCAGTGAAATTGAGGGCATACTCTCTCTACGAATCTCAACAGTGCAGTGTCTCAACAAATATAATTTCTCTATCTGGAGGAAGGAGAGACACTAGCTATACATTTAGATTCATGCACTCTCCTTCTTTTTTCTTTATAGCAAAAGCCAAGCTATTTGGCAACATAACCACTTGAAACTTTTATAGATTATGCTAAGAAGCCTTTTCTTGTGTGTGGGGCACAAAACATTATTTTGTGATGTTGTTTGGATCTACACCATTTTATACCAAAACCATAGGGAGCCTGATTATTAGAGGGGCAAAATCAGACTTTTAGATGTGTGCTGTTTTTCCTTATACATGAAAGTAAAAAAAAAAAAAAGTTTTTGTATTTGTTTTGCTTTCTTTCAATTTTAACATATTTTGTAGCTTTGTGATCATTTAAAAGTAAAATACAAAAGCAGAGAAAGGAAAACATGAGAAACTGCTTCACAGGGATTCTAATCTTTAGTGTACAAAAGCTTGTTATGGCTACTCATTCCTTAGAGCTTTAGATTGTGTATAAATTGTGCTACTTTATGCTGGTAAGTAACTGCTTTGACAAGTTTATTTTTCTTTGCATACTCTCCTAACTTTCTTAAGGGTTTTTTGTTTTTTTTTAACAATTGTTCCTTGCTATCTTTTACTTTTTCTTGGCTCCAACTGTTCCTTTCATCTTCTTTTTTTTTCCCCTATGCATTAATATTTAAAGACTGTACTAGTGTCAAACGTTCATGTAGAGACAACTTAAATGCAAAGTGGATAAGGTTACAGAATAAGTCCATGCCCAATTTAATTACAGCATTTTGATTAACACAGATTGTAAGTAGTTTGAACTAAGAATTTTAAGTTGTTCATCTTGAATATTACAAAGGCTAACCAGAGACGAAGTATAACTTTAACTCAGAAACTGCCAGAAAACACTCTGATTAACCAATTTAGATGTACTATCCAATTAAGGATCTAAATATCTTTGGATCACAGAAATTCATGTTTATTGATAAGATAAAATATTTATTACCCAGAGAGCTGAATTAGCAAAGAGAACAGCTCTAATCAGGTACTAACTTTCAGAAAAAAGAAGAATGTTGGTTGAAATTAAAAGTGTGATACTTACGAGCAAACCTGGCTTGTTTATTCAAAGGTTATGCTTCTTGCCAGCAAAGTCAGTATCTTTGAAAGCTTGGAGTTAATAAAGTCTGTGGCTAAGTTTCTAAATGGGTTCAATAGATAATGACTGTCCATAGCAATAGCTAATTGAGAATAATGACTGGGCAAGAAAGGGCGGGCATAGAGCAGAGATGGAAGAAAACTTCCCTGAAGTAAAGGCCTGAAAATACCTGCAAGGGCAATGGGGAAAAACCCCAAAGCCTTTGTATTTACTGAATGGTCATTAGCTGCCCAAATTTTTTATTTTTTTCTCTTTGGATGAATGTAATGTTGTTTCTCTTAAAAATATAAGGAAGGCAAGGAAACATTAGAGGCTCTTGTAATGTATTTTCTAGTACTTGGAAAAATGCCTATACAGAGTAAACAATCAATGGATTTAGAACTTCTCCATCTTAAAAAGCATGAAAATGGAGGCTATTCCAATTTTTCTTTGTAAGATTTAATTTTCTATTAATTTGTTTTTGGGGTTATTTGAGGCATCTCAAATAGATATAAAATCAGGTCTAAGCTATGCAAAGGTTGAGAGTAACAGTAAGGTGATTGTTATTTTTCATTTGTAAAAATTTTAAATCATTGTAAATACAAAGTTTTGTACTCATGGATTTTAATAGGTAGAATATAATGTTTGATATAGTAAAGTTGTATGAAAGAGCATGCTATATTTTACCCATTTAATGTTATCAAAGACAACGAAGTTTCAATACCTTTTCAAAATGGGATTAGTCAGATAGAACCACTTGCCTGTTGGCAATTTTATTTAAATAATTATAAGAAAACACACACAATTCACACAAACATACACAAGCCCCATTTATTCTAGCTTTGCAGACTCACTCATAACATAAAAGGAATAAAGTCCAAGTAAGTCAGAGTAAGACAGATATTTTGTTTACATGAATTTTGTCTGGCAAGACTTAGCAAAAAGAATTCAGAGAGAAGCTGCTAGAATACTTTGTGCATTTCCTGAAGTTCTCAGCACGTATTATACAATTATTGCTTCTGAAAAAGAAGTTTTCTAATCCCAGAGAAGGTATATTCTACTTGCCATGTCCTGTAGTTAGTCTTACTCTTGTTCTTTTTGGTTATGGTTTGCCCAAAATAGCAATTCAAAAACTAGTGTGGACAATATTATAAAAATCAGGAACTTTTTATTTCTGATTGGAAAGCTATTACATATAAAAATTATGTAATAGTCCAATCAACTTTTATAAATTTTTACATAACTGACAATTATAGAAATTTTTAGTGAGACATCTTTTTAGTTTCCTCTTCCCTTGTTTGCACACAATGCAGTGGCTGAATAATGTATTTATGCTGTAGAAATTAGAGTTCAATGTATTATGCTATTAAAATAATATATTACAGCATTACCAGCATCATTATTACAAAAATGGATTCAGAATAATAAGCCAAATTTGACCAGGGGACTGTGCAGCCATAAATCTACCAGAATCGCACAAGGCGCAGTTTTGCTGACAAGAAATTCCTATGTACTGGTCTCTTGAGACATGTTAGTTAGATTCATATGCACAGGATGTAAGAATATCAAGCACTTCTGTTTGAATGCCAAAGAGAACACATTTAAGCAGATAATGTCCTTCAGGAACAGAACACATTTAAGCAGATAATGTCCTTCAGGAACAAAAAATAAAACATTTCTTCACAAAATGGGAGACTCCACTATTCCTATATTTGGAGAAACATCAAATGTACATTAAAGAATCTCAAAATGACTATATATAAAAGTGACAAGCTTCGTAATTAAAAATATAGTGCCCAGAGTTGATGGCACATTATAACCTATTGCTCAAAATTGAGGTCTGGTTCTAGGCAAAGTTATAACTCAAACAAAATTTATCTTTGTTTCCTCTACTCCTTAAATCGTATTCCCTTTGTCCACTGGCTACTTCATTCCTTCCAACCCAGGCCCTGTCATCTAGGGCGCTCATTTTCTTTAGAAGGGAAAACAACAGAATATCGAGCCTGGGAATGCCCTATAACTTAGTCATCAAACTGTTTATTTGTAAGAAAAGAGATCCTGACACATTAGCAGAGATGACCAACATCCCAAAAAAGAGTCATCACCTCTTATCTATGTGGGGATATATCCAAAGACCCCCAGTGGATGCCTGAAACTGGATTACACTAAACCTTATATAAATATTATATATTTTTGTTCCTTTACATACATCCCTATCACAAAGTTTATAAGGTATAATAAGACATTAATGGCAACTAATAATAAAATGGAACCACTATAACAATATACTATCATTAAAGTTTTGTGAATGTGATCTCCCCCTCTAAAATTATGTTACTACAAGTAACTGAAACTGCAAAAAAGGAAAACTCCAGATAGGGGAAACTACTGTATTTCATAGCACATTCTCAAATAAAGCACCTCATTTCTTGATTGATAAGATGCATTATGTCTTCCTTCTAGGACTGTTTTTATTAATGGCTGGTAAATCCTGAGGCTGGGACTCTGTGTTACTGACTGGAAATGCAAACAGCCATAGATGCTATTGTTCTGTGTTTGTGTCTGGGGCCTGAGGCACTTACTTAAAGTGGAAGCCTAGCAAAGTTATCTCTGCATTTTGAAAAACCTCCACCAATGATTCCTTTGCATAGAAAGAAAAATATTTCTTCTAGACCCATGAAAATGTCTAAGTGTAGGCAGAGCTCCTGGTTAATATCCACATTTGTCTGTAGAAAAAGACTAATTGATGGATATTAAAGAACACTTATTAATCTATAATTTCCTTCTTTAAAAAAATTTAATTCCTATAAATTTCCACTAGTAGTTTATTTATTATTTGAAGAATCTTCAAACTCATCATTTATTTCTTCCTTGTTGGTATTACATACAAATTTTGTAGGAAAGTTATCCACGCTTGATTTTACATATACTCTGTTAGTCTAAGGTAGTATTTCAGACATTAGTGTGCATAGAAAACACCTGGGCCAAAGACCCTGGCCTGAAGCTCTAAAAAGGTCTAAAAGGTTCCTCGGTAGGCCGAGTGCAGTGGCTCATGCTTGTAATCTCAGCACTTTGGGAGGCCGAGGCAGGTGGATCACTTGAGACCAGGAGTTCGAGACCAGCCCAGCCAACATGGCAAAACCCCGTCTCTACTAAAAAATACAAAAAATTAATTAGCTGGGGGTGGTGACAGGCACCTGTAGTCCCAGCTACCTGGGAGGCCAAGGCAGGAGAATTGCTTGAACCCAGGAGGCGAGGTTGCAGTGAGTCAAGATCATGCCACTGCACTCCAGCCTGAGCGACAGAGCAAGACTATCTAAAAAAAATAAATAAAGCTTCTCAGTGATACCAGTGCTGCTTTTCTGGGGACCAGCTATTGAATGGTTCTACTATAGACTGAACAAAGATTGCCAGCCTATGGGTCATAAGGTTTGAATTTATCTGTGTGCTATTAGATATGTATAAATGCCCCCATGTGGCTCTGCCTTGACGTGAACAATGCTTCAAAAGTGTCCTCACCTACACAGGAGAATTATCTTAATTTTATTGCTCCTAGAATTCTTGAAAGATCAAATGATATACATAATGCATTAAAATGGCGCATAAGTTATGAAGTGCTATGTGATTAATCTTAGTTATTAATGTATTATTTCAAGGCCCTCCTCTGAGTCAATGTAAACTAATTTGAGAATCAAATTCACTGCCAGAAATAAAACATTGGGCTGTATGTATCAATTATTAAAATCACATAATCATTCTAGAAGAATTATGGGCCATAAGTGTTTGAAAAAGACTCAGTCCCTTATTATTTAAAATGCAAAATTAAAAAACATCCTGTCATATTGGTAAACTTAATAATATTATTGTTTATTCACTACAATGCTTAGCGATGGGGAAGGTACACCTATGATATACTGGTAGCGAGAGAATAAAATGGTACTTGGTTTCTAGATATATGTGGTACTTGGTTTCTAGATATACGTGTTAAGAACCCTAAAAAGTGTTTGCTGTTAAACTCAATAACTTCACTTCTGGGAATCTATTTAAAAAATAAAATAATGTGCTAAAAATAGTTTATGCATCAAAATGACTATTACAGAAGTAGTATTGATTATAATAAACTTTGCAACACCCCAAATGACCAAAATAGTAGTATTATGTTATGATCTGAATGTTTGGCACCTCCAAAATTCATGTTGAAATTTAATCCCCAATGTGGTAGTATTAAGAAGTGGGGCCTTTAAAAGGTGATTGGGTTACACCCTCATGAATTAATTAACCTATTCATGAGCTGATGAATTAATGGGTTATTATGGAAATGGGACTGGTGAATTATATAAAGAGGAAGAGAGACCTGAGCTAGCACACTCAGCCCTCTCGCTCCATGATGCCCTATAATGCCTTGGAATTCAGCAGAGTCCCACCAGCAAGAAGGCTCTCACCAGATGCAACTCCTTGACCTTGGACTTTTCAGCCACCATAAATGAAAGAAATACATTTTGTTTCTTAAAAATTAGTTTCAGGTATTCTGTTATGAGCAACAGGAAATGGACTAAGACACACTGCTAAATAAAATACGGTACATTAATATAATGGAGTGCGAGGGTGAAACTTTATTCAGAAAAACTTGTCGTTTCAAACTTACATTTCAGTGGACAAAAACAAAGCAGCTATCCTCCAGAGCAAATCTGGTGAAACAGAAGAGCCTTAGTATGCAGTGGATTCCCAAATATGTATATATACTTTGACCTTATAGGATCACTACAAGAACTGCCTTGATCAGAGATTTGGAAAAATATTTTTATATAAATATGTTTAACATACTATTACCAAAAATATAAAAACTAACCAAATAGCCACTCGTGGTGGAAGGTTAACACACATGCTCCAGTATAGAATATGATACATATGGTTAAATGTATAAAATATCACATATGACTGAATGACTATAAAATTTAGAGAGATAAAAAGACAGAAACTTAATATATAATATGAATTTATCTTATTAGGATAAAATGCCCCAAGTAGTAAAAATAATCTTTAAGATAATTTTACATACTTTTATATATTTAATTTTTTATATTTACTATGCACTATTTTTATTACATAAACTTTTTCAATCAATTCACATTGCATGTGTGCTTTTAGGGAACAGGTATAGAAGAAATGACAGATAATTCATCAAGCTAGCAGTTGATATTATATAAACACAGTAATTGCTTGACTGGATATATTTAATTTTTACCCTTTTACAATTTTTCTGATGTCAAAGAAACAGTTCCAAAACTCCTATAGAGATAATACCTACAAAAATAATCCTCAGGGAAAATGGAAACCAAGGTTTCGGCAATTTTTTAGGACTTACAATTTTATGTCCACTAGACTATGGATATGTGAACCTGTTCCCATTCTCAGAACTGAAGCAGGTGATTTAAAGAACTTATGCCTAAGTCGGGGTTCTATTAAGTCTACACACAGCAACCTGTGAGGAAATGTAGTTGACAACTATCTTTGAAACGTGCAGATGGCATTTTGAGGGCCTTTACACTGCACCCCATCCATTTTTTGATATTTCAATGTAATAGAGTTCTTTATTCAGAGGATCTTTATGGACACCTACTATATAGCCAGTACAACACTGGGTGTAATAGGAATTCAAAGATACATGTTAATGTAAACTCAAGTTGCATCTCCCAGAAAGGAGATCATAAATCTTAGTCATAGATAAAGCAACATGACAGCAAATGATATAAATATAAGAGAAGCACAAAGAATCTGATGGAAGACCAGAGAGGATTACCCTGGTAGGGTAGTTAGGAATGGCTTAATGGAAAGGCAGCCTGGAGGATAAGAACAGGTACAGTTGGTAAGAATGGAGAGGGAAGACTTTCTGATACAGAAAATAAAAGCAAAGGCAACAATAAAGCAAACAATTATGTCATATCTGGGAATACTAGATTCTTCTATTTAGAACAAAATATTAAGTTGAAAAAAAATACCAGGCTGGGTGCAGTGGCTCACGGCTATAATCTCAGCACTTTGGGAGTCCAAGGCAGGCAGATCACCTGAGGTCAGGAGTTCAAGACCAGCCTGGCCAACATGTCAAAACCCCATCTCCACTAAAAAAAAAAAAATAAAAAATTAGCTGGACATGGTGGCTGGTGCCTGTAATCCCAGCTACTTGGAAGGCTGAGGCAGGAGAATCACTGGAACCCGGGAGGCAGAAGTTGCAGTGAGCCCATATTGCACCAACACAGTCCAGCCTGGGCGACAGAGCAAGACTCTGTCTGTCTAAAAAAAAAAAAAAAAAAAAAAAAAATCAAAAGGTTTTGCCGAAATCAAACCATCACGTGTTCTAAGTTTCAAGCCAAGGTATCTAAACTTCATCTTATGGGGAAGAGGAAGTCAGTGAAGGTCTTGGAGTTGCAAAATTACACAATTTAAATAACAGGTTAAGATGATTATTCTGATGTTAATATGCTAAAGGGTTTTATGGGAACCCAGATCTAAGGGGATTATATAAGAGACAGACCAGAATTCCAAATGTATCTCAATAACTTGACTATTAATATTGCCCTGAGAAAGTGTCTCCTGTCCTTTCTGTGTAATCTACCATCAATATAAACATATCTTTATGTGAATTAGAAAAAGGAACCCCATAGGGCTGGGGAAGCCCAGGAGCACACTACATTGCTTGGGAAGCAGACAGCACCTTTGTGCCAAAAACAAAAACAAAACAAAACAAAAAAACAAAAAACAAAACAACAACAACAAAAAAAAAAACAGAAAAACTTTCCTCTAGGTCTCTGAGTAGATTTTGCAACATTATTTGCATGTGAGGAAAGAGGAGTATAATCCTGGCTTTGTTTTAGCCTTCATTCTCCACTTAGGAAGATTTATGCATTACATGCACCGGACAGCTACAAATGGAATTGTGTTTCACTTATCCTACCTTCCAAGATTGTGGTTAGCACATATACCCAATGTATTTAGAAAAGGATTGTAACAGATATCCAATGAATGATAAGGATGGTGGTGGTGATGACGGTGATCGTGAATAGGGATAGCAATAATATTAGTAATAGTGTCTACTGTTATTATCTTGACTCAGCATATAAAGGACTTGGACCAATATTCAGAAAATAGAAGTGATCAGGTGAATTAGAAAATTCAAAAGGGAAAATGAATAGTACTTGACTGGTTATATTTGCTGAATGAGGGAAAATAAGTCAAATATGACTTTCAGCTTGATAGATAGTAAAAGAATAATTATGCTCCAGTAAGAAATGGCGAAGTCAGGAAAAGCAATTATGGGAAAGATGACAAGGTTTGTCTTTCACCTGTTGTATGTAAAAGTAAAAGTGAAGTATCCAGGTACAAATATTCATCAGGTGATTGAAAATGTGGGATCAGAGCTCACTGTAAGGATGGAGCTAGACCCAATAAATCTGAGATTCAGGTGCATAACTTCAAAGGTGCATTATAAAACTGTATATGATCACTGAGGGAAGGTATGTAAAGAGAGAGAAGAAAACATGGATAGAAGTAAGGAGATTCCTTTGTGTAGCTGTTAGAGCTTATCTACTACTTAATTCCAGAAAGATGCCATTCACAGCATAGTTGATGTGATAAAATCCCCATGAAGGAGGGCAAAGTGCCTTCGTACAATTATACGTGATAGCCCTGTTTGGAGATTTCCCACGTTTAGGAAATGATGGAGTTCTGCTTCAGCAAAAGATGTCTGGTCTCTCCTACTGAATGCAACTATAATATGTGAACAGAAGGCATGCAGCAGCTCTTTGAGAATCCTGAAAAGAAAATAGTAGTAAGCAGATTGGGGAAGAAGACAAGAATTAAAAGTACCACCAAAGTGGTGGTGAATTTATCATTTTTCTTCTCCAGTATCTCCTAGCCTGAATGTAATGCAGTCTGAAACCTTAAAGTAGACATTAGAAAGAACAGAGAGCTCCAGGAGAAGCTTACTAGTTTTGGCTCAGGGAATCAAAAAGGGAGCTTCTCATTCTCAGAGAGAGTGTAGACTTCCGTGTTGTATTTTTCTTACCACTATTTCCTTGTTCCTTATCCTACAAGCAGTCATACCACGGCAGTGGAACACGCCACAATGCAAGAGGAGGCCACAGAAAGCAAAAGGAGGATAATTGTCCACTCTTAATTGGTGGAGTTGTGATCCTGAAAGAGTGGCATCAAGCCTTGGTGCCTTTTTTTCTCTTTGCCCTTCTACCTTTTGGCTCCCAGATTAGTCACAGAAATTCAAAATAAAGCAACTAAAACTCAGCTGCTTTCTGACTGGACAACCAGAAAGGGAAGTCCCAGGGAACTGGAAAGTAACAGAGACATAGCACAGAAAGAACCTCAGGAAAGCTACCCAATAAAATTTCTTAGAAATACCTGGGTTCACTCAAGCTGGCATGTATGGGTCGAATCAGCATACCAAAGCCTTTTGAAATGGAAATAGATCACTACCCACAGTGGTGCATATGTGAGGTGGGTATGAATAGCACCACAAAGGCTTTGAAAACATAACTACCATAGGAACCACAGCTCACAGAAGTTGGTTGGGACTTGCAGAATGAACCTAACCATGTAAATCGCTTACTGAAATAAAAATATTAATATTCAAATAAGGTCGAGGTTGACATTCTCATATTTAAAATGTTCAGTGTACAATATTGCTAAAGATATGAGAAGACAAGGAAAACCTTGACTCTCATGAGAAAAGGCAAACAATCAACAATGCCAAGAAAACACAGGTGTTGGAATTATCTGACAAATACTTTGAAGTAGTCATTACATAAATACTCTAATAAGTAATAAAAAGCACGCTAATAGTGAAAGGAAAAATAATCTAGCAAATAAGGAGGAAATAATTTCTATTTCCATCTCATCAAATACAAATTATGGAATGGAAAATACAAGAAATAAAATAAAAATCTCGCTGGTTGGGCTCAACAGTAGATTGGAGATAGATTTGAATCTCAACTTGAGTGAACCTGAATGATTAATATAAATTATCCAGTATGAATAACAGAGAGTAAATGAGTTTTTTAAAAGAGTTGATCCTTAAGACCTGTGCGACAGTACAAGAGGTCTAATATTTGTGTCATCAGAGTCTTGAAGGAAGGGAAGAAGAGTGTAGCACTATATATATATATATATAATGAAGATATATATATAAAAAGATATAATATAAATTTATATAATATATAAGAGATATATATTTTCTATATATAATATATAAGAGATACATATTTTCTATATATAATATATAAGAGATACATATTTTCTATATATAATATATGAGATACATATTTTCTATATATAATATATGAGATATATATTTTCTATATATAATATATAAGAGATACGTATTTTCTATATATAATATATAAGAGATACGTATTTTCTATATATAATATATAAGAGATACGTATTTTCTATATATAATATATAAGAGATACGTATTTTCTATATATAATATATAAGAGATACGTATTTTCTATATATAATATATAAGAGATACGTATTTTCTATATATAATATATAAGAGATACGTATTTTCTATATATAATATATAAGAGATACGTATTTTCTATATATAATATATAAGAGATACGTATTTTCTATATATAATATATAAGAGATACGTATTTTCTATATATAATATATAAGAGATACGTATTTTCTATATATAATATATAAGAGATATGTATTTTCTATATATAATATATAAGAGATATGTATTTTCTATATATAATATATAAGAGATATGTATTTTCTATATATAATATATGAGAGATATGTATTTTCTATATATAATATATGAGAGATATGTATTTTCTATATATAATATATGAGAGATATGTATTTTCTATATATAATATATGAGAGATATGTATTTTCTATATATAATATATGAGAGATATGTATTTTCTATATATAATATATGAGAGATATGTATTTTCTATATATAATATATGAGAGATATGTATTTTATATATATAATATGAGATATGTATTTTATATATATAATATATAAGAGATATGTATTTTATATATATAATATATAAGAGATATGTATTTTATATATATAATATATAAGAGATATGTATTTTATATATATAATATATAAGAGATATGTATTATATATATATAATATATAAGAGATATGTATTTTATATATATAATATATAAGAGATATGTATTTTATATATATAATATATGAGATATGTATTTTATATATATAATATATGAGATATGTATTTTATATATATAATATATAAGAGATATGTATTTTATATATATAATATATGAGATATGTATTTTATATATATAATATATGAGATATGTATTTTATATATATAATATATAAGAGATATGTATTTTATATGTATAATATATAAGAGATATGTATTTTATATGTATAATATATATGAGATATGTATTTTATATATATAATATATAAGAGATATGTATTTTATATATATAATATATATGAGATATGTATTTTATATATAATATATATGAGATATATATTTTATATATATAATATATATGAGATATATATTTTATATATATAATATATATGAGATATATATTATATATATATAATATATATGAGATATATATTTTATATATATAATATATATGAGATATATATTTTATATATATAATATATATGAGATATATATTTTATATATATAATATATATGAGATATATATTTTATATATATTATATATGAGATATATATTTTATATATATTATATATGAGATATATATTTTATATATATTATATATGAGATAGATATATATCTTATATATATATTATATATAAAGATAAGATATACATAATATATCTTCATATATTATATATAAAGATAGATATATATAAAGAAGAGTGTAGCTATATATATATATATATATATATATATATATATAGGCTGAAAACTATGTTTAAAGATGTAAGTATACAGTTTGGGAAAGTTCATCAAATACCAATCAGGGTAAACTCAAAGAAATTCATGGAAATATAATAATGAAACTCTTGAAAACTAAAGACAGAAAAAAAAATACTAATTTTGAATGTAGCCAGAGAAAAACGATCAATTACTTGTAGGGGAACAATGTTCAACTGACAATGAACTTCTCACCAGAAATCATGGAGATGAGAAGAAAGTGGCAAATATTCTTAAAACACTGACAGAAAACAACTGTAAACCCACAATTATGTTTCAGAAATGAAGGTAAAATAAAGATGTATTACGGAGGAAGTATTTGGAATGATGGAATTGCTCTGCGTCCTGATTCTGGTGGTGATTGCATGACTGTATACGGGTGTTAAAGTTCATAACACTATACGTCAAAAAGTCAATTTCACTGTATGATAATTAAGCAATACAAATAACAAGGGAAAGAAATGAGACTCTGAAGCCAGAAAATAAATGTATCCACATAGATATCTTGATTTTATTGTACATTTTTTTCTTTCACTACCTGCGCTTTCTCTGACTGTCCCCTGGGTTTAGAAAGAGTGCCATCGTGGATAATATCAAGTGAGAAGATGAAATTATGGCTATTTTTATAATTGGATAAGATAGCTTTTTCCCCACATAATAAATTCCTAGTGGCAATTTGAAAACTATATTTAGCATTAAAGTCTTTAATATATCATTTGTTGAATGTTCTACAAATGTGATAACTGAAAATGTGGCAACCAGTGGCTGCTGTTTCATGATGGCTGTGAGAGGGACTTCTTTGTGGACCCACATAATCACCTGGAAGTGGGTCAGTAGAAGCCGTCTTACATCACTCATCAAGGCATGGTGGGAGGGCCAAGATCAGAACTGCTAAGAGCAGTATGGCAGCAGGTGTGATTTAGGAAGTAACTGATAATAGGATTTGATTTATGTAATCCTAACTTTAATTAATACTGGACTAATGCTGATCACTTACAGTTTACAGCAATGCTTTTCAAACAAACATTGTTCTAGAAGACCTAGGCCTCAAGGTGGGTGTTTAAGGAGCACTGCTGGTGAGGCTATGAGGAGACCAAGGAGATAGTGTTCCTAGTGCCTTCCCCAGTCTCCGCAGTGTAGGCTACAACATTTGGGTTTCTATGAAGATTTTTATTGGAAAGGGGGTTGTATTTCTAGGAGGTTGAGGGAATGTTGTATGGGTCATATTACAGATAGCCCTACCTAAAGGTATTCAGCCAGAAGCAGATACAGAGGCAAATTGACCACATTGGTAAATTTTAGTGTAACTTTCAAGAAGGAACTATGAGGGACTTTTAGGAACAGCTAACTTTTCCAGGAGGTTTGAGATACGCTTTCATAGAAGCTCCTGAAATAGGAATAGGGAAAGGGGAAAAAATGCTAAGAAAGCCTATGGGAATGCTATATCCAGTGGTAAGAATCAGAGAAAAACAGTAACACAATTTTCAGATTTTCCAGCTGAACTGCCTGCAAATGAATCCACAGTGCAGTAATACCTTCTGGATTTTCAGCACAAGTAATTTTCAGCCACTTCACTGAGCCTGTGAGAGAGGTTAAAAAGAATGGGGGAAAAGAGAAGAATGAGAGGAGCACGTGATGACAAGGAGAGAATGACACAGGCCCTTGGAAGTGAACAATTTTAAAATTGCTAAAGAATGCATAGAAAAGCCAGAAATGATTTTAGAAGGCATGATTTAGGGACCTGAAAAAGAGGTTTTAAATACTGAAGATTAAAGAGAAGAGAGACGATATTCATACAGTCAGAAACGAGAGGACTGTCACCAGGGTCAGTCATGACAGGGTGGGATCTGGGCCACATGAAAGAATTCTGTTAGGTTGGTGCAAAAGTAATGGCAAAAACCGTGATTACTTTTGCACCAACCTAATAGATGTATTCCTTCCTCACAGGGGCATGTCTCTGACAGCCTGTCATAGGGTAAATAGATACTGCCATAGGACCACTATTGATTTGTGAGACACCAACAATACCAGGACAACTGACCCCTGAGTTTCGCCTCTTCTAAGTGTCTCAAAGAATGTGGGCCAGGTGTGTCCTTAGTCTGTGGGATCAGCTCGACTCACATGGAGGAGTCCTTTGGTCTTGCTTTTAGTAGTGGAGATAAAACAAGATTTCAAGGATAGAAAAGGAAGAGGCTAAGAAAACAAGTTCTCTCTCAGTTCATATTAACTTATGTCAAGAGAAACAGACAGAAGTACCAGAGGAGGACGTTCACTATTTGAAGACAGACTACTATAGGTTACTCTCATCTCTAGCAAAAACCCATGTTATCCAAACAGTAGTATGTCTCCAGTACTAAAAAGTGGAAAATTTCTAAAGCTCCTTTTCTAAGGGCTGCTGGTTAAGTAGAATTTGTATTTTGGTTTATTTTTTTTAATTTTTAAATAAAAGTTTGTTTTTAACCTAGTAATTTTCCTTATGGACCAGTGGGTCAATATGTTTTGGCAACTTTGGAAAACATGTTTTATTATTTCCCCAATCAAACCAAAAAGCCCCTTAGGAGCCATTGTAGTCTATTGGTTAAGTATGGTTTCGTTCCTATGCTTCTTTAAAGGCTTTATTATTTACAAATAGACAGTAATGGCTTCATCTGAGCTAATCCAGTTTATCATGCCATTATATATTTAGGGCATGTCCTGCATTTAGAAAAATCCCTTTAAGAATTCTGTACAAACTGCCAAGAGCCACAGAAAGATTCGTTAAACTTGCCAAATGCAGTATTATCTGCATCCTTACCCTAGAGAAGATCAGCAATTAACTTCTTGCTCCAGGAGTACTCAAGCAAAACCGATTCAAATACCTGGTCATGATGACTCTGCTTCAGGAAATATCCCCAACTGGACAGGCAACAATTGTTTATTCTTGGCTACTAAGGGGGTGGTGAGGGAGAATATGATGCACATTTGTTGTCTACCAAAATAGCCATCAACTAATTAGTAAGGGGCTTATGAAGTACACCACTACACCACTTTCAGTGCTCCCAGACTGGTGAGGAGATGTTAGGAACTGGCAATGCTCACTTCCTTTTAATGTCTACTGGGCTACCTATAAGAGAGTCATTTAGTTTTACGTTCTCCATTAAAAAAAAAAAAATGTTCTGGTTTGTTTTAAAGAAAGCTGATATTCCACACTGAATTGTAGTTTACTTTCTTGCATCTGCAGAAAGGATAGTTTGGTAAAATATTTACTGCATTGGGTAAATTTTTCCACATATATATCTAGCCCTGTGGGAAGAGAAATTTAAGTCAAACTCAGAGAAATTGTTATGAATCAATATGAAGGACACAGAGAACTCCAGACAGATGCATGTAGATTATATGGGAATAAATGAGATATATCCATACAAGGTTGATACAGCCCTTTAAACCCTTGCCCAACCAGGGAAGCCCTGCTTTGGATTTTGGCTGCTTGGCTGATCATTATATCTCACTTTGTGACCCTCTTGCTTAAAGAATATGTCACATCCTCCATTTATTGAATTTAGGACGTTATCATTGGCTCTTTAAAGTAATCAAATGGGTGGAAAAAAAAGAAAGTGCAAAGATCTTAATAATCACCCTGCAGTGTGGTAAAGGGACAATAGATCATGAAGAATACCTGAAAAGAAGAAGTCATAATGCAACTGCTCAAGACAAAGACGACAGTGAGTTATTTGTGCTGGCTCTTCTCGCTTGTCAAAGGTGGGCACGGATGCCCTAACCTTTCAGATCCTGACCAAACTCTTCAAAGCTACCCCAACATGCCTTCAAATACATATTTTGAATAATAACATCAAGGAGCGGTGAAGAAATGTGAGGCTCTCGAGACTACAGATGCTTCGTTTTCCATTTTCTGTGTACTTCTTTTGTTCCAGACAATTCCAGACTCCATTCCCAATTTTTTCTCTATGTGCAAAAACTAAGGCTTTGTGCACTCTGTTGCTATGGAAACAGGAGAGGGAGAAACAGTTTATGTATTTCAAAAGCTGTCAGCCTATATGCTGTGGATTTTGATAACTAAACCTACACATAAACCATCTTCCCTCCACTTCCAATGCTCAACACCTAACTTTATAGCTAGATAGATGGATAGATAGATGTGTGTGTGTGTGTGTGTGTGTGTGTGTGTGTGTGTGTGTGTGTGTCTGTGTGTCTGTGTGTGTGTTTCTATGTGTGTTGCTTGGGAAAATTAAGGATCTATTTATTTAGCTTTGCTGCAATCCCTCTTAATTTAGTGTCCAGGGGACAGAAAGAAGCTTTGGTGATGCAGTTAGAGAAATACAGAACTGTTCTTAATAAATGCTTACTAAATCAGAATGAAGACAGAGTTAGCAGGCATCACAACTCAATTTACTGCCAAAATAAAAAAGATTGAAGCTCTATTAATTTTAAAACAGATCTGAATGTTGCCAGGCTTATATTTTATAGAAATGTAATGTCTGCTATACCCTCTTCAGCTCTCTAATAAA